>NC_000021.9:25485497-26115420 GCF_000001405.40 Homo sapiens | reverse complement strand
GGCTTCAGTAAGAATAGGAAGGTTTCTGGTTCAATTTGTATCTCCAAGCTAATTGCTCTGATTTCCATATACACATCTGGTGTTGGTTCGGGGGGAAAAAATTTTACTTGAGAAACATGGCTTTTGTGAGTTGATATTTATTTGTGAAGGGCCTCTTGTAATGTCAAATGTAAGAAGATCTATACACACAACCAATTTTACAATTTCTAATTCAACAGCTTACCCTATTATTGAGGATTCGCAGTTTAAATTATTAAATGATCTCCACTTGAAGAAAATAGAGCATGTTAATCATCACGATTCTCCAAACATTTATTTTTAAAGTTAATATTAAATCTCATCTGGTGGAAAACCTGACAGGAACTGAAGCATATATTTTCTAGTCTAAACTCTCATTGTTAAAATGAAGACAACATGAGACAGTTATAGCGCCGTAATCAAGTTATTTGAAAAAAATGTTTTAAAAATTACCACTTTTTGGTAGTCAACATACACACATATGCCAACAGATGGCATTAAAAAATGGCAAGAACATGAGACAATTATAGGGTCATAATAAATTTATTTGAAAAAAATGTTTAAAAAATTACCACTTTTTGATAGTCAGCATACACACATATGCCAACAGATGACATTAAAATAGCTGTAAAGTCAAGAAGCAGGGAGGATGACAAAGTGAAAAATAGAAGAAATCAAAGGAAGTTAAGTCAAAAGAGGAAAAAAAAATGAAGCATTTACTTGGTTTGTCAGGTAGGGTGATCCAGTGTATTTTGCCAAAAACTTTCCTGGTTTTAGCACCAAATGTCTCAGAACATGGCAGCTGATGACCTCCCTCACAGTGAGTGATCCCAGAGAGCAATGAAGAATTGTGATGCCCTTCATGACCTTGTTTTGGATGTTACACATCATCATGCCCTTCAGTGACCTTTCTGGTAGCAAAGGGTTTGTTTTTAAAAGAGTTGCAGCATCTTTAAGTCTAATATATACATGCTCGGAAGTTACACCATCATCACTTCTGCTGTACTCCATTTGTTGCACAGACAGACCCTGATACATTGTGGAGTTTCCCAGGGTCCATGAATAGCAGGAGGCAGGGACTATTGGGGGCCTTCTTGGAGGCTGGCTACCCTGGGGAGAGAAATTGTCAATTTCCTCTCCTTGCGGGGAGGAAATGGAATCAAGTGCATTTGTATTGACAAGAAGGTAGAACGCTTTCCTTAGACATTGTAATGAACAGATTGTGGATAAACAAAAGTACAGAGAGAGTTTGAGGCAGAGGAGGAGACTGTTTCAACAGAATATTTACCAGCTATGGTAAAGGCTCATTAGTGTCTCCGTACAGTTAACAACATGCTGCCAAGACTGGAAATCTTTGGGACAGGAATGAATTCGGAAGGTGAACAGAATAAAGTACTGTGGGAACAATGGCGATTCCATTAGTGGATTGTACATTCCTTACGGGCAGGGCCCTCCATAGCATCTGATGTAGGGCCTTATCCACAGGTATCTGATTATTATTTGACTTTCTTTAATGTTTTTGCAGTGTTATTATCTATACTACTTATTTCAGTAAGATTGACAACATTTGCATTTCGATTTCTAAGATCAAGACAATGAATTTCCTCTTAATCCCTCAGGAAAGCTGTGAAATTTAAATTTATAGAGCATTCTACTTAGCCTGCTGCTTTGCATCTGTCAGAGAATGAGACCCCCCAGTTTCATGGAAGTCACAGGAAGTGGCAAGGGGCTCAGATGGAGTTGAGGGGTTCTAGCTATTTCTGCAGATGATCTGGATATTTTGGCATCGGCTGCTTTGACTTAACCATCTGGCAATGTAAAGGCAGAATTTCGTTAAATATTGGAAAAGTTACTTGAAAACATGGCTCTAGAGATTTTGCCAGCAGCTTTTGCACTCATGACTTGGTTCAATCTAAGACCTGTTTTGTTTTTTTGTTGTAAGGACCTAAGTCCTCTGTTGGGTTTTGACGAAGTATGTGTAAAAATGACTAAAATGGCCAGAGGTATCTTATTTTACATTTATGTGGGAAGAAATGTTTGGAAACTGTTTCATTTCTTTAACTGAAAATTTCTCAGTGCAATTTTAGTTGGTGTTTTTCCTCCTGTGGACAGTTTTTAGGAATGATACAAGTTATCGTGGAATCACCCAGTTCTTGAGTGTGTGAACGAATGGCTTCTGCTGGAAGTTAATTCTTCTTGGCATGGGTGTCTCACATTTCCCCAGCAGCTGGATTTGACAAGGGAGGGCCTATCATGATTAATATGCCTTCTAATTGATTGGTTTAATAACACCTTTACTCCTGTGGATATATTTTTCATTTCTTGCTGAATTTTTTTTTCTTTTTGAGATACCAGAACCTGTTAAGTGACACGGTATAGATATTTCAGGACTTCCATTTTCTCTTTTAAAAATATTTTTGTAAAGGTAATGCCTGTACACAGAAGAGTTTGAAAATACAGAAGGCACCCTTTTTCATGAAGTTATTTTGTGAAGTGGTCTATTGCCTGCAATGGTAATAGCTAGGACCCCTTACTTACTACCCAGCAGGCACTATGTAGAGCTCCAAATGAGAAAATGTTGGCTCCTTGCAGATGGTTGGGAGAGGAGACACCAGCACTCTTAACAGACTTGTTAAGAGTTGAGACTGATAACCAGAGAATATTCTGGGGGAAACCAGGAGGGATCGCCAACATACTCAGTTATATTTGTGGATGGTGAATTCTACAGTGAATTTTTCTGTTCAAAATCATAATACAGTCACTTGCTAACTACCAACGCCATACTTGCTCTCAGTGCTGAGAGGTGGCACAAATATTATTTTCAGTCTTGGTCATCAGGCAGGGCCTGGCAGGCATCATGCTCTGTGTGAGTCAGTGGAGTTTATTATAAGAATGCGGTAGCCTCCACAGTGATTATATTTATTATAGGAAAACGTGTAATTTTGTTGTCAGAACCTTTCAGCAGGTACCACAAAATCTCATATGGGAAAACGTGTAAATTTTTCATGAATAAATTCCTTTCGGTATTGGTAATTTCCTTCTCTGTTTTAGTATAAAAGAAAGCATTGCCTTATAGGTGGCTAAGAACATCTGTAGCATACATAACACTTAATCTAAAGGAGTGTTGAAGACCGGGCTGATTCCTAATTGAGAATGAGCAAGAATAGAACTCTTTTTGATAGTTATCCCTGTTCTTCCTCCAAGCCTCTGCCTTGGAGCTATGGATACTATAACTAACTGAAGCTTCTTCTTTCAGGTACCCACTGATGGTAATGCTGGCCTGCTGGCTGAACCCCAGATTGCCATGTTCTGTGGCAGACTGAACATGCACATGAATGTCCAGAATGGGAAGTGGGATTCAGATCCATCAGGGACCAAAACCTGCATTGATACCAAGGAAGGCATCCTGCAGTATTGCCAAGAAGTAAGTCCTGTCCGGTGGCTAGCAATTCACGTTGGATCACATGCATTTGTTTTCAAAAAATTTAACTTCTTGTATTTTGCATCAGTATTTTAACCCTACAGTAAAAATCTTGGTTCCTAATGATTCACCATACCATTAATATATTTATTTGCATTACCCTATGATATACATATAAATGTTTTTAAAATTATGATGTCGTATTATGACCATCACTAAACAGTAGTTTAAGATGTCACAGCACTTTTTTTTTTCCTCACTCTGTCACCCAGGTTGGAGTGCAGTGGCAAGATTATGGCTTACTGTAGCCTTGACCTACTGGGCTCAAGCAATCCTCCCACCTCAGCCTCCCAAGTAGCTGGACTATAGGCACATGCCACCAGGCCTGACTGATTTTTTTTAATTTTTAGTAGAGATGGGGTCTCCTTGTGTTGGCCAGGCTGTCTGAAACTCCTGGGCTCAAGCGATCCTCTGGCTGGACCTCCCAAAGTGCTGAGATTACGGGTATGAGCCACCATGCTCAGCCCTCCACACTCCTTTCATCTTCAGTATATATCTCACCACGGCTCTACAGTCAAGGTCTTTTGGTTAAAAGTGCTAGCATTAATTTTTTTCTGTTACCAGCTTGATACATATTTTAGTTCATTTGTATCTGTTTGTATTCTATTATAGTTTGGTTTTTTCCTCCCTTATTAATTTTACTTTTTGACTATCATGTTAGTTCTATGAAATATACTCAGAAAGCTCACTTTTCACTCATTCTCTATTGATAAACATTTTCATTGTTCCTGATTTATTTTTTTGGCAAAAGAAAATACATATTTTTCCTTCTTGTACAAAAAAAGTACAAAGTTCACTGTTCTGCACTTTGCTTTTTTTTTTTTTTTTTTTTTTAACTTAACTTTGTATCCTGGAAATCATCCTTTGTCATTTCGTGGAGATCTTCATTTTTGTTTAATTCTTTGTAGTCTTTTTGCTGTTACTATACAGGGTGCTCCTTTCTTATTCAATTTAAAATAGCTGGAGTTCCAGGCATTTTATCTCACACTTCTTAGATAGTTATCTCTGCATGTGACTGCATCTTAAGAACATTAGAAGTAATTAGTCTTATGCTTGTTGGCAAAGCAGAATTCTCGACACTCATTATAAACAGCAGATAGCCTGGCAACATTTTCTTTTGTTGTAATCCTTTTTGTACTAGAAATTTTTCTTTAGCCTACTTGGATAATGAATGTTTGTTGTTTAATTAATATTACTATTCTATTGAGATCCTTTTATTTTAAATTGTAAATACTAAAATTATTATTATTAAAAGGTTTAATTTGTTTTGATAGCGCTCTGTTTAAGAAAGGACAAGCTCTAATTACTAATTGGTGTTTTGAGAAGCAAAAAGCATCTACATTATCACAATATATTACATATTAAGTAATTTTTATCTTGAAAGGAGTATGAACCATGATGTGAAATGATGAATAGTGGAAATCACTAATACTTAAGTTCATTATATGTATTTTTTGTTTTGTTTTGTTTTTTTTTGAGATGACATCTTGCTCTGTCGCCCAGGATGGAGTGCAGTGGTGCAATCTCAGCTTACTGCAACCTCCACCTCCCGGGTATAAATGATTCTCCTGCCTCAGCCTCCTGAGTAGATGGGACTATAGGCACCCGCCACCACGCCCAGCTAAATTTTTTTGTATTTTTAGTAGAGACAGGGTTTCACCATATTGGCCAGGCTGGTCTTGAACTACTGACATTGTGATCCACCCATGTCAGCCTCCCAAAGTGCTGGGATTATAGCCGTGAGCTACCACGTATGGTCCATTATATGTATTTTTACAAGAACATTCTGTGTGCTGATTTACTAAGTATGGATTGATAATAAATCAGCTTTTGCCTGGGTGTGACTTTTATAAAGTGTCAATGTTAGAAATAATATTTACATTCTGCTGAAGAGTTCTTGTAGTACAATTGTGTAGATAAGTTATAAATTTTATAAATCAGAACTCTGTGCATACTTATATGTTTTTGATACCATTTTTTTGATATATGCATACAGACTATGTATTCTGAGTGTCAAATAAACTTTTTTTAAAGGCTAGAATTAAAATTTAGTTTATGACATTGACCAAATTGTCCTTTTCTGGTGAATCGACTATTTTGATACATGTGTCATAGTTTGCATCTAAGTTTTTCTTCCCTTAGTTTCACGTATGAATAACCAGATGTTTTCACATTTGTATGGTGGCCATACCAAAAATTACTCTTCTTGACCCCAGGAACACCCCTCTTTTCCCGTTTCACTTAGAGATCCTACTAATGCCTGGGTAGCTTTACTTTCTGTCTTAGCCTGTTGTTTGTCCCAGGGTGTATTAGTCTGTTCTCACATTGCTGTAATAAACTACCTGAGACTGGGTAATTTATAAAGAAAAGAGGTTTAAGTGGTTCACGGTTCCAAAGGCTGTATGGGAAGCATGGCTGGGGAGGCCTCAGGAAACTTAGAATCATGGCAGGAGGTGAAGGGGAAGAAGACACATGTTCACATGGCCAGAGCAAGAAAGAGAAAGAGTGTGAAGGGAGAGGTGCTACACACTTTCAAACACCCGGATCTCATGAGAACACTGTCACGGGACAGCACTCGAGGGATGGTGCTTAAACATTGAAACCACCCCCATGATCCAATCCCTTCCCACCAGACCCCACTTCCAACACTGGGAATTACAATTCGACATGAGATTTGGGTAGGGACACAGAGCCAAACTGTATCAAAGGGTTGAGCACAGAGTGGTTCTTCCCAGTTCTGGACTTTACCAGATTGTTGGTGGCCACCATGAGTGGGGAGAATTAGCCCTTTGCTGTCACCTTCCTCTTGCAATTCTGGTATTATCTGTCCTCTGCCTACCACCCACCCACGGAAGTCTTGTTGGATGATACACACCAGCCAGATTCTTCAACATTAGGCGCCATAAGTAAGAAAGGGCCAAAACATCATACCTTGTGAGCCATTTTAATGGATTTGGGCTTTATTTTGTAGCAACAGGAAGTCACTAGACTTTATTTTTTATCTATTTATTTTTTTCTTTTTTTTTCTTTTGTTTTTGAGACAGAGTCTTGCTCTTGTGGCCCAGGCTGCAGTGCAGTGGCACAATCTCAGCTCACTGCAACCTCTGCCTCCTGGGTTCAAATGATTCTCCTGCCTCAGCCTCCCGAGTAGCTGGGATTATAGGCGCCTGCCACCACGCCGGGATTTTTTTTATTTTTAGTAGAGACAGGGTTTCACCATGTTGGCCAGGCTGGTCTCGAACTCCTGACCTTGCGATCCACCCTCTTCGGCCTCCCAGAGTGCTGGGATTACAGGCGTGAGCCACCCGCACCCGGCCTAGACTTTATTTTTTCAGAGAAGAGGAGTGATTGTAGATTTGCATTTAAACAAATCACCTTCTTGCTTTATCACTATGTCCCCTACCATATATCTTCGTTCTCCCAGAGACTGCCATGCTGCAGCCTCTAGCCGTGTGCTGTCCAGTACTGTAGCCACTGGCCCTATGTGGTTGTTTGGCACTTGAAATGTGGCTAGTGGAAACTGATGTGTGCTATAAGTGTAAGATAGATACCGTATCTCAAAGATATAATGTGAGAAAACCTGTAAAATGATCACATTCATTTTTATATAGGTTTAACATTGAAATAGTTATGTTTTGAATATGTTGTTAAATACATCATAAATGTTACTGAGTTGTAACTATGTGATTAAAATTGATTTCACTTGTTTCTTTTGACGTTTCACGTGGCAGTGAGGAAATTGAGGTTCCATAGGCAGTTGCATTCTGTTTCCGTGGAACAGTGCTGTTCTCTGTGCTATCCCGAGCCACCAGTGACTCTGAGCTGTAAGGGTCTTAGATCCCATGATCTGGCAAGTGGGAGAGGGAGGTAGAAATGAGTCCCTCCATACCTTCAACCAGAACTTCACTGCATGTTGCAAGTCAGGGAACAAGGCTTGTTTGGGGTCCTTTTAAATACATCTTTCATTAAATACATTTGGATGTAAGATGATTATATGCCTTTCTAGAACCCTGTGGTGCTCTCTTCCTCCTCAGACATAATGTCTTTGGATACTAAGGGTGCATTGATGAACAGAACACAGGGCCTGTTCTTCAAAGGGGGAGAAAAGCTTGTAAAATCATAATTTTAGCAATCTAAAAACTACATGGTGACAGTGACACTAATACCATCAGCATTGAGCATTCACAAAGGGTCACAAAGGGTCAGCTACTATGCTAAGTACTTGCACTCATTTTACCCACTCAGTGACACCTGTGGAGAAGAACCGAAGGAAAGCACCTTGGGGAATTGCAGCATTGAAGGCAAACAAAGAGAGACGATTCCCCATGAGGGAGATGAGCAGTGGCCAGAGAGATAGGATAGGAAGTAGGAGGCGTTACATGCTGGAAGGCAAGCCATGTAAATTTCTAAATGAGGGGAAAGATAAGAGTGCAAGCATGATGCAAACGGAAAGCAGTTGAAGTGTAGTTTTTGACATGGTAAAATCATGTCTGTCATGCAGACTGAACACATGTCAAATATTTTATTCAATTCATTAATGAGATGAACTGTAAGATGTGAAAAATGGTTCATTTTGACTTGGAGAGATTTAAAATTCCTTCCCCAGCACACTTGAGTTGCATGGCTATGAACAGGAATCATCTGGAATTATCTGGAATATCGTCAAATTATTTCCATGGTACAGGAACACTTGCATTGCTATGGGGTGTCTGCAGTATCCATCTTTACAAAGCTCTAAGGGTGTGGAATAGCTTGTAAGGATGTAAGTAATAAGGGTGTAAGAATTTTAAGGGTGTAAGTCGTAAAATAGCTTATTTAGTAGCAAGTCAACTGGAGGAACATGCTGTAGAATCAGATAATCCTTTCCCCGCCACCCTCAGGGTCTGCAAGACAACACCTGCATTTCAATGCTAGGACACCCAGCAATCTCTTTTGCTCATATCTTGTTTTTGGACATTTGTATGTGTGTGTGACAAAACATTGTTAGGATCTGGCAAATAGAAGGTCATTGTTGACCCTGTGGAATAGCATGGGGAGAAGTTACGTTGTAGTCCATTGCAGGAAAAACAACGTGGGTCAATGGTGAGTCAGCTGTGGACTCCTGGAGGAAAGACCTAGAGGCAAAAAGCTTTGAGGTCATTGAAGACAAAAGGAAAGGCTTTGTGATTTTGATTTTTAAATGGAAGGAATTTGGGCCTAAGGAAGCTTAAACTAAACTGTGGGAAGGACTGATACCCATCCTAAGCACTAGTTGCAGGTATCTCTTAAGAACTAGGTTTTGGCCGAGCTCCGTGGCTCAGACCTGTAGTCGCAGCGCTTTGAGTGAGAGGATCGCTTGGGCCCAAGAGTACAAGGTTACAGTAAGCTATGACTATGGTATTCAGTTCTGTAAGAACTAGGCAGAAAGGAGATCCAGTGGATATGTGATTGCCTGGGTCTTGGAAAGGGGAGGGAACATCTCCTTTTCTGAGGAAGAATGGGGAGATAGGGTGGGTTAATTAGGCAGTTTCTTTTGCCAGGTGATAAAAACCCCCTAAACAATTTGTATTTTATATATGGAGAATATTTTCTCCCACTGATGGGAAGGATCGTAGTGTGGGGGATGCTTACCCAATTTCTTAAAAATGTACACAGAAATGAGATCCCTAGGTGCTGGAACCGAGGGTCAGTACTGCCTAGAATTTCCCCATTAGGGTCTCTTTTGTTTCTGCTTACCTTCCTGCTGTGTGTTTACTCCTTTTCTCCTGCTAAGATGGGTGTCCTCAAGGAGACCAGGGATGTTGGTAGCCACGACCTCTGGTAGTGTTAGTCCTGGTTTGGCATCCCAACTTTGTTCTGCCCATGGGCATTATCAGGGAGTGCTTCTGGTTGGCACTGCTTTGAGTTACACGTCTGCCCTTGGAGCCACCACCGTATCTGCAGGGACTCAGTATCAGGACTAGCCCATCTTGGCCTTGTGGGTGTGGCCGTGTGATGTGGGGAGAGGAGCTGTTGCCAGAAGAGGGATGAGGAATGGCATGGGCAAAATAGAAGAATGACCCCAGTGCTGCAACACAGTGGGTATGGATTAGAAAAGGCTTGTAGGCTGGACAGGGCGAGGTGAGGGAGTGCATCATGCATTAGGATTTTAAGTGGCTTTTTGGGGAGTATTGAGCAGGTGGCAGGGGAGACAAGTTCACTCAGAAGTTTTAGACAGTGTTGACATTTTCTTTCAAATTGTGCATCTTGAATTCTCTAGAACATTCTTTATAGATATTTCAGGATCTTCCTGCCACTTTCCACATTGTAGCTATTCTGGTGTTTTTCTTTTATAATTAGAAATAATGAATAGTTCTCATTTGTAGGCTTGGATTTTCATGCGTGTGTTGGAAAGTGTTCGTTTTGCCTTTTTTTTTTAACTTCATGTTTTTATTTTTTAAACCGTATTGATGGATTCATTGCTAGGAACGGCAAGGAAAAGAATACTCTCACAATGTTACCACGTTTCCTTCTCACAGGTTTTATAAGTTGTATTATTTTTATATTTTCAAAGTTATAATCTTACCATCTCCTCTGTTGCCATACTTCTCATTCATAGGGTCTGTCTTTAACTGGACTCATTGTTTACAGCTAGTCTTTTCATCAGATCATCTCAAACCCTGTATTACATTAATATTTTGATTCCGTTTTGTTGGATGACTTTCATCTTAATCATTCTTATTGTTGAACAATGTTTTTCTTATTATTGAACAATTGCTTCATTAGGTATAGAATTCCTGGTTGATGGGTGTTTGATTCAGCACCATGAAAATTCACGGTATTCTGGTATCTGTCATTGGGCAAATTCTTCTTCTTTTTTTTTTTTTTTTTTTTTGAAAAAAATGCGTGGAAACCATTAGTTACCATTGACAGAGCTACTCATTTAATGATTTTTTTTTTCTCCCAATAGTGGTGGATGAATTTTTTACTTTGCGTTCTCACTTTGTGTCTCTCATGACCAAAATATTTTAGAGATAACTAGCTGGCTAAGTCTGAGGTGGCTGTTAACAGTCTGGTCCTAGGATAGAACAAAACCAACAGAACTCATCACCGTCACGTCGTTTTGACTTTTTGCTCACAAGTTTAACTCATTGTTTAATTTGTTTTTCCAAAGGATTGCTTTGCAGTATACATGTTGGTGCATAGCTTAACATGATGATAAATACATAACTTTGACTGTGAATTATCTACTCTGCTCCTTTCATAGTCTCATGCTTCTCTGAATTTGTATTTTGTGTTACTGGGTTGTTTTGTTGTTATCATTCATAGTGTTTTTTTTGCCCTTGATTCTTTGATCCAGGTTTTGGTCAAGGGCAAGGTTCAAGAGAAAAAGTAAAAACACAGTCTTTTATTTTTGCTCTTGGTTATAAACCCTTGTAAAGTTTGATTGAGAAGATAACTTGGATCTTATGGTTTAAATTGAGTCTTTGTTTAATCCCAAGTCTTCCAAATTCTTTGTGCTTATGTATTCTTTCCTCTTTCCCAATCGTAATAGTTTTGCTTCTGCCTAGTCATTGGTCAAATACCTGCCTTTCAATGCATTTAAAAAATATTTTGTGTTAGCACCATTTGAGATTTTTCCCCCCTTTTTTTTCAAGTATGTATTGAGGACTGTTATGGGATGAATGTTTGTGTTCCCCCAAAATTTAGATATTGAAACCCTAACCCCAGGCTATTCGGAGATGGTATTCGGAGATGATACCTTTGGGAGGTGATAACTGTTAGATGAGGTCATGAGTATGTGCCCCCGTGATGGAACTAGTGCCCTTATAAGAAAAGATACCAAAGAGCTTGCCTTTTTCTCCCTGCTCAAACGAAGAAGTCACATAAGGACACAGCAAGGAGGTGGCTGTCTGCAAGCAAGGAAGAGCGGCCTCACCAGAACTCGGTCATGCTGGCACCTTGGTTTTGGACTTCCAGCTTCCAGAGCTGTGACAAAAGACATTTTTGTTGTTTAAGCCATTCACAGTAAGGCAGCATTTTGAGCTAAGACAAAGACCTACTGTGGCTTCTGTAGGCAAAAGCCCTACAGACCCAAAGTGTTGTGAGAATTAACATTTCTAGGGATCATGCCTTACAGTGGATTTTATCCAACACTTAGCTCTGACCTAGAGCACGCTAGTCGTCGTTAGGTAAATGCTTGTGGATGGTAGTTTCTGGCACAGAGATTGGAGCGGTAATGGGCAGGAGTTCTGTATCCAGCTTATGCTGAGAGAGCTTCCCATAAAATGGAGCCTATACTTTCCTTTTGCAGAGACCATTTCTATCCATTGATAGAATTCTTTTTTTTCTTTTTCTTTTTTTTGACGGGATCTCACTCCATCGCCCAGGCTGGAGTGCAGTGGCATGATGTCAACCCACTGCAACCTCTGCCTCCTGGGTTCAAGTGATTCTCATGCCTCAGCCTCCTGAGTAGCTGGGATTACAAGGTGCACGCCACCACATGTGGCTAATTTTTGTATTTTGGTAGAGATGGGGTTTCACCATGTTGGCTAGGCTGGTCTTGAACTCTAGTGATTTACCTGCCTCGGCCTCCCAAAGTGCTGGGATTACAGGCATGAGCCACTGCACCCAGCCTTCCATCGACAGAATTCTAAAGACATGTTTAGGCAAGAGTTGGTGGAATGTTGGCGTGTAGTCCAGATTTGCCTTCAGTTTGTTTTTATCCGCTTCAAATGCAAAGGCCATGATAATTCAATAGTAAAGTCATAAATCCATAGTATGACTTAAAATATTTGGTTGTAATATTACAAAGTATGCTTCCAAACACATTAAGCATGCAAAATCCTTATATTGTTCTTTTTGTTTAGTGTTTAGGGTAGTTTGTGTGAATCATAGATGACCACAGTAGACTGTTGAGTTGTTATTTTCTTTTGACATTCTTTGATAGAAAACAGTGCTTTTCCTCTGTTATTTATACTAGAAGCAAAAAGTATCTCTCATAGCATTATGGAAACAACTCGAATACAACTACGTCAATTATTCATCTTTTTTTTTTTTTTTTTTTTTTTTTTGAGACAGAGTCCCACTCCATCAACCAGGCTGGAGTGCAGTGGTGCAGTCTTGGCTCACTGCATTCTTTGCATCCTGGGCTCAAGTGATTCTCGTGCCTCAGCCTCCCAAGTAGCTGAGATTACAGGTGCCCACACCATTCTCAGATAATTTTTGTATTTTTACTAGAGATGGGGTTTCACCATGTTGGCCAGGCTGGTCTCGAACTCCTGACCTCAAGTGATCCACCTGTCTTGGCCTCCCAAAGTGCTGGGATTACAGGTGCGAACCACTGTGCCTGGCAGTTATTCATCATTTAACAGCATAAAGTGGCCACTTGCTTTAATAAACTATTATAGTACCAAAATTTTGGCCTGAGGAATTTATAAATATAAATAGAACAAAACAAAAATAATATTCCCCTTGAAACATATTCTAAAACCAGGGGCTAAAAGTTAGAATTGTTAGATTTTATTGTCCTGTTTCTTTGGGATGAAATGAAATTTTTTAAAAACCATAGTTTTGGCCGGGCGCAGTGGCTCACGCCTGTAATCCCAGCACTTTGGGAGGCCGAGGCGGGCAGATCACGAGGTCAGGAGATCGAGACCATCCCGGCTAACACGGTGAAACCCTGTCTCTACTAAAAATACAAAAATATTTGCCGGGCGTGGTGGTGGGCACCTGTAGTCCCAGCTACTTGGGAGGCTGAGGCAGGAGAATGGCGTGAACCCGGGAGGTGGAGCTTGCGGTGAGCCGAGATCGCGCCGCTGCACTCCAGCCTGGGCGACAAGAGCGAGACTCCGGCTCCAAAAAAAAAAAAAAAAAAAAAACCACATAGTTTTACTTAAACCAAAGGCTTTGGGATTCCAGAAGAATAAAGGAAGTGTACTTCAATTCTACATCTCAAGAATCTATTTCTTCCCAAATTTAATACAGGCAAATTTAGTCTATATTTATTGGGCACTGTTAGGTTTTTGTGTCAGGTGTTGCTGAGTGGCGGGATACCATTCTTGGCCCATAAGGACCTTATAAATCTATTAATACAATTAAATTGTGAAGAAAATTTAGAAAATTGCAAAGGTAGAATGAGGTTGCAAATTGGAGGGTCTTATTCTGGAGATAGGTGGAAGCTATGGCAGATTTTTAGCATGAATGCTTTCTGGTCAAGACACTTTTAGAAAAATTAGCTTGTTTCCAAGAGTAGATTAGATTGGGGAGAGAAGGAATTCAAATTACAAAATAATAGTGTGAAAAGCATTGTGGGAGATCATCCTGTCCATCCCCTCATTCATGATATCCTGAGGTGCTGTATTAAGGGCATCATTGCTCTTTGTCACCCGAGCAGTCCAGGAAGGCTGCCTGTTCAGTCTTAGACTGTATCCTCACAGTCTTAAACCATATCCTCACTTTATGATAGAAACACACAGGCAAGTGTTGTAAGAGTTACATATTGTCAGTTAAACAAGAAATTGGATGAGTCCCCATACTATTCTTCCTCTTTTAAAGAGAGAACTTGGGCCGGGTGCCATGGCTCACACCTGTAATCCCAGCACATTGGGAGGCCGAGTCGGGCTGGTGACGAGATCAAGAGATCAAGACCATCCTAGCCAACATGGTGAAACCCCGTCTCTACTAAAAATACAAAAATTAGATGGGCATGGTGGCGCACGCCTGTAGTCCCAGCTACTCGGGAGACTGAGGCAGGAGAATTGCTTGAACTCGGAGGCCGAGGTTGCAGTGGGCCGAGATCACGCCACTGCACTCCAGCCTGGCGACAGAGTGAGACTCCATCCCAAAAAAAAAAAAAAAAAAAAAAAGGAAAAAAAAAGAGATAACTTGAAACAGGCTCTTCCAGCCTCTCTATTCTTTTAATAACATGCAGTGCACTTCTTGGAGCTAGGGGCTAGGGTCTAGGGGCTTCTTGAAGGTGTTGATGTCTCTGGTAACTTACACTGCAGGGCAGGTCTCTGGAGGGAACTTTGAACAGGTTAAGCCTCAAATGCAGGCAGAGATTTCCAATTGGGAAAGTTAGGTGAACGTGGCTTTATCATCTCTTTTATTGGTTTATGGGTATTTTCTCTTTTTCCTGTTTTCTTTCCCACCATTTAACATTATCTGTTCTCTGCCTTTTTAACCTTCTGGCTTTAAATGAACAGTTGCTTAATCTATAGATTAACAGGATCAGCAAACAAAGCACAGCAGTGCCTGCACAAAGCAGAAACTGCCTGTTAGATGAGTTGAGCAAAACCATTTCCTTTGCCCAACTTTCTCCTCTAAAATACATAACTGAACATGGGATTCCCAGACACGAATTGTTTCTCAACCTTTCTTTTTCCATTCTACAGTTGTATGAAATTAAAATTAAATAAAAAGCAAACAACAGAGGTAGTCTTTTTAATCTTACCGAGTTGGAAGGTATACTATATACATTATCCTATGGTAGAAGGTCTGGTACATTCTTGACCATTATTACTTTGCTATGGGCACCCTTCACCCTTGTAGGCTGAAAATTGGCAAATCATAGGCACGTATACATTGTGGTTTTGGAATTTGAAAGATCTCAAATTCATATTGAGTGAGACAGTTTTTGAATGGAGGGATCAGGCTGTCTATATGTGGATATATTTTATGCATTTCTGGTCTGTATAAATGTAAGGATTGCTTTACTGACCGTAGATTTCTTCTAGGGTTAAAAAGTTGAAGCCAGTTTGGATATTTTAAAATAAGAAAATTAGCCCTACATTGAAAGAGAGAATAGGAAAATCTAGGCTATGTGTACACATCTGCTTGTGTTTTCACAATTGTGTCCTGTCCTATTTATTTTTATTTCTCTCCCATCTCTTCCCTCCCACCCACAATTTGTTTTTCATTCAACACTTTGAAATTAGAATAGCTTATCTATCAAACAAGGTTCTTTGACAGGATTTTCCAACTCTGAGTATGAAAGTGTGGATATAACAATATATTTATATAGAATGTCAGAAGCAGAGTTTGGCCAGATTATTGGGAAATATTCTAACGCCCTGCAGCATTTTACCGCCTTTGCTTTTACATAAGGCCATCATTTGGAAACATAGCATGCTGATACCTCCCATTATTGCAGTAGCGTTTCATCAGCTGCACGCTGCCTCTCAGCGCCTCATTAAGTTGCAAGCAGAGAACGTTTTCGTTTTCCAGTTCTCTTTCTCAATTAAGTTAGAGATTGTATTTTCAGTATTCCTCATTATTAAAAGAATTTTTGTTGAGAATAGTTTAAGATGTGATATTTCTTTGTATTCCAGGAAAATTTAAAGAATGTCATTGAAATCCAGAAACAGAAGTATATATTGTCTAGGACATGCTTTGTCTTGGTTTATATGCCTAAGTCCGAGTAGTTTAAAATTTATGATTAATATACTCTTTGAATGCTTAGAAATGGCATCGATTTTAGTTGTTCTAGTTTCATCTTAAATAAATTGGAGTAATTACTAACTCAGGATTATGATGTGCTACACATAAAACATTTGCAGTGATGTCTGGTACTTAGGAAACCCTCAGTTATGACATTTTTCTTACTTTCTTCTTGGATATGTTCTTTGAAAAAGGGACTGGTATGGAAAAGCTTTGAGACGATGAAAATATACAAGATAGGCTATCTCTGAAACAATTTGGTATAGAGCATTTGATTCTCTGTTTCATGTATATATTCATATATGCTAGCTGCAGTCATGCAGACACAATTTGGATCTGGGTTTTTTTTTTTTTCCTTTTTCACATGCAGTTATAAATTTAGAAACCTGGCTGTTTCCTCTGGACTAAATGTATTTATTTAAATTTTCAGTGCTTTAAATGCAAAATTACAAGCATATGTACAAGTAGAAAGAATAGTAAAATGAACCCTCCCATCTATCTGTCACTGAATTGCAGTAATGATCAAATCTAGTCAGTCTTGTTCCTGAGTCAGTCTGGAATGCAGGTTTTTTCCCTTAACTATTCAGGTTCTCCAGCAATCCTGGCAAAACACATGCGGGTTTCAGCTCATCTCTTTCAGTGACCTGTAAATTAAGATGTGCTAAAGCATCACATGTTACTCATTGACGTTTTGTTAATATATTTAAAACATTTTATTAGTACCACATAATTTTTAGCGTTTTCAAAAAGAAATAAGAATTTGGCTAAAGGTGAATTTTAAAAATTGAATGACTAAGTAGAAAAGTAGGCAAACTGTTTTCAGAATTAGTAGCAATTTCCAATTCCATTTACTCTGTTCATTAACTTTGTTTTCAGCCTTTTGTTAGCCATGTTTGATTTTGTGTTTTTGAAATACCTTTGGTCATTTTAGGACTTTTGGCATTAATCACCTGTCTTAGGTGGCCTGTTTACAAAAGGGACTTTTCGGTTCTCCATTTGCCCTTAATGTTGGGAATAGAGACAAAGTTTCTGTAGGACTCTGACAACATATGGCTTTACAAAGTTTTTTTTTAATATATACATTTCTCTTCTTGGCTTTCTTAAATATCATCAATGTCTTTTCTTGCTTTACGTATTTAGCAACTTAAATGTCATCTTGTCTGAGATCAATATATTTCCAACTTGGAGAGATAGTGAGAAGAGAGACTTCAGATTTTTAAAATGTGGAACAAAACATTCTGATGGTGACCAGGTTTTAAGGTATTTCTTCAGTAGACAAAACTACTTAGGCTACCGATGATAAGCTTTTAATATTAATAATAATTATTATATATAAAAATATTAATATAATATGATCTAAGATTGTTTCTATTCCCCCTCTTTCCTGGTTGTTAGGATTTGGAATTTCTTATGCACTCTTTTTTTTTTTTTTTTTTTTTTTCTGAGACAGAGTCTGGCTCTGCCTCGCAGGCTGGAGTGCAGTGGCGCGATCTCGGCTCACTGCAAGCTCCGCCTCCCAGGTTCACGCCATTCTCCTGCCTCAGCCTCCCAAGTAGCTGAGACTACAGGCGCCTGCCACCATGCCCGGCTAATTTTTGTATTTTTTAGTAGAGACGGGGTTTCACCATGTTAGCCAGGATGGTCTCGATCTACTGACCTTGTGATCCACCCGTCTTGGCCTCCCAAAGTGCTGGGATTACAGGCCTGAGCCACCGCGCCCGGCCTATGCACTCTTAAAATTATTTCATGTACTGATACATTCACTTTCAATGATAAAACATGGCTGTATGACCAGGTAGGTAGGCTGCTTTTCAGACTCCTGTACTAACTGAATGGGCCCCATTAGCCCAAGTGAGAGCTTAACTTGTCACTCTTCCTAAATGCCTTCCTCAGCTGAGTGCTTATTTACAGTAATCTACTGCTTATAGCAGATGCTATGATTTGTATAAGCTGTCCATATCTACTTGGAAGAACAATATTGAAAGGCATTGAGATACTTACTTTCCCTCAAAAGCCCATAATCCAACAACTATTTAGAATATCTTATTTAAGAGATAGGTTTATAATACCCAAAGGGAACTTAATGTATACTGAAAGTCCCTGATTGAATGGATTCTGACCTTAACCAGAAATATTAATTACATGCTTATCAGACACTTACTGTGCTATCCCAGGGTTTGCCACTGTTGAGGGAACACCAGATGAATCATATTGTCCCTGCCTTCAAGGATTATATATTCTAATAGGACAGACAGCCCATCAGCAGAATAGGAGGTAGCAAGTGGTCAGGGATCAGATAAAGTGATCAAGGCAAGTGGAGGATGCAGTGGTAGGACAGAATGGTCTGCGCACAGAGATTGAGGGCATCATGTGGTGGGAATTAGTGAACTAGCATGCAAGCCGGGCCTTTTTCTTGGCTTTTGTTCAATTGGAAGGAGCATAAAGCTACTAAAGGAGCTTATGTTTAGAAATAGGGCTTATTGAAGGGGACAAGGCATCTCCTAGAATCCAAATGCACATCCCAAGACTTAAAAGAGTTAGAGGGCACAGGCAGGCCCTGTCAGATCCGGTCTCTGCCAGATCCAGTCTTGTCTGTTTCTCATCTTCCCTTGTCTCTCTGAGTATTCCCTGTTTTCCTTTCCTGGACTAACTGCTTCTTCCAGATGCCTAGTTTGAGTCCACCCATGGTTTTTTGGGGGCTTTTCTTTGTTTTTTTGTTACGTTCTGTTTTTGTTTTTTGTTTTTTTGAGGCGGGGTCTCACTCTGTTGCCCAGACTGGAGTGCAGTGACGTGATCCCAGTTCACTGCAGCCTCGACCTCCTCGCTTAAGCTGTCCTCCCACCTCAGCCTCCCGAGTAGCTGGGACTATAGGCGCAAGCCACCATGCACCCATGGGTGTTGACATGCCACCTGTGGCTCAGACTTATGCTCACCTCCAGTCAAGTTTCTTCCTTATCTAACGACAGCCTTTGTGTGTTCGTGAAAGCCCTTGAGGGAAAGAATGCTACGTACAGTTTGGTTTTCTTGGGCTCTAATAAGCTATAGGGGATGGTGCTGCAGAGTTTGAAATACAGTCACTAATGAGTCCTCCTTCAGAGAGCTGAGGGTGGGAGCACCACATAAAAGGAGTTGGGGGTCAGCAGCCTCCTGATAGTCTGAAAGCCAAAGATGATGGATGTGGGGCTCCACGGGGAGGCTATAACATGCCACGTTATGTTTTCTGCCCTTGAGGAAAGCTTCTTTTCACCAGGCAGGCAGTACAGATACAAACTTAATAGCGATGTGAGGCACACTGATAAATACCAGAAAACATTCTGTAAGAGGGGTTAGCATTATTTCACTGTGTGCAGAGGAGGTTTGTCCATGTGGGGGGACCCTAATGGGCGTAGGCATTTGAAGTGTAGTCTAAGGGATCTTAGGTAAGAGTGTGTTTGGAACACAGTGTACGTATTTATACAGCAAATGCTCTGTGTGGCTATAATTTAGGAAAATTTGTAGGACTTGAGGACAGCTTATTTTTCTACTAGCTGACAGAGGCTTGGGTTTGCTTCTGCTTTAAGTATAAGTATCTCGAGTCCTTTTTTAAAAAGGAAAATCAAGGAAATAGTTGGAATTGGGTTTCACATAAAAAACATTTTAGAAAAGAAGGGGAGTATGAGAGTTAGGATTTGCTAATGTTTGCTGTATTAGCAAATTATTTGCAATGCTTGTCATATTAGCAATACATGTATGTTTTGGAAAACACATGCAAATTAAGCAGCTTAAGGAACTTTTATCTTTATTTCCTATGTAAGATTTGAGATGCTGCAAAGAAAATATTAAAACATTGAACCGATACTTACAGTAGTCCTCCTATATCTGCAGAGGATAACTTCCAAGACCCCCAGTGAATGCCCGAAACCTTAGATAGTACCAAACCCAATATATACTATGTTTTTTTCCTATAGGTACATACCTGTGATAAAGTTGAATTTACAAATTAGGCACAGTAAGTAATTCACAACAACTAATAATAGAATAGAGCAATTATGACACTACGCCACCATCACTACTCTTGCACTTTGGGGCCGTTATTAAGTCAAATAAGAGTTACTTGAACACAAGCGCTGTGATGAAGTGATCAATGGCAGGTAGCATGTACAGCATGGAGACGCTGGACAAAGGGATGATTCACTTTCTGGACTGTGTGGGTTTGAGATTTCATCACACTGCTCAGAATGGTGCGCAATTTAAAACTTATTGTTGGCTGGGCATGGTGGCTCATGCCTGTAATCCTGGTACTTTGGGAGGCCAGGACAGGAGGATCTCTTGAGGCCAGGAGTTTGAGACCAGCCTGGGCAACATAGGATGACCCTATCTCTTTCTTAAAATTAAATATAGGCCGGGCACGGTGGCTCACGCCTGTAATCCCAACACTTTGGGAGGCCAAGGCGGGTGGATCACAAGGTCAGGAGATTGAGAGCATCCTGGCCAACATGGTGAAACCCTGTCTTTACTGAAAATACAAAAATTAGCCGGGTGTGGTAGTGGGTGCCTGTAGTCCCAGCTACTCAGGAGGCTGAGGCAGGAGAATCGCTTGAACCTGGGAGATGGAGGTTACAGTGAGCTGAGATTGCACCACTGCACTGCAACCTGGGCGACAGAGTGAGAGTCCATCTCAAAAAAAAAATAAATTAATTAAATAAATAGAAAAATAAAACTCATTTATTTATAGAGCTTTCTATTTAATATTTTTGGACTGAAACTATGGAAAGCAAAACCACAGATAAGGGAGGACTACTATAGTTATGATAAAAATCAGGAACTTAATCTAGCCACGAGAACATTTGTATTTCTGATGAAATTTTTATTCTTGTCTAAAATGTTGAACTATATTTATATTTATATCTTTAAATATAAATGAACTATATTTATATCTTTATAAATGAGCTATATATTTATATTTTATATAAATATAAATATTTTTATATCTATGTAAACATAAAAAGGCTTTTTTTCCTCTCTGGATGTTTACTGGGGTTATTTAATAAAAACCTAGGGATGATATTGGGAATTTTTGTTGGAATTTTAAATTTTAACGTGTTTGTTTCTTTTTTTGTTTTGTTTCGTTGTTTGCTTTCTGAGCTGGGAGTTGGCTGTGCATGTGGCAGTTGCTTTATCAAAAGGGTCTTGCTCTGCTTCAGAAGAAGTTTTGTTACCTTGATTGCTAATGTTCTCCCCCTTAAATAAACCTCCTGATGTTGGAACAGCAAAATTGCATTATGTTTGGAAAATCTAAATTAATAATCCCTTATCTCTGAATAAAAGTAACTGAATCAGGTTGAATTTACTGCTTCCATTTTAATAGGACAGTAGGAAAAAACTATGCATGGGCTTTATGTGGTTCAAATTTTTTTTTTTTTTTTTTTGAGACCGAGTCTCGCTCTGTCACCAGGCTGGAGTGCAGTGGTGTGATCTCAGCTCACTGCAACATCCGCTTCCTGGGTTCCTGCGATTCTCCTGCCTCAGCCTCCGGAGTAGCTGGGACTTAACAGGCGTGTGCCATGACGCCCAGCTAATTTTTGTATTTTTAGTAGAGACAGGGTTTCACCATGTTGGCCAGGATGGTCTTGATCTCTTGACCTCGTGAGCCGCCCGCCTCGGCCTCCCAAAGTGCTGGGATTACAGGTGTGTGCCACTGTCTCCGGCCTGGTTCAAATTTTGTAATCTCCACATCCATCTGCATATTAACAATTGTCATTGTTGGTGTTATAGAGAGAGAAGCTGAAGCACAGAAAATAACACGCATGTTCTAGATTTCCTGGTGGGAACTGGAAGTAAATTCTGTGTTTGGCTGATCACTGTATAAAGTTCTAGTACTAGTCTTTAGGGAAAAGCCCCGTCTTCATGGATTTTAATTTGTCAATTTGCAATTCTACCTACTTGGAAATAGTCAACCTAATCAGTTACTGCCCTGTTGCACCAACTATTACCATAGGAATCTGAAGATGGTATGCAACCAACATGAAAAAGAGATCCTTTTCTCCTGGTAATCAGTTTGTACCCTACAAACAATTCGTTGGTTTTAAGTTGTATAGAGGGAACCATGATGTGAATATGCCTGCCACTGGGTTTATAGAAAACCGATGACTCCTGAGGAAATTCTCAGCAGGGTTGTCTTTCAGTGAAAAGAACCCTTTAGAAAGATGCAGTAACTCACACTTTACTGCACATAAAGTCATGTCCCTCAGGGTGGACTCTCAGGTGTCATACAGTTTATGACTCATGAGTGCTGCAGCTTTGTGATCTAATAAACAAGTAAAGACGGTGGGAGAATTATATTCCTGTACAAAAAGCCACTTCACCTTTCATTATATAGGAAAAAAGCCATGGGAATATTAAATTTTTAGTGGCATTTTTAGAGCATTTTCTGTGATCTAAAGTGCCTGCATTGAGATATTAAGATACTTAAGAACAAAGTAAAATAAAGAGAAGTATTAATAGCAGGATCCCTTTGGAGCTAGGTTACTGTGGCAGTGGTTTCAAGAATAACTCTCTCAGCACCCACCCCAGGATTCTGATTTAGAGATTTCTTTGTGTGTTCTCTTAGCATATACCTCTACCACTGAGTTTATCCCCTGCTGCTACACTGATTGATACCTTATTTTTAAATTTTTGTTTTTAAAATAGACGGTTTTTTAGAGCAGTTTTAGATTCACAGAAAAGTTGAGAGGAAGGTACAGAGGTTTCCCATATACTTGCTACCTGCACACATGCTTAGCCTCTCCTATTATAAACATCCCCCACAGAATGGTACATTTGTTACAATCGATGAACCAACATTGATACATCATTAGCACCCAAAGTCCATAGTTTCCCTGAGGGTTCACTCTTGGCGGTATACATTTTTTGGGTTTGGACAAATGTATAATGACATATGTCCATCATTGTAGTACCATACAGAGTAGTTTCACTGCCCTAAAAATCTTCTGTGCTCTATCTGTTCATCCTCCCCCTGCCCCCAACCACCCAAACCCGTGGCAACCACTGATCTTTTTAGTCTCCATAGTTCTGCCTTTTCCAGAATGTCATATAGTGGGAAGAATGTCATATAGTATGGAGCCTATTCAGATGGGCTTCTTTCACTTAGCAATATTAGTTAAGTTCCTCCATGTCTTTTCATGGGTTCATAGCCCATTTCCTTTTAGTGTTGAATGACATTCCATTTTCTAGGTGTGTACCCCACAGTGTTATTTATTCATTCACAGTACCTTATTTTTTAACTGATTTTTTTGGGGTCTGGGACTAAGGTGAGGTAAACAAGGCAGTCAGGAATTGAGATTAAGAATTTTTAATGTAATATTTTTAAAAATCAAAATTACTGCAAAAAAACTCCATGATGAACAAAATATCAACTTTTTAGACAGAGATTGAGTCACGCTCAATTGACATCAAGCCATGCATAGTTCTCCTACTGCCTTATTAAAATGGAAGCAGTAAATTCAGCCTGATTCAGTTACTTTTATTCAAAGATAAGGGATTATTAATTTAGATTTGTCAAGCCCTCTGAATGTCATGGACAATTGTGAGTGAAATTCCGTGTATCGTCTAACTCCCCATGGATGTTATCTTGCTCAGAAACCTTGTTCTCCCTCCAAGGAAGGCACTACTTCTCCTGTAGCCTTCTCAGGTCGAAGTTCTTTTCTCAAAATCCTCACAGCGTTGCCCCTAGAGGTGGGAATGTCCTCTTTTCCTCTTCATTTCCTCTTTTCCTCTTCATTTTTGTTTCCAAACCACTCTTCCTTTCTCTTCCCTAAAAGCCCCCCTACCTCAGCTTGAAGTGCATGCTTTCAGACAAATCACTTTGCTCCTCCACCTGTTGGTCATCTCCAGACCTCTTTCTACCTCATCGATGTTCACCATTCAGACTTTGAAGATTTTAGCTCCTGCCTTGCTGTCATCAGGTGTAGCTGCTCATTTGCTGATTCTTAAGTGATCCTAATATTGATCTCAATGATCCTTCCAGTATTCCAATTTGTCAGTTCATGATTCTCATCCCTCCAGTGACCTTGTTTTCATCATTCTCCATCACCCATTGCTTACAATGGTCATATTATACTCCTTGCAATGACCAATCACTGCAACTCCTCCAAAATTTTAATTTCAATTATTTGACTCTCCAAGTACTACTTATTACCACCTCACTTTCTCCAGTCCTGTGCGCCATACATTCTTTAGCCCCTGGAGTGTGATCAGTGGACTCAGATTCCACTGGTCCCTACCACCTTTTACCTGTGTCTAATTCCCCTCATGTTCTCACTTTTGCCACTTGAGATTGCATGGCCCAGCATTCTAATCATTCCCTTGCTTATACCGTCACTTCTCTATTCGTTGTTATTTATCTGGCAAAACAACCACCCTGTTGCAATGCAAGGTTTATGCAAGGGAATGCACATTTTCGAAATAGATTTTTATGTTTATGTTTTTCTTTCAAATCTCTACTCATTAATAAATAGAAGTGGTTTGATATTTCACAAATGTGATTTAATTGATCAAGTTTCACATTTCATTCTAAGTGCTCAGTTAAACACCATGATGTATTCACAACAGTAATCAAAGCAAGGGGCTGTAGTTAGTTATAGGAGCAAAGAGAATTCATGAGTTTATTTTTATCTAAATGACACCCTTGATAACTTTTCGATAAGTTATTTTCATGTAAATTACTTGGAATAAGAGCAGGATTTTTATATAGAAAGCTTTCTATGTGTCATATCCTGTAAAATGTTTGTCCGATTAGTGAGAGATAGGGGGAGGTTGAATTTTACTAAACATAATATCCCCAGCCATATCTACTGTAACGTTTGTTTAGGACATTACAGACTATTATCCTACACCAATTTATTTCACATCAAAAATCACCCCATGCTTGTAAGAATCCTCCTTTCCCCCTCTTGTTTCTATTTTAGCTCCCCTGGAAAAATAATATTTTAAGTCTAAATGAGTACAATAAATTAAAAAGTTGCATTGCTTAATATTTTGAATGGAATAGCTAGATGCTTGTTCATTTGCTATCTTTTTCTTTGTACTGAATTTCTTTAGCTTGGTCAGAGGTAGAGCAGGCTTGACTCTTAGTGGATAGTGGTATAGGTTGAGTATCCCAAATTTAAAAATCCAGAGTCCGAAATGCTCAAAAACCCAAAACTATTTGCATGTCAACATGATGCTCAAAGGAAATGCTCATTGGAGTATTTTGGATTTTGGACTTTCCGGATTCCAGATGCTCAACCAGTAAGTATATAATGCAGATGTTCTAAAATCGGAAAAAGTCAGAGACCTTGAAAGCACTTCTGGTCCCAAGCATTTTGGATAAGGGACACTCCACCTGTACCTTACAGTGGAGGCTTGTTAGATGCTTGTAAATGCCAGCCCCTGCCTCAAGTAACAATTGATTCTTTTTGTGTGCTCTCCCAGGTCTACCCTGAACTGCAGATCACCAATGTGGTAGAAGCCAACCAACCAGTGACCATCCAGAACTGGTGCAAGCGGGGCCGCAAGCAGTGCAAGACCCATCCCCACTTTGTGATTCCCTACCGCTGCTTAGGTGAGCCGGCCGGCCGTGGGGCTGGTGTTGATTGGGGGCCTGGTCTTGAGGGAAGAAAAAGAGGATGCTCCTGTTAGGTCACATACACAGACTTGTTCTTCAGCACATTGCCACTCTGTGTTGTACTGTGTTTTGGACTCTTGCAGTTACATTCTGTGCACTGACCCTATAGGAGCAGTATTTTTGAGTTCCCTGCCTCAGAATGAATTTACCCAGGGTGTATATTGAAATTACAAATTCCTGGGCCAGTTCCAGGACTCCTGAATGAAAAATGCCTATAGTAGCGGATCCGGGAATTCTTATTTTACCGTATCGCATAGATGATTCTCATGAACAGGGGCCTTGTGTGTTTCTTCACATAGACTTTCTAGAAGAAAGAATCTAATGTGAAGCTGCAGCATTTTGTTAATTTCTAAAAAAAAAAAAAAAAAAAAAAAAAAGGCTGTTCTACAATAACTACTCCTCTTATTTGGTGATAGTAGAGGAATTGGAATTGGGAAGGCTTTTTTTCTGCTTACATCAAACTGGAGGAAACAGTCTGATTACTAATGTTTAATGTTTGTTTTGTCACAAACCTCAAATTTACCTCAACATTTTATTTAAAAAAATTGAGTAGTTTTATGTGGTATCGTGCTCTTTTCCTCTGGAAACTGTCATACTCCATATTTAATCTAACTTGGTTATTAGTCTGTTCCTAGTTGTTGTTTTTATGTGACCAGTCATTGCAGAAGTCAAGTTCTTTGCTCTGGTATCTTACATCTAGATGTTTTCCACAAGTGTATTCATCAGTAGGCAGGTTGTAAATAAGGATATAGAGATTGTCTGTGGAGATTGTGGACAAATATTGATGTATATTCTGATGACTTCTTATAAAGGTTAAAAGGAATATTTCAAAGAAAATCCAACAGCAAACTTACAAAGTAAGGATATTTACTGAAGATTCCGGAGATCTATGTAATATATGGTCAAAAATGAATGTCCTAAGAGCATACTGATTGCTGTTCATTCATGTGCATAATTTGAGACATAAAATGAAAACACTGGGCATTAGAAAGAAGATTTCACCTGGTGAATTTACTTACAATGTAATTGATGAAGAGAGTGTAGAAAACTAGATTTCTTAAACATCTGATAATTCAAGAGTTTCCTTTTTCCTCCTTATTCCTTGTTCCTATATGCTTTATAAGGCCTCAACTCTTTTCTGGTTCATCAAAAAGTGCAGTTTAATTAGATGAAAATAAGCAGCACTTAAATTCTAGATACAGAACTCCTACTCAAAAAAATATAGAAGTCATCTGTCCCCAGGAACTGTGTATTTTATACTCACTTAGTTATTACACCAAGAAATAACACACAGAGATTGAACAATTCAGTACAAGTTAGGAAGTAGATCATGAGTCTGTTAATTTGATGGGCCAGGCTTTGTTAATGATTTGTTTCTTTTGGTTCTTACTTACCTGTTCTATGAAGTATTCCAAATATATTTTCATTAGAATGTAAGCTCACTGAGAACAGGTAGGGCTTTGGATGGGCATTATTGCTCCTGGTATGACACTCAAAACTGCAGTCATGTTTCAGAAGTGAACTTATCATTTTACATAGATTTTTCTGCTTCATATTCTATTCAGAATGATTTGTATTAAAGTTGATGGAAAGATGAAATCCACATTAAGATTGTTATTTACTACCTAGTGCCAGTTGTTGTAGCAAATATCCTTTGAACCCCAGGTCTATTTTATCCTATCTGTTGATCACTTCCTTTGCCCCTGCTCTTCAAGCCTCCTCATCTCTGAAAAGCTCTCCTTCCACTGGGTGTGGTGGCTCAAGCCTATAATCCCAGCACTGTAAGAGGCCGAGGTGGGAAGATTGCTTGAGCCCAGCAGTTAGAGACCAGCCTGGGCAACATAATGAGACCCCGTCTCTTAAAAAAACAAAAACAAACAAAAAAACCTCCAAGTGAACGAACAGTACAACAAGTAATAAAGGATATAAAAGATGTTCTCAGATCTCAATATCAAGTCAGAAGATTTTATAATAATATTATAATTACACGGAGACTGTCCAAATATTTGTATTTGTTGTGCTACACTGCATTATGCACCATTTAGGGAAACAACAGCCTAAGTAATGTGGTTTTAAATAATTAATCTCATCTACCAAATACCTGTTTGATAGTAAAGTTAATGACCTGTCCTCACCTTATGTTTTTAACCATTATGGAAAGAGAACCACTTGAAAATATATCATTCCACTGACAGATAATTACCCAGCTGTGAAGCACAGGCTGGAGACTGGCAAGGAGAAATGGAGAGAAGCCTATAAAATAATTCTTTCTCAGGGAAGGAGTTTATTCCTGCCAAGGCTTTGCCATCAACCATTATCAGATTTCTCTTTCATCCTCCGAACAGATTCTGGGCTCCTTTGATGTGGAGGTACATAATTCAAAAAGTTGGGTCACTTGTGACATGTTAAGCAAATTTCTCAGTTCTGGTTGTGTCTGATGTGAAATGAGCACGTTGACACTAACTGTTCTTGACTACTATGGGACTAGATAATCATTTGCTATTTCCTGTAGGTACTTGGCGTGTTGAATCATTTTACCATATTTTCTCATTTTATGAATCACTGGTCCTTTTCCATTGGACCTGAAATTAGACCCTAATATGACAAGTAGAGCATATGTTGTCTCTTACTTTGTTATTAACCTTAGATTAGAATTAAGGAATATAGGTGCTGCTTTTTTCTTAGGTAGTGGCAAATTTTCCAAAGGTCTCAAGCCCAGAGTATAATACAGAGTTGATAAAATAACCTGGTAGAGTATGTAGAGCATGCCTTGTCTTTCAGGAAAAGGAACTGAAAAACATAGGTTTTCCAATAGGTGTAACATAGGTAACATAGGGACATAGGTGTAACTGATGTACATTTTACTTGCACTTAATAGACAGGCAGTGTTAGTTCTTCGTCTCTCTTCACAGGCTATACAACTACCAAGATCCAGAGAGGTTGAATTTCTTGCTATAACTCACAGCAAATAAATGGGAGAGTCAGCACTACAGTCCAAGCTCTCTTGATTATTGGTCCAGTGTTTTTTACAGTATACACAAAAATTTGTTTTAAAACAAATATTCACTATGAATTAGAGACAATAGCACTAAAAAAGAAACTCACAGCTATCGTTGTGTTGACAGAGGAGACAACCATGACCTAGTATAGGATAAATCTCCATGTGATATGTTTTCTACTTTATAGTAGTAGTAGGTAACATTCTTACATATTATTCCTGCTTAACAAAGAATTACTGTTCAGCATTAACATAAGTATGCTCTAAAATCTCTTGACTGTATCCAAATATATGTTTTAGACAAGAGTTTTTTTTTTTTACTGACCTAGCAAACAAAATAAAATTATCTTAAACATTAAGCGTGTTAAAATTCAAAACAAAGCTTGAAGAGAGAAAAATGCTTGTTATGTGTGGCATACAACCTTCCTAACCTCTTTATCAGATGAAGGATCCAGTGTGGCACTGGATTATTTTTCTGTAATATTTTGCCTCGGACATATGTGCTATACATTTCTTGTCTGCATGGGGAAAGTATGTCAGGTTGCTGTTGCCACTTTCTTCCCATGGAGTGGATAATTTCCCTTGAGAATAAGTTGGCTTTCTCATCTCACCCTTTGCTTTTGGTAGTACCTCTGGAACCAGAGGGTAAGATTCATCTTAATCATGTGAACATTTTATTAATTATCTCATGTGTGATTCAAGCACATCATTACTGTTACTCAAGGAGAATATTTTCTTTGCAAAGCTTTCAACCCTTTCCATTTGAATGACTGCTCTTCATGGTGTAATAGATCCACTGTTGAAATTGGCACTTTTCTGTACTTGTCTCTGACCAGCAAAGGCAAGGAACATTGCGTAAAATAAATTACTGTTGAATTATTGGGGCAAAGTCAGGTTAATAGCTTAATCCAAAAAAGGAATTACAAGTGAAAGAATTTTACCTTAAATGTCATTCTGTTTCATTTTGTAATTAAGACCTTCCAAATGTGTAAGTAGTAATGACCAGAAATCTTATCAGATATGGTCAAATGAGAAAGGTATTCAATTCATATTAATTTTGAATTTTATTGTTTTAATACAATTTTAGGAAAAGCATGCCTTGTTTTCTGGGTTTCTTGGCTGCCTTTGTATCAATTATCTACAGCTATCTTCTTTAGCATGGAAAGGATGTATTTGAATACTGTGACATTTTATACCAGGGTAATTCTTTGAATTTATGTAAACAACAACTCTCTTGAGACACATCAGTACAACACAATAGTCAGAAATGTCACATGAGAGTTCACCAAACTTTAAAGATGGCGATGAGGATGGAAAAACATTTTTATTGTAGACTTTAAGGATCTTGTAAATCCCCGTATGTAATCCAGTGTGCTAGAGAATTGGTGCCCATGGCGCCTCCTCTCCCCACCGACCTGCACTGTGGAAATCCTACTAATTTTGAAGTCATGGGAGATGCATGTGTGGGACCTATACATGCACTGTGATGAGAATGATGACTTCATCATTCTCATTATTTAATGAGCCCAGCTGCTGCATACAAGAAGGATGCAAATTCTTGAATGTTCTTGATTGTTTACATCATGGTCTCATAAGGAATGACCAGAATTGCTGGGCATTTCTTCATCAGGAAAGGCTAATCAGCCATCCTTGGAGAGACATCAGACTCCTTTATATGTGGCCTTCCCATGGGACCTTTGAATGGTCAACGTTAATCATGCTTCAGAACCAGCATACTAAGTAAAAGAAAACATGTCCGGAAAAGAAATCTTATCAGTGTTTATCTCCCAACAGTGGGATTACAGGTGATTTTGATTTTATTTAAGCAATTTTCTATGACTTTGTATAATAAATGAGTAGCTTTTATAATCAGCAAAAGATAGACTATGAAATCAGTACATATAATTTTGTATTTGTATGTAGTACCATTGAAGGATAATAGAAAAAAGTCAAAAGACTTGAAAGTCGACACAGAATGATCATTAATTTGTTTTATCTCTTGGTAGTTGTACTTTATGAGCTTTATACATACAGTATGGGAAAATACACTTTAGTTTTGAAAACACCATGATGCCAAAATAAAAGAAAATAACGTTCATTCATACGATCTTCAACAAAATTTAAGCAGCATTAATCATCACTGATTCTTCAGGAAGATTCTTGATCTTCCTTAATTTTTTTTCCCTCCAAAATTGCATATGGCAGCCACATTTGTTTCAGGCCAGAAGGAAGAATGGGAAGAGCTTACATTTATCTCACAGATTCCTTCTGGGTGAGGAAGACTTAGAAAGTGAAGCCCTCTTCCATTTGATTAAGCAAGAACACCTATAAAAATGGTGTCTTCGGCCGGGCGCGGTGCTCACGCCTGTAATCCCAGAACTTCGGGAGGCCGAGATGGGCGGATCGCAAGGTCAGGAGATTGAGACTGTCTTGGCTAACAACGGTGAAACCCCGTCTCTACTAAAAATACAAAAAAATTAGCCAGGCGTGGTGCGGGCGCCTGTAATCCCAGCTACTCGGGAGGCTGAGGCAGGAGAATGGCGTGAACCCGGGAGGCGGAGCTTGCCGTGAGCCGAGATCGCGCCACTGCGCTCCAGCCTGGGGGACAGAGCGAGACTCAGTCTCAAAAAAAAAAAAAAAAAAAAAAAAAAAAATGGAGCCCTTCTAGGTAGGTCATCCTCCATGGCTCACTGCAGCACTTCCTTGGCCCTGTCCCAAGTTCCATAATTGCCTCAATTGCATTGGCTCCTGCTTGATTTGCTTTCTAAAACTCAGGACAGAGGATGAGTTGAGGAGACTGACTTTTTTAACAATCGCATTTTGAAAAGAAGGAAGCGTAGTGGTGTTTCTTGGCTCCGTTTCCAGTTTTGTTTCTTTTCATTTTAATTATTGTACCTGGTATTGTGTCCTCTTTCTGGGACTTTTAACAACTAATGTTTTGATTGATAAGAGCTCTAATAGCATGGGTGATTTATACTTCATTACATCTTCAGTTTTGTCTTCTTTACTGGAGTTGTATTCAGGTGTCATTAAGTAACGAGGCATTAAAAAGAAACGATAACTTTTGAAAAACTGCTGTTATGGCTTATGAGTGGGCTTTGCTGATATTTTCTTGAAGCACAGAATTTATCTATCTCTGTAGGTCCTAGATGATAGGTGAGAAAAAGAAACCCAGCTTATTTGGCATGATATTGTCCCAAGGCTTGTTAGTAATTGCTTTGAAAAATGAATAGCAAGGCTAATGGACATCTGATTTGTAGTACATGCTAAGAATTGCAAATGTGTGCTCAAAAGAAATTTCTCTGATTACAAAAGTAACATATATTCAACGTACAAAGTTGAGAAAATACAACCACTAGCTAAAAATAATCAAAACCATTTGGCTTCCTTGCAGTCTACATTTTTTTCATGTATGTTTTGCTTTTGTTTTTAGTGTTATTTAATCGTTTCCTGTTTTGTGACTTGCTTTTTACACCTAACATTTTTAGAATACTCTACCTGTGAAATTAAATATTCTTGGAGAGCATAATTTTTAATGTAGCATCACACCAGACACTGTAATGTGTTTACTCTTTTTTATGGTCATTTAGGTGGTTTTCTTTATTTTGTGGTGGTGTAATAGTTGTTATAAATGATGCTGTGATAAACATCCTGGTAGATAAATTTGTGTTTAGTTGATTTTTATATAACAGTTATTGGCGGAATGCCTTGCAAATCTTATAGTTGGTGTAATAAAATATATGCGCCACATAATTGTTTATGAAAATATGGAGGAAAATTTTAATACTGATTTATGATCCTGAGTTTAACATAAGCATGGATACCCCTACATTTAGCTATGATTTTTTTATTGATAGAGTAAAAGCGCCTGTAATTTCTACTTAAGGCCATTTAAAATAATTACTATTTAAATCTATTTAAACAATTTTAAATATTGCTTTTCCAAATTTCCACCTTAGGAAGTAGTTAATTGAATATTCTCAGAGAAATAAGTCCTACAAAATTGACCAATAAAAGGTCAGTTACGTATTCATTGTGTACGTTTTATTGATCACCCACAGTGTGTGAGCCCCTGGAGGTGGGTGAAATGTGGGCCTCCCTCTTACAGAGTTGATAGTGGGCCTGAAGGGGATGGGATTTCAGCTCAGGAATTTAAGGAAGACTTGACAGGAAGTAGCATTGTGAGCCAAGATTTCAAGGATAAGATTTCAAGGCAAGAAAGGAGATGTATTTTAGGTATTCAGACAGAGGGTCAACAAAGTCTTTAAGGTAGGAACTAGTTCACTTTTCAAAAAGAAGAGGTAATTGGTCATGATAAGAGTAGTAGTTTTTAAAAATCATTACTGTTTTCATTCATTTATAATGAATACTATTATTTTATAATTTTAAAGTTTATATCCAAATAATTGTTTTCAAGATGGTAATGAATGTATATTGCTTTTATGTATACACATAGTACTTTTTGCTTTTTGGTAACTAAGTTTATAATTTTTGAGGGCAGGAAATATTTTTGTTTTTCACTTACAAAGAAACTATATTTTAATAAGAGTTTTTTGACAGCAGTGCTTTATGCCAAAGGAAAATAAAGCAACATTTAACATATCAAAGAAAGCCAATGCAAAACAAGGATTATTTATTTATTTATTTATTTTATTCATTTTTGAGATGGAGTTTCACTCTTGTTGCCCCGGCTGGAGTGCAATGGCGTGATCTCGGCTCACTGCAACCTCCACTTCCTGGGATCAAGCGATTCTCCTGCCTCGGCCTCCTGAGTAGCTGGGATTACTGGCACCCGCCACCACGCCCAGCTAATTTTTTGTCTTTTTAGTAGAGATGGGGTTTCATCATGTTGGCCAGGTTGGTCTCAAACTCCTGACCTCAGGTGATCCACCCATCTTGGCCTCCCAAAGTCCTGGGATTACAGACATGAGCCATCATGCCCAGCCAAAACAAGGATTTTATATTCAATCAAACTGACATTCAGATATGATCACATGAAATAAATATCAACGTACAATAACTCAGGGCATATTTTCACATTATTTTCCTGTAGAATCTGCTAGAGAACAAGTTTCAGATACCCAAAATACCTAGAGAAAAACTGATATAAGGATGGGTAATGAGCATTAAGGAGAAACATAAAAACTAAGACTCAACGATGGTAAAAAGTATGATAATATAGTATTCCACAGCTACATGCTGTGACAATAAAGAGATTCTGTAACTGTCAGGCCTCTGAGCCCAAGCTAAACCATCCCCTGTGACCTGCACGTATTCGCCCAGATGGCCCGAAGCAAGTGAAGAATCACAAAAGAAGTGAAAATGGCCTGTTCCTGCCTTAACTGATGACATTCCACCACAAAAGAAGTGAAAATGGCCGGTCCTTGCCTTAAGTGATGACATTATCTTGTGAAATTCCTTCTTCTGGCTCATCCTGGCTCAAAAACTCCCCCACTGAGCACCCTGTGACCCCCACCCCTGCCCCCCAGAGAACAACCCCCTTTGACTGCAATTTTCCTTTACCTACCCGAATCTTACAAAATGGCCCTACCCCATCTCCCTTTCCTGACTCTTTTTCGGACTCAGCCTGCCTGCACCCAGGTGAAATAAACAGCCTTGTTGTGACAGTAACTTTAATGGGGAAGAATGAGAAGAAGATGTGGGTAAAGAAACAACTGTTTTTCTATTAATGGTGGTAGTATTAGTGTGTAATTCTGAGCCTGGTGCATAAGTAATATGGTGTAACATAAGTGAATAGTTGTGTGATATTTTAATTCAATCATCCCATGTATTTGAGAATCAGAATTTTGATGTGGTAAAAGAAGATTCACATGTAACATATAATCTATTAAAAAGATACCCTGTAGTCATGAGTTTGACTTTTAGGTATCATTTCTCAGTATAACATATTGTTGTAGATTTCAGATAACATTTTTTCCCCATAAATACTGTCCGCTGCAGGCCTAAAAATAATGAAAAGGCCTAAAAGACCAACTCAGTAGCGGTAAACACCAGTACTGCACCTAGATTATGGTCTTTAGGAACCATTTTCCAGTAAAAGATACCAGTAATCTTTGGAAAGCAGGATTTTTTTTTCTTTTTTTTTTTTTTTGAGATAGAGTCTAGCTTCGTCGCCCAGGCTGGAGTGCAGTGGTGCGATCTTGGCTCACTGCAACCTCTGCCTCCTGAGTTCAAGCCATTCTCTGCCTCAGCCTACCGAGTAGCTGGGATTACAGGTGCCTGCCACCACTACTGGCTAATTTTTTTTTGTATTTTTAGTAGAGACGGAATTTGACCACCTTGGCCAGTCTGGTCTTGAACTCCTGACCTCGTGATCCACCCGCCTCAGCCTCCCAAAGTACTGAGATTACAGGCATGAGCCACCACAACCCGGCGGAAAGCAGGAAATTTTTTAAAAGCTATTTTAATTCAGTCATGTAAAAAAAATGAGCAGAAAGAAACAAAAAACTTAAAAAAAAACTTAAAAAATGAGCAGAATCTTAGGAATCACCTGCGACTTTGGTTATTCATGCTTAGCCATTTCTATAGGAAATTCCAGCACTATTTGAGTTAGACCACTAATTATATGTGTGTTGTAGCTTTCTCCAAGAGATAATGGAATTCACAAATCAAAACTTTGAGATTATTAAGTGTTACAAGTGAATTATAACCCCAGTCATTTGCTTTCAAATGAACAGCTAAACATATTTTGTGTTAATTTCTTATGGATGCTGCTTTGTTTGTTTGTTTGTTTATTGAGACGGAATTTCACTCCTGTCACCTAGGCTGAAGTGCAATGGTGAGATCTCGGCTCACTGCAACCTCTGCCTCCCGGGTTCAAGTGATTCTCCTGCCTCAGCCTCCCGAGTAGCTGGGATTACAGGCGTGCACCACCACACCTAGCAGATTTTTGTATTTTTAATAGAGACAGGGTTTCACCATGTTGGCCAGGCTGGTTTCGAACTTCTGACCTCAGGTGATCCACCCACCTTGGTCTCCCAAAATGCTGGGATTACAGGCGTGAGCCACCATTCCCGGCCTAGATAGGCTTTTAGTTGGTTTCCATATACAGTGTATATAGGGAGAAACAGACTAAGACAGACACTGGCATCCACAGAAGTAAAAATAAAAAGTAAGGTATAATTTAAATTTCACACGGTCATGGTCACATTTTTCAGCTTTTTGCACCTATGTTGTATAAAAAAGACAAAAATGCCTTTAGAGGCTCAAGTTTTCAGGACTTCCTGAAGCTGTGTCATAGTTTAAAAATGCCATAAAAATGCCGTCAGATTTAATAACGTATCAGCTGAACACTGGATTTCTGTTATGTTGAGTCTTCAAAAATTTCTCCCTGTATGAGGAATTAATACTGTTATGTCTGATCTGGTGGTCTGAAATGTGAACTTTTCTGGGCCAACCAGTAAACAGCTGCTGTTGCTTTATAGCTGCGTAATTCAGTCTTGGAAATTATTAGATAATTCCCACACCATTTCAGCTTGCTGTTTTACCATAAATTTAATGTGAACAGTATTTCTAGCTAACCTCAAGCTGTGTTTATTGTCGTGGAATTTTCTCTTTTATTCTGAGGTAAATGATTACAAATGGTTATGATGAGGAATCAAAGAAGAAAGTGGACTTTCTTCAAAGTTCTTTTTCTACTCTAGCCGCTTCTGAGCATCTTTCTCAAGCACTGTGTTTCCATCAGTCCCTACCCCAAGCAGAGAAAGGAAACAGTTTTCCCCTTTGTCTTCAGAACCCTCTTCTCATCGTGTCATTTTCCAAAGCAAATAAAAATCTTGAGATATTGTCTTGAGTTTGATTTTTTTTTTTTTTTTTTGAGATGGAGTTTCACTCTTTGTTGCCCAGGCTGGAGTGCAATGGCACAATCTCAGCTCACCCCAACCTCCGCCTCCTGGGTTCAAGTGATTCTCCTGCCTAAGCCTGCCAAGTAGCTGGGATTACAGGCATGTGCCACCATGCCCAGCTATTTTTCTGTTTTTAGTAGAGACGGGGTTTCTCCGTGTTGGTCAGGCTGGTCTCGAGCTCCCGACCTCAGGTGATCCGCGCCTCGGCCTCCCAAAGTGCTGGGATTACAGGCGTGAGCCACCACACCCTGCCGAGTTTGATGTTTTTTTTAACCATTCAAGCCAGTAAATAACTTTCCAGACAGCTGTAGTAGAAAACAGAATTTGTGTGTGACAAAACTTAAGATTTTGGGATTGAGAGCTCTATGGTTTATGCCATGTGGATAATTGTAGCCAGATGAAGAATATGAAATTTAAGGAAGTGTTTAGAGTGGTACAGACAGCTATTATTACGATTCTTGGGGTAGAAGAGTAGCTTACATACAACATAAAATAATGGCATTAACTGAATTAACTTCAGCCTTTGCCATGAAACCCAAGCTTTCATTATGTTTTAAATAATGAACTACATTAAAAATAGTATATAAATATGTAAAATATATTAGACATAGACTTCTCATAATAAATTATGGGAACTTTTGATGTATTTCTTCCCTAGGAAAAGAACTAAACAAGTGCTTCTTTGTGGACTTAAAATTTTTCAGTTTACTATTGTGAATTAGGTACAGCATATCTTTATAATTCCAGATAATACCCATAAAAGCAGAACTGTTTATTTACTTATTATGAAGGGAATACTGAAATGAAATTAAGGACAATTTTTTTCTCACGTATTATATTTTTAAAAAGTTATTTGATGTTTGTGATTAAATAAAGAATGAATTTTTAAAGCCAGTTCTCAATTAGCACTGAGGAAAAGAATATGCTTTTTTTCAGGTACACAAATAAGCATCATGGATATAAGAAACGACATAAAGATGAATCTACAGTCTGGATTAAGACGTATTTTAATTTCAGTGTCAAAGGCTGTTAGGAAATATTCAGATTTTAGTACTTGACAAAGAAGGTTCTCAATATTTGTTTCAGTGTTCAGTGAAAGGATAAATTCTGTCGTCTTTCTCTTTTATCATATTAGTCACTGAGTGGTTTCATTAAACATTCCCTCTTCCATATCCCCTGATAAATTTCAACTTGTTGGTGATGCATCCCAGGAGTGTCTGTCTTTTTTTTTTTTTTTTTTTCCTTCTCCTGTCAGTGAGTCTTAGGCTTTGGCTTTGAAACCCTATAGTGAAGGGAAATCTCAGGCAACAGCTGTGCAACCGTCTGGAGAGCAGCTAGTCCAGATTGGAGGAGACGAACGAGGCTGGTCGCAGGAGAGAGGCCTCCAGGAAAAAATGGCATTGATGCATTACCTGCGTTAAAGATTTTCCTGTACTTAGCATGCTTCTTAGGGTTCTACTGGAGCGTTTGGGAAAGATACAGTATTGATGGATGCATAGAAAATGAGGCAAATTTTTTAAATGGGGCAAATATTAACTGTAGACAAAGAAAAGCCAAAAGTACAAAATAACAGCGTTGTAAGATACGAAGATAAAAATACGCCTAAGTATGAGCGTTCTGGCAGACTCACAATACAGATGCCATATATGGGGTAAAACCATACCAGTAGGATGGTGGGAAGGGAAAGGGGTGGGCTCATGTTCCATAGTGGGAAGACCTACAGCGGAAAAATCAGGAGAATAGTTATTTAAGCACAGAGTTTAGGGAGTAAGTTGCAGAAGAGACAACTAAATGAGATGGCCGTGAATGATTTTTATGACCTCCTCTTGTTATGGAGAAATCGATCAAGGAGGCCTATATTTGATGGCAGGAAGAAGTTGAGTTTAAGGTTTCCAGACATTTGTTTTAATCTGGAAAATTTCTTTTTTTCTTTCTTTCTTTTTTTTTTTTTTTTGAGACAGAGTCTCACTCTGTCGCCCAGGCTGGAGCGCAGTGGCGCAGTCTTGGCTCATCGCAGCCTCCGCCTCCTGGGTTCACGCCATTCTCCTGTCTCAGCCTCTTGAGTAGCTGGGACTACAGGCGCCCACAACCACGCCCGGCTAATTTTTTGTATTTTTAGTGGAGACTGGGTTTCATCGTGTTAGCCAGGATGGTCTCCATCTCCTGATCTCGTGATCCGCCCACCTCGGCCTCCCAAAGTGCCGGGATTACAGGCGTGAGCCACTGCGCCCAGCCTAAAATTTCTTTTAAGCTTAGAAGTTGCAAGTCAAGTTACTGTTAAAGGCGTCCTAACTTTGAATTAGATAAAGCTAAACTGTGGTTTAATTGAGCTGAGTTTGTTGTATGCTATATCTCAACTTCACAAGATGTTTGCTTTTTCTTGGCTATAACCTAAGATTATACAAATATAAAATTACCTTTATGCCCATTTGATAGACTTTAGGGCTGAATTTCCCTGTGTAAGATGTTGTAGAGGTTTGTACTTGTGATTGTTTTTACTCTAGAAGCATGTTTATCTTCACTCCTTTAGTGACACGTGTTTGTTCAGGAACTTCAAACTCAATGTGATCAAAACTAGACTCATGTTCCCTGAATAGTCTCTCCTGACTACAAATCTGTTGGAAACTTCCAATCCTAATTAATAATTGTAAACTTTTTAATGTAAGTCATATGAGGGGTTGTTGTGAGCATAGGAGGTAGGGAGATGGTAGTGTGAGCTGGAGCATATGGTAAAAGTTGTTTGAAAGAAAGTAGACCCATGATGTGGATCCTGAGGGATACGTAAAGAAAATGAAGAGGTGTAGATTTAAAAATGTTTATGGGGCCTGGGCGTGGTAGCTCACACCTGTAATCCCAGCACTTTGGGAGGCCGAGGTGGGCAGATCACCTGAGGTTAGGAGTTGGAGACCAGCCTGGCCAACATAGTGAAACCCCGTCTCTACTAAAAGTACAAAAATTAGCCAGGCATGGTGATGGGCGCCTGTAATCCCAGCTACTCAGGAGGCTGAGGCAGGAGAATCACTTGAAACCGGGAAGCGGAGATTGCAGTGAGCCGAGATCGCGCCACTGCACGCCAGCCTGGATGACAAGAGCGAAACTCCGTCTCAAAAAAAATTAAACAATAAATAAATAAATATATTCATGGGGATGTTCCAGGGAAAGTAGTTTGTGTTGGTAGCCTTGAGAAATAATAATAGAAAATTAGAATAGAACTAAGTTGGTTCATTAAAGTTGGAACACTTGTAGAGATTTTTGATTTGGACAGACATTAATTCATTTGATTATTTCTCTTATTCGATGTCCAGAAAAATATCTGTACATTCAATGTGGTTTTATTTGTACTGCACATGTCATTAATAGGCTAAAGTTACCTCTAAGATACCTGCTTTCTTAGTCCTTGTTACGCTGTAAATTCTGGGCATCAGGATATAGCTTTTTATTATGTTAGCTCTTTTAATAGATGATACAATTGGATTGGGGAAAAAACTGATTATACTCTGGAGTAATACTTTCATAGCCTGTAGTATCCTGCAAATAGCTCCTGGTCATCTTCGAATTTTACTAGCAAACTTGTAGGGTAATAGGTTGGGACAAAGTATTATAATCAGTGGCTTTGAGGGCCTGATAAGAGGAAACAATAATTGTGCAGCTATATTGTGAATAAGTAGTGCATGATGCTGATGGTTAACCCTTTCCTGCGGTGCTCAAACATTGGGAAATAATTGCTTTTTGTTCAAAATGTAAGCTCTTCGATAATTGAGACTTTTGTCAATTCACTGAAATATTCCCAGAGCTTGAACATGTCTGGTACATAGTACATATTTAATAAATATATAGATTTAATGAATGAATTGAGGATGTAGCCAAATATTGGAAAAGGAAAGGGAAAAGAAAGAATAGCCCAAACATTAGAAAGACAGAAGATGTGGAGCAGCAATTTCACATGCCTAAAAGAATTTCTGAGATTATGGCAAAATCATTTACTTTACTTACTCCTTATTGATCAACAAAGGAAGAGCAGGTTTTATGTAACAACCAAGAAGTAACATAGGGATCTCAGAAGAGAAGAAACCAAGTGTCTTTGGATCTTAATAAAAAGAACATTCAACTCCAGAAATAGGGTTAAACCTATCCTACACATGTCTAGTAAAAAGTCAGTGTATCAGAGGCATCTGTGTTTAGAGATAAAACATACCATTAGATTCATTTATAATAGTTTCATTGTCCTTAGTTTTTAAGGCTAATGATAAAGATTTTTTTTTTTTTGTGAGACACAGTCTCTCTGTCACCCAGGCTGGAGTGCAGTGACGCAATCTCTGCTCACTGCAACCTCCGCCTCCCGGGTTCAAGCGATTCTCTTGCCTCAGCCACCCAAGTAGCTAGGACTACAGGCACACGCCATCATGCCTGGCTAATTTTTGTATTTTTAGTAGAGAGGGGGTTTCACCATGTTGCCCACGATGGTCTCGATCTCCTGACCTCAACAGATCTGCCCGCCTCGGCCTAGTGCTGGAATTACAGGCGTGAGCCACCACGCCTGGCCTTAAGAATTAATTTTCACAGAAATCTGCTTCTAAATATTATTCAGTGATAATAGATTTTAGAAATTTCAGATTCTTATGTTGTACCTTAAAGGTTAGGATACTATTTATAAATGCTAAACATGAACTCCTGTCATCCTATTTTAATGTCTTTATTAAGTGATTACATGAATGTGGCGTTTCAGTAGGTGTTTGGTGTATTAATAGATGTAGGTACTCCCCTCTTAAACCTTTAAGTATTTTCATGCCATGAAAAATTTGGGGGGCATTCTCTTTATTTATTGATTAGGTACCTGTATTTTCAAGAATATTACTCAGCTTCAGTTCCCCCAAATCTTTTTTAGTGTTAACTACCTTCCGAGAACGTGGTATAACATTTTAAAATATATTTTTTGAAGGTTTGGATGTCACTGAAGATCCCCCTATTTATTGGATGGTATCTTTATCAGCTGGGAAGATAATTAGTTTCCCAATGTTGCTATATTTTTATGAATAGGTCCTGTAGCTCTTGCTTTCTTGAAAGCTTAGAATTGATTGTAAGCCATGGACTAATGATATTCTCCAAGCATATTTAACATGAATAGGCTCATGTTCAGTATGTCAAGAAGTTACCCTGTTGTACTATTTAAATAATTTGAGCTTAGTTTTCTTTTTCCACCTTTGTTCTAAATTCTTAGGTGAGTCTGAATTCCTGGGCATCTGTGCACACAGCTTCTTCAGTAGGTCCTTTACTCTCATTGTATCTGATCTTTGACTTCATAAAGACCCTTGGCCTACTGACCCTGTATTTAATTTCACATCTCAATAGTATTTAGCCTTCTCATATTTTTCCTCTTCTTTAGAGCTCCCTGATCCCTCACTCCAGTCATTCAACTCTGTGTATTCCTTTAACTTCCACCCTCGCTCTGTCTCTTCACAGATATGCTTCTTTATATGGTAGTCAGAAGTTCCTGTGTGATCTTCGTAACCTCCAGTTCCCTCCACAGTCACCTGTTATCAGGCATCTGTTCCTTGAGCTCCAGGGAATGAGCTCTTTGCTATCATTCTGGTTGTCGGACTCACTGGGCACTGTTGTGTCCTCCACAGTCTCTCAGTGGCATCGGTTGATGGGTGCATTCTCCCCACACTGATGTCATTCTGCTGCTTCTGATTTTCTTTCTGCTGTCCTCCATTTTCCTTTCAGGCTCCCTTCCCCGTCCTCCCCGCGCCACCTTTTGCAATATTTAGGATTCAGAAATTCCAAATATTGCAAAATATTTAGAATCAGAATTCAGAAATTCTAAATATCAGTGTTTAATAGGAGTACCCTGGGGTTGTCCATTTTCTCACACAACACATACTTGCTAGGAGATCTCATAAGTGCAGTGGTTTTTCAGAGGCCTGCATTGATGATTCCTGAGTCATTATGTCCAGGCCAGGCCTCATACATACTATTTACTGGTTCTCTTTCTGCGGGTGCTCCACCAAGAATTCAGACTCAATGGAATATTTCTTCTAAGATGTACACCAGTTCCTTATCAAAAAATGGCAAATTCAGACTTCTTAGGTTAAACAGAGAACTCGTGAACATGGCATATGTCTGTTATTCCATTTTTCTCTGTTGGCTTATTGCTGAGTACCATTTGGGATAAAAATCTGTTTCAGGCAAAGGATAGGATTGTTTTCAGCTTTTATTAAATTCTCCTAGACCCTTGATTTTATGCAGAGAACTAATTAAATTTGAATGAATTTAATGTAGAAACCCTGCTATTGATGCAGAAATCAACCTGATTCTGGACTAGCACCAGAATCAACTATTTTTGTTGTTTTTGCTTTCTTTTTTTTTGCTTTTGCTTTCTCTGCCGGTAAATAACAACTAGTATGTAAGAATCAAATGAATCAAGCATAAATCCCTAGGAAATATTTATGCATTCATTTTTAACAATTTAAAGATGTGAAGATATATAATTAAGCATAATCCTCTCAAAGTTTGACGTTGAAAAGTATTTCAGATACTTCAACTTAAATATATTTTTTGCAAAATATCTTTTTTAAAAAAACAGATGTGGTCTCAGCAATGTAATTATTACAGTGTGAGGAGAGCTTACAGTTGTACCAAAATTTATAACTAGGAAGAAGAGAATGTGAAATAATCCGGAAACCTACAAAACTGTCCTATACAGGAATACCAATTAAACAGCTACTAAAAATGAGTGTAAAATGACAATATGGCTTTATCAAGTGCTTAGGGTCTGGAAAAATGCACATATTGCCTGTTATTTATTGTTATACTTAATGAATGTTCTTTTGCACGTGAGAACTGTTATAAAAGATGTCTTTTGTACATACTTGGTACACCAGTTGGCTTTTTAACCCATTAGCTGTTTTCCCCCAAAGGTGGCCTACTCTAGATGACGTTAAAAATACACATTTTCCAGGGACTTATATAAATAGTCAACTGCCCTATTATGGAAACTTAAAAGCGAAGGCCCTGAAATATCCAGACAGTTTGAACATAAACCAAAAATGAAGTGAATCTCTAGAATTGCTGTGTAATAGCGTGAGTGGGGAGGGGGTCCCTCAAGAGAGGGAACTGACCTTTTTCTTCCTCGTGGGTGACCTTGAGTACACACTTTATTTAGTCATTAAAAGGGTCACCTGAAGCTTAGAGAATGAAGATCCTACAGCCTGTTAATTTTATCATTGTTAGAAACTCTCTGCCTTTGGCCTGAAAATGGTAAATCACCTTTCTTAGAAGATTCTCATATCCAGATATTCTTACCAAATCAGAATCTTTTCCAGCATTTTCTTCAAAAAACCACAGTTCTGGGTTAAAACACAGCAGATCCTAACTGTAATTTTCCTTTCATGTACATTTTAGTCATCTTTATAATTTTAAATGAAAGACAGGAACTACATTATTTGAAATAAGGGTTAACCCCCTCTAATTATAAGCATTAATCACACACAGTTTTCTCATTTCTAAATGTTAAATATAAAATGGGAGCTATCTCTTCAGACACTTTTCTGTTGCCTTCTGTGTGCGGCAGGACCTTACTTTTAAGCTTAGTTTGATTTAAAGGCTGAGTTTCTGCTTGCTTGGAATGCTTGCTCTTCAAAATATTTGCTCCCTGGAGAGGGAAACTGAAGATGGAGCTTTCACGTGACTTTGGATTGCTGACCTGGAAGACGTTTGGGGTAATAGGATGGGCTAGGGCATGGTTCCACTGCTTTCTGTTTGAGTGGGGTCAGGAAAGGAAGGCGGGGCTCGCTGTGTGCAAACAGGAAAACATAGTCTGAAGATGTTTGAAGCCTGAGTGCACTTTCATTTGATGCCTTGCTTTATTGCTTAAGAGAATTTTAAACTGCCGAATCCGCAAATGTGCTGCAGCCTATAATGACACATATTTAAATGATTTTTGCATCTAAACAAATGCATTCACTCTTTGCCTGGTGTGTACAATTTGAATGACACTCGTGCTCTGCCTGGAAGGAACAGACGTTTTTCATTATAAAATTCAGTCAAGCAGAAAAGTAGCAAAGGAAGCAGAAATTTCCATTTACATCTATGATTGAAGTTGTAGTGATAAAAGAGGATGACTAAGTTGAAGAGTAGCCTTGTTCTCATTCTGCTATCTGACATGGGATCTTGTCACTTTGGTAATAGTTTTTAAACTTACATTATTGAGGAAGGCTCTGATCAGAAGTCTCAAATTATACATGTTCTTCAACCTTAGATTTTTCTGGGTGTTTTGTTTCAAAAGTCTCAAATTATATATGTTCTTCAACCTTAGATTTTTCTGGGTGTTTTGTTTGGTTTTTTGGTTATCTATAGATAGATTTGAGTATCTCTTTTTTTCTTAAAATCCGTTACTTACTAGTAATAAAGACTTAAGTGGTAGCTTTACGCTCCATTATCACAGAGATTCACAGTACTTTTTAGTTTTTACTTGTGAGCCTCAGCAGGTGTAGACAGATACCTTAGTTGCCACTGATAACATCCAGTTGCCACTAGATCAAGAAATGGTTCAAAATTCTCCAGGGGCATTTTCTGCTAAAGAAGAGTTGGTGATCTTCCTTTTGGAAGCCTTAATGTACTTAAACCTTCTTCCTTAGAAGTCCAGAAATTCAATTATTTCAGCTCTCTGTGGAGTGATAAGTCCTGCCAAATTGATTTACAATAATGAAACTAAGCCTTGTTTACAAATCTAAGTGGTGATTTCTAAGTCCACAGAGGCGTGGTAACAGAGAGAGAGATTCTGATTTATCTGGGGGTCTATCCGTGTTTGAACAGATTGTGTGATTTTTGAAACATGATTCAAAAGGGATGTTGATAAATTCTAAAATACATTTTTATTGAAGAGCTTGATGAATCATGTATACTTACTTTATTTGTTATTCTATTAGATATTGTCTTCCTCATCCCTAGGTGGTGTTGCTAGTACAGTGACAGAATTCAAATCCTTCTTTTTCCTCTGCTCTAACAGAGCTTTGTGAACTCATAGCAATATTGTAATGCCTGGTAAAAGGTGGTGCCAGTTTCAAGTACTATATCCTAATTACTTCATGGCTAACTCTTGTTATTGTTAACAATATTGTTAACTCTTTTGTTAAATGCAGTGACATCTTTTTTCTTTCTCATTCTCTGTGTACTTTTTGCCCTAAATAGTTCTGCATCTTTTAAGATACAAGTTTGCTTTTTCTTGGAGGTTTTTATTTGGAAAATGCCTGAAATATATAGACCAACATTTGTTCCTCCAATGGTTAAATTACATTGTCTCCCAAAGTGAGGCATTTTAAGTCTGGACTATACCCAGGAGAATCTAAAAGAGGCAGTTAATAAGCTCTTGAAGAGCACAGTGGGGTGGTTGTGTATTTATTGAGTCTCACACTTAGGAGAGAAATAGGCTGGACCAAATGAGCCTGGGCATCAAAAGCATGTGGGTGGTCGTTGGTGATATGTGCAGTGATGAGTGTGTGTGCTGAGGGTCCTAGACCAGGCTGGCAGGGAAATGAACTGAAGGCAGTGAAGCCTCCCCTGATAACTGCAGAGAGTGCTGCAGCATCCAGGACCTCAGGATCATGATGAACAAGCTGTAGTGGATGGAAGGGAGAGGAACTATGGGAAGGATGAGTTTCTGGCCAGAAAGTGGTTTACTGGAGTGCTGTGTCTGAGTATTACATGATCTGAGGACCATGAGGTCCAGCTTTGGGAGTATGGAGAGTTTGAGTGGAGTAGAGTTATAGTCCCATGGTCTTCTGATTCACAGACATTCATGAGCGATAAGTATCTATTGAGAAAGTGGAAGCATGATTTTTATGACCTCCTCTTGTTGTGGGGAAATCGATCAACGGGGCCTATATTGGTTGGGTTCTACAACCAAATAGAATGTGTTCAGCAGGAGTCATGTTTTGGGCTCCTCACAATGTTCAGTGTTAGTTCTGTTCCTTTCTCTTGCTTCCACATAGGAAAGACTTTGACCCAATGAGGAATTAGTCATTGTCCTTTGGGTACACTTCCGGAATTTGATAATCAGTTGGGCACTTGATTCTAGTACATTTGCTAAAAGTAATTAATACCCTGCAATTGGAAGCATGCAGCAAGCGACTGGGAATGCTAAGTGAAAGGTCAGAATTGAAAGAGTGGAGGAGGCTGTTGACCCTTAGGCATGGATGATATGTCTGAGTGAGAAAGCAAGAAGAGTAGAAGACAGAGCCTTACTTTATAATCAGAATTATGAAAAGAGGAGCCAATGAGAGGGAAAGAATGATTGGCTTGAGATAGATTGGTGGAAACTGGAGAAGATTGAATTTAAAGAAGAAAAGTGGGCCAAGTTCAGTGGCCCATGCCTAGAATCCCAGCAAATTGGGAGGCTGAAGCTAGGAGAGTTGCTTGAGGCCAGGAGTTTGAGATCAGCTTGGGCAACGTGGCGAGACCCCTGTCTCTACAAAAAATAATTAAAAAAAAAATTAGCCAGGCATGTTGGCATGTGCCGGTAGTCCCGGCTACTTGGAAGGCTGAGACAGGAAGGTTGTCTGAGCCCAGGAGGCTGCAGTGAGCTATGATCACAGCACTGCACTCCAGCCTGGTTGACAGAGGGTATCCCCGTCTCTTTAAAAAAAAAAAAAAAAAGAGAATGTGGCAGAGTAGTCAGAGAACTGGAGGGCTGAGAAGAGACTGATGGCATTTGTTGTTCTTGACCTTGAAAGAAGAGTTGCAGATTGTTGGAGCAAGGCCAGATGGTAATAGGTTGGAAAGAACAAGTGAGGGGCGTGAGAGTGACAGTCTACAACCCCGTTAAGAAGTTATCTGTGAAAATGCCTCTTCCTGTCTTGATTATAGCCTCCCTCGCACATGGCTTTCTGAGTATGGTATGTGAAAACAGCATGCTGTATATTTTTACCTTCCCATATGAGTTAAGGTTTTGGTAATGACTTGTGGTTCTTTTGCCTCACGGAACACCAACCTGGTTGGTATTTTGTCGGCAATTATGTGGTTTTTAAAAAGCCCCGTATATAACCTTAATTAATTGCGTCTCTAAAATCTATCAGGCTTTGAGTTTTTTGTTTTTTTTTTTTAAATAAGGCAGAAAGAAAGGAAAGTGTTAGGAGAAAGCAACCAGTGAGAATACCTATATTTTGAAGAAACAAAGTAGGGAATTTAGAATTATCTCTACTATATCTGCTTTTTCAGCTCATCTCTCGGGATACAGAGGACTGAACTAAGCTAAAGTAGGTTCAAGTCTAAAGGAAACCTTAAATTAATTTCTGTATTAGAATTAATCACACACCTATAAATACAATTTATGATATGAGAACTGCAACAAGAGAAATGGGGGGAGATGAGCAGTTTGCTGATCAATAGGGTTAATGATGGTAACATAGAATCCTAGTGATATGCCTCCCATTGACTAAAATGTATGCGTTAAGATAGCATAGCGCATAAAATGGTGTACTGCAGTCTCAGTGTATTCAAGCTTATTATGGTTTCTCTGCCTAGGTTTGTGTCTTTGGCTTTAGATTTTCTCCCATAACCCCAACCTGTCCACATTCAAGTCACTACTCCTTGAAATATATTATTGATCTCTAAAATCTGATGCTAAGTCTGTCTTGCCCAACGGTGGCCACTAGCCACCCATGGCCATTGAATATTTGAAACCTGGCTAGTCCAAACTATGCTGTGAGTATAAAAAACCCACCAGATATTAAAAAGTTAGTCTGGGAGAAAAAAACAAATGTAGAATGTCTTAATGATAATTATTTACATTGATTGCATGTTGAAATGATGAAATTTAGGATGTACTGGGTTAAAATATATTAATAAAATTAATTTTACCTGTTTCTTTTTACCTTTTTATGTTAATGTGGCTACAGGAAATTTTAAATTAGATATGTGGCCTCTATTATATTTCTGTGAGACAAAGCTGCTCCAAGCTGTTTTGGTCCAGAACTATATCTCGGTTCTTTTGTATCCTACATGGACCTGCATAGAATGGTATTTAGTAATACTCAGCAGTAGCAGAGATGATCTCTTATCAAATTATGTTAAGTTTTAATTTTTATTCTTGTCTCTCACCCTATGTGCACCTCTCTGGCCAGGAGGCATTTATCATATCACCTTTTAATATTTGGAAATCACTTGATCTGCTTGAGTCATTGTGTTGTTTTCAAATCTAGAACTCTTTCTACCTTATTTTGTAACTTCTATAATTAAACAAAAGGCGAACCAGGAGCAGCTTGGCTCTTAGGGATGTGTGAAAAGGCGCTCAGTCCTTAAGTTGGTGCCAAAAGTGACAAATCTATAGGATGAGATGCAGGTTTATGGAAGAGAAGCATGAAAATTTTTATTTTTTAAAAGGACACAGCAAGCTAGTCACCAAAAGACAGATACTTGATTCTACTTATATGCGGTACCTTTTTGAATTTGAAGAGTCAAATTCAAAAAGATGGAAAACAGAATGGTGGTTTCCAGGTTCTGGAGGTGGGGGAATGGGGAGTGGAGGTGGGGGAATGGGGAGTGGAGGTGGGGGAATGGGGAGTTGTTTAATGGTGTGCAGGGTTTTAGTTTAGCAAGATGAAAACAGTTCTGGAGATGGAAGGTAGTGATGGTTGTACAACGATATGAATCTACTTAACACTAAACTGTATAATTAAAAGTGGGTAAGCAAAGAGTGTCTTACAAAGCAATAACTTGTAACTTAAAATTTTTAAAAACCTTAATGAGATTAGTTGTAATGGGTTATCTTAAGTAGACCCTTACTGCCGGAAGGAACAGCTGAATCACATCACTTGGGAGCTTGTTAGAAAAGCAGACTCAGTCCCACCCTAGACTTGTCCAATCAAAACCTGCATTTTAACAAGGCCCCCAGGTGATTCATAGGCACTGTAAAGCTTGAGAAGCCCTGCTCCAAATATCATTTCTCAAAGTGTGATCCATGAGCCACCTGAAGCAGAGCCACCCTGGGAAGGTCTGTTTTCAGGCGCGTCCCAGAACACGTAAATCAGATCTAGGCTGTGGAGCTAGGGAGAAGATGAATCTGCAGACTGATCAGGATCCCAGGTGATTTTGAAGCATGGTTTGAGTTTGAAAACCCCTAATCTGGAAAGCTTTAACAACTATTACTCTTACAATTCCATCTTTTAACGAATGTTGGAATTATTAAATACTTGTAACAAGAAGTCCTGTTATTGATAAAATCAAGATATGACTAATAGTGCAGTCAAAAAGAGGCAACAAAAAAGCACCTATAACTTATCTTGGGTTGGTTAATGAGGAAGCTGTCATTCAAAATTAGTAAGACTACTGTAACATTTCTTGGGGTCCTGAACATTGGAATGAGAGTCGGTTTTCAGAGTTGAGCCCACCTCTGTCATTAGCTTTGTGCAAACCTCATCAGGCTCAAGATTCCTCATTTGTAAAGGGGAATGAATTCTCTGACCAGTTAGTTTACATTCCTAAGACAAGGTTAAATTTGGAAAGCAAAGAATTTTCGGTATATATGTGATAATTTTGAAATTCTTGAATTTTTAAAAAATTTAAATGCCACATTACTTATATTTTTTTCTAAAAAAAAGTCAAACCAAGCGCTGTCTAGTTATTAATAGATACCACAGATGAGATGCCTGAGTTGGTAAGCTCTTTTTAATTCTAGTTCTTTTCAACTACAATAATTTTATAGACTTTTTTTTGAAGGCTAGAATGTTGATGTGGAATCAAATAGGTATGCCTCTATGTATGGTAGATGCACCTGACAGGGATCACTTGACTTGAACATGCCCTGACAATGATCCTGTGTGGCAGGTGCACCTGATTCTGAGTTCTGAGTTAAGAAATCCGGGAGTGGGCCGGGCGGGGTGGCCGGTGCCTGTAATCCCAGCACTTTGGGAGGCCGAGGCAGGTGGATCATTTGAGGTCGGAAGTCCAAGACCAGCCTGGCCAATGTGGCAAAACCCCGTCTCTACTAAAAATACAAAAACCAGCTGGGCGTGGTGGCGCAGGCCTGTAGTCCCAGCTACTTTGGAGGCTGAGGCAGGAGAATTGCTTGAACCCGGGAGGTGGAGGTTGCAGTGAGCCAAGATCACGCCAGTGCACTCCAGCCTGGGCGACAGAATGAGACTCTGTTTCAAACAACAGCAACAACAAAACCCAAAACAAAAAAACAACAACAAAGAAATCCAGGAGTGGCTAACCCAGAGAGCCATTCCTTATCTGTAAGGAACATCTGAGCCCTCATCTCCTTCTGTGGAACATGGGCCTCGCCGGGGATTGAGACCCTTTGTTATGAGTTAAGTGGAAGTTGCCAGGTGGAGATTGTTAGGGGGAGGGTGTTAAATGAGAATGCTGTAGAGACCACATGCCTTTTGCAAGCGGCTGCGGTTCCTCTGTCCAACCCACCACCACTGGACTCTCTACCCTGTATGCAAGCCCCCAGTAAAACCCTATGAGACATACGGTTCACTAGCTCTGGGCCTCTTCTGGCTCTTGAACCTGGTGCCATCCACATTGCAGTCAGTAGGAGTTTGGCATGACACCTTATTATGTGAACTTTTATATCAAGCCATTAAATTTTTTTAAAATAGACTTTATATTTTACAACAGTTTTAAATTTACAGGAAAATTGAGAGGATAGTCCAGAGAGTTCCCATAGGCTTTGCATCCAGTTTTCCCTATTGTTAACATCTTATATTAATATGGTACATTTGTTGCAGTCAGTAAACCAATTTTGATACATGGTTATTAACTAAAGTCTATACTTTATTCAGATGTCCTTAGTTTTTGTCTAATGTCCTTTCTGTGTTCCAGGATGCCATCCAGGAAGGCGCATTATATTTAATTGTCAGGTCTCCATAGCCTCCTTTCCTCTTGGCTATGACAGTTTCTTTATACTTCTCTAGTTTTTTAATAACCTTAAAGGTTTTGTATTGGTCAGATAATTTGTAGGATTCCCCTCTGTGGGAATTTTCTCATGCTTTGCCTGGGGTTATTGGTTTTAAGAAGGAAGACCACAGAGGTAAAATGCCCATTTCATCACATCATATCAAGGGTACGTGTTTATCAACATGATACAGCCCTGTTGGCATTGACCTTGATCACCTGGCTCAGGTGGTGGTTGTTGAGTTTCTCCACTTGAAAATTACTCTTCTTCCCACTTTATGTGCTCTACTCTTTGGAAGGAAGTCAGTTTGCACAGCCCACAATTAAGGAGCAGAGAATTATGCTTCATTTTCTTGAGGGCAGAGTATCTACATAAATTATTTGGAATTCTTCTGCGCAGGAGATTTGTCTCTTTTTTCCTATTTATGTATTCATTCATTCAGTCATTTAGACTCATGGATATTTACATTGTACTTTGATTTCTAATCCAGCACTACTTCATAATTTTTATTGCTCAAATTATTCCGGCTTTAGCTATTAGAAGCCCTTTCACTTGGTTCCTATGCTCATTTGACATAGCCTCTTTTTTTTTTTTCTTACAAGATGCTGCAGTCTCATCTTGCATATTTTCAGCCCTAATCCTAGAATCAGCTGTTCCTCCAAGGAGCCCTTGTTCCTTTTATTGGAGAGTAATGTTATTGGAGAATAGTATTAAAATCTGGATGTTAAGGATGCTCGTTGCCACTGGAGTTTCTTTGCTTTTAAGACTTCTCAGTTGATAGAGCAAGGCAATGTATTTGTCCATGTTCACCCTTATGTTATGCAGATCTATAAATATTTCTATAGCTAACTAGTTGTATTTATATTAAGCTATAATATCTAGTCTATATTAAGCTAAATACAAGTTCATCCGGATGTTTCCTACTCTAACGTATTACCACATGGACACTATATCTCTCCTCCTTGGTTATGTATAAATTCTCACTCCATCCACCATCTATGTACTTAATTGTTCAGTTTCAGTATATGTGCGTAGCCGTATCAGAATTGTTAACCCAGGCTGGGTACAGTGGCTCATGCCTGTAATCCCAATACTTTGGGAGGCTGAGGCAGGTGGATTGCTTGAGCCCAGGAATTTGAGACCAGCCTGGGCAACATGGCATAACCCCATGTCTACTAAAAATACAAAAAAATTGCTGGTCATGGTAGCATGTGCCTGTAGTCCCAGCTACCCGAGAAGCTGAGGTGGGAGGATCACCTGAGCCCAGGAAGTCAAGGCTGCAGTGAGCTGTGATCGTGCCATTGCACTCCAGCCTGGGAGACAGAGTAAGACTCTTTCTTAAAAAAATAAAAAATAAAAAATATAAAAAAATTTGTTAACCCACACCTATATGGATCTTTTTAAAAGCTGCAAGACTGCTAACAAATATTTATTTATTTATTTATTTATTTATTTATTTGAGACAGAGTCTCCCTCTGTCACCCAGGCTGGAGTGCAATGACACAATCTCAGCCCACTGCAACCTCTGCTTCCCCGGCTCAGGCGATTCTCCTGCCCCAGCCTCCCGAGTAGCTAAGATTACAGGCACCCGCCACCATGCCCAGCTAATTTTGTATTTTTAGTAGAGACGGGGTTTCACCATGTTAGCCAGGCTGGTCTCGAACTCCTGACCTCAGGTGATCCACTTGCCTCGGCCTCCCAAATTGCTGGGATTATAGGTGTGAGCCACCATGCCTGGCCATAAATACTTATTTTGTTCCCGTGGTTTTTTTTTTCTTTTCTCTTTTTTAAAGTAAATCCTTTGCACTATTTTTATTATTTTAAGACCAGTGTTATTCAGAGCCTGGGTTAAACACTATTCTGTGTGTGTGTGTGTGTGTGTGTGTGTGTTTGTTTGTTTGTTTGTTTTTTGAGACAGAGTCTCGCTCTGTCACCCATGCTGGAGTGCAGTGGTGTGATCTTGGCTCACTGCAACCTCCGCCTCCCTGGTTCGGGAGATTCTTCGGCCTCAGCCTCCCGAGTAGCTGGGACTATAGGTGCGCGCCAACATGCTCAGCTAATTTTTGTATTTTTAGTAGAGACGGAGTGTCACCATATTGGCCAGGCTGGTTTCAAACTCCTGACCTTGTGATCCACCTCGGCCTCCCAAAGTGCTGGGATTACAGGCATGAGCCACCACTCCCGGCCAGCACTATTCTGTCTTATACTCACTCTGCCATCTGTGTGTGTATATGGTACGTATGTGAGGCTGGATCTGTGCACTTGGAAAAGTTGGAGAGATGATTTAGGTAAAACTTTTAGTTTTCACTTCTTTTGCCTTTTTGCTTATCTTGATCCATTTAGTTCCTACCATCTGGCAAATAGTTCTCATCTGAAGAATCCCATCTGTCAGTTCTCACTATTATCCGGTAATAGTTACAGTGAAATGCTGGTGACGGCAACAGCCACTTTTTAAAAGGATGTGTAATTCACCCTCATGTCCTCTTTGAGAACCCAGTAACTGCCCACACTCTGAAGCTAAAACCATAACAGTTTTATCACATGGAAAGTTTGTTGAGAAATGTTTGGCTGTTTCTGTGAAGTAATCGTCCCGTCTCTTGAGTACAGATGCCTCCCAGGAAAATTTTCCCAGCCTATTTGTTAATGTGAAAGTTACAAAAGATAGCATATAATGAGCACATTCAAGACAAAAAAATTTGTGGAGTAAGAGTCTGAAATGGTAAAATAAAAAATCACTTAAGAAAACATTTATCTGTAGCTGTCATTTTCATATACACATATCTAGTGTATACAAGTTAGTAAGTACATAATTCTCAAAAGTTCTACCTGTCTACACATCTACACAGAAAAATTAGGAAAGTCTTGTCCAGACTTTTCCATCATCTTCAGTATAAAGCATCTTCTAGCTGTTGGAATAGAAACAAGCTAGATTCTTGACTCCTTTCTATTTGATTATTTAGATCTGACCTTCAGACGACATCCAGAATCTGAGAACACGCACCACCTCTACTGCTCTCATCCTGGTCCAAGTCATTGTCATCTCCCACCTGGATTAATGCCAGAGCCCCCTTCCTGGTCTTCTCACTTCTAGTCTTGACCCCCTAGGGCAAGAATAATTAGCTTAGAAAACCACCCCAGAGCCTTCCAGCATTACTCTGAGTACTGGCCAGAGTTGGACAATGTTTAAGGCCCCGTGCAGTCAGCTGTCCCTGTCCTGTCCTGGCTGTCACTCACTCGCTTGCCCACTGATCTCTTCCACATCATTCCTCCACGACAGCACTGATCTCCTTGTTCTTCTGTGAGTTCACCAGGCATGCATCTGCCTCAAGACTTTGTGTAATACTTGTTGCTTCCTCTGGCTAGAATATTCTTCCCTTTGATTCTGAATACTTTGTTCCCTCACTTCCTCAAGTCTTCACTGAAATGTCATATTTTCAAGTAGGCATTCCCTGACCACCCTATTTAAAATTTCACCCCTCAGAAAAAACAAACAAACCACCCCTTTCTCTGCTTTATCTATGTAACATTTATTACCATCCAACAGACACTGTATTTTTATCTGTATTTTTTATCGCTTCCCCGCTAGGATCATATATCGTTTTATCTGTTTTGTTCACTGCTGTATTCTTAGCACTGAGACATAATTGTAAGTATGCAGTGAAGAGTTAGTGGATAAAGGACAGTGGCTGCAAGAGGGGATTTAGGAAACACCCCCTCCCAGCCAGGACCAGCACTCGGTGCAAGAGTTGAAAGAGTTGATCACTCAGATTCTCTGCTTCTCCAGTCGTAGGGACTCCACCCCGCTGTGTTGATTGCTGTCATGTATTCACCCCATCATAAGCAGTACTCACATGTAAAACAGTACCATGTCATCTCTGTGGGGCTACAAGTAGGTGGTGATGGTGCAATGAACATATAAAACCCCAGTGTCTTCAGTAGGTGCGAAATAGGTGATTAGTGAATGATGAAGAGTAGCTGTTGCTGTTTTGATTACTATGATTATTATTATGAGAAACTACTGTGGTTGATGAGATAGATACTGGGGAGAAGGATACTATTAATATAATTTATTGAGCAACTTTGTTCTGGGCACTAGTTGAGTACTTTAGGGATATTAATTCATTTAATTCTCCCAGTTCTGCCATTTACTCTCTATGTGACCTGGACTGTTACATAGTCTCTCAGTCTCACCCTCTCTTTTTTTTTTTTTTTTTTTTTTTTTTTTTTTTTGAGACGGAGTCTCGCTCTTTCGCTCAGTCTGGACTGCAGTGGTGCTATCTTGGCTCACTGCAACCTCCACCTCCCAGGTTCAAGCGATTCTCCTGCCTCAGCCTACTGAGTAGCTGGGATTACAGGCATGCACCACCACGCCTGGCTAATTTTTTTGTATTTTTAGTAGAGACGGGGTTTCACCATATTAGCCAGACTGGTCTCGAACTCCTGACCTTGTGATCCACCCGTCTCGGCCTCCCAAAGTGCTGGGATTACAGACTTGAGCCACTGTGCCCGGCCCTTGCCTTCTCTTATAAAGTGAAATCATTGTAGCTGCTTTGGTGTGGTTCTGAGGACGGTGAGAGAAGACGCACGTGAAGTATTGAGGGTGGTGGCAGGCACACAGTTCAGAGTTACTAACAATACTGGTGTTTTATCTTCACAAGGCAGATCTGGGCCCATAGCACAAGGAAACCGAGGCTTTGGCATTTTACAGTAATTACATTGCCAGAACATTTCCCCCACTTTCTTGAATCATCTTTACCTCTTGAGAGATGAGGAAGAGAGGGCACACCTCGGGCAGAAGTCCAAAGACCTCAGGCATTTTTGGCCTTTCATTCCCATGATTCTGGCCAACATCATTTTAGTCCCCAGCAGTTCATAGAAATATTGTCTTTTAATCTGATATTCAAATAATCTGTGCCTTGAAGAACCTGTGTATGGCTCTAGAATCTTTTACATTAATCTACTCAACCCCACTCTGATGCTCAAAACTTCAGCAGTCTGTTTTTTTTTTATTTTAATGTCTTTATTATTATTTTTTTTTTTGAGACGGAGTCTCGCTCTGTCGCCCAGGCTGGAGTGCAGTGGCGCGATCTCGGCTCACTGCAAGCTCCGCCTCCCGGGTTCACGCCATTCTCCTGCCTCAGCCTCCCGAGTAGCTGGGACTACAGGCGCCCGCTACCACGCCCGGCTAATTTTTTGTATTTTTAGTAGAGACGGGGTTTCACCGTGTTAGCCAGGATGGTCTCGATCTCCTGACCTTGTGATCCGCCCGCCTCGGCCTCCCAAAGTGCTGGGATTACAGGCGTGAGCCACCGCGCCCGGCCTAATGTCTTTATTTTAAACATTTATTTTTAGAGGTAGGGTCTCTCTAAGTTATGCAGGCTGGCCTCAAATTCCTGGGCTCAAGTGATCCTCCCACCACAGCCTCCCAAGTAGCTGGGATGACACCCCCAGGTGCCGCCATCCTGGCAGCAGAGTCAGTTTTGATACATCTTTCCCTTCTCATTCTTCCCAATGTCATGGATTGGGAAGTTACTGTGGTTTTAGTTGCAGTACTTTTTACTCTGAATTCTGTTTGCTTCCTGGAATTCTGTCTGTCTTTTGAAAAGACAACATAAAGAAATCGAAAAATATACTTTAAATTCCATAGTGTGGGAGCCTCTGCTACTCGCCTGTTTGATATTCATTCCCATTTTTTCCTTTCTAAAAGAATTCCAGATTTTTTTTGTTCAGGGTGACAATGTGCTCTGCTGAAAATACTTTCACAGATTCCCTTGCAGGTGCATGTGACCAGATCACAGTAATGGCACATATGGCCTCAGTGGAATTTGCTGAGGAGTATGTCCCTCCCAAGTAACAGCAAAGCTTTATTAGAGGAAAAAACAACAACAGAAAACCTTTCACCTTTGTCTTGTTTCTCCTGCCTTCTGTCTGGAACTTGGACACAGAGTCTTGAATTTCTGTGACCATAAAACACGAGGATAAAACCAACGTGCTCAGGATGGCAGTACAGAAAGATAGGAATACGCTGGTCCCTGATGGCATCATGGAATATCTGCAGTGGCCCTAGCTTCAGTGTCACTTCTTAGGTGAGATACATAATCCTACCGTGTGTTTAAGCCACGGTTTGACATGTGGTCTATTCTCTGCCGCTGACTGCATTCCCAGCTGTTCTATATGGCTTGCTAGCTAATTTAAGTCTAGTTTTATTGTCAAATTGACCACATTGTAGATTATAATATTAAAGTACTTCACAGTCTAAAAGTGAACTACTTTTGTAAAAGCCAAAGGAAATGGGCCAAATGAACCATTTTGAACAGAGTTTAAATGAGTGAGTTGAGTTACCACTCTTGGATGGAGAACTGGAGACCTGGATTTTCAGTCTAGTTCTTCTGCCAGTTGGCTCTGTGGGCAAGTCACTTGACCTGAGCTCTTTTCCTCCCATCTGCAAAATGAGGTAATTTGAGCTAGACAGTCCTCCCAAAGACCACCAAAGAGCTAGCAGATTGAGGCCTGCAGACTCCTATTGAATTTGCCATCCTTGTTCACCTTGCCAAGACTTCATAGCCAAGAAGCCAGACCCAGATTTTGTTCATTAGCTTTGAAAACACCCTTTCAGTTGGGTGTGTGTGTGTGTGTGTGTGTGTGTGGTGTGTGACATGCGTTTTGAATATAAATTGTGAATTGTTTTAGCAAGAAACCAGGTTGTATGTTTCTCAATAAACATGCATACTGTATATTGATGAATTTATCCACTTGAAATAAATGGTGCCAAATTGCCTAAAGTTTGCTGTAAACAGGAACATGATTTCTCATTATGATGTTTAATTTGTTTTAGTCTTTGATCTCTTACATCAGAATTCTGTTAAGAACTCTTTTTACCTGAAAGATCAAAGCAAATAAGCAGAAGCATTTATAAAAATAAGGTATACGTGGCTGTGGAGAGAAACTCCAGGTATATACGATCATAGGCTTTTTAAAATTAATAAACTTTGTTTTTAAAAACAAAGCAGTGGAAGTTCACAGCAAGTTTGAGTAGAAAGTACAGTTTCCATGTAACTGCTGTCCTAGCAAAGATTTTTAAGTACAATATTTTTTAATTAAAAAGAGAAAATATAAACCGTGCTAAGCCAGTTGGTGAAAAAGGCTTCATTATACTTTTAGCACTCTTAACGCTTATTAAAAGTTTTTAAAAACAGATTTTTGTGGTTGAATCGCTTACAATTTCTGATGTGTAACCTTCTAACATGTTTCATCAAATTTTAAAAGTAATGTAAGCAGTGCTGTCCACTGCTAAATTTTATTTTAATGTTAGAATACAATGAGGTTTCTATTTTGCCATTAGTCCTGAGAGCTTATTAAGTAACCAGTTTTAATCCTTTAAAAAACCATTCTCATTTTGAGGGACACATATTTCTTAGCTTTGTGCAATATAAGAAGCTAAGACCATCTTGGCAGTATCAAATGAAATGTTTTGCAAGTTAGAAAGTTCAGTAACCACTTATAAACATAATGAACAATTGTTATAGTCAGTCTAATGCAGAAATACAGGTGTTGGGGGCAGGGGGGTGGTGGGTGGGCAGACTTGGTCCACAAGTAGTAGTTTGCCAACCTCTGTCCTAAACACAAGTTCAAGAATATGGTTCTCTTGGATAGATTTTCTGCCAGATGAAAGTAAGAGTAACATCCTTAGCTAATGAACTCCTAATATCCAAGGCAACTTTTAATTAATTCAGGCTTTTAAGAAAAGCTTGTTTACCAACTCCTCATTAAAAATGTTCAGACTGGCTGGTCGTGGTGGCTCATGTCTGTAATCCCGGCACTTTGGGAGGCTGAGGCAGGCAGATTGCTTGAGCCTAGGAGTTCGAGACCAGCCTGGGCAACATATCTAGACCCTGTCTCTGCAAAAAGTGAAATAATTAGCTGGGCATGATGGTGCACAGCTGTAGTCCCAGCTACTCAGGAGGCTGAGGTGGGAGGATTGCATGACCCCCGGAGGTCGAAGCTGCAGTGAGCCATTGATCCAACCACTACATTCCAGCCAGGGTGACAGAGTGAGACCTTGTCTGAAAACAAACAAACAAAAAGATTAATGCAGTACATGTCCTTTTGGTGAATAAGTAAATATGTTTTGGTAACTTTAGCTTTGCATTATAATCTAGTCGTCAGCAGATTGACTAAGGGCAGATAAAACAAGATGATTTGGTTTTGTGGTTTGGCACTTACTGTCTGATTTATGCCCCCAAGAACTCTTGCAGGCCAAGGTCGAGTGTATCTGATACCTGCTCTGGCTCTTCTCACGAACTGATTTAGTAGCTTTGGGCCAGCATTAGATTTTTTAAACTCTTTGACCTATTTGTACATGACAGGCATTTAATCTTTCCAGTAGTTACTTGTCAAATAGAAAAGCATCACTTCTTAGTTTGGACATTTGCAAATATGACTGAGCAGAGCTGACAGATGAGGTGGGCATCTTCAGGCCATAGGGTACTTCTGGCCTCCTGTAACCTAGAAAATTGGGATGCCTCAGATATCAGGTATTCTTCCAAGCAGCTAGGGTTAGTCCCTGACCTCAGAAACCCTGAGAGCCCTCAGAAACCCTGAGAAATCCACCTGGGAATGGTGTATTTGTTTTGGATGAGATTACCTTTACTTTCCATTCTCCAGGTCTTCTTGTGTTTTTTGTTTTTGTTTTGTTTTGTTTTGTTTTATATCATTCTATGTAAAAGAGAAATGTGGTATCATTTGCATTATCATGTTATTTCTTTCCTTATAATTTATATCTTAATGCTTATCTCTGGGGCTAGGTTATAATCTCCTGAGTTAGGTAGCCTTAGGTTTCTTGGCGGAGATTCCTCCCCTGGGAAGTGAGGTTTATAAAAGAACCCGTGATGTGGCCCTGTGGAGCTGCATGGGGTGTGTGCTCAGTACTCACTGGTTTCTTCCCTGCAAAGTGACACCTGCAGCCTTTGGGGTACCATGTCTCATAATTTTTGCATTCCCTGCAACACACACTATACTGCTATGGGCATCATTGATCATTTTAAAGATTTAAGGAATGACAAGATACAGTGCTTATTCTCCCCTATGATTTGCTTAGATTTTTATCTAAATAGTACTTATTGAAATAAGTACTTCAGTATCATGCTACATCTTACATGTTTGAGCTAGAAACAGACTAAAGTTTAAACCCTTTTATGAGAATGAAAAGTTACTTCCTTCCCCTTCTTAGGGCTTTTAATCCCTCTTTATGTTGCATTTCAGAAAATGCCCTATAGCGTACTATGAAAGAAAGACATTCATTCCTGTCTTTGCTGCTGTGTGGACGATCTGTATTCCTTGCTCCGTGGGAGTTGTGGGTTTATGTCTATTCTTGCATGTTTTGCCTGAAGGACCACAGTGACCTACTTGGTGGTCTCCCTGCTTTCATGGTTTCACTATGCTGATCTATCCTTCACTTAATTATAGAGTCTATCTTAAAAAAAAAAAAAAAAAAAAAAAAACTTTTGGCCTATGTTGCTTCTTCCAAAATGGCATCCAAAACCTAAGCCTCTTTAAAATTGGAGTCCAGCATGCTTCCCCAGTGCTACTTCCTTCTGGACTCCCTTTGCCACTTGCTTTCTGCTTCCACCCATATCCAGATGGGCTGCAAATATGCCTTGCTGGTTCTTTACTCTGTCTTTGCACAGGAGGCTCCCTCATTTTGAAGGGTCTTTTGCTACCCATCCATCCATCCATTTGGATTCTATAATAGAGTTCTTGATGTTTGACAGAACTAGGCCAGGAATTGTGGGGGTATAATGGCAAGCAAGACAGAGTCTATCCTTACGTTATGGAAGTTCAATTCATTTCCCATGTGGCATACTACTTCTCACCATTCAGATTCATCTCGAATATTGTTTCTTCTTTGAGGTTTTTCCCACTGCACCCAAGATACTGGCCTGACACTTTCCTTATCTCTATTACAGAATTTAACTTGTTCATTCATTAACAGATATTTATTGCCTACTATGTGCAAGAATCTGTGCTAAAAGCTGGGAATATTGCAGTAAACAAAAATTAAGTTTACAGCTTACATATAATGTGGTAATTATCCATCTTTTACCTTCATTAGACTGAGTTCATGTAGGACTTTATGTAATATCTTTATATCTTCAATACCAGAAATGCCTAGAAATAATTTGCATAATATACATTTTCTTTAAAGATTTAACAAAAGTCTGAGGGACAGTTTTCAGAATAAACTGAATTAAACTCTCTCTCTCTTATGTGTGTTATGTAAACATATATATAAAATACACTTTTGGGTTTTTTGCTTAGGAAGTAGAAAAATGCTAAAATTTCTGTTACTTACAAGCAGATTAAAATGTCCAAGAAAGAAAAGTAGGGATTTATATTGATTCTGCTCAAATGCTTACCTAGACAATGTCAATATTTATATTTTACTCCCCTGTTGTAGTAGAATGGTAATTGGTTCTCTAGTTAAGCAGCTTTTTTAGGATTAATTTTGAAGCAAGAAATTCAGATTAATTAAGGGACAATTTCACTTGCAGCATTTAGGCATTATTTTAACCATCAAACTTGAAGTGGCAAGAAACGGAGTTGCTTAAGGAGGCCAGACGTAACATTCTAAAGGTAGTAGGGTCTTGATTGGGTTGCTTAGGCATTAAAAGGCTGTTTAACTTGTCTTGAAGTCTATCTTTCCTTGATGTCTTCTGCGGTAAGAACACTGTGATACAGATGGAATGACGGGAAGTGGTTTTCCTTTCTTTCAGTTGGTGAGTTTGTAAGTGATGCCCTTCTCGTTCCTGACAAGTGCAAATTCTTACACCAGGAGAGGATGGATGTTTGCGAAACTCATCTTCACTGGCACACCGTCGCCAAAGAGGTACCAGCCCATAAATTCTTTCTTATTGCAAAGTGAAGATTTCCTGGGGACGTGCTTAATGGCATTTTAGGGGTATTTTGAGGCAACAGCTATGTTGATAAGTTATTTAAGAAAAAAACCCAGTGCTACTATCCGTAACCCAGATTTTAGTTTTTAGAGTGATTTTAGGTTCACAGCAAAATCGAACAGAAAATAGAGTTCCCGTGTACCCCCTGTCCCCACACATGCGCAGCCTCCCCATCCATGAATATTTTTAAAAAGTCAAAAATAGGGCCAGTTGAACTAGATTCATTATGTGCCTGTGCCGTGTTTCGCAACTTAAAAATATAAGTTGTCTGTGCCATGCCTTATAACTTAAAAATATAATCTCTAATAGTTATAACTTTAAAGTTTACCCTTCAGATTATTTTTATGCACCTGTTGTTTTCTTTTGTCATATACAATTTTTTAATAATTTAGCCTTTTCCCCTGTTATCTATTAGTGAATACAGTGGTAGAACAGTGAAGTAGCTTTTTTATACCAGCCTGAAAGCTCCAGTTAGAATTCAGTTTCTCAGTTATACCATCCAGTTTTATATTCAGCAGGCCATGCCTACCATCTTGATTTTTCCACAGGGTGAGTCTGACCGAGCACTTGGTTAACCTCTGCTTTTGGCTAAGCCAATAAAAGATGTAAGATACTTAGCATGAAAAGGTCACTGTGTGGTAAGACCACCTTCACAGCTGCTGTGTCCCCTTGATAGGTTTCCTAATAAATTTATATAGGTTTATTTGTGGCAAGATCAGTCTTAGGCTAACTAGAATTAGGCTCCTTTATCTAGCTCATAGTGCTTCACTTGAGTCAATTTTGATCCCCTGTCCCTCACCGGAACATGTCTGGAGACATTTTTTGTTATTACAGCTTGAGGGAGTGGTGTTACTGGCATCTGATAGTGCCCAGAGGCCAGAGATTCTGCTAAACATCCTACAGTCAACAGGATAACCACCCGCCACCCCCAAGAATTAGGCAGTCCAAAACATCAATAGTGCTGGGGTTGAGAAATCTGATCTAGCTTAGCTTAACCATTGTATCATAGCTTTATAGCTGTTAGACAGAAAATACCACTGAAGATTTAGTATTATTTTATGCCTCTTATAAAATAGTATATTTGGATCCACTGTAGAATAAAATGTTTTTTATGTAAAAATGTGTTTTGGAGGTTTAAGAGCTTGCTGAGTTTAAGAAAACAAACCAAATAATTTGAAGTCCAGCTACCTATTTGATAACCTCATTTTTTATTCCTTCTGTGTTTTCAAAAGAAAAATCCTTTGTCTCTAAGAAACGGAAATGACTCCCATAAGGTCAAAATACAGTCTGTAATATTTTCATTGTCTACCTTTATGTCTTGAATTATTCATCCTTCATTTATCACTAGTGGATGCTCTCAGAACTTTATGCTAATCTAGATTTGTGCAAATTTAGCAAATCCCAGAAAAGCAAAAAGACATTCAAGGAGAAATCTCTAATGACTGTAAGTTCTGATTCTTAGTGGCTGCAGGGGATAATTTCTTCTCTTCCCAGGATTGTTACTCTGAAAGTGAACCAAGAGAGTCAGAATTTCTAGGATAAGGCAGGTCCATGTGAGATAAACTTCCATCTGTAAGGGAGGTAGGAGTGAGCTGGGGATCTACCTGGAATGCGCACAATTTCTGGATACACGAATTAAGCCAGAAGGCATTAATTCTCTGGTATCTGTTCACCAGTGGAGACTGCTACATCTTATTTCCCAATTAGTTTCCATTCCAGTTGTTCGTATAAACCTCTATTATATAACATCGTGGTCTTATTAAATAAATAATAAACAAGAATAAAAAGAGTACCAAAGTGTAACCCATGCTAAAAAAAATCCTGTTGTAAATTCACTCAAAAAGCAAATAATCTTTTCCTTTGTGAAATTGGTTCCTAATATATTGGGTCTGCATGTTGATTATTTTATGTGGAGTTTTCTTACAATGAAACACATCTACTCTACCACTCACTGTTTTCTCCTTACACTTTGTAGACATGCAGTGAGAAGAGTACCAACTTGCATGACTACGGCATGTTGCTGCCCTGCGGAATTGACAAGTTCCGAGGGGTAGAGTTTGTGTGTTGCCCACTGGCTGAAGAAAGTGACAATGTGGATTCTGCTGATGCGGAGGAGGATGACTCGGATGTCTGGTGGGGCGGAGCAGACACAGACTATGCAGATGGGAGGTAAGGTGGCCTTTGTGTTCAGCCTCAGAGATGCTGAAACATCTTGTATGGAGTATTTGTATCCTGTAAATTAATCTTTCTGTTTATCACTGAAAAGGTCTCTGCCCACTCCCATCAGAGTCTGCTGTTATGCAAAAATCTGAACTATGAATTTTTATGGCATCCTGTTGAATTAATAATATCAGTCACCCATCACAGAGTTAATTTTAACTATTTAATATTAAACTTGGGATCAAAATCCCACTGATAACTATCATAGGTTACTGGTAGTTCTAACAGGGAGTTGAAATAATAATGGCGTTCTGTTTTGGTCATTAATTTAAAAATATTTTTAAATGCTCTCTGGGATTGTCAGTCATTAGTTTAAGGTGAATTTTCGTTAAAGGTTTGGTTTGAGATTTTGGGCGTTCTCTGTGTGGATGTGTAAGGGTTTTTTTTTGGCCTTTTATCATTTCTTTTCCTTCATAGTGGAAGTCAAAGGCATTAATAAATGCTTGTTAATTTTTTTTAACTACCTTTGATTTGTTGATTGTAAAGAAACCTATTTTCGCCTCTTTTTCTTAGGGAGCTTAGTCCCGTTACTTCTTACCTGATTCTCATTCTTAACTGAAGGCAAACATCTATATTCAAATCATAAAATTATAAAATGAGAATCTTTGGGTTGGAAATGCCATCTGGTTCAGGCATTGATTTTATGCTGTCTCATCCCCCGAAGGGTGATGATTGTATCACTTATCTTATTCCTTCAGTATTCTCTTAGATGTTCCCTAGAGCTACAGATTTCCAAACAGCACATTCAATAGGAGTTGTAAGTTTATAATCGGCAAACTACAGGATGCTTGTTTTTTTTTCTTTTAATTTCTGGTGTAATCTGCTACTAGGGCCCCCATAGAGTTTATTGTCTATATCAGCTAGAACACTGGGACCACAGTCATAAACTGAAGGATCCAGGCAAACTGGGTCATATGGTTACCCCCACCAATTACAGTCTTCAGTGATGATGTCACTATCCAGGTTGATATTCAGTTGAAATGCTAGCCAGCTCCTTCCTAGTTACCTTCATTTACATCCCATTTCAGTACCTGAACACAGTCATGCTTTAGACTCTGAAATTCCTTAGAAATAGTACCATAAGGTTTATAGCTTTGATATTCCTCTCTGATCATGATCTTCCCTCATAATCACCTCCCCAGTTCAGGCTTTTAGTCCATTATCCTCTTTTTCCCTGCCTGCCTTTCTAATCAGGATGGAATCAATGGATAACCATTCTTACCTATTCCATTGAACATCCTTGACTTGGCTGAAACCCTTCACATTTTCTAAACATATTTTTGTCAATTCTCCATAGCTAGGAAAAATTAATTTCTTTCTTTAGTTGCTTCTGGGATTTCTAAAGTATCAAGTCATGTAACCTTACCACTTAATTCCATTTCTTATTCATGCTGTAACATCAGCTGGGATCTTAATGTTACTAGATGCACCTAATTATCTCTGTCTTGATGACCTATCATCTTCCCCATAGCAGTTGATCCAGCCCAACTTCATTCTCCTTGGTTCCCAGCGTAACTCTCTCTCATGCTCTACAGATGACCCCTCCACCGTCATCCATTGTGAATTTCTGCAACATGGTACCTGACATTTGGTAGGTGCCCAGTACGTGTTTGTTGAATAAACCATTGAATTTTCTCCTGTACTTCAGCAACTCTTGTACCTTCTTCTATCCCTTTGTTTCCTGTCTTCCCTTTTATGATTATGTTCTGCTGGACTCTCAATCATCTCCTCTCCCTTTCTTGCATTTTCAGTCTCCCTCTCCCCCACACCCCCAGGCTTCATCCACCCTCCTCCCAGATAATTCTTTCCCATGTGTTACTATCTTTCTACTATGTGTTTTTAATCCTGTTGACAGTTGGTAGGAAATATTTGATGGTTTATTCTACCTGTAGAAAAGTCCAAATTCTCTTGCAGGGCATTCAGAAGTCTCTTACATGGCTTCAGCCTGCATTTTCAGCCTTATACATGTATGTGACTCTCCTGGCATCCTAAAACCATTGACCTTTTCTTTCTCTAGGCTTTCATTCCCACCGTTCTGCCCCATCTGAAATATTTTTCCTTTTTTTGTCAAATGGGGTTAATGTATGATAAAGATATTTGTCAACTCTAAAGTGCCACTTCTTATGACCCGTCAAAATCTATATATTTATAAATGTTCACCTGAAAAGATGCAGCCTTTACAAGTCTTTACAGGTGCCTTGCTCTGCTATACTACCCTTGCTTTACCTTTTTCTTATAAGACCATAACTTATCTTCCAATTAATTGTAGTCATATCTCTTTTTATCTGTTAGAATCCAAACTATAGTTTATGTGTCTGGTATGTCTTGCACATAGGTCCTCAATAAATATTAGACAAAGTAAATTGTATATTTTAAATTTTTTTTCATAGCTTTTGGTAAGGACTTCATGGTCCACGATTGGATATTGTAGAAAGCTTATCCAGCCCACTGCCCAGGACGACTTTGAATGCGGACCAACACAAATTCATAAACTTTCTTAAAACATTATGAAATTTTTTTGCCTTTTTTTTTCTATAGGCCCTGTTATAGAGCCTCCCATCTTTTAGCAAAGAACTGTCTAATACAAATGTAATGTGAGCCACATACTTTTTCGTTTTCTTTTTTTAAGATGGAGTCTCGCTCTGTCACCCAGGCTGGAGTGCAGTGGCGTGATCTCGGCTCACTGCAACCTCCACCTCCCGGGTTCAAGCGATTCTCCTGCCTCAGCCTCCTAAGTAGCTGGGATTACAGACATGTGCCAGCATGCCCAGCTAATTTTTTTTTTTTTGTACTTTTAGTAGAGGTGGGGTTTCACCATGTTGGCCGGGCTGATCTCGAACTCCTGACCTCGTCATCCACCAACCTCAGCCTCCCAAAGTGCTGGGATTACAGGCTTGAGCCACCGTGCCTGGCCTTACTTTTTCATTTTCTAATAGACAGTTTAAAAATAGTAAAAAGAAACAGGTGAATTTAATTTTAACAACATTTTATTTAATCCAGTATATCTGAAATATCATGTGACCAATATGAAAAATTTAATAAGATAGTTCACATTCTTTTTTTATGTTTCTTTCTTTCGTAAGAAGTCTTAACACTTCTTTTAACATTTAACAGCACGTCTCAATTCATACTAGCCACACACTGTGTTTGATAGTTACATGTGGCTGGTGACTACTATATTTGGACAGTGTAGTTCCTGGATGACTTGAAATTTCTTATCACTCTTTATTTTTCCATTAAGACAGACGGTTTGTATAACCTAGTAATGTTTTCTAAGGCTGAGCCACTGAATTTTTATTATTGTTTTTAACTATTCTTGTTTTTAAAATTTAAAAAAATTGGTTTGGATTCAGTATAATTAGTATATCAGGTCACTTGCACCATTTTATTTTTTAACTTCTTTTCCTGTAGCCCTGCAGGCGGGCAGGGCTTCTTTCATGTGGACAAAACCAGAAAGGTGTTGCATCACTGATCCACACACAAGGTGGGCTCCTGCCAACTGGCAGCCTCCTTGTTCCAGGAACCAGCCCTCCTTTTGACACTTGAAATGTAAAATCAGAATAGAAGTTTAACGTACCTGACTTAAAACATCTTCAGGGGATGCTACGTGACAATTCTTGAAGAAGGAGAAACGAGCTACCATTTTCCTGGAAACAATATTTGATTCACAGTATTTTGTTGTTTGGTAGTTAATGAGGCTTGTTTTGATAGAAGATGAGTGTTTTTCTATCGCTAATGGGGCATTTAGAGAAACATTCCTTGTAGGATGAGCTCTGTTTTATGACCTCATTGAAAAAGAGGTATGAAAAAGAGGTAAATCTTTAACATAGGCAAAACAGGTAGTGTTTCAGAAATTTATGTGTAAATTACCGAGTATATTTTTCTCCAGTGTTGTAATGGTCATATTCTCAGATCACCTCAAAATACCTATTTATGCAGTCTGTAATGTAGCATAATCCAGACTGTTACTAACATTATGTAGCATAATGTTAATAATAATAATTACGTACATAATGTTAATAATACACAGACTCCAGCCATCGTGGGTAAGATTTTTTTCCATGGGAAAATTCATTTGGAAAGCTAACTTGTAAGACTAGCCAGGTAGGCAGCCTAGCCCTGGAGGCAGAGCTGCTCCTCACCTGGAACTGCAGAATCTGATTGAACCCAGTGGTCCATGGGGGTTGCTGAATTCGTAAAGCAAATGAAATGTTAGAAGACCCTCTAATTGTTGTAGAGTCACACTTTTCCTCTTGCAGAGGAGGTACTCACATTTTTTTTAAGAAACAATCTTTAATTATCGATGTATTCTTTTAGGTTTAGGTTTGCAGACACTGGTGAGCGTGTGCTGAGAGGTAACTTGATGTATCTTTCTGGATAATTAGATGATTTTTTTTTTCTATTTCTTTGAACATTTTTTTTTTAAAGAGCTGCTTAAGATCTGGAGGAGTGATTCCTTTTGACCGTGTCTTATTTTCATTAAGACTGTATAACTTGGAAGAGTTTTTTTTTTTCTTTTTCTTTTTCTTTTTTTTTTAAGATGAAGTTTTTGCTCTTGTTGCCCAGGCTGGAGTACAGTGGTGTGATCTTGGCTCACTGCAACCTCTGCCTCCTGGGTTCAAACGATTCTCCTGACTCAGCTTCCCGAGTAATTGGGATTACAGGTGTTCACCACCACACCCAGCTAATTTTTGTATTTTTAGTAGAGACAGGGTTTCACCATGTTGGCCAGGTTAGTTAATGTTACTCTCTGGTTTGGGGGGCAGTGATATGTTTTGGCTTTTTTCCCACCCAGATCTCTTCTTGAATTCCCATGTGTTGTGGAAGGGACTCGGTGGGAGGCAATTGAATCATGGGGGCAAGTCTTTCCCATGCTGTTCCTGTGAAGTGAATAAGTCTCACGAGATCTGATGGTTTTAAAAAGAGGGGTTCCCCTGCACAAGTTCTCTCTCTTTGCCTGCTGCCATACATGTAAGACATGACTTGCTCCTCCTTGCCTTCCACCGTGATTGTGAGGCTTCCCCAGCCATGTGGAACTGTAAGTCCAGTTAAACCTCTTTCTTCTGTAAATTACCCAGTCTCAGGTATGCCTTTATCGGCAACATGCAAATGAACTAATACAGCTCGGGGTGGCTTGTGTGGGTGCGTATGGCCATGTATGCAGGTGTGCGTGCATTGGAATATACAATTCCGTATTGAACCCAGTTTAAACTTCATCAGTTCTGGTGATTGCTGGAGTGTCACATATGGCAAGACGTCACCTTGCCCTCTAACTACACCAGAAAACCAGGCCAGCACCATTGACTATCTAGATACAGTGGGCCGTTTATATTATTATTGTTTCATATTTTTAGATTATTTGGTAAACAATTTACAGAACTAAGAATAAAGGAATAGTGAGAAATAACTATTAGCAATTTTAATAAGAGTTAACATAGTAAATATTTTAATTTTACGAAGAATTTAAATATGGTAAACCCACATGTTTATTCTGTATTTTCCCAGTTTTGAAGGTATGGATTTCTGAAATGAGCATTATCCTTTGGAATGCAGCTAGCTGCTAATCACCTGCCATGCACGAACCTGAAATATATCCGTCTTACAAATACTGGTTCTACATTTCAAATACATCTCTATTAGGTTCATCATATTTCTTGGTCTTTTTTTTTTATACTTGCAATTTCATTTAATTATTGTAAAAATTTAAGATATTTAAAACATTGACAGCTCATAATTTTATTGAAGAGAGAATATAGCCATCTTCCCTCAGGAATAAAATGTTTTCAAGTTTGGATTTGTAAACAGCTATTAAAATGATCAAGCCAGTCTTTTTTTCCCCCTTTTTTTCTGCATTATCTCTTCTAATCACCTTAGAGAGATTCCTGCCTTGGGCATTTGTCCACTTCCTAATGGTATCAAATAAATGTGTTGCACAGACATAAAATGTGTTGCATAAGCATCATAAAATGGCAAGGAATACTGTCACATCATTTTAGCAATGATGGTTAATGTTTTTGTCACATAATATTGAGTGATGATATCCTTCCTGTTGAATGACTAAGTGGATGAGAATACCATATTTCCTTTTTATTCTTAGAAATACATTGCTCAGCCGGGCGCAGTAGCTCACGCCTGTAATCCCAGCACTTTGGGAGGCCGAGGTGGGCCGATCGCCTGAGGTTGGGAGTTCGAGACCAGCCTGACCAACATGGAGAAAGCCCATCCCTACTAAAAATACAAAATTAGCTAGGCGTGGTGGCGCATGCCTGTAATCCCAGCTACTCGGGAGGCTGAGGCAGGAGAATCAATTGAACCAGGGAGGCAGAGGTTGCAGTGAGCCAAGATTGCACCATCACACTCCAGCCTGGGCAATAAGAGCGAAACTCCACCTCAAAAAAGAAAGAAAGAAAGAAAGAAATACATTGCTCACTTGTCAATTCTTGAGCTTGAGAAAATTCATCTAGGATATCATGTGAAGGCTCATAGCCTAAGGTTTTACTTACGTGATCAATTTCATTCTTCTTCTGGTTTATCTAATTGGTAAAATGCCTCCTTCTGTCAGTTGTTCCTATTTGCCAATATGTGGAAGATGATTTTTGACTATATTCAGTGAGTCTCCAGACTTCTTTTTATCATGCTTTTTAAAGAGATGGGACCTCACTCTGTTGCCCAGACTTGAGCGCAGTGGCTATTCACTGGTGTGAGTATGGTGCATTACAGCTGCAAACTCCTGGGCTCAAGTGATCCTCATGCCTCAACATCCCAAGTAGCTGGGACTATGCAGACTTTTTTTAAACCATCTTGAAAGATGATGCAGTACTTTGGGAACACAGCAATAAAAATGTGATAATTTCCCTATTGCATCACCTTTCTAGGCAATTATATCATTCTTTCATGCTCATATTATTTTGTCTTCTTTAGCACAGTTTTTAAATAGTTGATGGCTAATGATGAAATAATTCTTCGGATGATAAATATTTTGTAACATAGGAACACAATATAGGAAAAAGATCGAGGTTCATACCATATCTCAGACTCATGGTTAAGTACAAGCTAGAATGAGTTTTAGTCGATTAAATTTCTTTTTCTCTATGAATGGATAAAGTGAGAATATCAGCCCACAAGTAGTTAGAAGTGCTCAGAACTCAAAGGTAAAATTGTGTCCAAGACCTGATGGTATTCTAAAGGTTAACAGCCTATCCTACTTACCAAGAATTTACATTTATTATGAGGCCTGTACAACCTGATGCAGGAAAATACTTGGCATAATTTTCTATAAGTTAGGTAGTTAGGTGCTCAACAAGTATTTGAGTTGAATCACATTGGCATTCACATCAAACACATACACCTACGTCATCATGTTAACTTAAGGTTAATAGTGTCACCAAAACTAACTGGTCTTTAAAAAAGAAAAACTAGGCCAGGCATGGTGGCTCATGCCTGTAATCCCAGCACTTTGGGAGGCCGAGGCTGGCAGATCTCTTGATGTCAGGAGTTCAAGACCAGCCTGGCCAACATGGAAAAACCCCCTCTCTACTAAAAATACAAAATAGCCAGGCATGGTGGCATGTGCCTGTAATCCCAGCTACTGGGGAGACTGCCAGAGAATCGCTTGAACCCAGGAGGTGGAGGTTGCAGTGAGCTGAGATCGCACCACTGCACTTCAGCCTGGGCAACAGAGCAAGACTCTGTCTCAAAAAAAAAAGAAAAGAAAAGAAAAGAAAAACTAAGGAATATCATTCTAGACATGCAGTAATTAAGTAAAATTGCATCAGGAGTCTAATAACATAGCATGATGGGTCCCATGTTTCATTATTTCCATGGGCAGAAGAGGGATGGCTACATTATAAATAAAGGAAAATTGTAAGAATAAGAAAAGATGAAGTATGAAATATTTCCAACTCAAAAACAAACTGTATCTGAGCATGCAGAGGTACAAAATGTCACCTTTTTCCTCCAGTGTAATGAAGGGCACTAAACCTCTTGAGCATTTGATATGTTCCAGATACTATATTAAAGTGATTTTTTTTTTTAGGAGACAGGTTCTTGCTGTCACACATGCTGGAGTGCAGTATTGCAACCATAGATCAGTGTAACCTTGAACTCCTGGGCTCAAGTGATCCTCCTGCCTCAGCCTCCCAAATGGCTAAGACTACAAACACATTGCCACCATGCCTGCCTAATTTATTTTGATTTATTTATTTTTTTTGTAGAGACAGGGGTCTCACTATGTTGCCCAGACTGTTTTCAAACTCCTGGCCTCAAGTGATCCTCCTGCCTGGGCCTCCCAAAGTGTTGAGATTACAGGCATGAGCCACCACGCCAGACCAAGGGGTGAAATCTTGATAACAATAATCAATGCAGTCATCATAAAACGCTTGCACAGGCTCAATTTGTAGGTGGCACAGTGCTACATCTAGTCAAAAGCAAATTTAATTATGGTCATTGTGCTCTGAGAACTTTTCTCAGAAAATAATAACCAGATGGTATTATAGATGGTGCATTTCACAAATACATGATTTGTAGTTAGTGAAAACTTGTCATTCAATCATGTAATAAATTATGCACATGCCGTCTTCCACTTAGCTAGTGATGTTGAAACATTCATAGCCTTACCTGATGAGCTCAGGCTGTCATGAGAATTTATGTCTATTCAGTACTTTGTCTTTAAAATTAGGTGAGAGAGAAAGAGAGGCTGTATTTGACTATATATCTTTTTATTTGTATCTCTGGAGTTACAAGTTTTTGAATATATAATCTTTCAGCTGCCTTTCTGCATTGCATTTTGAGAAATGATATTAAATGCTCAAGGAAAAAAAACCTAACAACTTTAGAGGGCCGCAAAGTGAATCATACAAAAGATAAATTAAAGCTTTAAATCTTTGCCAGTGGATGAGTCAAGTAAGAGTGGATTTAATGAAATGGCTCATGGCTTTGAGAAGCAGCTGTCATAATGCTGGGTTGGCAGCTTCCAGGACTGTGTGAGGCTTTCTGACTGTCTATACTGAAATAGGAGAACTCATTTGAAAATGACGAATAGGAGAATAGCAGAAACTTGCATTTTCTTTTGAGGGAACTGGCTGCCAGTTTTGAGGTCCTTATTTAGAAATGCTCGATTCCTGTATTGAATAAACTTGGACTACATGTATGTCAAAAAGAAAAGCAAAACACTTTTATAGCCTTAAGCAGATTACAGATGTGTGGCCAAACCAGTGGGGTCTGTTTTTGTTTCCAAGCAGGTGATGGCTGGAAGAGGAGATGCCTCTGTAGTGCAGGGCTTGAGTTGCTGCTGTCTGAGCTACATCTGGCAATGAGACTGTGCTGCTTACTGAGACCTAATGGCACAGGTTGCCCCAGTAACAGGATATTGCTGAATGAGAAATACTGTAGGATTCATTTGTAAGAGTTATTTGGAGGGTTGGATTATTCAGTGCTAAGGATCCTAAGCTACTGATGCATGGACTCTTTTCTTCCCTCCAGTATCTTTTAATTAAACTGTACAAATTCCCTGGCTTAAAAATAGTAGGAAAAGAGGAAGAAAATACAGATTCTTATGATTTTAACTGGTCTCTGGCAATAGTACACCGAAACATTAATTTCTTGTTGAAACCATCTGGATATTTGTATCTTCAGTGTAAAACCCCTAATTTAGATAGGACTCTCCATTGTGACATGGAAAAATAACCCTTTAATTAGTTAATTAATTTTACTGTGGCCTCAAAATCTACATATTAGCATATCAAGCCAAAAACTGTTGGCTTTACTTGGGAGCCATGTGGCTTAAACTAGTACCAGTAACTTACCACAAGGAACTCAGCAAAATTATAAGTCCATGTTTGTTTTGGAAGGAAGGCAATTATTACGAAAATAATTTAGAGATGTTCAAACTATTTCCTTTGAGTAGAGGTAGAGAGTGAACAAAATCTGTCCCAAGTGGGAGCTAACTAGCTTCCTTTTTTGCCCTCCCTGTTTACAAAGTAACACTTTTAGTTTACTAGGTAACATTTGCAGTATCCCCAGTGTTTCAATGTAAAATTGTAGGTGGTAGACTAATGCCACTTAGCCAAAGCCATGATCACCTGAATTTTTAATATATATTTTTGTATGGAGTGAGATACTGGGAGAACAGTCTTCATTAGCTTAAACTCTAGAATGTACTGTTTGTTTGTTTGTTTGTTTGTTTGTTTTGAGATAGAGTCTCGCTCTGTCACCCAGGCTGCAGTGCAATGGTGCAATCTCAGCTCACTGCAACCTCCCCTCCCAAGTTCAAGTGGTACTCCTGCCTCAGTCTCCCGAGGATTACAGGTGCCTGCTTCCACACTCAGCTTTTTTTTTTTTTTTTTAATGGAGACGGAGTCTCACTCTGTTGCCCAGGCTGGAGTGCAGTGGTGTGATTTGGGCTCACTGCAACCTCTGCCTCCCAGGTTCAAGCGATTCTCCTGCCTTAGCCTCCCGAGTCGCTGGGATTACAGGTGCCAACCACCATGCCTGGCTAATTTTTGTATTTTTAGTAGAGACGAGGTTTCACCATGTTGGTCAGGCTGGTCTCGAATTCCTGACCTCAAGTGATCCACTGGCCTCGGCCTCCCAAAGTGCTGGGATTACAGGCATAAGCTACCATGCCCAGCCAAGAATGTACAATATTTTTAAAGAAATGCGGTTTATTACCATAAAATACAGGTTGAGCATCCCTAATCCAAAATCTGAAATGCCCTAAAATCCAAAATGTTTTGAGCACTGACATGACAGCAAACGTAGAAAATTATGTGACTTTATGTGTTCAATGTATACAAACTTCCTTTCTGAAACAAAAATTATTTAAAATGTTGTATAAAATTGCCTTCAGGCTGTGTGTATAAGGTATTTTTGAAACATAAATGAATTTTATGTTTATACTTGGGTCCCATCTCCAACATATCTTATATGTATGGAAATATCCCAAAATTTGAAAAAAATCTGAAATCTGAAACACTTCTGGTCCCAGGCAGTTTGGATAAGGATTACTCAATCTGTAAATACAGTAGCTCAAATTGATTTTGTAAGGCAGTCAAGTTATTATTTATAGTATTTTAATTTGTATTATTCTTTTAATATAGCAATTCATTTTATATATTTATATAAATAAATTTTTTGCAATTGAGCAAATTAAAAAAATTAAGTGCTTCCTTCAGATCTACATTTTATTTTCTATTTGTTATCAATTTAATAAGTAAAGGACACACAGATCATCTGATTGTGTTGTCAGACATTTGAAGGTGCAACTGATGAATGTTCACTGTTGTACTTTGTTTTGTCATGTAAATTGTTTTAAAGAGAAGTGAATGTTGAGCATATAGTAGGCCACACGTGCCTGTGGATTGGCTCATTGTTTTAGGAATGTGTAATTCTGGAAAAGATTTGCCAAGGGTATTCAAAAGTATAGTTTGATATTAGAAATTATTTGAAAATAATCTTTATAGCATAGCACCATTTTATTTAGATCAATAGTAATTCAAGCAGTATACATAATTTGCTATTGTAAGCGTAGCATATAACCTAAGTTTTCTTTTACATTTGAGACCACTGTTTGCTGTTGGTCGAATTTGGTCTTCCAAGATTTTTTGCTTAGTGACCTAATTGCCAGCCTTTGTGAAGAGCTGTTACTTATTGTCAAACCAGGCAGTAAGGGTTTGCTTTTATCTTTTTATCAGTTCTTTCAATGCTAGTAGTCATGAGATTAATGTAGTTGGATACTAAAATGTTAATACGTGTTAGATAACAAACTGGGAAAGAGATGAATGACATCATGAAGGAAAGGGCAGTATTGCACTTACAGTGATTTCATGATGATAGAACTAACCTGCCTAAAAAGACATTGGGTGGAAACAGAAACCAGGTGTAATAGACGCATCCAAGTAGTCAAGGAAAGAAAAGACTTGTAAGTAAATAAGATAATCTTTGCTTCAAAAATATCTTCAAAGGTTTAAAATGTGCTTTACCCTCATATATAATCTTTTTGAGCCTATTTCTTTACCTCAAACATGGGGAAAATTGCAATAATCTGTATCACGGTATTTGCTTCCAAAACGACTAATTGGTGTAAATGCATATCAAGCCGGTAAAGTTTACAGTGGACTTGTTTAAAATGCGTAGATTGGAATTGTTGGGGGAGCAGGCCAGCAGCATGGGATGTTTTTTTTGTTTGTTTGTTTGTTTAAGACTCTGTCGCCCAGACTGGAGTGCAGTGGCACAATCTCGGCTCACTGCAACCTCCGTCTCCTGAGTTCAAGCAATTCTCCTACCTCAGCCTCCCAAGTAGCTGGGATTACGGGTGCCTGCCACCACGCCCAGCTAGTTTTTACATTTTTAGTAGAGACAGGGTATCACCACGTTGGCCAGACTGGTCTCGAACTCCTGACCTCAGGTGATCCGCCTGCCTCGGGCTCCCAAAGTGCTGGGATTACAGGCGTGAGACACCGCGCCAGCTGGGGTGATTTTTTTCTTAGTCAAATCACTTCTCTACCCATCATCTCACACTGTCGAATACAAAGACTCTCCTTGGGGCTCAATGACTCATCTCCCACCTCTGGTTTGATAATCATGGCTATTATAACATGTTCCCTTTTTAATTAGTTATTTTAAAATTATTGTAGGTCTTGTAATCATAATCAATAATAATACGTAATGGCTCCTTAAGCACTTCTATCCTAGATAAGGTTGAGAACATTATTAAAATTAGTTTTGGTAGTAATCAAGTAATGATAATTCTTATTTATGAATTTAAATATGTAGGAGTTTTTTTATTTTAGGGAAGCAAAAAGGACTAGAAAGTATGATGTCTCATGATTAGAAAACTGCTATAAAAATGAAGGTAGAATTGATTTGGGCTGTTTTGGACATTTTAAATAGAAATTTAAATAGGTATTCAAATAGCAAAGTCATTCTACTTTAAAACTTCTATACTTTTTTAGGATCTTCAATTTTATATTTAAATTATATTTTTGAAATGGTTTTAGAAGAAATATTGTATCTTAAACTCTAACTACTAATAAGTAAGAGAAGATATATCAAAGGTTTGATCTTTTATCTCCTAGAATATACTATTCATTCGTTTCCCATTGTACGTCATTTGAATGTTAATGGTTAGCCTCAAATGGTTTTCAACATAATTGTATAGCTACTATTATTGGAAAATTGGAGCCAAGGACTCATACACATATCAGAAGTGGTAATGAAGCACTTTGGTTTTATGAAAATATGTTTACAAGGTAGTCACAGGATAGCAATATTGCATTTACTGTAATACAATGATGGTGGAACTAAGTGCAGTGGAACAGGATGCTGAGACCACAGTTACCGCATCTCTAAGTGCCTCGTCTAGTTATGGTCCAACCTCAGATATAACTCATTGGTGTTGAAACACACCTAGCAACATTTTAAGCATAGACCGTTCATTAAAAGGTACCTTTTTAAAAATTTTTATTTTTAAAAATTGACATGTAATAATTGTACACATTTACAGGGTACACAGTGATCAGATCAGACTGATCAGCATATTCATCTCAGGCATGTATCATTTCTTTGTGTTGGGAAAATTCAATATCCTGCTTCTAGCTGTTTGAGATTATGTCATATATTACTGTTAACTGTAGTCATCCTACAGTGCTGTAGAGCACTAGAACTTATTCCTCTTATCTAGCTGTAATTTGGTATCCTTTAACAAATCTTTCTCTATCCTCAGTTTCTACCTACCCTTCCCAGCCTCCATCATCCTCTGTTCTACTCTTTACGTCTATGAAATCAACATTTTCTAGCTTCTGCATATGAGAGCATGTGGTGTTTAACTTTCTGTTTTTGGCTTATTTCACTTAACATATGTCCTCCAGTTCCATCCATGTTGCTTCAAATGACAGGATTTTATTCTTTTGTATGGCTTAATAGTATTTCATTATACGTGCATGCACGCACGGACACACACACATACACACACACACACACATCACATTTTCTTCATCCATTAGTCTCTTTGGACATCTAGGTTATTCCATATCTTGGCTATTGTGAGTAGTGCTGCAGTAAATATGGGAGTGCAGATACCTCTTTTAATATACTGATTTCTCTTCCTTTAGATAAATGCCCAGTAGTGGGATTGCTGGATCGTATGGTAGCTCTATTTTTAGTTTTTTGAGGAATCTCCATACTATCCTCAAATGGTTGTACTAGAACAGAGCTTTTTTACCTTCCTTCCATTTGGGAATCTTCTTACCCAACATGTATATTAGTAACTTGGCTATGTATGTTCCATTCTCTGTCTCAAATACTGTGTCTAGGACATCTGCAATCTTTGGCTATGACCACGACTGTAAAGTGCATGACGCTTTTGCTCTGTCATCAGTATTAGTTGACAGGCAAGTAAGATAGTACTTCTCTTCATAACCCCTTTACCTGCCCAGCAGAATACCAGTACAGACAGACCCAGAATATCTCTGGGCTCAAGAATCCAGACATTTATAGGATGGGACTTTTATCTATAAATCACCTTAAGATTAGTAAGTTCTTAGAATTGGTTACCTTTGCCATTTCTCAGAAGCCCTTTGTCTAGTAACCTGTGTGTCACTGTCATTTCCAGCCTGTCTTTCCTACACATTGTTTATGCAGGCTTTAGGAGTGCCCACCCCCCAGTTCTACCCCCCACCCCCACCCTAGCCTTTGTGGTTTTAATTATCCTGTCTTGGCTGATTTTGTTTTGTTTTGACATTTCATCCATTAAATTCCTGACACTGGCTATCTCTTTACAATTATTATACTATTTTTCTTTCTGGCTCGCTCTTCCTGATTGCTGTAATCCATGCCCTTGACTTTAAATACCATTTGTAAGTAGACTAGGCCAAGGTTTATTTCTCTAGGCCAGACTCTACCTAGTTATTTCATAGGCATATGAATCCTAACATGTCCAAATGAGAGTTCTTAATTCCCCTGCTACCCAGTCCTCAATGTGGTTCTCTCAAAGCTATTCTATCTCAGTAATGGTCCTATGCCCTCTCCTAGGGATTATTGCTGAGAACCTAGAACTCATCATCGTCTCTTCTGCACATCCTATGAATTCTGGATTTATCCACTTATCTCCATCTTTTCCAGCACTAATCTAAACTCCCATTGTTTCTTGCTGGAGTTATTTCCGTATCCTGCTAATCTCTGCTCTCGTTCTCTCTCCCTGACACATGCGCTGCTTTCTTCTCCCACACCAAGCCATTCTCTGTACAGCAGCCAGGATGTAGAGTGTTTATTTACATAAAGCAGATCCTGGAACCCCCAAATTTAAGTTGTGTTCGTGGCTTACCAATACGCTTAAAAACCAAGTGCACAGAGAGAAAACAATGAAGCCTTATTTGGATATGCTGAGGATAATTGATAACGGGTAACAACTAACAAACACGTAGTTGGTGTCAGGTTTGACCTCCTACATTCCTTACAGGTATTAGTGTATTTGACCCAGCTCCTCCCTACCTCCGCAGTATCACCCCATGCCTCTCTTTCCCCCGACTCTCCCCTGCTCAGTGTCACACAAGTCAATATCCCCAGCTTGCTAACCCCCGGGCTGACAGATCTCATTGTCTATAATGGATGTTCCAAGGTCCCACCTTCAGCCTCAGTTTTGTTGCCATCTTTCCAGAATGAATTCCCTTGATCATTCTGTTTTTTGGAGACAAGGTCCTGCTCTGTCACCTAGGCTGGAGTGCAGTGGCATGATCATGGCTCACTGTAGCCTTGACCTCCCTGGCTCTGGAGATCCTCCTGAGTAGCTGGGACTACAGGCTGCACCTGGCTAATTTTTTTTTAATTTTTAGTGGAGACAAGATCTCACTTTGTTGCCCAGGCTTGTCTCAAACTCCTGAACTCAAGCAGTCCTCCCACCTCCGTCTCCCAGAGTGCTAGAATTACAGGCATGAGCCACCATGCCTGGCCCTGATCATTCTTTTCTGAAGAAAACACCCCTTCTTCATTATTCTCAATCCTAGCAGCCTATTTACTTCCATTCTGAAATGAATCACATTTTAGTATTTTATTGGTTCGTTGTCGTTCTCTCCCCCCATAGAATGTAATCTCTCTGAGTACAGGGAGCTTATCTTTTTCCCTTTTGGAGCCTCGGATCCAGCAGAATGCCAGACACTTAGCAGCCACTAGCATTTGATGAGTGAATGGCTTTTCATACACAATTTTAGACATTGTTCCTGATTGGTCTCTCTAGTCAATAATAGATTTATCAAATCTAATCGATAATAGATTTCTTTTTCTTTTCTTTTTTTCTTTTTCTTTTTCTTTTTTTTTTTGAGAAGTCTTGCTCTGTCGCCCAGGCTGGAGTGCAGTGGCATGATCTTGGCTCACTGCAGGCTCTGCCTCCCAGGTTCACGCCATTCTCCTGCCTCAGCCTCCCAAGTAACTGGGACTATAGGCGCCCGCCACCATGCCCAGCTATTTTTTGTGTTTTAGTAGAGATGGGGTTTCACTGTGTTAGCCAGGATGGTCTCGATCTCCTGTCCTCAAGATCCGCCCGCCTCAGCCTCCCAGAGTGCTGGGATTACAGGCCTGAGCCACCGTGCCTGGCCGATAGTAGATTTCTTTTATTGATTAGAGAGACTAATCAGCAACAATGTTTTAAAATTCTCACATAGATCTCTGAATGGGAAAGCAGTCTTGAATTATGCTTGCAGGGAGAGAGAGGGGAAGGAAGGAGGAGGAATGGTATAATTAGACTTCATAAGGCTAGATTTTGTTTCTACTTAAATAATGGTATCACAGTGGGACATATTATCCATGCAGAAAGTGAGTGGGCATCTGGTCTATTATCTGTGGTCTTTCAGGAATGGCAGCTCTTTAGTTTAAAAAACAACAAAGTGCAGCACTGTTTATTTAATGGAAATAGAAAAGCAGTGCCTGTGTATTAGTGGCTCAGATTTTTTTGTTCTTTGTTTTCAGCTGTCTGCTGTATGCCTCTCCAGCGGGGTCTTACAGAATCTCAAGTCTACCATGATCAAAGCTGAACCCATTAGCTCCATTTCTTAATTCCTCCTGTATCCTCTGTTACCATTAGTAACTATTCTCCAACTCAAAGCATCAGATTCCTCCTCTTACTCACTCCCTTCATCCCCAGTCACCAGTTCTGTGCTGTTATTTTATCCAAGTTCTCAGTAGGCTTCACGAGCACCGCCTTCACATCCCAACTGTCGCTCCTCCACCTATCTGTCCTCCATGCTTCTGCTAGCTCATGTTTGTTGCAATACAACTAACCTTGCCACTCTTCTGCTTCAGGCTTTTCTACTAGGCTCTGCATCTAGATGATGGTCCAGACTCCTCAGCCTGTGAAACAAAGCCCTTCATAAAAGAGCAGAGCTACAGCTAGTCAGCTCCCTTCCTGCAGTCCACCCCCTCCTCCACCATACTGAGAATTGGCAATTCCTGTAGCACTCTTTGTATGAGTCCATTTTCACACTGCTATAAAGATATAACCAAGACTGGGTAGTTTATAAAGGAAAGAGGTTTAATTGACTCACAGTTCTGCATGGCTGAGGAGGCCTCAGGAAACTTACAATCATGGCAGAAGGGGAAGCAAACACATCCTTCTTCATAAGGCGGCAGGAAAGAGAAGAGCGAGGAGCAGAGTGGGAACAGCCCCTTATAAAACTGTCAGATCTCCTGAGAACTCCCTCACTGTCACGAGAACAGCATGGGGAAACCACTCCCATGATCCAATTCCGTCCCACCAGGTCTTTCTCTAGACACATGGGGATTATGAGGATTACAATTCAAGATGAGATTTGAGTGAGGACACAGCCAAACCATATCACTCTTCATCTGCTACGGGTGCCATTCCCTGTTTCTACAGTGTCCTGTTTGCTACCTTCTTTGTAGATTTCTATTCATTCATCATGTCCCAGTTTACCTGTTACCTCTTCAACAGATTATTCTTCAGTCTGTCCCTCCCAAACTCCACCAATGAACATTCTTTGTTCAGCCCATTATTGTTAATATGCACTTCACTGAAAACACTGTTTTATGCTTGTTTACATCCCATCTCTGCAGGGCTCTGAGCCTATAGTCAGCAGTTGGGAACTTACTAGGCATAGCGCCCAGTAAAGGATAGCTCTTTATATATATATATATATTTTTTTTTTTTCTAAAATAATAAGCCCCAAGAAAAACATTACCTGTGAAAAACAAATGATATTTTTATACCATTTTCAAAACCTAATAGCAATAAAAAGAAAAGAAATGTCATAAGTATACATTTAAGCTGTAGTTAAAAACAGTAAATAGGCACAGTATTTAACTCTTATCATGTGCTGTTCCAAGTGTGTTATTTACATCATTGGCTGTTCACACCATCCCCTGAGGTGGTTAATATTTCCATCCCATGTTAAAGATGAGGAAACCAAGTCACAGCAGCCTAAGTGACATGTTCATAGTCACATTGGAGCTGGCAGGTGGCAGCACTGAGAATGAAACCCACGTGGCTGAGCTCTGGAAAGTCACCATTAATCACCACACTAGACCTTCTCTCTAGGATCTACATAACTAGAACATACAATTAACTGGAGTATATGTAAGTGTAGTCGTTCCTTGAGAAAGGAAAAGAATTCACAAATTTCATAGCCTCATCCCTTGTGCATTTGTGGCATTGTGCTAGGGGTGTCTATTTGATATTTGACCCTACAGATTTCTCAGATGCCAACCAACCACAGATACTTTAAAAAAAGATACTTAATACTTACCAATGCAAGAAAGTGGGCTTGTTGGAAGAGGAAAAATGTTAGCTCACTAATGGAAAATCAACTAAAAGTCTTACCTCTCCAGAACATGCTTTTCCTAAATGTTGTGGCTAACCCAAGAAGCTACATCATCTTTACCTTTATGATACAATTTAAAGTACTTTTCTACTTACTTCAAGCCCTCAGAGCACAGAGGCAAGGGAGGCCTTGGGCTATAAACCCTGTAGCCTGAGCCACATGGCTTCTTCTCCTGGACAGATACCTGGCATATTCTGCCACTGAGGATCAGTGGTGCAGATGTATCTGTTTTCTCCTAGGAATGGGGCTCCACTTACGAATCTGGGGCAGGACAAGGTATTGCTGCATTTTGGGGAGCGTGCTGGAAGGAGGAGCAGAGTTTGTTGTTTTTGCTTCCTGATATGGACTGGCTGTGTCTCCATTCAAATATCAACTTCAATTATATCTCCCAGAATTCCCACATGTTGTGGAGGGACCCAGGGGAGGTAATTGATTCATGGGGGCTGATCTTCTCTGTACTATTCTTGCGATAATGAATAAGTCTCACAAGATCTCATGGGTTTATCAGGGGTTTCTGCTTTTGCTTCTTCCTCATTTTTCTCTTGCCTTTTCCTCATTTTTCTCTTGCCGCCACCATGTAAGAAATGCCTTTCACCTCCCGCCATGATTCTGAGGCCTCCCCAGCCATGTGGAACTGTAAGTCCCATTAAACCTCTTTTTCTCCCCAATCTTGGGTATGTCTTTATCAGCAGCATGAAAACAGACTGATACACTTCCTTAACAGAACCAATTATTTTTTCCCAAAAAAGAGGGGGAGAAGCCCAGAAGCATGCAGCTTCTCTCTTCTTTCTAAGGAATAGGTCTTCACAAAGTGCCCCCAAAAGAAAAGGACCAGGCTTTTCTCTTACTTTGTGACTTTCCTAGGTTGCTTTGTAGCCATTTTGGACACAGACCACCTATAGCTGTGTAGTAGTTCTCATGTGTATGGACACAGTGGAAGGAGATGCCAGGCACATAGTTCTTGCTGCATTGACACCTTTTCAGGGCATCTTCTTTTACCATCTTCTGTAGAAACTGCAACAGCCCGGCCAACTACCAGCCCCAGCCCACCCCTAGCTTTGCTGCTTTCATTTTCTCTGTAACACTTGTCACCTTGTAATGTGCTAGTGTAACATCGTTGTTTTAGTTTTCTTATATCTTTCCTTCCCTGTAGAATGTAAATACCAGGAAGGCAGGGAATTTTGTCTGCTTTATTCTCTGCAGCATCCCTAGACTCCAGAGCAGACCCTGGAACTCAAATATTTGTTAGACAGCCAAAGGTCATATACTTCCAACTCTCCACCCAAAATATATATGGATCACCCATCCTTAGTAGCAGCTAAACCTTTGGACATGAGGAATTTGCTCGTTCACAGTTTTCTGGCCTAGCATCTGATTAACCAAACTTTTTCACATATCAAGAATTTAAAATGACTCCAAAACTTTTTATGACCTTAGGTGCTTCTCCTTAATTCTAGTTGGTTCATAAAGCTGTCAGAACAATAATCTGCTTTTGATAATATATGACTTTTCTTGCCTCCAAGATAGCCTTTAAAAAAGCAATTTAGCCTTTTACTGTAATTATATTCCAAATTTAAGTCTTGCCAGAATATCATTTTCCCCCTTTAAACATACTTTTTATGATGCCAAGATATTTTAAAGAAAAGTTCAGATAGGAAGCATATTTAAGATGTCAGTATATGTCTCTAAAATCTAAGAACATTTTTCTACAGAGTCCAGATGATACCATCTCACCCACAAAATTAACATAAATTTTTAGTACCATTGGATACCATGTCCATATTCAGATTCTCCCTGAGTTCCAGAAAGGTCCTTCACAGGTTATGCATTTCACATCCTATCCGGCACCAGGGCCAGCATCTTACATCCTTAATTCTTAGGATTCAGAATAGCACTTTTTATATCCTGACACTGACTTGCTGAAGAAGCTGTACCAGTTTTCCTATAAACTGTCCACTCCTTGGATTTGTCTTATATCATGTCCCAGGGGTATTGTTTAGATTGTTGCTCTATTGCTAGGATATTCATGTTACCCTAAGTGTGTACTGAGATAGCAGAGTAAAGAGAGATTGTCTTTTAAAGGTTCTGCCCAGGAACTGCTGGTTTACACAAAAGCTGGGCTTTAGTGCTTCTCGGATCTCTTTGCTTGTTTCAGTAATTTTTTTTTAGAAATTCACTAATTCACTAACGTAAGTGGGGCAGGGTTTACAGGAGCATGTGTTGAGAGAAGTTGGTTTGACTTTAAATGGTCATTTTTACAATCCGTATTTAGGCCTTACAGGTCGCATACAATCTCTGTCACATATTGCTGTCATTTTTACCCCCTTTCTTTTCTTTTTATAATCCTTTAAAAAATGCAAAGCCCACCCTTAGCTCACAGGATGTACAAGAACAAGTTGCGGGTTGCAGTTTGCCAAGACCTGCTCTGTGCCACTGCTGACTTGCCATTCTTGGAGCCCACTTTCTGTTCTTGTCAGCCAATTCCCTTTCAGGTGCTCAGGTTTCCCTCCCTCCTGTCACCGGGCCTTTGCACATGCTCTACCCACCCTGCCTAGTGGAGAGCTATCTTTGGCCCCTGGACTTCATTCACTTCGGACCTTCTTTGGGTCACATTTCAGTCATGCCTCACTAGACACCTGGAATCTCTGCCTCACTAGACACACTAGCACTCACTCTTTTGGGTCTTCTGGCTGTATGTAATTGTTATCAGGGCAGTAATTTTGCATTTATACAGGTGCTGAGGTCAGTGTCTGGCCTTTGGCTACTTGCCTTGTGAGCCACCTTTGCTTTCCAGTGTACCCCTAGCTCCTGGCCCAGTGTCCAGCTTCCCAGCATCCATTCATGTTTTCCCTGGAGACCATTCTGTGCCCAGCAGCCAGAGACATCATTGCAACTTAAATCTCATTGAGTCGTTCCAGTTGCTGTAAGAAATGTAACCGTACTGGGTAACACTATGCCTGTCTGTCTCCACCACCAGATCTTATACTTCCTCCCTCATCTGCTACTCCCTAAGCTCACTGGCCCTTTGTTGTTTTTGCTGAACGTGCTAATCTCTTCCTCACACCTGGGCCTTTGCACTTGCTCTTACCCCTGCCTCAGCCATCCATGCACTCTCTTGGTTTTGCCGTGCCCGACTTCAGCATTTTTAGTTCACATGGCTCTTCCGTGGGGCCCTTCCCTGACCACCCTGTTTGAAATGCTACCCATCCCTGGCACACATCTATCATAGTCATTCATTAGCAATTAGCCCCATCTCCTTTCCCTATAGTACTTTTCCATAATTTTTTTTCTTGCTCATATTACACCTCCCCAACTAATAGATAGATTCCAAGAAATTGAGTGCTTTATCTTCACTACCTGGAATAGTACTGGCACTTGGTAAAGCACAGCGAATATTGTTGATTGAATTACTAGGGGTTGGCTTAGAGAGGTACTTAATGGAATGATTCAATGGATGAATGAATGAATGCATTGCCACTTTTTTGCTCATTATCATCAATTTGTACATATGCCTTTCAACTCAAATATTTATCCATTGGCTAAAGAAAAAAAATACCTGAATCCCCGTGTCTCTGCAGTTTACCCTTCCTCACTGTTAAAACTCAGTGCCTGTGTAAAATTTCATTATATTTTATTTACTTCTTATTCCACTTGTGCATTATGTGGATATTCCTGCCTCATCCCCACAGCCACCTATCACTTCCGGCCAACTCAGATGCCTCTGGCTCGCAACAATCACTTCTCTGTTGAATTTCTGAAGCGTTTAATCTGCAGTATGTCTGTTACTCATACAGCAGTTAGTGTGAATTGTCTCACTCAGAATAAGTATTCATTAAATGTGTAAGAATGATGATATAGCCTAATTTCAGATCAAGATTGTGATTTATAGCTCATTCTTAATCAGCTGTGTCATGACTTTATTTATTTATTCCTTTTTTTTTTTTTTTTGAGACAGAGTCTCACTCTGTCACCCAGGCTGGAGTGCAATGCAGCTTCTGCCTCCTGAGTTCAAGTGATTCTCATGCCTCAGCCTCCCAAGTAGCTGGGATTACAGGCGTGCACCCCCACGTCCAGCTAATTTTTTGTATTTTTAGTAGAGACGGAATTTCACTATGTTGGCCAGGCTGGTCTCGAACTCCTGGCCCCAAGTGATCTGCCTGCCTCGGCCCCGCAACGTGCTGGGATTACAGGCATGAGCCACCTCCTCAGGCCTGAGTCATGAATTTTTGGTAGTCCAGTCATGTGGTTATCTTCCTAAAGCTGGAGGCCTTAAACCTAGGGCCCCAGGTGGGCTTATGCCTTTAGCTGCAAGTAACAAGAAACCCTTTTCAACCTTTTTACTGATTTATTTAGAGAGAAGTACACATAAGAGGTAATGCAAGTAAGCAAAGTTTTTTAAGACCACACAACTAGATAGCCAGCATCCGGACCAGAACACAGAGACTTGCTGGCCCCTAGAATCCTCTCTCCTGGCCCCTGCCAGTTACTGGCCTTTCCCCTGAGTTCTATTTGCCTGCAGTTTGCTTGTTTTCATATTTAATTCAAATAGAATTAGGTGATGTGTCCCCTTGTGTTTCGCTTCTAACAGTGCCTTTATGCGGGAGAAGTACTGGCTATTTCTTACTTTGCCCTCCCTCCCCGGAAACATTTTCCTAATTTAGTAGCAGTAATTTCAAAAACTGCTTTCCTTTCGGACAAACTGACTTATCCAGCCATTGTACCTTCCAGTTTAGACTCTGGCAGTTTGGAGAGTTGAGACAGAGAGAAGGAGAACCGTCTGTTTATCTTCTTGAAAAAAACTACTGTATTTTCTCTCTCTTCTGACTCTGGGAGCCTCTAGACTCTTTTTTCCCATTTTCATATCCACAGAGGAAGAGTCTGAACCTCTTCCTGCTGAGCTTTCCCCTGGTTGGTTGCATTTCAGGAACTGACATTGGTTGTCTTCCCTCTTCCCTCATCAGTGCAAGTAGGTTGGATCTCATGATAGTCCATATTCACATAACCATGAGAATCAGAGCTTTCTCTCTGTCATTTCCTCCCTGTTTATCTGTAGCAAGAAGAAAAAAGTCCGTCTTAACAGAGACTGTGAAAGAATAAATATAGACTTTATTGTTTTAGAGCAGTTTTAGGTTCACAGCAAAATTAGGCAGAAGGTACTGAGATTCTCCCATATACTCCCTGTTCATACACTTGCACAGCCTCTCCCATTATCAGCGTCCCCCTTAGAGCGATTTGTTACAATCAGTGAACCTACACTGACACCATTATTATCACCCAAAGTCCATAGTTTACATTAGCATTCTCTCAGCATTGTTTATTCTGTGAGTTTGGAAAACTGTCTAATGACATGTACCCACCATTGTAGTGTCATACTGAGTACTTTTACTATCCCCCAAATCCTCTGTGTTCCTCCTGTTCGACCCTCTCTTGCCTTTAACCTTTCCAAGCCACTGATCTGTTACTGTCTATAATTTTGCCATTTCTAGAATGTCATATGGCTTTCTTAGAAAATACAAATGGTGACTTTTTTGGCATGACTTTAATAAACAGAAATGAAAATTGGTGTGTGAATCAAAATCTTTCACTCTGTAAAGGGACTTATCAGGCGGCACCTGCATGTGGAATTATATCAAGGTCAGCTTTAGTTAGAAACAGAAGGAGAGTCACCTTTGTGATGTCATTTCTCCTTCATCCAAGTAAAATCTCGCATGCTGACACATAAAATTTTATCATCAGTGATTTATTTCCTCGTAGGAATGTCCCTTTGACCTTATTAAATTCAGATACTCTGGGGATGGTCAGCATTTTCAGATGGTTCCCTTGTTCTGTAAAAATGTTTGTTATTGGTGTTTAAAAGCTGTAAAAGCCACCCACTATAAATTGATAGCCACTAAAGTCTGCGAATGTGGTATGAATGTTCCACTATGTTGCCAAGCGTTTATTTTATTGTGAGTTGTTATTTGATTGTTTGTAAGGAAATTGTTTTATGATGCTCAGCTTTATATTTCCATAAACTGTTCCTCCCTTGCAACTCCTTAAACTGTGATGAGCTTTTCAAAACAAGTCCACAGGACAACAGTCTGTCCAGCATTTGAAGAAGTGGTGGAAAAGTCATTTTTTTCCTTTCAGTGTTTCTAGCTGTTCATGAAAACTGCAGTTAAAAGTTGTAATGTTGTTGTGTTTGGCATTCTTTGGGAAGATGCAGCATTATTCAAACAAAACCGTGTGCTCTTGTTTTAAATAGTGTCCAAATGAATAATTGAATTCATGGACATCTAAATTTAATTCCAGAAATCAAAGCTATGGTAATAAGAACTTGGACCTGAGTTCTCTTAGGCCAAGTAATTTAATTCCTTAGCCGGTTGAACTATTTATTACGTGTCTCCGTTCCTGGTTATTATGCCAGTAAATTGCTCAGGCAGATGCAGGGATGGATGATGGGCATATAATTCACTCTTTTTCACGGCTAGACACATACCAGAATGCAGATCACACTAAACAGCTGTTTTTACAAACATGGTTTCTATTCAGAGCTTTAAGGGCCACATCCAAGTAATAACAAAGAAGCCTGGAGAAGGAACCTGGGGATACCCAGGGTCATGTTTTCACCATCCCACCTGGAAACACGGTGCTGTCCAAACCCTGGATGGTACACTTGGACATCGTCATTCCAGTCATGGTTCAAGATCACGTGTATACATCATGATTTAAAGAGAATACTGGTTTGATTTTTCTTCCTGACTTTCCCTGAATTTTCCACTTAAATTGGAAAACAGCGCTAGTTAGTGCCCATGATTTGATTGAATAAGTAAGAGATCTCAAACACGGTAAATTAACTGATGACATGCATCAGGTCATCTTTCTTTGATTCACCAGTAATACAACAGTGAGATCCTACAGAAAAATGCAAAGGCAGAAGCTCAGGGCAGCTGAGCAACTGTTAAGGATTCTTTTGAAATGTAGCCCCACGTAGTAAACTTTCGTGCAATAATTTGGGCAGTCAAAAAAAAAAGTCAGTTATTTCACCTCATTTATTTCTACGAGGAGATAAAGGCTTCCAACATCTGATTTTCAGTGCCAGTGTTTTCTGTTTCTCTTTTCACCTATTTCGTCCTAGTCTTGTGGAAATGTTACAATAACTGATTAGGATTTTCTCTGTATTAACACTTCATTTATTAACATATGAGTAAGTTGCTATTAATAAATTATTCTGCTTAATCAGTTTCTTTTTATTCTTTAGCCACATGCTAAACTTCTTCGGATGTCTTCACTTAATATCCTTACATCATATTTAATCAGAGTTAGAAAGGCGTTCCACTTGGGGGTCATACACATTTTTTTGAAACTTTTATAAACGCCCTTTATACTATTCTTGTATCCTACGTAATCAGAGTCAGGTGTTCCATGGGGATCATACACATCTTTATACAACTTGTGTAACACATGCTTTAAATCCTGAGGTAATCAGAGAATTCCTGCCATTGATGGATTAATCTCTTTACATATCTTTCCCTTTCACTCTCAGCAAAACTACTTATGGCGGTCCTGTTAGACTTTGAAAGCCTTTCAGGTTTATGGAGGAGTCTTCCTTTCTATTGTCGTAGATCATGGAATCATAGTGTTCGCTTGTCTCACGTGTTTGGAATCTGATTTCCTACATAATGCTGTGCTCTCACTACGAGTCCAAGGCTTCCTGTGGCTACAAATCCCGGGTTCCTATCACTTTTCCCAATGATGAGCTTCTCCTTGTTGGCCAGAATCAGCTCTGTGGTAATAATTCCCTTCTGCTTTCTCCCTCTCGCTTTTTTTTTTCCTTCTGGGTACATTATAATGTCAGCATAGCAGCTTTTAATTCTATTACTATGGTACTTCTCGAATAGACCTGTGGTAGTTGCCCCAGAAAGGTTGAAACCCCCTGCCACATCTAGGTCTTTCTCCTGTATTGGTTTTGTGATCTGATCAAGGACATCTATTCCTCTAGTCCTGCTAGGTGGTATACGATAGGCTTTTACTATTAGATATTCAAATGCTGTCAACCATGCCTGCCTTGACAGGTACATGATTTCCACAAGGATTTCCTAATAGGCCTTTTTAATTTTGTTCTAGACATGCCCTTCTTTTGCCATCCAAATTTGCTTATTTTTTACAAACTATGATGCATCAGCATGTAAATGTTTAATACCATAAATATTTCTGATCCTCTTCCCAATTTCACTGAGTTACTGGTTATCTCTTGCCATTATTCTCAGCATATTGCAGTGGATCTCAGAATATTTTCCCCTGACCACCAGCATCAGTATTACCTGGGAATTTGAAATGCACATTCTCAGGCCCCACCAAGGCCTCATGATTCAGAAACTCTGGAGCTGCATTAGAAACTGCCACAGGCACCTGGTGATCTGTGTTGGTTTTTGTTTGTTTTTAAGGAGACAGTGTCTTTGTCTCCCTGGCTGGAATGCAGTGATGCAGTCATAGCTCACAGCAGCCTCGAACTCCTGGGCTCAAGCAATCCTCCCGCCCCAGCCTTCTGAGTAGCTGGAACTACAGGTGCACACCACCATGCCTGGCTGGTTTTTGTTTGTTTTTAAGGAGGCAGTGTCTTTGTCTCCCTAGCTGGAATGCAGTGATGCAGTCATAGCTCACAGCAGCCTCGAACTCCTGGGCTCAAGCAATCCTCCCGCCCCAGCCTTCTGAGTAGCTGGAACTACAGGTGCACACCACCATGCCTGGCTTTTTTTTTTTTTTTTTTTTAATTTTTTTGGAGACAGGGTCTCACCGTGTGGCCCAGGCTGGTCTCAAACTCCTGGCCTCTAGGTTTTTTCCCACCTCAGCCTTCCACAGTGCTGGGATTACAGGCATGAGCCACCACATTTAGCAGGTAGGTGATCTGTGTTTCAATAAGCCTTCCAGGTGATTCTGATGCTCACTGAAATTTGAGAACCACTGAAATATTTGGTTTTCTACAAAACATAAGCAGTTAGTAACCATAGGGTACGCAACTAAATAGTTCCAGCAGGCATCCCTGACCACAGGGCATTGCAGATTTACTTAAGTCAGTTTCATCTTCCACCTGTGTGAGTTCCAGCAGGCATCCCTGACCACAGGGCATTGCAGGTTTACTTAAGTCAGTTTCATCTTCCACCTGTGTGAGTTCCAGCAGGCATCCCTGACCACAGGGCATTGCAGGTTTACTTAAGTCAGTTTCATCTTCCACCTGTGTGAGTTCCAGCAGGCATCCCTGACCACAGGGCATTGCAGGTTTACTTAAGTCAGCTTCATCTTCCACCTGTGTGTCCAGTTTAAGCTCTCAGTTGCAGTTTTTAAACCAATTTCCACCAGCATATACTGAGTATCCGCTACCGTGCAATGCGTTGCGGCTCTTGTATGTGCACTATGAGAAGTAATTCCCATAATACGGCAAACTCAGTTTTGATATCCACCACCCCACTTTTTATAATGGACTACATTTTTCAGAGCAGTTTTAGGTTTACAAAGAATTCAAGCAGAAACTACAAAAAGTTCCCTCTACCTCTCACTTCCCCACTCCCCAACAGTTTCCCCTGGATTAACATTTTGCCTTAGTATGGTACGTTTGAACCAATATCGATACACTATTATTAACCAGTATTCCTGTTTTAACATGAGAGGCGACTTTTTGTGTAGTATAGTCTCTTGGTTTTGACAAATGCTTAATGCTGTGTATCTATTATTACTTATGACAGTATCGTGCAGAGTAGTTTCTAAAAATCCTCTCTACTCCACCTATTCATCCCTTCCCCACTCCCCCTGAACCACTGGCAACCGCTGATCTTTTTATTGTCTCCGTAATTTTCCCTTTTCCAGAATGTCCTGTGGTTAGACTCATGGCATCCCCTTTTAGCAACTGCAGAAACTAAGAACTGTCCCCAAGGATAAAAATTTTTGCAGACCCACTGAGCTGGGATTTATACTTAGACCTGCTGAATTGAAGTTTTGGGTGTGTTTCTTCTCAAATTGCCAAAATTCCATATGGACGACTTTTCTTTTCCTTCCCTGAAATGTGTTTAATTGACTTTTTCTGTTATTTGTGTTTGCCTTCACAGTGAAGACAAAGTAGTAGAAGTAGCAGAGGAGGAAGAAGTGGCTGAGGTGGAAGAAGAAGAAGCCGATGATGACGAGGACGATGAGGATGGTGATGAGGTAGAGGAAGAGGCTGAGGAACCCTACGAAGAAGCCACAGAGAGAACCACCAGCATTGCCACCACCACCACCACCACCACAGAGTCTGTGGAAGAGGTGGTTCGAGGTAATCCACCATTTGCTTGGATTCCCCCCACCCCCAAGGAAAAGAAAGCGTAATACCAGAGTTGGAAATATCCACCCTAGCACCACTGCCTTCCCCAATCAAAAACATGTTTTTTTTTCCAAAAGGCTTCTTATGCTTGTGAAATTTTTTTGGTTTAACAAGCAAACAATTTCAAATAATGTGAAATCTTTATTATACAGTTTGTTTTGTACCTTGTATATGCTGCTTGGCAAATCCCAAGTTAATTCTACAAGACTCCGCCCAACCAGGTAGTCATCTAATTTGACAAACACTGAGTTAGGTGACTCCTTGGTATTCCTTTGGCAGTGAGTGTTTGTTATATAATATTGTCTGTTACCACCTAGACGATGAGCTCCTTGAGGGTAAGGACTTGATTTTATTCAGTATTGCACAGAGTGCCTGGCTTGTAGTTTCGATAAATCTTAGTTGAGTGAGTAGTTGTGATTAGATTTCATTAAAGAAGGAGATTTGGGCCAGGCACAGTGCCTCACACCTGTAATCCCAGCACTTTGGGAGGCCGAGGCAGGCGGATCACCTGAGGCCAGGAGTTCAAGACCAGTCTGGCCAACATGGTGAAAACCCATCTCTACTAAAAATACAAAAATGAGCCAGGCGTGGTGGCACGCACCTGTAATCCCAGCTATTTGGGAGGCTGAGACAGGAGAATTGCTTGAACCCAGGAGGCGGAGGTTGCAGTGAGCTGAGATCACACCATTGCACTCCAGCCTGGGTGACAGAGCAAGATTGTCTCAAAAAAAAAAAAAAAAAAAAAGATTTGGTGAGTATCGCATTATTTTATGCTATGAATTTTAACAGAGGTGATTTATGTTGAGTTTACATTGTTTTATTGGGAAGTACGGCAGTGCTTTCTTCAAGAAGTAAATATAGTATTAATGTCTTAGACTTTCTCTATTGAATTAATGTTTGTGTTGCAAATATTGTGAACTAAAAGAACTAAAGGTCATACTTGTCTCCATGAAATAAAAACAAACATTCAGTTGATATTAAATGACCAAATGTTACAGAAACGAGTAAACTGTTGGATTGAGTTCCTTAAAGAGTATGCATTTGTTCCTTAAAGAGTTCTGCATTTCATATCTGCCATCTGCTTGGCAGATAGTAAAAGATGCTTCTAGAGCTAGATTGAATGAATATGTACTTACTGAATTTTAATGTACTGCAAATACTTATAAAGGTCAACCACAAATGTTACAGCATTTACAAAAAGTGGCTTTCTCTCACTTTTTGCTAAAGTTTAATGATTTCAGATTTATTGTTCTATTAGAGCTTAACATGGGCTATTTTGTCTCCCTCAACTATATTCATAGTTGTCACTATAGTATTTTCTTCCCTTTGTTGCATTTTTTACCTTATTAAGGTGTAATTTACATATAAGTTTCATTTGCTTTTAAGTATATAATTCAGCGGCTTTAAGAAATTTGCCAAGCTGTGCAACTATCACCATAATCTAATCTTAGAACATTTTCGTCACTCCAGTAAGATCACACATACTCACTCCCAGTTAAGCCCTCTACTCACCTCTAGCCCCAAGCAACAACTAATCTACTTTCTGTCTCTATAGATTTGCCCTTTTTTGGACTGTTATTATAAGTGGGATCATATAATACATGGTCTTTTGTGTCCGACTTCTTTCACTTAACACAGTATTTTTGAGGTTCTACATTTCTTTAACTTGAGCTTTTAAAATTGAGATTATTCTGAATTAAACACTCAGCGTTAGCTTAAAATTTATTGAAAGTTTTACATGTTCTTTGAAAAAAAAGAACAGAGTGCAAGATGGATTAAGTTTATCATTCCCTACTTAATGACAGTTTCTTACTCACTTTAGCACATAAGTAAATGTGCTAGTAAATGCGCATTTTGTTTAAACCACCATTTTTCAAATACTGAGACATGCTTTCTCAGGGTGTTTTTCATACAACTGTTAGGACCAACTATGGCAGATCTGGTCAAATGAACTTGTTAGCCTGATGCCTGTAGCAGGGAAGGACAGCTTTTCAGGGCTTCTCTTCTCGAAACCTAAATGAAGTGTGAATACAAATTACAGCAGCTAGCAGCCTGCAGTGGGACTGAAAGTCCTTGGTGAATCTCCATCAAGCTGGGCTGTTTAATAGAACCAGTTTAGTGTCCCATTTTACTTGAAACATTAGATTTTGAGCACCTGCTTGGTACAAGCCATTTTGCTAGGCCATGTGGAATGGATGATGAGCACACACAGACCAGCTAACCCTAGTGGATGTTAAAATCTCTTAGGAAATAGAAGTCAAAGAAGTACAAAGCCATCTGTGTTGTAAGAAATGTGAACACAGAACCTGCCTCCGAGAGTAAGAGGGAACTTCTGGATTGATCAGAGAAGGTTCCATGGAGAGCATGACATTTGAACTAGAGCCAAAAGTGTGGGTGGGTGGTGTGTCTACCAGTGGATTTTGCTGTAGAGTCATCAGGACTAGCAAAACAAATGTGGTGCCATGGAAAGGCATATTTAGGAGACAGGATTGGTCCAATTTAAGCTAGAGCAGATGTCTTTTAGGTTGGGACCAAAATATAGAGACCTTCAATGCCAGGCTGGCAAAGATGGGCATTAACTGCAGGTGATTAATTAACAAATATTAATTCAGAAGCTACTGTGCGCTGCAGATTTTTCCAGGAGACAATAAAGAGATTTTGTTTTGATGCTAGTACTGTTGAGGTAACAGGTGAACAAGGAGTGACATCAGTTATGCAGTACAATGAGAGGATGCCACATAAACTTAGGCCCATATTCTAGAACAAGACAATTTGCTTGAGATAAATTGGTCTCATTATCGTCTGCATTAGTCCAGTTCTTTTTGCTTGAGTTTTGCAGGTAGTATTATTTGATATTAAGACGGAACACAGAGATGTTGTATTGTTTTATTTCCTGTAGAAAGACGAAGGCAGTTAAAAGAATTTCATAAACAAAACACTCCAGGCTAAAGGCAAAAAAGAAATGAACCTTAAAAAATAACAAGTTAATAATTTTGTTGGCAAGAAGAGCAACAAAAGCAACCTTCTGAAAGCAAGATACCTGGTCATTGAGAGATAGCAACTGTTAATGCCCCAGAAATAGAGGAATCTTTAATGCAGGTCCATTCATTCCACCTCAAACTCCTGAACAAAAGCTCTAATTGAGGCAAGTCTTCCTGGGAAAGGGGGCCTAACAGAAACATGTTATGGTCAGTTGTGCCCATGCGAGATAATTTTTTTGTGCTTGTAGCTAATTCCAGTAAAGAAGTAGATGTTTTAGAGGGTAACGTTAAAGGGGTCAGCTGCAAAGAGTCCTTTTCCTCCTCCTCACTGTTACAAAAGGTGACTTGTGGTTCTTCCCTAATTGAGAGCAATGGCAACGCCATAGGTGATTACTCATTTTGTAAAACTCTAATTACAAGTAGGTTGCTTCTGTGTTCAACATAAAAATTAGAAGTGACTTGCAAAGATGAGATACTGCAGGGAGGCTTACAATCTTGTTTTCAGTGTTAGTGTTTCAGTACCTGGAACAAAATGTGATTTACAGCCATCCTTTCTAAGAAAATTGTCATCATTACCAACATATTGCTACTGATACCAGTCCTTAATGTGCTTCATAAAAAACTCAATAATTTCATAACCCGTTAAAACCGGAAAGAAATGGAGGGAAGAAAAATAAGACACTTTTAGCGTAGTCATAATCTTCTCTGCCATATTGTGTTAGAATCGATGATACCCAAATGAGAAGATGTCTGTTCTCTGTCACTGATTCCAGTAGAATAAAATTATTGTTTAAAAGTAAGCACATCCGCTGCACTCCAGCCTGGGCAACAGAGTGGGACCCTGTCTCAAAAAAATAAAAATAAAAGTGAGCACACGATTGCAAGATCTATCTGGTTTTGGGGGCTTATTGTCATCTTTGGTTGTTAAAAAAATACTTGGATATTATTGGTTATTGGTCTAGTGGAATAAGCCATTACCGATTTGAGTACAACAGTGGTGTATTTAGATACTTGCTCCTAATTTTCTGTTCTTCAAGAAGGGATTGTACTTCAGAAACCAGAGATATCAGGGTAGTTTTGATTGAGCCATAAATTCTAAATTCTGATTGAAATGGGTATTGTAATAAATGGCATAATCTTTTATTTAATCTAGCCAATTGTGCCCTGTCCAGAGGAACTGGACATTTCTTCCTTATGTTCCATTTATTCAGCAACTATTCGTTGTACCCCTGCTGATGGCTAGGCTCTTTGCTACTGTGGAAGGCATCGTTGGGGCAGAGCAGACAGCATTTTACCTCCTGGGAGACTGGCAGATTTTTGAAGCCTTTGTTGCAGATATAGATTTTCACGGTCACCACTCTTGCCCTTTAATGTAATTTAAATTTTTTTTTTTTTTTTTTTGACACGGGATTTTGCTATGTTTCCTAGGCTGGATTCAAACTCCTGAGTTCAAACCTCAGCCTCCCAAGTAGCCGGGAAAACAGGCCTCTTGTGCTTTAAAGCAGTGATTCTCTGTCTTTAAACCTTGTAACTATGCTGTGTGGTGGAAATTTTACTTCCCCGTTTAAAGCCAAGATCTCTAAGGCCAAGAATTTTTTTTTTTTTTTTTTTTGAGATACAGTCTCGCTCTGTCACCCAGGCTGGAGTGTAGTGGTGCGATCTTGGCTCACTGCAAGCTCGGCCTCCCGGGTTCACACCATTCTCCCGCTTCAGCCTCCCGAGTAGCTGGGACTACAGGTGCCTGCCACGATGCCCGGCTAATTTTTTTGTATTTTTAGTAGAGTCAGGGTTTCACCATGTTAGCCAGGATGGTCTCGATTTCCTGACCTCATGATCTGCCCACCTTGGCGGCACCCCCCGCCCCCCGCCCCCCGCCCCCCACAAAGTGCTGGGAATACAGGCCACCATGCGTGGCCGAAAAAAATTTTTTTAATTGGCCTGGGCTGGGCGCAATGGCTCATGCCTATAATCCCAGCACCTTGGGAGGCCGAGGCAGGCGGATAACGAGGTCAGGAGATTAAGGCCATCCTGGCTAACACGGTGAAACCCCATCTGTACTAAAGATACAAAAATTAGCCAGGTGTGGTGGCATGCGCCTGTAATCCTAGCTACACAGGAGGCTGAGGCAGGAGAATCGCTTGAACCTAGGAGGCGGAGGTTGCAGTGAGCTGAGATTGTGCCACTGCACTCCAGCCTGGGCAACAGAGCGAAACTTCGTCTCAAAAAAAGAATAAAATAAATTGTCCTGGGTCACATAACTGGTTAAGTGATGAAATCAGAATTTGGACCTAGATAGGCCAGGATATTTCTGCTACACTCATGTCAAAATTACACTTTTTATTTTCTTTATAAATACACACAAATTCATTTCAACCTGTGTTCCCTTGTAAATGCATATACCTTTGATATAGGCATATATTCATCTATTATTTTACACTGTGCATTTCTGAATTTTTAGAATTTTTACTTGAAGTGATCAGGCTGGCGCTGTGGCTCACGCCTGTAATCCCAGCACTTTGGGAGGCTGAGGTGAGCAGATCACCTGAGGTCAGGAGTTAGAGACCAGCCTGGCCAACATGGTGAAACCCCGTCTTCACTAAAAATACAAAAAAATTAGCTAGGCATGGTGGCGCGTGCCCATAATCCCAGCTACTCAGGTGGCCAAGGCAGGGGAATTGCTTGGACCTGGGATGCGGAGGTTGCAGTGAGCTGAGATTGCGCCACTGCACTCCAGCCTGGCGACAAGAGCGAGACTCCGTCTCAAAAAAAAAAAATAGAAAAATGATCGGGGGTCCACAAATAAGAGTAATGATCAAGGGTCAGCAAATTGGGGCCAAAAATAGCCTGTTTTCCTGTTTTCTACACAAAAGTTTTATTAGGCACAGCCCATCCCATTTGTTTAAAAATTGTCTATGGATGTTTTCATGTTTTGGAAGTAGAGTTGAGGATCGCAAAAGAGATTGTGTTGCCTGCAAAACTGAAAACATTTACTATCTGGCCTTTTCAGTAAACCATTTGCTAACCCCTGATTCTCACTATAAGACGGTGACTGTGAAGTTCTTTCTATTTCACATACTGCCATATCAAGTTGATTTCTTTTGAGGTAGGGTTTGTTTTTTTTTGGTTAGAGATAGACTAGTATAGTGTTTGAGAGAATTTTTATGACCTTGGGCCAGTTAAGTAACCTGTTTTTTATGTGTGTAGTGTAGATGGTAATGTTATCTTGCATGTTTCTTGTAAGAATGACTTTAGGTAACTTATGTTAAACGCTTACCATCATGCCCAGTAAGTGTTCAATTTACAAACTCAAGCTGTCCAGATTCAAATCTTTGCCTTACAAGCTACTAACTGTGTAAATTTGTATAAATCAAATAACCTTGAATCCTCATTGCTTCTTTTTGTAAAATAGGGATTAATAAGACCTATCCAATATTTAACTATTTTGTGAGGATTAAATTAATTAATTTATAGGAAACACTTTGCATAATTCCTGGTATACAGTAACTGCTCAATTAACCTTAGTTGCTCTCTTAGTTATGGTTATATCATCATTCCGATCCTCCATTGCATTTGAAACATTAGCAAACTAATGTTTACTACTAATGAGGAATGTTAAAGGTAAACCAATAAGTTGACTTTTAATTATAAAAGGCATAAATGTAACCTATCCATATCTATTGGTATAATAAAGCTGATATTTAGAGAGAACATTATGTTATGATTAAAAGAAACATTTCTTGCTTAAATTTTTTTTGTGTGAATATACACTGTATATTGAAATATCTGCACTTAAATTTTAAATCCAGCTGAAAATTGGATAAGATAGTATTAGATGCCACTGCATTTCAAGATAGAGTTTTATTTCTTGCAGGTATTTTAAGCCTTGTGGGAGTTCTTCTGTTAAGTGAACAGATAGAGACACTGATACAGATGGCTCTTTCACCGTCTCATGTGATGATAAAAGCTAAAAGGTTTGATCCGAATATTGCTTATATTGGGCTAAGTGATTGACCTTGGCAGAATTAAATTATTTTTCTTCTTCTGGTGACAATTAATCTGGGAGAAGTACCATTTGATTTATTGCTATACATTTCACCAATATCCACAAGGCACTTGTAGGTACCAGACATGGCATTGGTTGCTGGGGGCACAGAGATAGGAACAAAGTGGCTTGCTCAGGTTGCTTCTAGCCATATCTGCATTGTCCTTGAGAGGGATGAGTCTCTCAGGCCTGCCTAGGAAGGAATTTTGGCAGCATGGAGAAGAGAAAGTGCTCAGCCCGGAACAAAAGTTTTCACCTACTATGTTGCAGAGAAGTTGGCGTATCAGTAATTATAAAGGAAGAATAGGGATTTACTGGGTGATAGAGCACCAAATAGAATGAATGCAATACATACTTGAAGTAAATCAGAGTAGCTTGTATTGATCTCAAGGGGAGAAGAAACAAAGCTTAGCTTAATTCTCATGCCTCTGTTGTTACTTGTTTGTAATGGACATGACACTTACAAGGTATCCTATAATTCACTAACGGGATTTTTACTTATGATTAATATTTAACTCTCCACAAAGCTTGGGGTAAACTGTGAACTTAACTTGCTGTGAACCCGAACATGAACTCACATACTTCAGTTGGAGGCCTCAGTAGTAGCATGCTGTACAAAAATGAAACTAAAGCTCCAGGGAGTATTTGGGAACAGGGCAAAAGGGTAATGGCTCCTCCTTATAGAGCAAGCCTCAGGCCTTTACCTTTGTGTTTTGAAGATGGAGAGGATGCACTTCTACTCTCGCCCGGGTTGTAGCATGCTTGCTAATGATGTCAAGAGAACTAGTGTCAGCACTGACCATAGATGTGACAGGTAACAGCCTGTTATTTTGTGCCCCATGTCATGGCAGCCATTGATTCCGAGGTGTTTGATACACACTTTGATAGAGGCAGAGTGAAGCAGGACATGGACAAGCATCTTTCCGTGTAGTTTAATGGTCTCAATCTAGAAAGCCCACTCAGATAATTAGGTTGCTTAAAATGTGATGAGACTAGGGAATAGAGCCATATAGAAGTGTGTGTGAGAGAGAATTCAGTGGTTTAGTATATTCACAAAGATACACATTTGACACCAGCCTGGGCAACATAGTGAGAACCTGGCTTTACCAATTAAAAAAAAATAGAATAGCAGAAGTAATCAGTGAAAGGCATTTTAATACAATTATATCTAGATTTATTAAAAATAAAATTTTAGTCCAATTTAATTAAAGGCCAGAAACTAGATTTTTAAAGAATATTAGTCTTTCTCATATTTTCCCCAAATCAGTTGCTTTAAAAAAAAAAAAGTGTGCAGATGCCTCAGGCACAATAACTGTACTCAACTCAAGAATTTGCAATTAAGAAAAAAAAAAATCAAACCTCAAAGAAGAAATCCAGCAACTCAGAGGTTCAGGTTCATTTAAACATGCATACATTTACATGGGCACACTTTTTTTGTTTTGTTTTGTTTTTAAGATGGAGTTTTTGTTTGTCGCCCAGGCTGGAGTGCAATGGCGCGATCTCGGCTCACTGCAACCTCTGCCTCCCGGGTTCAAGTGAGTCTCCTCTCTCAGCCTCCTGAGTAGCTGGGATTACAGGCGCACACAACCGCGCCTGGCTAACTGTTGTATTTTTAGTAGAGACAGGTTTTCACCATGTTGGCCAGGCTGGTCTTGAACTCCTGACCTCAGGTGATCCACCTGCCTTGGCCTCCTAAAGTGCTAGCATTACAGGTGTGAGCCACTGCACCAGCTGGGTGCACCTTTTTGTTTGTTTGTTTTGTTTTGTTTTGTTTTGTTTTGTTTTGTTTTGTTGACATGGAGTCTCAGTCACCCAGGCTGGGATTCAGTGGCACGATCTTGGCTCACTGCAACCTCCGTCTCCCAGGTTCAAGCAATTCTCAATTCTCCTGCCTCAGCTTCCCAAGTAGCTGGGACTACAGGTGTGTGCAACCACACCTGGCTAATTTTTGTATTTTTGGTAGAGATGGGTTTCACCACGTTGGCCAGACTGGTCTCGAACTTCTGACCTCAGGTGATTCACCCACCTTGGCCTCCCAAAGTGCTGGGTTACTGGTTTGAGCCACCACACCCAACCGGGCACACGTTTTTAGCCAAGCCATAGGTCTGATTAAGTACAGTCAGATTCCTTGAGCAGGTTACAAAGCTGTGGATTTGAATGGAGATCTTTAGTTCCCTTGCAGAACAATGAGTTTCCAAAAGCAGAGTGGCTTACAGCCTAACCAGCTGCTTCTCTCAGCCTTTAACCATTTTGCCCTCCTGAAAATTCATCTTTGGTTTCCAACCACCTCTTCCAATATGCCTGACTTTTTGTGATTCTGTTAGTAGAAGAGTAAAAAGTCAAGGGGAGGCAAGAATGAATGAATCTCATATAAAAATGATGCTCAAGAGAATCCCTTAATTTTCAAGACAGCAGCCCAAATTGTAAACATTGAGACTTTTACAGTGTTAAAAAAAAAAAAGTGTTTACAGGCCAGGCATGGTATCTCACACCTGTTATCCCAGCACTTTGGGAAGCTGAGGCAGGATGATCGCCTGACCCCAGGAGTTTGCAAGCAGCCTGGGCCCCATAGGGAGACCAAAAAAAAAAATTGTTGTTTTGGCTGTAGTGTCACAGGCTTATAGTCCCAGCTACTCAGGAGGCTGAGGTGGGAGGGTCGCTGGAGCCCAGGTGAGGTCAAGCCTGCAGTGAGCCGTGATCACACCACCACACTCCAGCCTTGGTGACAGTGAGACCCTGTCCAAAAAAAAAAAAGATTAAGGCAGAGGAAATGTTAAAGGTTACGCTATATTTAGTTGATAATAATGGTAAGACTGTTCAGGTGTTTTAACTATGAGAGTAGGGTTGCCTCTTTCTTAAATTTATATATGTTCTTATTGGGTATAATTTCTAGACAGAATATGCAAGTATCACAGAATATGGATGGCAATTTTATGTTGCTTGCACGTGACTTTAGGTTCTTATGTTTCATGATAGGAGCAAAGAAAAGTCTTGCTTGCCAATTCTTATGATTGCATCTGTTCTGGAAATTTACTAGCATTTGTTACCCAGGATTTCTGAAGTGCTGGTGACTGCTGCCCAGTAGTCTTGGTGGGCAAAGTTACTAAAATGCATCACGAATCCTTCTGGTGTTTGCTTGGGCTATGGCAGGGTTTCTGGACCTTAGTACTATTGATGTTTTGGGCCAGATAATTGTTGCGGATGATTGTCCTGTGCATTGTAGGATGTTTAGCTGCATCACTAGCCTCTACTCGATGCCAGCAGCACCCCCAAGTGATGACAATCAAAAATGTCCCCTGGGAGGAGTAGGGGATAGACTCTCTCTGGTTGCAAAACACTGGGCTATGGTGTTGAGATCTGCAGTGATGAGCAGCTTTAGATATGTGAACAGAAGCCCAGGCGTGGTGGCTCACACTTGTAACCCCAGCACTTTGGGAGGCTGAGGTGGGCGGATTACTTGAGATCAGGAGTTTGAGGCCAACCTGGCCAACATGGTGAAACCCCGTCTCTACTAAAAATATAAAAATTAGCCGGGCATGATGATGGGTGCCTATAATCCCAGCTACTTGGGAGGCTGAGGCAAAGAAATCACTTGAACCTGGGAGGTTGAGGTTGCAGTGAGCTGAGATCGTGCCATTGCACTCCAGTCTCGGCAGACAGACTGAGATGCCGTCTCAAAAATAAATAAATAAAAATAAAAAAGTGAACAGAGAAATACCCGTGCAATACTGTGTCTCATCCCCCAAAGACGGAGTCTTGCTGTCGCCCAGGCTGGAGTGCAGTGACACGATCTCAGTTCACTGCAATCTCTGCCTCCATGGTTCAAGCGATTCACCTGCCTCTGTCTCCGAGTACCTGGGATTACAGGTGTGCCTCACCAAGACCAGCTAAGTTTTGTGTGTTTTTTTTGTTTTGTTGTTTTTTGCTTTTTTTTTTTTTTTTTTTTTTGAGACGAAGTCTCACTCTGTCACCCAGGCTGGAAGGCAGTGGCACAGTCTTGGCTCACTGCAACCTCTGCTGCCCAGGTTCAAGCGATTCTCTTGCCTCAGCCTCCCAAGTAGCTGGGATTACAGGCACCTGCCACTGCGCCCGGCTAATATATTTTTTTTTTTTGTAGTTTTAGTAGAGACAGGGTTTCACCATGTTAGCCAGGCTGATCTTGAACTGCTGACCTCAAGTGATCCATCCATCTCGGCCTCCCAAAGTGCTGGGTTTACAGGCATGAGCCACCAAGCCCGGCTGGTCTCATTTTAATGTAAGCTCTAACTTCTGTATCACTGCTTTGCACATTGTAGATAACCAGTGAACATTTTTTATTGTATAAGAAAAAGTAAAATAAACAAAAATATGCCAAAGCAAATATGATAAATACACATTTAGTAAGGTAAAAGCAAGTATTTGATAAAATGTGTAATGTAGTCTAGTAGCTTTATTTAGAAACAGAAAACAACATAAAATGTTGACTTGAAACATTGCGTATGCATATTTGCCATGTAGACAGTGAGATATGGAGGTAAACTGCTTTCCTAGTTTTGTTTTGTTTTTTTTTTTTTTTGTTCAAAAGGAATTCACTCTCCCCTTGTCCACTGTTATAAAATAGCAAATGGTGATTAGCATCTGTGCTGTAACCAGAGACACTGCTGTTCCCAGCTGGAATCTGTAGGTTCTTTGCCTGCTAGAGATTGTGACAAGAAGCCAGTTAACATGGAGAGGTGTACATGTCAGTCTTCCCCAGAAAAGGACATGAAACAGTAGGACCATCCTTCCAACCCATGACCTACATCTAGAGGCATTCTTTTTTTCTTTTTTTTTTTTTAAACCGGAACAGAAATATCATCTAATTCTTTCTTTACAGAGAAGTGGTATAAGGAAGTACATTCTGGCCAGGCACGATGGCTCATGCTGTAATCCCAGCACTTTGGGAGGCCGAGGTGGGTGCATCACCTGAGGTCAGGAGTTTGAGACCAGCCTGGCCAACATGGTGAAACCCCTCGCTACTAAAAATACAAAAATTAGCCGGGCGTGGTGGCACACACCTGTGGTCCCAGCTACTCGGGAGGCTGAAGCAGGAGAATCGCTTGAACCCGGGAGACGGAGGTTGCAGTAAGCCGAGTTCACTCCATTGTACTCTAGCCTGGGTGACAGAGCGAGATTCGTCTCAAAAAAAAAAAAAGAAAAGAAAAGAAAAAGGAAGTATATTCTAAGCCCTTGAATTGATCTTGGCTTTCTTCATTATTTTTACAAGTAAAAATAAAAACTTTGATATTTCTGATGTTCTGGGATATTATAGGAATGATACCACTTGAATTCAGCTTTCTAAGAAGTCTGGTATTTCAATAGTCTTAATATGAGTAAGAAAATTATGATCTTGGTACTGGATCTAAGGCAGAGGTATCGAAGCTGTTTTAATGTTGCTTGAGATAGGACAGAACTTCAGAGTAAAATAAATGTGTATAGACAATCTGTTCAATCTGTTCAAATTAAGTTGTTGAGCTGTATATTTGAATCTTAAGACTACTAATTTTGTTGTATCTGTCTTTTCCCAAATATATGTGTACTTCTTTTAATAAGCCAAAACCTATGCAACTTTTACTAATTCTTCCCTAACTACTTCTTTTGGAAAATGATTAAATCTTATGTCTCACGTTTTGACATATCTATTGCATTTAAAAGATAAGGTTGATCATGCTGCTTCTCAAACTGAGATATCCATTCGAGTTATCCAAGGCCCTTGGAAAACAATCGTTGTTGAGTCTGTATGGGGGGCCTGAGTCCCAGGTGGTGTTGACTCTGCTGGTCCATGATCCTATTTTGAGTAGTAGACTCTAGTAGCGTCTCCTGCCTTCCATATGGTGCAGATTTGCAGCATTGAGACAGGAAGTAAGAAACTGAAAAGGAAAACCATTCTTACCTTTGGTGTTATTGTTCTTGGTATATTACAGATACCAACAAGTATGAGGCAATCCTGAGACATCTACCTACTGAGCTTTTCTTTCCTTAAATTCACACCTCAAGACCAAGGAAACCGAAAAACTCTTACAGTCTCCCTACATGTGTTCACTTGTGCCCCTATTTCCTGTCATTAACATGGTAGTGTAGCCAACTCCTGCTAGCCTGTAAAAGCTAATTATTACAGTATAGAGGAATTTTGTAAGCCATAGCCATTAGTAGCTTGAAATACCAATGGTGGGAGTATTTATACCATGGCAGTTGGCATACACTGTAACTCAAGAGTGTTCTATTTGTTTGTTTTTCTAGACAGTGCCAGTTTCCCAGCATACTCCTGTCTCTCATTCAGTAAGAAAAAGCACTTCCCCTTATTTTCCAATACAGGACATGATATCCCGAGTTTTGAGCTTCTTGTTAATAGCCTGTTGCACGCTAACCACGCAGCTCAGTGAAGAGCAAGTTTATTCCCATAACAAACAGGAAACAAAGGTTGAGGAAAAACCACAGTGGTACCCTTTTGTGAGTGTTCCCTAACACCGTCACGGGAGTCCTGATTAGTCTAAATACTTTACAAGTAAATCTCCTTCAGGTGGCATTTTATAAACAATCTTTCATCATGGAGAGATGAGAATTGGGTCAGGTATAATTAGAATGACAGATGTATTGGCTAGCCTGAGAGAATTAACGCAATTCAGTAAAAAGGCTAGCCAACTGCGGATATCTTCTAGTTACTTCCGTGACAAATTAGCACCATCCTCTTGTACTGAAGCAGTGCTTTCATTAGCATGCACAGCTGTTTGCATCATCTTTGTTTGTATTTCAATCCATATTTGGAGCTTAAGTGAGATTTGTCATAAGACTTCAGTTCAAGCTTGCTTGCCTAATTTTACATGCTTCTATTTAGTAAAATATGATTACTAGGTCATAAATATTTGATAATTTATTGCCTTATTAGAGTAATTTTCTAAACATGTTTTTTGACGACTGCTTGCCACTACGTACAAGCACTTGAAAAATGTTCTTTTCTATTAAAAGTACATGGTTCCAGAATTGGGAAAATCACGTTCTTAAAAAATAACCAGTTTTCTATTGTGTTGGCTTTTAAAATTTTTTCATCAGTAGAATCAAATGCAAATATTGTCTGCTTATTTTTCAACAGAATACAAGTTTGATTTTAATAACTTAGGCTCATGAAATGTCACCACGTAGTAATACTTAGAATTACAGCAATAACTTAGGCTAAAAAAATAAAGTTGTTATGAACTACATTGAGCTCAGACAGATATATGTATTATGTAAACATTTATATAAAATGTATATAAATTGTATATTGTATTATATAATTATATATTGTAATATATAGTATATAATATATAATTTATAAATATAATACATAAATTATATTTATAAATTATAAAGTTTTTATATAATATATTATAATCTAATATATTATAATTATATTTATAAATTATAACGTTTATTTGAAATATTGAAGTTTTGTATACTTAGTGGATTTTAATATTTATGTCGTTTTCATTTTATTCCACTGTTACATTAAGGAAGTAACTTATTACAAAAATAAATTATATTTGTCTTACATTTGCCCTTTTTACTCTACTTAAAATTGGAGAAAAAGAGTTCAAGATAGGGAATTTCTGTCAGAAAGGAGAAATAGTTGTATTATGTGAAGTTTAAGTAGATATTCTTGTAGAGTATGGAGAAAATAATGCTATAAAATGTTGCCTTTTAAAAAAAAGTTCAGAAAATATAGTTCCTAGCTCTCTCTAAATGACTAGTTTGATTGTGACTGCTTTCCCAAAATTTGTAAATTTAAAATTTATACATCACATGGAATATAGTTTTATTTCACATACATTCCAGTAGGCTGAGAATACTTGAAATTCAATGATTAAAAATGAAATAATAATAACCAGCTTTGCTTTATTCTAAAACCAGCTTTATTCTTTATTTACCACTTTATTTACAGCGAATTATTTGCTAATCTGTTAACTTTGCTTCATAAGAAGGCATTATAATTATCGTACATTTGAAAGTGGAGATTTTCTCCCCATTCTGGTTGCCAGTTTCACAACTGTGTTCATTCTAAATTTATTAAAATATGTAAAATCAGCTTTCTAACCTTGGTTGTCCACAAAGAATTTCACTCCAATTTGAAATATCTATTCAGAACTAATTTTTTGTGGTTGAGCATTATTTTTTGAACAATGAATTGCATAATCATTTTGTATAATCCAGGGAGCTCTGGCTTAGATTCTGTATTATTTTGTGTTATACTGATTTTTAGAAAATGGAATGTAGCGTTGACACGAGCACAAATCTCAGCAAGGGCCTACCTTACAAAGATAAAATGCGTGGAGTTTTATTAGAAGCACATGATTTTGCTTTGTGTTTCGTATACACCAGCATTTCAGTGTAGTAAATGGCATTTTGTCTTGAAGAGTGAGCAGAGTTGTTACAAAAGAAGGCATAATGCTTCCTTGCCAGCAGAATTCAGATAAGTGAATATCAGAAAAGCTATTTGTGATCTTGAAAGTGTAAGAAATTCAACATCAATAAAGGATTGTGGTTCCTTAGATAGCCATGTAAGTCTTTGCCTATGTTTCTAACATTTCTCTTTAGGAAATATTCTTGCTTTTATTTTTCTGAACAAATTTTCTCCATTATTATCTCTGATATTTACTTTGAACAGAAAGGTGGATTGGAAATCAAAAAATAAGTTTGATTTCAAAAATGATTTCAAAATGTTAGTTTTCTCAGTATTTTACATTTTGAGAAGAGAACAAAGAAGGCAGATGAAGAGTTTTTTGTTTTTTCTTAAATTTGTTTTCTTTTCAACTTTATTTTTAATTGACATAATAATTACATATAGTATACATTTTGAAGATACGGTTTTAATTTTCACAGGAATCTTATTTGGGTTTAGTTATATAAGGTCTAATTTTGCATCCTCTACATTTAGTGGCTGATTTATAAATTTCCACTGAGTGATAATAGTAATTAATGTGAAACAGGTTTTTTGCTGATGTTTTTAGAAGTTTCAGTAGATTAGGAAGGAAGAAATTATGCTATTGAGAAAAATAGAAAATGTAAACATAAGCATTTGAACTCTCTCTTGAGATATTTTTATCTTCCATGAAACTAGATGCGGCTTATTGAAGATGTGTTTCAGGTCTCAGTGCTCTAAAACTCTTCTACTTGGTGAGCATCTTGATTGGTTAGATCTCTTACTAATATCCCATTGCTAGAGAGGGATGTAAAGGAAATTTTCTCAAACTGAGATTTCCAAATCTTCCAATCTCTGAGTCAAGTAAAGAGACAAGGTTAGAACTCTTAGGCAAACTGAAAAATCAATATTCCTATATTATCATTATTTTTTTCTTTTTTTGACACCAAGTCTCACTCTGTCGCCCAGGCTGGAGTGCAGTGGCACTATTTTGGCTCACTGCAATGTACGCTTCCCAGGTTCAAGTGATTCCAGTGCTTCGGCCTCGCGAGTAGGTGAGATTATATGTGCACGCCACCATGCCCAGCTAATTTTTGTATTTTTAGTAGAGACAGGGTTTCGCCATGTTGACTACGTTGGTCTTGAACTCCTGACCTCAGGTGATCTGCCCACCTCGGCCTCCCAAAGTGCTGGGATTACAGGCTTGAGCCACCATGCCTGGCTTCCTATATTCATTTTTTTATGTGGGCTTTTTAAAATCTTTTCAATAGCAAAGACTTGACACCAACCCAAATGTCCATCAATGATAGACTGGATTAAGAAAATGTGGCACATATACACCATGAAATACTATGCAGCCATAAAAAAGGATGAGTTCACGTCCTTTGTAGGGACATGGATGAAGCTGGAAACCATCATTCTCAGCAGACTATCACAAGGACAGAAAACCAAACTCTGCATGTTCTCACTCATAGGTGGAAATTGAACAATGAGAACACTTGGACACAGGGCGGGGAACATCACACACCAGGGCCTGTTGGGGGGGTGGGGGGTTGGGGGAGGGAAAGCATCAGGAGAAATACCTAATGTAAATGACGAGTTTATGGGTGCAGCAAACAACATGGCACATGTATACCTATGTAACAAACCTGCACGTTGTGCACATGTACCCTAGAACTTAAAGTATAATAAAAAAGAAAAAAAATTAAAAATCTTTTCTTTGAGACAATTGTAGATTTACATGCAGTTGAAAGAATTAATAGAGGCCGGGCGCGGTGCCTCACGCCTGTAATCCCAGCACTTTGGGAGGCCAAGGCAGGCGGATCATGAGGTCAGGAGATCGAGACCATCCTGGCTAACACAGAGAAACCCCGTGTCTACTAAAAAATCGAAAAAAATTAGCCGGTGTGTGGCGGGTGCTTGTAATCCCAGCTACTCAGGAGGCTGAGGCAGGAGAATGGCGTGAACCTGGGAGGCGGAGCTTGGCGAAGCCTGCAGTGAGTGGAGATAGTGCCACTGCATTCCAGCCTGGGCAACAGAGCGAGACTCTGTCTCAAAAAAAAAAAAAAAAAAAAAAAAAGAATTAATACAAAGAGACCCTGCATAGTCTTCACTCAGTACAGTATCACAACTATTAAATTGACATTAATCCCTTAACACTGCTTTAACCCAAGTCTATGCTGCTGCTTCTCCGTGTTCACTTCTGAGAGGCACTGGCCATTTCTTGTGTGCTTATTCATACTTTGTGTAAAAGCATTAGCATCATACATCGCTGGTGCTGACCCTACCCTCAGTCCCAGCTTCTCCCAGAGTAGGCTAAGATTCTCTTTTCTACTACATGGAAAATTGTTCTGGAATAATAAAGGGTTAGCAAAAAAGTCAGAGAAAACAAACAGTTGCATTCCCTTTCCCTGTAGTAGAGTAGGAATATAATTATGAGTGATAGAGGATACGTTCCATTCCTTTCCCAGTCCTCTCCGAAGTCAGCTTCACTGCTGTAGGAAGTTGCTGTTCTCATTATTTCCCTGAGGGAAAGTGTTGGGAAGTGAGAGTTGAGGTGATGGGGAATCAGGGTTGCTGACAATTGGGGGAATTATAACGAGAAGCTCTTTTTCACCAGGAGAGGGGTTGCATGTTAAGAGAAGGCCTATCTGCTCATCCTCCATGTCAGCAGATGAGAACCAGTTGGACAAGGTAGCTGTCTCTTAGAGATTGAGAAGTAACAAAAGCACACTGTCAGTCCTGTTCTTCCAGCCTCACGTACATCTTCTCCATACATTATGTATTTGACATTAAATTAACATACACTGTTACACCCATTCCTGACCGCATTATCTCAGGTAGCCTTTTGTATTTGAGTATTGTGGGATCTGTTGCTATTGCCCATGATGCCCACTTGGACTCCACCAAGGCAGTGAAACTCTTGGGGGCCGTTCAAAGTCAAGAGTGCCAACTGCCCCTAACAGGATTGGGAGAACCAACCAACACTCCCCGAATAGGGACTAACTCACTCTTTTCTTGGCCTTTATGAAAGGAAGGAGTTAAGGCTCTTACAGCTGGAGACTCCAGCAAGAGTTGTAGGCTCAACGTGTAGCTTATACTATTTACTTAATTAACATGTAAATGGATTTTGAGTTCTGAATGCTTGTTCTAGTTGATTAGGGCTCATTTAGCCTGGCTTCTACGAATTAGCTATAACAAATGGTTTCATAGCTGTTATAGAATGAGGCAGAAGAAAATAAAATGAATGTAGCATTATGTTTAATTAGTGGTATAGGAAAATGTTAATATAATGCCATTTAGATTCTGGACTGGGGAGATTGTGCCTTTATCATAAGTAAGAAATTGTTGCTAGGTTTCACATAAGGGCACATAGTTATCATGAATCATCTCCTTCGATCATCATTCTTTTATCCCATTACTTGACTTGCACCCATCCAAAATTCTACCACTTTTATTTAATATATAGACTCATAAAGACAAGGTTTGTGCATCTGCAGAGCTGTGATGTTCACTGCGAGGCCCGTGGCACACATCTATAAGAAGACACATATTTGGTACTCTAAGATGATACTTTTTTTTAATGCCAAAATGTGAGGGTCAGCATAAATTGCCAAGGCATGGTAAATTTTGTTGCCAATGCTCCCGTGACTATGGGGTGAAGGGATTCTGTGCCTCCCTTGGTAGCAATGACCACGGTGCTTGCAATCCCAGTGCCAATTCCCGGCACAGTGCAGGCTCTGGAGGCACTGCTGCCTTGCAGTCTTATTGGAATTAACACTGCCTGAGTAAGAGATTAATAATGGGTATTGTTGTGTCTTAGAAACGTTAAAGAGCATGTGACATGAATATGTACACATTGGTGAAGGAGATACAGAGAAGGAAAGCAAAGTGAAGCTGTAGATGTTTGTTACAACTGAAGGTAAGCTCTGGGAGCAGAGACCACTGCTGGCTATAGTTGATGGGATCCACAATGTCAATACAAATGGGGACTAACTATTGTTTTACTTCCCTATACACGTTGCTCTTTCAGTAGATGCAATAAAGTACTGGTAAAACCAGAGGTGGCTACCATCACGATGATGTCAACAGGAGGGACAGTCAGCACTAAGCCCAGAAGGTGTCAAACACTCCGCAGGAGAAATGCGCCATGCAACGGACATGAAGATGATCTGACACTCTTCACGTGGTTTTCAGATGGAAACGTGGCTACGAAAGCATCAACCTCATTATCATCCATCATTAAGGCCATCTCACTCAGTACTGCTGCTTTCAAAGTCCACGCTCCCAAAGCAAATTGGATTTCTGTACACAATACTCTTACAGGATGAAACCCAACCAACTTGTTGACGTAAGTATCCCATCTACTTCGCAATTTTATTTATCTTCCAAAATTAAAGGACTGGCACCCTGATTTATTAAAAGTGAATTGGGTCTAGGGACCATATCCCCTCTGAGTTACTGACAGAGCAGCTTCTGGCCTGTGAAGCTCAAAGCCATGCCTAGATGTGATGGATCCTTGTCTTTGATTGGCTAATTAGAATCAATCTGTTGAAGGACCAGTGGCAGTGGCTCACGCCTGTAATCCCAGCACTTAGAGAGGCTGAGGCAGGTGTATCACTTGAGGCCAGGAGTTCAAGACCAGCCTGGCCTACCTGGTGAAACCCCATCTCTACTAAAAATACCAAAAAATTAGCCAGGCGTGCTGGTACAAGGGTAATCCCAGCTACTTGGGAGGCTGAGGCGCAAGAATCACTTGAACTCAGGAGGTAGAGGTTGCAGTGAGCCAAGATTGTGCCACTGGGCGGCAGTGCAAGACCCTGTCTCATAAAAAGAAAAAAAGAATCTGTTGAATATTCCTAACTTGGAAGTAATGGGTGATGCGTGGCTTTCATCTTTTAGAAAGGTGTTTTTTCCTCTGTCAGTAAAACTAAGAAGACATCTGTGTGTGCTAAGGCGTCAGTCTAGCAAGGGCAGGGCACAAACCCAGAGAGAGAATTGGGCTGTTGTTTCACTTCCAATAAAAATGGGATATACATGGGAGGTAGAGTTATAATTCTACTCAGGATTGACTTTATACATGCAATTGGATGGGTCACTGATTGACTTTGAGGCAATCAGGGATGAGTGAAACTGATCTTGGGGAGGGTGGCAAGACATGTTGACAGGTAAGATGTGTTTTAATGTATAACAGTGCGTGGTGTGTATTAATCAGTTGGAGTTGATTGACTGCGTTTTATTGTTTGGAACATTCCTGCCCAAGGGTCAGGTAAATATACAAAATATACAAATAATACAGATTTTTAATACATAAATATCAATTAAGTAGCATAATTAAATAATACATTGTTATAGTTGTACTTAATGTGTATGTAAATATATACAAATAATACAGATTTTTAATATATAAATATCAATTAAATAGCAGAATTAATAATACGTTGTTATAGATGTACTTCATGCATATGTAATTAAATTATTAATGTATAATATATAAATACATATTTTAATATACAAATAAAATGGTCTTAAATCAGAGTTAATTTAAGACCATTTATATTAGTACATATCTTAATATACAAATGAATGGTCTTAAGTTAATGTCATTGAGTATAAGTCACATTTACAGATATGACATGTGTTTCCAGATAAAGTCAATGGACAGACAGCTTCCAACACTGGAAAACATTCAAAATATATGCAATTAATTTTATATTTGAGTTAAGGCAATCATTTATTAAGGAAAGCAATCAGATGTTTGTGAGGGCTTAAACTTTCGCTTCATAACCAAAGCAGTTTCCTTACATGAAAGTTGACTTCTTAAAAAGAGAAGTTTATTTTTTATAATGGAGAATTGTTGTGATGTGCAGATACCTTCCGTCATTTCATACTCATCTAAAAGCAGCCAAATGATCTTTTCACCTTTGGCCGGAATCCTTTTATTGCTACCGAGTCCTGCACTCATTAAACCAGATGACAGTGCATGCTCTGAGAGGTGTAAATCTCTAGTCCTGGTGGCCAGTTAAATTCCTCAGTAAATGTTTGGTAGATGCTGCCTAATAAACCAGTCCAGGTTGCCACTGGGAGGATTAAAAGAAGTAAACGTGTATACATGAACAGAGAGACAGTGCCTTTTCATGCTAAATGTGGTTCCCCACATCTCCTCTGATTAGAGGTGTGCTCTGAACAAGCCGAGACGGGGCCGTGCCGAGCAATGATCTCCCGCTGGTACTTTGATGTGACTGAAGGGAAGTGTGCCCCATTCTTTTACGGCGGATGTGGCGGCAACCGGAACAACTTTGACACAGAAGAGTACTGCATGGCCGTGTGTGGCAGCGCCAGTAAGTGGACCCTTCTTCGAGCCTGGCCACCTTTCGTCTCTCTCGCCACTGACTCTGCTTTTTGTAACAGATTGATTTTCCTGGTTCTTGGGAATGGGCCTGTTGCTACCACTAACCACATTTCTGTCCACTTCTCTAATTGCTCAGAGTCTCCGCAGTATGTTCAATCATGAGCACACCTCTCCGTCTTTCCCTGATAAAGCATGGCCATGGATGTGTTCTCTTCCTAGCTGTAGCACATATGTCTTGCAATCCAGAGGGACTTTTGAGTGCTTCTCTTTTAAACAAAGCTGGAGTGGCTGTTTTGTCTTCTGCAGCCAGCCGTTTCTGCAAATGCATACTTATGTGTTTGTCCGTGTACATATGTGTTCATGTTTATGCATGTGCACTACCTGTGCAGATACTGTCTACCACTGGAAGCCTGGCTGATGCAGCTTGAGTTGCATTGATAAGGTGTATGGCTGTGATGAATACCTTTAAGTTGGTTCATAACATGTCTTTTATTGTGCTGATGAGGGAATGTGATTGAATTGAGCTCATGCATCTCAAATGCCGGAGGGTAGAAGTGCCCGTCTTGCCCCCTCCGAGCTCAGCACACAGACATTTGCCAGGTCAAACTTCTGCTTCTTCTCTTGAAAGTAGAAGAAAACTTTTGACTTAACGTGAGAAACTTTCAATGACATAAGGCTCGAGGAACATAATTTTATTTTTTTTGTTTTTTTAAAGACAGGGTCTCATTCTGTCTCACAGGCTGGAGTGCAATGGCGTGATCTTGGCTCACTGCAACCTCCGCCTCCCGGGTTCAAGTGATTCTCCTGCCTCAGCCTCCCCAGCAGCTAGGATCACAGGCACATGCCACTGCGCCCGGCTAATTTTTTGTATTTTTGGTAGAGACAAGGCTTCACCATGTTGACCAGGCTGGTCTCGAACTCCTGACCTCAAGTGATCCACCTGCCTTGGCCATCCAAAGTGCTGGGATTACAGGCGTGAGCCACTGCACCCCGCCAGAACATAATTTTCAAAGTCTTTCTCTTGAACATTAAGCTTTTCATAATTCCGGGGGATAAAAATATGAAGTCATGATGACTTAAGTGCATGATGAAATTTTCCCCAAAGAGGTAATTCTCAGGAGGTCCAGTACCAGATGTGAGACTTCCATGTCGTTAACAGACTTCCAAGTGAAATTCCCAATTGTGCTTATTTATTTATTTATTTATTTATTTGTTGTTGTTGTTCATGAGTAGGAAGTATGAACTACTCAAGAAGTAATTATTCAGCTCAGCTTGATAACTAAAAATGAAACTCAATAACTGTGTATTACTTTTTTGAGAGACTCCTGCCTAATTCTCCGCTGTGTTGCAAGGGTGGCAGCCACATTTCCTGCCTGAGATTCCTAGGGATTATATAAATTGTTTTGCAGCAAGATCTTAGGATTAAGCAAAACAACAGAAGGGCCTGCACCATTAATACCCCCACTGTAAAGGAGCCCAGGATCTAAGAGGAATGTAATGGAAAAGCTCCTGTTGGTCTCCTGCCATCGCCAGTGAATGAGATGACTGCTTCAGTCCCATGTGTGAACAGGTGTAGGAACTGATAACCTCAAGGGCTTTTTTTTTTTTTTTTTCTGGCTCTGATTGGATGATTGCAGCTTCTGGCTCAAAGGACTCCCTTCTTCAGTTTCAAACAAAGCAGTCAATTAGGTCAGGTATTGCGAACACAATGGAGAATTCTGTTGCCTGCAGCCTTTGGAACAAAGGCCTTTTGTTACAGTGATTCTCACTGGTTTAGCCGGTGGGAGAGGTTTCCTGGCAGATTTGCAACTTTTTTCTCCCTTTCCCTGGGTGGATTCATTTTCTGAAATATCATGTATAGTTTTTGGTAATAAGAGATTTATTTGGTTTTAATTATTAGCAGTGATGAATTTGCTTCAAGAGATTAAAATTCTCTCCACCTCACCCCAGTACTGCCATCCCTTCACCTAACACTCTCTCCCTTTGATCAGTTTGGGCTGGGAGTGACCAGTGGGCACCTGTCCAGGTGTCCTGGGTGGCACACAGTTTGCTGAGGGTTTTGCAAAAGGTCGATGCTCCCAACAGAGATGTATTAGATGAGGCTAGCTATGCCTGATTTTAGAGGGGAAAGGTGACAGAATAATGTATGAAGAAGGCAAAGGCTGAAGATCAGTTAGATGGGTGGACAAGAATAAGTAGAGAGTATAAGCCTCAGCAAACAGCCAGAGCCGAGAGCCACATGCTGTCCTATGAATGAGTGAAATAAATGGAGTTTTTGTGAAAAAATGCATCGAAGGGAATTGGGGATATTTGGCACAAAAGGAGCAAGAAATCCTCTTCTGTTAAGAAACCTGTTGTTACTCGGATATACTATCAGAGACAAAATATCCAGCATTCTCAAATGTTAACTTCTTACGAAAATAGATCTTATGTTTATATGTTCATTTTGGTTTTGTTGGAGGGACCAAACCTAAGTGAGTGATTTTGTTTGTTAGGTTGTTTTTTTGTCAGTGGACTCGTGCATTTCAGCCATCATTCCCATGTTTCTCTTTTTGTTTTTAGTTATGTTCTCTTATTTTTTCCATAGTGTCCCAAAGTTTACTCAAGACTACCCAGGAACCTCTTGCCCGAGATCCTGTTAAACGTACGTTGTCATTCACCTGAGGGAAGGGAAGAGGGGAGGAGGATGCTGCTTGGTTCACATAACTCCAGCATCATCACCTTCTTTGCATGGTTTTGTGTTTCTTGAACACCTGTCTTAGTAAAATGTTTCTTCCCATTACCTTGCTTGTAATTACATCTGATTTTGCCAGACAGCTTGAGATGTTGGGCTAAGAACATCATTGACTAAGTTTCTTCTATTTCTGACCAATTTCCTTTTTATTTAGTCTGGTTTTATTGAATATTATATGGACAACATCATTGTATTGTATTTGCCATTACTATTTTATTTCCTAAAAGCTATCAGTGTAACTGAGAGCAGGCTTAGCCTCTCACTGCTTTTGCAGAACTGAAGAACAAGGGCTAGGTGCAGTGGAAGGAAAGTGACTTTACTTAGCAAAGCTAGCAATGGGGAAATGGTCCAGGCTCCTGCCTCAAAGCAACCATCTCAAATTTTGGATTAAAAAACAAAGGCTTAAAAAGGGGAGCTTGGAATGCAGGGCATGAAGGAGGGGTGAGGAGGTGCTGCTATACAGGACTTGTTCCAAAGACTTGAGTTATTATCCAGTTCGGTAAGTGGGCTGGCGCATCCCGCACAATCGGGTTGTAAATTAACTGCAGCCTTGAGGTGATCTCCTGATGAGGGAGAATTCTGAAGGTGCCTAAGTCAGTCAGTGGAACTTCTAAGCAAGCATTAATAATTTTAATAATAATTATAAGCGTAATTAGATAATGGAAGCGCTGTGCAGGGAGTGCCTGGTGGGAAGAAAGAGAGCAAAGGTTACCATTTCATTACTAAAACTGGAAGGAAAAGAAAGGAAGAAAGATCTTTAAAATAGAGTACTCGGTTACATCAAGATGCCATGATTTAACAAGAGACTATAATACATAAGTAACTTGTTTCCTCAGAAAAAGTACTTAATATTCATGGTATTGTAGTACATGGACTAATTCGTACACGCAGATTTCAATTTATGTGTGTTATAAGACCCGGTTTCAACTTTAGACATGAAGGGTCACTTTTAGACATTAGGAACCCCTCTTTCTCCTCTCCCAGAAGGCATAATGGTAGGTTAGAGGTGCTCACCTTTTGACTAGGAAGTAGAGAAAGAGCCTCCTATAAAGAAATGCATTGTCCAGCCACTGCAGGCCTTACTTACAGTGTCTTATGTTTTGTTTTTATTTCAGTTGTAATATCAGACGAGTTTAGTTTTAAAATGTGGTTTTAGTACTCATATTTGAATTTGGATTCCATCCAGAAATAGATTTATCCAGTGTTAGGTTAGGGATGATATATGCCATTTATGCTTATGATTGCTGGAAGAAGAGGCACAATTTCAGTTGTAACTTAGATATTTTATAATTAGCATTTGTGTACATTATCCTGAAAAAAAAAAACCCTCATCTCAAAACTGATGAAGCCAGTTATCTTTTTTAAAGATGATAAATTATAGATGAAGGATTAGGTATTTTAAAAAAGACTGCATCCTAAACTATAAAGTTTTTTAATGGCCTCCATAAAATATTCAGAATAATTCACATTATGTATAACTTTTGAAGGATGTGGTTTGTACTGCTGCAACATAAACGTTTCTTTTGCTGTTGTGAAAAAAGCATTTTTCTCTAAAAACACTGTAAGTACAGCAAGTGGGTTGACAGACTAGGAAAAAGCTCTAGCTATTCCACTATAGTGTTGACATAGGTACGCATGTTGAGTTGCATTGTACCGAGCATTTTCACAGATCATTTAATTTTTCTTCAGAACACTTTGTGGGCATTTTCCTCATTCCTTTTGTACATACGAGAAAAAATGAGGCTTCAAGAGCTTAGTGACTTGTCCCAAGCCATCGAACATGGCAGGACCAGGCTTTGAAACCCAAAATGACGTTTTGGCCGCACTCCACACCAAATGGCTAAGCATTGGTTCTGACATTGTTTTGCCGGTTAGTGAAATCACATTTGCGATTCAGAAGCACATTTTAAGAATACAGAAAACAGTGAAAAGAGGATGAAGAATGTTAACATTTTTTCCTAAATGCCATGAATAGAGCACGCATCAGTAAATTAAATGTCTTTCCCATTCTTTTATAAAACAGTGATTATTTTTCTCTTGTTTCATTTTAGCATTTATAAGAATTCTATTTTTCCATTTTTAATAACTGATGGAAACAAGCATCATTGTCTGATAAATTTATTTTCATGCTGTACACGTAACTACCACTTTCATCATCCACTGTTCCAAACAGATACTGAAAGTCTCTTTTGTAATTTTCTCCTTCCCAGTAATTTTCTCCATCTACTTGCAGTGTATTTGGGATCCTGACACCTTTCCATTCTAGGAGGATGAAGTGCTTTGGGCAGCTATATTTTCTTGTCTGCCTACAGAGACTATTCAATCACAGCAAGTGAAGGGTTTTGCAGTGCTAGTACAAACAGACAAGGAAAAAAACATATAATTTCTAGTTATTTATAGCCTGTGCAGCTATGTGGTCTTATTTATAGCAAACTGCACATTTGATTTGAAAAAGTCATGGTCATCTGGAGGTCAAATTCAGATGGCAGACTCAATTCAGAGAAAAGGAGCTGAACTAGAAGGTAAGCAAGCCTGTTAGACTGGGCAACTTGGACTTGACTTTGCTCCTTCAACAATCTAGAGCCAGTTGGATGATATTTCTGCACAAAGGTGGTTGGTTTTACAGGTTGCTCAGTCTAAGCTGCTTCTAGTCAAATAACAAATGTGAAAGGAGATAGAAAAAGCTCTTCAGTTGAACTGATAAAAGATTACACTTAGGGAGAAAATGTATGATGGTTTGCATTATAAAAACAATAATTTGCCATAAATCAGGCATTTCTAGGTTTCAAACTTTTGTCATAAAAACCAATTTTGAGCATTGCAATTTTAGGGACATATTTTATTGTTGTTATTTTAAATAAAAATCTAAACCACAAATATAAGGCTGAGAGCTTTCATTTTATTCGTGAACATAGGAATTCAAATCATTAAAAAAAAACCCTTTCTCATTTGGGATAAAGAATCTTACGAGAGCTGAGTTAATTTCTGACATTAGTTTTGCACCTGCCCATTTGGGTTTAGGACAGTGCAAAAGGTTTCACATTTAATCTTCAAAATATAGTATTTGTAGACAATAAAATTATATAAATATTTGTGGATTCATTTATATTTTAAATATGAGAGTGTGACCATTTTTTCTGGTGCTGTCTCCATCAGACTGCATCCCAAAAGGCAAACAGACCAACTCCTTAATGGCATTTAATCTCTCAAAGAGCATCATGCCAATTTTTAGTCAGCAGATTGCACCATGTGATCTGGCCAAAGTGTGTCCCATCTCAGGCTCCTTCATTTGCGCTGACATGTGGTACAAACAACTAAACCAAGGTTTCTCAACCTCAGCACTATTAACATTTTGATTCAAATAATTAATTTTTAGGAGTCTGTCCTAGGCATATGGGTGTTTAGCAGTACCCCTGACCCCTACCCACTAAATGCCATTAACACAACTCCAGCTGTGATAACTAAAAATGTCTCTAGACATTGCTAAATGTGCCCAGGGGGTCACATTCTGGTTGAGAATCCTGTTCTAGAGTAGTAGTTTCCCCACATCTGACTCAGAGATAGAACTCTCCTGGTGTAAACACGTGTACTTTCCACAAATTTGGGGGCATGTTGAAATGTTAGAATGTCAGCATCATCCAATTCTCGACAGATGTTTGAAATTGAATTTGTTAGACTATTGTCCAAGCTCTCAATATTTGCAAGGTAAAGTGGAAGTTGCTGTTGCTGTCCTGACTATAGTATTGAAGGTCTCGTAGTTTTCCTGCTCTAATGTAAGCTACTGTGGCAGCAGAAGAGAAACCAGCAAATCCCTTAGTTTGAAGTCATTGGTTCACCTATGCACCACCCCTTTCTCCTCTCTGTTTCATCTTAGTTTCCTAGAATCCCAGGATATGCTGGAGGACAACCATCTGTAGAGATGTCCTATAGTCTTGCTACACAGGTTATTTGTACTTTAGGATTATGTTTGATGGCCTTATAGTTTGTGCAGAGGTGTAGGCCTGACCCCATGCAGGATTGAGGGAGGGAAAAAGATTGATTTCTAGGCACATCAGAATGGTCCAGATGACATGAAACAGACTGGTACACTTACAGAGAATATGAAAAGAATTGGAACTTAACAAGTCAGGCCCCAAGTTCCATCCCCAGGTTCCAAGTTTGTTGCCGCAGAAGCTCATAATTTTCAAATCGTAGAAAACTCACACCACGCAGCCTTTCAATGGAATATGCCACCTTAACCCCAGGGTCGTTGTAAAGACAGGAGCCATAAGACAGAAGTCTGAATGCCTAGGCCATTTAATCTTTGGCCAAATTTGAACTATTGTTCTTAATCACACTATTCTTGTTCTTTTCACTGTGCAGTAGCAAATGTTAGTTCCCATTAGCACATTCTGCAATACCATTGGAACTAAAACTGCCAAATTAGATTAGGCAACCTGGGATTACACTTTGCTCCCCAACCAACCTAGGGAGGGAGAACAATTTTAAAGCATTAAAAGATGTGATGGTGAATTAAACTACCTGTCACGTCAGTGCCAGTATATTCTATCAGATTAACAAGTGTGAAAAGCTAAATCTTTGGTATCTGGAAATGCTTAGATAGGAAGAATGGCTTTTTCTTCAAAGCCATAATAATTAGAGATGACCCTAAAATTGAAAGGAACTGGATTGCTTAGCAACTCAGCATTTTTTAAAAAGAAGGGCCATCTACTTTGAATACAGGTTAAATATCTCTTCTCTAAAATGGGACCAGAAGTGCTTCAGATTTTGGATTTCGGAATATTGATGTATTCATGATGAAATAACATGAAATTCATTTATGTTTCATGTACACCTTATACAAAAGTCTGAAGATAATTTTATACAATTTTTTTTTTTTTTTGAGATGGAGTCTCGCTCTGTTGCCCAGGCTGGAGTGCAGTGGCGTGATCTCGGCTCACTGCAACCTCTGCCTCCTGGGTTCAAGAGATCCCCCTGTCTCAGCCTCCCAAGTAGCTGGAATGAATGACAGGCGCCTGCCACCACACACAGCTAATTTTTGTGTTTTTTAGTAGAGATAGGGTTTCACCATGTTGGCCAGGCTGGTCTTGAACTCCTGACCTGAAGTGATCCACCAGCTTCGGCCTCCCGAAGTACTTCGATTACACGTGTGAGCCACCACGCTTGGCCTATACAGTATTTTTGATAATTTTGTTCATGAAACAAAGTTTCTGTACGTTGCACTGTGAGAGAACAAAGGTGTTGCTATCCCAGCCACCATGATGTCATGTCAGTGCTCAAAAATTATCAGATTTTGGAGCATTTCAGATTCTCAGATTAGAGATGTTCTACCTGTGGTAAAAGAATGTTCATTATGTCTCTGCTCTGTTGTTTAGCTATTTGCCAAAAGAGGGTAAGTGGATCGTTTAATAAAGTGGTCAGCAAATATTTTTCATACAAGGCCAGATTATAGATATTTTAGGCTTTGTAGATCATGCAGTTTGTCATAACTACTTAACTATGCAGTGGTAGCATGAAAGCAACAATAGACAATAAGTAAACAAATAGACAAGGCTGTGTTCCGATAATACTACTTTTATAAAAGTAGCCAGCAGCTGGGTGCAGTGGCTCACGCCTGTAATCCCAGCACTTTGGGAGGCCGAGGCGGGCAGATCACCTGAGGTCAGGAATTCGAGACCAGCCTGGCCAACATGGCGAAACCCCATCTCTGCTAAAAACACAAAAACTAGCTGGGCGTGGTGATGGGCGCCTGTAATCCCACCTACTCAGGAGGCTGAGGCAGGAGAATCACTTGAACCCGGGAGGCAGAGGTTGCAGTGAGCTGAGATCACACCATCGCACTCCAGCCTGGGGGACAAGAGCGAGACTTCATCTCAAGGGGGAAAAAAAAGGTAGCCAGCAAGCTGATCCTTGGTTTAATACAGCAGGTTTTTTTATTTTTATTTTTATTTTTTTTCCAATAGCTTTGGGGATACAAGTGGTTTTAGTTACGGGGATGAAGTGTATAGTGGTGATGTCTGAGAGTTTAGTGTCCCCATTTCACTGAGTAGTGTACATTGTACCCAATACGTAGTTTTTTATCCCTCTCCTCCTTCCCACTCTTCCTCATTCTGAGTCTCCAATGTCCATTATGCCACTCTATGCCTTTGCATAATCATAGCTTAGCTCCCAATTTATAAGGGAATACATACTGTATTTCCATTCCTGATTACTTCACTTAGAATAATGGCCTCCACCTCCATCCAAGTTGCTGCAAAAGACTTTTATTTTGTGGTTTTTCTGGCCTACTAGTATTCCGTGGTATATATACACCACATTTTCTTTATCCCTCATTGGTTGATGGGCACTTAGGTTGGTTCCGTATCTTTGCAGTTGTGAACTGTGCAGCAGTTATTTTTGACCCCAGGATGTGCGAGGCCAGGTATTTTGAGAGACACCAGCAAAGGAATCTGAGTACTGGCTATCAATACCTGATAATTTTATTAATGAGTTGAGACCCAGATATGCCGTAGAGGTAAATAACCATATAAAGGAAATATAGAAGTGTAGGAGAAGATTGCTCTGGAAGGCTGGGGTAAAATGAAATCAGCTTTATCCTTAAGACCTCCATAGAGGTTAACTGTACCATCTCCTTTTACTGCTACAGTTTATATGAAACTGGACAATATTGAAGATTTTGACTTTTCGAACTCATCTATTGAGTGTTGAGCAGCTATGACAGGTTATTTCTTTATGTGCCTCCATTAACGAAGTCAAGAATAGCTTCTGACAAATTGACAAAAAACAATAACCTAAGGTTAACCCATTCTGGACGCCAGTTATTGCTATTGCTTCACATATATTTTTTAGATTCAAACTTGAGGTTGCTTTTAAGTTTTAGTGTGATGTGCTGAATAGAGAATAGATGTTAATAAAAAAATAATGCCAGCATTCGTTCCTTCACATTCAGTTCATATATTTGAAAAAATTCCCATGTCAGTATGTGTCCATGGACATAAAAAAGAAATGTAGCTTGACTAGAGTAAACACATCATAGATTATATTTTTATTACCTTATGTCCATGTGATGCATTGATAGTGTTCTCCACCAACTATGATTGCACTGACTATAAAATTGTAATACAAGGGCATATTAGGGGGAGAATGCCTTTGTTTTTTCTTTTGTTGTTATTTTGTTTTTAAGAGAGTCTGGTATTACACTGGAGGATCACAAACTGTATTTTCTTGTTATAAATGGCTCCTCTATCTTGGACTTAATGGTTAGGATAAATATTTGAATGTAGAATGCGTTAGGAGTTTTAACTATTTTTGAAATTAGGAAAATGGAGAGACACTTTTTTTTTTTTTAGAGACACTTTTTTTTTAAGTTATAATAAGCATGGCACTCGGAAAGCTCTGCCATGTTTCAAGATTAAAGTTTCACATGAACGCTAACAAGTTTATATTTCACTCATATATAAATGATCCTCCTTGTCTCCTTTCCTAAATTATAGCCATCTCAAATGACAACATTGCTGGGTCGGTATCAAATAGCATTTTCAATGATAAGGCAATGATTTATATAGGTCTTAATTTGTTTTAATCTTCTGTTACCAAGGCTGTAGAGATAAATTGCTTTTCTGCTGATGAAAGGAGACTAACCCAATTTTCTTGTTAGAATCTAATATTAATATATCGACTGAATGCCATTCATAAGCCTTGGTTTAGGGAAACATTCAGCCTTCTGGCCTGTTGGAGATGGCCACGGTCATTGCTGTTTGAAGGTGGGTCATTTCTTCTTTTGTGTCCTGAGTCCATTGTGACTGTAAAATTATGGGTCACCCCAGAGCCTGAGGAAACAAATGCATATCAAAATGATAGGGGCAATCTTTCACAGTGCCTTTAATTTTGACCCCACATTCTTATATGAATGTGAAGTACCACATTAGTATGAATATGAAATGGAGTGCTCCGCAATGATTACAAAATCAGAACTAAAATGAGGGAAATCAGTGCATGTACAGTTCAACTTAATGGATTATCCTCTAAGGAGTCTTCAGACAGGCTAGGAGAGTGACGTCTGCCTCATCCTGAAGATATTAGCAGGTTTTCCCCTGTTTTAAAGTAACTTCCCTTCAAATGCTAACAGTTTTCTCAGAGGAAACACAGGTATGGAAAATGTTTCGTTGGTGTCTTGGCCCCAGTGATGGAGGAGCATTTTGTGATAGGAACGTTGGGTGCAGCATCGCCATTTATGAATAAACTGAAAGCTAACCTGTGTTACTTCACCCCAGAAAACAGAGCTCTGGCAGGTATTGAGAATAGATCACAGTGTGAAGTGGCAGTATTGTGACAAGCATGCGTGTATCAGTATTAAAATTGAAATGAGCCCTCACGCACATGTGAAAGCAGTTTCTCCCGTTTTCATATTCAGTTCCCTGAGGTAATACAGCATTTTGGTGTGAGAGAAAGAAGGGAATCTGACCCTTCTCGTGTGGGAAGGGGGCTGAGGGCAACAACCTCCTGTGACAGCCACCCTGGTCCAAGCCACCTTCATCTTTGTCTCCTTTTTTTTTTTTTTTTTTTTTGAGACAGAGTTTCGCTGTTATCACCCAGGCTGGGGTGCAATGGCACAATCTTGGCTCACCACAACTTCCGCCTCCCGGGTTCAAGCAATTCTCCTGCCTCAGCCTCCCGAGTAGCTGGGATTACAGGCGCCTGCCACCACGCCCAGCTAATTTTAGTATTTTTAGTAGAGACAGAGTTTCTCCATGTTGGTCAGGCTGGTCTCAAACTCCTGACCTCAGGTGATCTGCCCGCCTCAGACTCCCAAAGTGCTGGGATTACAGGCGTGAGCCACTGCACCCAGCCTGTCTTTTCCTCTTAAAAGATCTTCCTTCTACTTTTGTCCCATAGCAGCCAGAGTGATCCTTCAACAAAACGCCCCATCACATATACTCCCCCTCAAACAGCCCACGCTGGTCCCTCAGAATCCTTACTGTGGCTTTAAGGCTGTACATGATGTCCCCCATTTCTTCCCTGCCTCTCCCACTACTTCCTCTCTTGCTTCTTTAGCTCTGGCCATGCGGGTCTCGTGGAATTTGCCAGCCAGCTTCAACTCTTAGGGCTTCCGTGCTAGTTTTGTCATCTGCCTGCCATGTCCTTCCAGCAGCCAGCTGGGAAGATCTGAATGTCACCTCCTCACTTAAGACTCTGCCTGGTCGCTCACTTACTGCGGTCTACCTTTCCCCTCTCCCCTCAGCTCTCCCGATCCTTCTGAACTCTGCTCTGTTTTTCTTTTTCCTCTTTTTCTCCATAATACAAATCACATATTAACAATATGACTTACTGGCTTTTAAAAAATTCTTGTGGTAATTGTTTCTTTCCCTAGAATATAATTCCACCAGGATCAGGGCCTTCATGTTTTTCTCATTGGTTTCTCCCATGTGCCTCACATATAATAAGGGCTGCAATGTTGGTGGGCTGGAGGAATAAAAGAATGAACAGGCGCACTAAAGGCAGGATAGTTTGTCCATGTCAGAGCTGCTGTCTCAGCTGCTTTGATACCTCTGACTTCCCAGGGTGGCAAAGAATAAGGATGTGGCTTATGTAGAAGGCGTTAGTCATCCAAAATGCCACTGTATATTTGGAAGCAAATATTCACCTTGAAGCAGTGATGTACTAGGAATTAGAACTGCTTTTCTGTTACATTTTTTCATTTGTTATGAGTGTTTAGATACACATGATCACTATTAAAAGGAAGGGAGGTAATAGCCTATATATCCTACCATGCCCCTCAAGGCTCTGTTAGGAGACTAAAATACAAAGGTCATTTAAAAAGTTAAAAGCTTATGCATGTGATGTTGGTATTGCTGCTAATGACTAGGCATCTAGAGGTCAAAACCTAGAGCTAAGGATATTGAACCCTGTGTTTTGTCTCGTTTTAAGTCTAGGTTTTTGTGGAGGGGGGAACATACCTAGCCAGCTTGCTTGCAGAAGGCATGAGTGAGCAGGCTGAAGGAGGGACCCAAGGCCAGAACGTCCTCCATATTCTAGCTCCATGGGCTCTTTCACTTGATCCCTGCTTTATGACCCAACTTCTGTTGAAGGATTTGCCAGATAGTGTTTGGGGCAGGAACAGCTGTTTCATAGAAAACAAGCCAACGGACATCATAACAAAGCATATGGTTGTTTTGCCAAGTTGTGCTGCTCATTAACAAAACAAAACAACAAAAACCCTTTACAGTGCCCCAGCATGTGGATGGATTGGCCCTTTACTACTCTAAAAATTAGCTTTACAGCCTTTTTATGGCTTACCCAATCTTAACAGACTTTATTTGTGTGTGTTTAGGGATGCAAATGGGTATGTTAAATGATAGTGTTTTGCCTCTACGCAATAAAATAGGGTAATTTTTTCTTCCCATGTATTAAACGAGAACACAGAACATGCCTAGCATGGTGGGCTCTGATGAAAAGAGGCTGTTATCATTTGGCCAACATGGAAATCCTAGCCTTTATTTATTTATTTATTTGAGACGGAGTGCCAACATGGAAATCCTAGCCTTTATTTATTTGTTTGTTTGTTTGTTTGAGACGGAGTTTCGCTCTTGTAGCCCAGACTGGGGTGCACTGGCATGATCTCGGCTCACCGCAACCTCCGCCTCCCAGGTTCAAGCGATTCTCCTGCCTCAGCCTCCCAAGTAGCTGGGATTACAGGCATGCGCCACCACACCCTGCTAATTTTTTTATTTTATTTTATTTTAGTAGAGACGGGGTTTCTCCATGTTGATCAGGCTGGTCTCAAACTTCCGTCCACCTCGGCCTCCCAAAGTGCTGGGATTACAGGTGTGAGCCACCCCATCCGGCCGAAATCCTAGCCTTTATCAGAGGTTCCGTGGAATCTCAGAGGTCTGTGAGCAGGATAAACTGCTTTATGGTAGTTTAAAATGCAAAACCAGAAATAAACCCTCCTAAAGCCAGTTTGTTTCCACTTTCTAAGTGGTTACAGTGACCTGTGTTTTAAGTACCTTAAATATATCAGTGACCTGCTGATATACAGCTTCCTGTTTCCTCTGTGTCCTGTGACATATCCTGACATTCCTTGAGCCCCACTCCCTTCCCAAAAGGAAGTACCTTGATGGGTGAGGACATAGGGCACACGTGTCTCTGGCCTTCTGTGGACATAATCACAAAATGGTAGTCAGTCCTATGAATTTAATCTCTTTAGGATATAAGGATATTCACGAAATAGAAGTTGAGCTCTCTGGACATACTCCACCTTAAAATTGCTCTCTCCTTCCGGGATCCTCACCAGCTGCAGAGCAGTAGTAATGAACTATTAAATTCATTTAACAATATCAGCATATGCTATCCTTCTCTGCTTGACTAGACAGTAATCTGGCTTGCTGGTTGGTATGAATATAGGATAATTTCACTCACACTAATTGAGATGGGGAGTTTGTATGAATGGCTGAAAAATTTGAGTTAAAGATAAAAAGAGACACAGCTTCCTCAACTATGGGAAATAACTGGGACTGTTAACAAAGATTTACTTGAAGAGAAATTGTATTGCTCAGGGTTCTCCAGAGAAACAGGACCAATAGGATATATATGTATAGGAAGAGATTGATTCTGCAGAATTGACTCACACAACAATTATGGAGGCTAAGTCCCACAATCTGTTGTCTGCAAGTTGGAGACCCAGGAGAGCTGGTGGTATGATTTAGTCCAAATCTAAAGGCCTGAGAACCAGGGAAGACAATGGTGTAAATTTCAGTCCAGGGAGAAGAGAAGACCAATATCCTGACTCAGGCAGCCAGGAAATAAAAAGGGTGAACTGCTCCATCCTCTGCCCTTTTGTTTTCAGACCCTCAGCAGATCGGGTGATTCCTGCCCATGTTGAGGAGGGTGATTTACTTTACTGAGTGCACCAATTCCGATGCTAATCTCATCCAGAAGCACCCTCACAAAGACACTCAGAAACAATGTTTAATCTGGGCACCTTGCGGCCCAATCAAGTTGGCACAGAAAATTAATTACCACAGAAATATTTCTGGATTCAATGGATTAAGTTGGTAATATAGTATTCATATTCATTTCCACGTGCCTAAAAAGAAGGTTTTTATCCTTTTTAATATCCTCAGTCCTATTAAACATACCTCACATTCATGTTCCATGGTTATTCTCTTATTATGTTGCTAAGTGCATTTCTACTTAGGCCAATCTGATTATAGTGATTCAGATTATAGTGTTTATCTTCTTTCCTTTATACAGTAGACAGTGTTCGCAAACCATAGGAGCTGAAAAAATTTCCTTCTTATATAGTAAGTTTTATGATTCCAGTTTTCCAAAGGGGTGCTTATGTTATGGTTATAACAGTTACAGCCAGATGACTATCTTCATCAGCAGGTATAACCCCAAATATTTATACATTTTCATTTGTTTCAAACATAAAATATGGTTTGCCTAAACATGTCATTCTGCCAGATTGGACTATGCAAAAGAATGTTACTGTTTTATTTTCTGCTTTTACTTTAACTTGTTCTCATTTGAGCTCTACCAGTTAAGATGAGAAGATGACTAAAGCTAGGGAAGCACATTTTAAATGCTAAATACCATGTTCATTTCAAGTTGGGAACTTGAAATGCAAGTATTTTTAACTTAATCATTAAGTTAAAGTCAGTAAGAACGTGGTATTTAGCATTTATTCATTTTAACTTAATGATTAAGTTAAAAATACTTGCATATTGGTTTGCTTGAAGCTATGGAGAAAAACATTTACCTTTTTTCCAAAAAGGTCTTAATATTCAAAATTATTGTTTCAATCTTACAAATTAACAATTTACTTATTTTTGATACTTTCGGCCTTTTTTATGTGGGCTACACCTAACATTTTTTGAAAAATACATACTGCTTTTCCTGTAGGTTGCACTTTGTGATCCTGTGTGTAATTCATTTTCAGTGGTTCTATTTTATTTATTTTTTGTTAGTTTGTATTTTCTTTTGTTTCTTTTTCTCAATTTTTAAAATTTTAAAACTTGTCCTTTTCTTTTTTTTCTTTATTATTGCACTCTTCTACCAAAACATTTTCAGTGGCTTTGAATAAAAGTATCAGAACTTTCCCGTGGTTAGCATTAGCTCTGAGATTTGAACAGGATGTATTAAGCAGAGGAGGAGGGAAGGCCACTAACATGTATGAGCTCCACTGTGTGTCACCCTCTCTGCCGGATGACTTACATGTGGTATGGTATCTCATTTTCCCAGCTCTCCTATCATGTCCTGCGGCATGTTATCACCACTTGATAAAAAAATTGAAACATGGAGTGCTTAAGTTTCCTGCCCCAGGTCACAGCTGATCTGAAAAAGAAATGGGATTCAAATCCAAATGTGCTTAATTGCAAATCCCCACATGACTCTTTCCTTCCTTCCTTCCTTCCCCCGTTGCTGCCAATGTAAGAAGGAACACCACTCCCTCATTTGCTACAGAGAAGACAGGGGCAGCTGTGTAAAGGCACCAGGAATATGCCCTGCCTCCTTCCTTCCACTTGAAAGCAACATCTGGATAGACACTCAACTGCTTTTATTTTTTGAAAAATGATTATTAATCAGGATTGAAGTGGAGGGAAAAAATCAAAACGAATGTTTCTTTTTAAAATGAAAGATACTGTTTAATTATTTAACAGCCTTCCGGTTTTAGTTAATATCTTTGAAGACTTTGGATTAAGATTCCAGACATTTTCTTGAAGGATGTAGAAAACGTATTTAACTTCAAGTTTAGTTTCAAAATGACTTAGCTATCAATTCTTCTCATTGAAGTCCTCTTTGAGATATTATATCCCAAATGTAATACACAGGTAATAATTCAATAGGAATACTTGGAACATTGGTGATATTTGAATAACCTTTTGAATGAAACAATTGATTTGATCTCAAAAGATAGTGAAAACGTCTCATTTTGTTTTTTATGTTAAATATGCTTCCTCTTAAGTCAAAATTCTTTTTTCTTTTTGCTTTTAAGCTCATAAATACTCTGAATTCTCACTAATCTTTTGGAAAATTGCTTGTATAGGTATTATAATTCACTTGGCTCATGAGTTACATAATATAGCAGTATATGTTGCAATTCAAATATTGCTTAGCAGTATTAGTTGAATTCAAAATAGAAATCACTTTCTTTTTGACAACTAGCATAATGAATTCATTGACTATTGTCAAATTTATGAAGACAGAAAAGTCCTTTTGTGATTCAAAAATGTGTTTATTGATGTTTATATATCTTTTGTCGTGTTTCCATACTGTCTCATGAAGGTTGTCTTCGTAATTCAGTTATCTAAATACATCATACATTTACCTTTTCCCTGGGGTGCCGTTATTCTACAACAGGCTAATTACAGATATCTGTGGTTTCTGCAGGAGTCTTAGTGTATGATATTGATGATATCATCATTTACTTTCAAAATTGCAAAATAGTAATTTAGGAAAGCATGGGGATTTGGAAAAACATGTCTTCAGCACCAACTGTTTTTGCTCTTTGCATGCTTGTTTCGTAAAGAACTCTAATGCTATAATTGCAAAATGGACCATTTTAAAGATTTTTCCTTCATTCTGTACTTGGGAGTGGTGAAAGACATCCTTACTGTGCTGCACAGTGTCTCATGGTGTTCTCTTAAACAGCATTAACGTCTTGTATGCGCTGCTTTACTAAATTCTCTGTTCTGAGAAATAACTGAAAATACGGCTTTCTATTAAACGAGTGGATTATTCTGTTGTTGTTGGCTTTTTTTTCTCAAACCTCCTTCTCTTCTACTTTATAGTTCCTACAACAGCAGCCAGTACCCCTGATGCCGTTGACAAGTATCTCGAGACACCTGGGGATGAGAATGAACATGCCCATTTCCAGAAAGCCAAAGAGAGGCTTGAGGCCAAGCACCGAGAGAGAATGTCCCAGGTAAGTCTGGCTCTTCCATCATTCAGCCCTACGATATTGGGAAACCTGAGCTTGCCTCTGCCTCAGTCTCCCCACAGGCCTGCTGGCTTTATCAAGATCTTTAAAGATGTAAAGTTCTAATTTTAAATGTTTACTGTGTGGGCACAGTTTGTGGGTTTTTTGCATCCTCCGTGAACATGCTGCCTAGGAAGGATCCAGGTATAGTTGGATTTTGTAAGCACAAATTAAATGATGTCTGTAACATTCTCTCTGGCGAAGAAAGGTACTTGGCATTATTATTCTGTGTATATGTAGTACCTGTAATCAACATGTTGTAAATTAAAATCCATCAAAATGCTCTTTAGTAAAGATGAGGTTTTGTATTAAATCCCAGACTGTTATAATTGTGAACCTACGATTGTTTACAGTCTGTAAAATCATAGAGACTTAAAACTGAGCTGAACCATAGTGATTATTTCATCTAGTCTCCTAAGTGATACATAGTGGAATAGAGGTTCGAGAGAGTGGCTTCCCATTTTAGCACAAAGCAAAATCAGTGAGCCAGAGACAACATTTAGAATCCAGGCCTTTCTTGCTCCTAGTACAGTACTCCTTTCATTATACTTTGCTGAAAAAAAAAAAAAAAAAAAAAACCTGTTTTGGTTTGGTTTGTTTTTTTTTAGCAGGTCCTTAATTAAGCAAATTAAAAAATAACTTATGTCTAAAACATGGCTAATCCATATATACTATCAACTACAATTGAAGCTATGTCTGCTACCAGGCACTGGATGTTGTATTGGAGTTTGATAATATGGAGGATTTTAGCCCTTGCTCAGATTCCTCATTCATTCATTCATTCAATCAACAAATATGGACTTATTATTTTCCAGTCACTTTTCTGATTTGTAGTCTACAAACCTAGGAGTGAATGTGGGGGGAAAAGAAGTAGGACATAAAAGTGAATGAATAAAGATCTCAGGTTAAAGTAAGCCATTCATTTTTAGTGTTAATATTCTGTGGCAAATATCAGAAGATAGGAGAAATTTTTGTCTTAGCACAGATGCTTAATCTCTTGAGAGACATTAAATGCAATTTATGAATTAGACTGCTGCGTATTTTCTAAGATCACAGTCAGTCTTTAGTAGACAATTAATCTTTCCTGTAATTTCTGATCTGGGTCCCTGCTGACCCCAGGAAGATTCCTCCCTCCCAGGGCCAAATGAATGGCCCCTGAGCATGTCTTTCCCATGCAAACCAGTCAATCAAAAGCTCCTTACTCCCAACCACCTTCTTATACTCTGGGCCACTATTCACCTGCTCTAATCACCCCAGGACCAGGTACCAGACCACTAGGGACAACCTCATGCCCCATCACCATTATTTGAACTAATCAGTCCTAAACCCGCCTACCCTGCTTCGCTCATTCTTTCCATGAAAACCACAATAAAAGGCTCTTGCTCATGTTTTCCCCTCCTGACCAACCCTGGTGCTTCCCATATGACCCTGCATGTAGTGGCATGTACCGGCTTCTTGGGAGCTGAGTAACAAACTGTCTTTTCCATGATAATCATCTCCTGACCTCTTGGCCTCACCTGAATAATAAGAAAATCTACCCTTGAAAACATAAAACTAATAGTTTATCTAGAAAGGTACAACACAGGTACTGTTTTTTGTTTGTTTGTTTTGTTTTTTGTTTGTTTGTTTTGCCTTAAGATGAATAACAATACTTGGATCTACTTTGGTATAATAACATAAAGAGGAAAAAAGCCTTATAATCACAGTACTTTTGGCTCTGGAATATAATGTGCAGTTCTAGTGGCTGCCCACGATGAAAACCTAACAGCTAATTGAACTAGAAAGCTAGCCACAGGGAATTATTAAGTTTTCACCTGATGCCAAGAAAATCAGATCTTTCCTTAGGAAAGACACAGGCACTGTTCGGAAAGCATTGGAGGACTATGAATCATACTTATTGCCACTGAAATGTCCTCATTTGAATTTACATCCTATCTCCCTTCTTTATGAAGCTTTCAGAGGCTTCCTGTGCCCTCACAAATCCACTTCTGGGCACATGAAGTCGTAAAAAAAGAACAATGACAAAAATAAACACCGAATGCTCAGCTTGTCATTTTCAGCGCCTACCACTGTACCCTGACTCTGGTCTTCCTACCACCTCTTCCTTCTCAACTGCTACCCTTGCTTTCTGTACAGCGTTAAGCTGCTGTTCTGATCAGGCCACTCTGCTCATCGTCTGTTCATCTCATCTTGGGCTTCCCTTTGCCCTTGGCATTGAGTTCTTCTGGAAATGCCCTCCCACTCTTCTTCACGCTGACACATCTCACCCATTCCTTACACCCCACTTCATACTCAGAATGAGACAGGCAGTCATTGCTCTTACCTTTCATTTAATTCTAAATATTTGCTCCCCGGTTTTGTTAGTGATTTCTGGACACACCTGCATTATCTTTCCAAGCTGGATAGAAACCTTGAGACCTCAAGTCATGAAGCCTGCTACCTGCATTCATCGTGGACCCACTGTAGCATTTTTTTTAATGTGTGTTTTTTTAATCCTGGATTTTTTCTCCTAGTATATCTTGTTCATTTTTGACCTTATTAAGAAAACTTATTTCAAATTCTCTGTTAGTTTTAGATGTGACAGGTCTTCTTTAAAATAATAATTTAACTTTTAGCACATCTGTGTAACTTGTGACTTAGTTCATGATTTTGTAGATTTTGTTCATCTTTTAGTCATCAGATATATCTGATATAACCTAAGAGATGTTGTCCCAGAGCAGAGAATGTTGTCTACTAGATTCCAGTGGTCATAGGAATGTGAGACACCTGAAATCAATATGTATCTTCATAGTCTGTGGTGCTGAAATCTAGGGACTTTTCAACTTTAAACTTGCCTGCCTCTTAAATCTCTACTTAGTAGTAGTCATTTTCTCTGCATGAAACAGCCAAGTCTTTGAAGATTGATAAATCCAAATGAAATTGATACCTTTGTGCCTGCAGTGGAAAATTGCTTTATAAGAATCCATAGAGCCACTGCAAGGGCCAGGTCCTGAGAATTTTAAATTTTAAAAATTGTGCGGTTTTTTAAATTAAGTTTTATTGTAGTTTTTGTTATATGTTTTCTTACAAATACAGAGGATTTTGGAATTTTTTCATATTTTGGTTTGTTGTTGCCATTGTGGAGTATAACTCTAAACCTGTAGATTTTTGTTGCTAAACCTGTAGATTTTTGTTGCTATATGTCGTGACTAGCATCTAGTCAAATAGAAATCTACAGCTGAACCATGTGTGAGCACTTTTATTACTTATAAACTTACTACTTTTAGTATATGCTTAAAATGAAGTCCTTCAAATTGAAAGCTGACCCAACTCATAGGTTTTTATTTCTTTTCTTTTTTGGAGATGGAGTCTTGCTCTGTCACCCAGCTGGAGTGCAGTGGCACAATCTAGACTCACTGCAACCTCCAACTCCCTGGTTCAAGCGATTCTCCTGCCTCAGCCTCCCCAGTAACTGGGATTACAGGCACGTGCCACCACGCCGAGCTAATTTTTGTATTTTTAGTAGAGACAGGGTTTCACCATGTTGGCCAGGATGGTCTCGATCTCCTGACCTTGTGATCCACCCGCCTGGGCCTCCCAAAGTGCTGGGATTATAGGCATGAGCCACTGTGCCTGGCCTAGGTTTTTATTTTTAAGATAAGCAGCAACATTTTAAGAGCGCCCCTTTCTCCTGTCACTAAATATAAATAAACTTAGCTCACCTAATGAATTTTTTATTTTATAATAAAAAATTGGGTACCACAGGGTACAAAAACATGATCTTTAGAGCCACAGAGATCTTGGTTTATATTCTTCCCTCTCCCTTTTTTACCTGCATAGCCTCGAGCTGGTACCTTAACCTGGTTCGTAAAATGGGATGGCCCTGGCTAATCTCACAAGCTGTTGTGAGGAATCAATTAAATTAGATAGATTTTGTAAAGCTCTTAATACAGGGTCAGCAGTAATGCTACTTGTTATCAGTCCCACAGTGAAATTCACTGTTCACAGGGAGATGGTCAGCCTACATATAGTGTGTATTCATTTGCAGTAGAGTCTTAGTGGGATGGTGCAGGTGATTTGTTTATTTGTGGGGGTATAGGATATTGTTAAATTGTTCTGAAAATCAAAATGTGAGTTAATTTCTATAGTAATGCTTATTTGCAACTCATTAGCTAAATAAATCTCTTTAATTATTTCATGGATTCCCCCAGCTTAAAGCTTAAAGTCCAGTTTCTTAAAGTGTATGAGGTAAAATGGAAAAAATGTAAATGTAATATGGGAAATCAGTTCTCACATTGCAGTAGAACATTGAACTTCTATCTCAAACTAATTTTGAGATTCCTTGCTTGAAGAATTGTTGGTAGAGTACCACCACTGTGAACATTCCCAAAGCAGGAAATTGAAATATTTATATTGCAAGGCTTATCTCATCTATAAAGCAAAGATGGTCTTCCATTTCCCCCTTGCCCACAGGTTCCCTTTATTAACTTGGTAGAAGCACCAAAGCAGATGGGACAATATGTTTCTTTTCTTCCATGTTCTATTCTTGTTCATTGCAGCAGGGCATTTGTCCCAATTTTGCTGTGAACCTTGAGATTATTTTTGATATGCTTTTCAAGTGTAATGAAATATTTATTCCATCTTGTTTCCTCCATGGTTTTACAAAAACAACAAGAAGAAGCTAATTGCCTATCATATACAAAGAATGAATGCCAATGGACAATAAAATCTGTAATTAGGAACCCACATGGTGATTTGATATAGTATTGTCTCATAGAAGTCTTCTATCTATAGTTATTTATTCCAAGCCTCTTTTTCTTTCCCATCTTGAAGTATGTTAGAAGAGTCTATTCCTTAAGGCTAAGTACCTACAAAAAACAGGCTCTTATAATACAGTAATCAAGTTTTCTCATGCTTTGGGAGTACACAGAGTATGCAAGTACACATCTGGCACCAAACCAATATTTTGTTTCCTTGATCTTTCTTCATTTTACCTAGTTCAGAGTTGCACTTCAAACAAATTCTACTTGTCATACACTTGAAAAGGCAGCTGTAGGTGGTAGGAAGTTAATATTTTCTTTGAACAACATACAGAGGTGCAGACTTTTACTTTTTGTATCAGGTTAATGAGTGAACTTCTCTCAGGGAAATCCAGGTGAACATCAAAGTTGAGAGCAGGAAGCATTGATTTCCTACAAAACACATTCACCTGATATCTTAGTCAGTTTGTGTTGCTATAATAGAATACCCCAGCCTGGATAATCTGTAAAGAAAAAGAAGTTTAAAATTCGGCTCTCAGTTTTGCAGGTGGGGAAGTCCAAGAACATGGTGCTGGCATCTGTTGAGGACTTCCTTGCTGTATCATATATGGTGGAAGGAAGAAGGGCAAGAGGAGGGCAAAACTGAGTTTTATAACAACCCACTTCTCACAATAACAAACCCACTCCCCCCATAATGATACTAATTTACTCATGAGGACAGAGACTGAATCACCTCTTACAGGACTTACCCCTCAACATTGTTGCACTGGGGATTAAGTTTCCAACACATGCTTTTTAGGGGTTACATTCAAACCATAGCAGTTGGTTACTAAATTAGTGCTACTTGTAAAAAAATACATGTTTGCTGCATTCAGAATATTACATGTTTTCTTGGAGTTTTTGGAAGGACTTAGCGTAATCCTTGCTGTTCATGACTTAGGTTGGCAAGCTCAAAGGGCCTTAATTCCCCATCAGTTCTTTAAAGGGGGATAGGTCTTAGGATATTAGACAGCAGAAGTCTTCTTTTTCTTCCCCCATTATGTACTGCTTTTTGGCATTGTATTCATGACACACACACACATAAAATGTCATATTTTCTTTAAAGTCAAAATATACAGTTTAAAATGGTTTCAGTTGCTTTCATAAGAGAGTAAAACTTAGGTGTTCAGTTTAATATTGGAAGACCTTGTTCAGTTAATGTGTGCCTTCCATGAATAGTTGGTATTTGTTCACATCAAATCAAATGACTGTCAGTTCTCGGGGTAAAAAAAGACCAACCTTGACTCAAAAAGCTATATTCCTGCAATAAATATGAACATTTATGTTTAATATACTGCTGTGATTAATTATTTATATCCTAGTGGGAGGTCAAATATTCTTCAGATAGGAAGGGGTATGTAATAAATTTTTTAAATATCTAAAATGACAAAAATAGAGGAAAAACATAATCATCCATCCTATTAAGTCTGTATTCAAAGGATGAACTGATGATTTTAAATTCAAATGTTTCCTTAATTTATAGGTCATGAGAGAATGGGAAGAGGCAGAACGTCAAGCAAAGAACTTGCCTAAAGCTGATAAGAAGGCAGTTATCCAGGTAAAACCTGAACCCATTTCCTACCAAACATCACATGCCAGCAGTCTTTTTAATGAGTGTCTGCAGGTTTACCTTTATCTGCCAGCACCTCACGTGTGATTGTTCATAGTCCCATGAACTTCAGCTGTTCTTAATCATTGTCTAGTAATTGAGTTGTTTAAATCCTGCCTTATATTTGCTCCCAATTATTTCAAGTTATAATTCATTGCCATAAAACTCACATTGTAACTTGCAATCTACTTTTTATTAATAATACATCTTTTCAGTCACCACAATCTTCTGCTGCTTCTCCCTCCAGCAAAAATTATGAGAATTTGAATTTTTGATGGAAACCAGTCTCAAAATTACCTTAAGTAAACCAACAGTTTATTATGGTCAATTACTTGAGGTACTGTTAGTAAGAGAGGGATTTTTTTTTAATATGTAATATAAGAGTTTCAAGAGTGCATATATTTATCCAAAGTTATTAGTCAAATCAGCCTTCAGAGAGCCTATGAAATACTGATTTTCAATGAGAAAGTAGGTTTGATGAGGGTTGGAGAGTGCAAGAAAGTGAAGTAAGCTATAAAACGTAGAATTAGTCAATGTTGGAATGACTATGCAGTCTTTAGGATACTTTTTAGCACTAGAAGAAAATGGAATAGGATGTCTTTTTTAGAAGACTTGAAATTGCTGCTTCATCCTACTTATTCAGTCCCCATGGACATATGTGTTTATGATGGCAGCATTTCCAGGAGAAAGTGGAATCTTTGGAACAGGAAGCAGCCAACGAGAGACAGCAGCTGGTGGAGACACACATGGCCAGAGTGGAAGCCATGCTCAATGACCGCCGCCGCCTGGCCCTGGAGAACTACATCACCGCTCTGCAGGCTGTTCCTCCTCGGGTAGGTCTCGCTGCAGCCGAGTTCACACTTCAGGTCACAGCACAGACAGTAAGGGTGGGGCACTGGGAACTGGAAGCCATACAAAAAGAATGAGGAGAAATGCCTTGAGCACTGTTATTCAGAGGTTCAACCCCTGTCCATTCCATCTTGAAGGTCAAAGGGTCACAGGGCAGCTACCTCCACAAGGTCATCTCTACACAGCAGGTACTCACACTTCCCCACAGAGCAGCCAGACAGGACTCCCAGGGACTCACATTGCAAGCCCTGACTTGATTTAATATTCCTGAGGTGGTGACAATTGATGGCATAGTTCAAGTTCGAACACAAAAGCTGGAAGGATGTCTTCCAGTCCCTTCAGGCTGCTGTAACAGAATACCATAGACTGGGTACCTTATCAGCAACAGAAGTTTATTTCTCACAGTTGCAGAGGCTGAGAAGTCCAAGATCAAGACATCAGCATACTTGGTTGTCTGGTGAAAGTTTGCTTCCTGGTTCATAGAACTTAAATTTTGTTTATCTTTTATTTATTTTATTTTTGTTTTTGTTTGTATTTTGCTGTATCCTCATATGGTGGAATGGGCAAGAGAGCTCTCTGGGCCCTCTTTTATAAGGGTACTAATGTCAATCTTGAAGGCTCTGCCCTCATGCCTAATTGTCTCCCAAAGCTTTCACCCTCAAATAGCATCACACTGTGGCTTAGGTTTCAACATATGAATTGGGGGTGGGAGAGACACAAACATTCAGACCATGGCAAAGGATTTTAGAAGTAACCTTGCCCAGCCCCCTCATCATGTAAGTATAATAATATAACTAAGGTCAAGGAAAGTTGAGATTTGGCTGAGTTGTAAGAATTTTTAGTGGACCAGAAAGAATTAGAACTCAAATTTCCATCTCAGAGCAGTGGCCATATTCTCTGTGGGGAAGCATTTGTCAGTCATGACATTAGCAATGATGAGACTTATTCATGGTTTTCAGTGATCATTGCCCCAAAAAGGCATGTTGAGTGGTACAGGCATAGATGTGTTCACCGGCATTCTGTGGGAGAGCTTACTTGGAATGGAAGGAACTTTCTGAGCATGAGTGTGTAACTTATGTCCACTTGTTCTTTTTTTTTTTTTTTTTTTTTAAATGAGATGGAGTCTCACTCTGTCACCCAGGCTGGAGTGCAGTGGTGCAATCTCAGCTCACTGCAACTTCTGTCTCCTGGGTTTAAGCAATTCTCATGCCTCAGCCTCCCAAGTACCTAGGATTACAGGTGAGCCACGACACCCAGCTAATTTTTGTATTTTAGTAGAGACAGGGTTTCAACATGTTGGCCAGGCTGATCTCGAACTCCTGACCTCAGGTGATCCACCCACCTCGGCCTCCCACAGTGCTGGGATTACAGGCGTGAACCACCATGCCCAGCCATTTGTTCTTTCTGTTTGTCATTGAGCAAGGGATATTGAAAGCTCTGCCTGTGATTGTGGACCGGGCCATTTTTCTAAACAGTGCTATCAGTTTTTATTTTGTATAGTTTGAGGCTGTGTTTTTAGGCGTGTAAATGTTCCAGGCTGTTAGGCCCTCCTTGAGCCTCTTCTTATGAAATGATCTTTTTATCCTTTGTAATGTTTTGCTCCAAAATCTACTTTAATATTAATAAAGCTATTCCAGCTTTCTTTTGATTAATATTAATGTGGTGCATTTTTCCATCCTTATACTCTTATTGACCTTGTTTGTCTTTATATTTGAAGTGTATTTTTTGTAGGCAGCATGTAATTGGGTCTTGCGTTTTCCTTTGGATTGGGAAGACCATGTACACTGAATGAGGTTATGGATATGGTTGTCACTGAATCTGTCATCTTGATATTTGTTTGCTATTTGTCCAGTCTGTTCCTTGTTCTTCTTTTTTCCTCTTTTTTTTTTGGATTAATTAGAAATTTTTTATGATTCTATTTTATCTCTTTTGTTGGTTTGTAAGTTACAACTAGTTTGTTATTTTACTGGTTTATCTCCTTTGTGGGTTTATAAGTTATAACTAGTTTGTTATTTTACTGGTTGCTTTAGGCTTATAGAAAACATTCTAAACTTGTCACGATGATGTTATGTCAGTTCAAATGATATTATACCACTCCACAGACAGTACTTTACAAAAGTACTTCCATTTTTCATCTCTCTCTCTCTCTGTAAGCGGTTGTTGTCATACTTTTTCCTTACTACATTGTTGATGTTTTTCTTTAAACAGTTATTTTTTAATGAGTTGTAAATTTAAAAAAAAAACAACATGTTTACCCATGAAGTCATCATTTTGGGTGCTGTAAACTCTTTGCGCAGATCCAGCTGGTATCATTTTCCTTCTGCCTGAGAGATTTCCTTTAAAATGTCTTAGAGACTGGGCTTGGTGGCTTGTACCTGCAATCCCAGCAACTCAGGAGGTTGAGATAGGAGATCACTTGAACCCAGGAGTTCGAGACTGCAGTGAGCTGTGATTGCATGACTGTACTCCCATCTGGGTGACAAAGGGCATCCTGTCTCTTTAAAAAAAAAAGTTTGAGTGCACATAAGTTGGTGATGAAATCTTTGTTTGGCTTTGACCAAAAATGTCCCTTTTATACCTTTGGTTTTGAAAAATATTTTTGCTGGGTAAAAAATACTGGATTGAGGTTTCTCTTTCACTGCCTGAAAGATGATACTCTGCTGTCTTATTTGTGTTGATATCTTTATCTTTATTTCTCTAAAAATAACATGTCTTTTTTTTCTGTTTTTACAGTTTTCTCTATATCACTGGTTTTTAACAATTTAATTTTGATATGCCATGGTATCATTCAGTCTGCCCTTAATTCCATCTGGCCGTTTTTCATCTTATCACCTCACATACTGTAGTTGTTGTATATAGAAATTTAACCTGGGCTACCCCCAACACCCATAATATCGTCTGTATCTTAACTTTTGAACCTATGGAATACAGTTATTATATGAAAACTGTTTAAATATCCATGTTTGCTAATTCTAACATCTCTGTCAACTTTGAATCAATTTTGATTGCTTATTATTACATGTGGCATTTCCCTGTATCATTTTATGCCTCATAATTTTTTATTAAATGTCGGACGCTGAATTTAAACCTGTTGAATGCTAGGTGTTTTTGTAATATTCTTGAGCTTTTTTCTGTCACATAGTTGAGTTACTTGGAAACAGTTTGATCCTTTTGAGCTTTGCATTTTTAGATTTGTTAGGTGGGATAGAAGCAGTTATCAGCCTAGGACTAGTTATTCCTTACTAGTGAGGCAAGACCCTTCTCAGTCATCTACCATGAATGTTAAGTTTTCTCACCTGACTCGTGGGAAGAGGCATTATTCCTGTCCCTGTGTGAACACCAAGCACTGTTAATGCTAATTCTTTTTGGTGATTTTCCCCCTGGCTTCAGTTTCTTTCACATGCATGTACCCATCATTACTCAGCTATATTCTCAGGGATCACTCTGCACATCTCTGGATTCTCTTTTGGAGCAACTCTCTCCTCACCAATACCCTGTCCTGTGAATTACAACTACCTTGATCTCTCCACACACTTCATGTCCTCCACTCCACGAGTCCTCTAGGCTCTGTGTGGGTTTCCCCACCTGAAACCATGACCTGGAAATTCAGGGCCATGAGTTTGGCAGCTGTAAGTCCTCATTTGTTTCCCCTTTTCAGGAATCAGTGTCCTTCACCTGATGTCTAATGTCTTGCAGAAATGTTGTTTATGCCAGGTGTGGTGGCTCACGCCTGTAATCCCAGCACTTTGGGAGGCCAAGGCGGGCGGATCACGAGGTCAAGAGATCAAGACCATCCTGGCCAACATGGTGAACCCCGTCTCTACTAAAAATACAAAAAATTAGCCAGGTGTGGTGGCGCACACCTGTAGTCCCAGCTACTCAGGAGGCTGAGGCAGGAGAATCACCTGAACCTGGGAGGCAGAGGTTGCAGTGAGCCGAGATTGTGCCACTGCACTCCAGTGTGGTGACAGAGCAAGACTCCATCTCAAAAAAAAAAAAGAAACGCTGTTTGTATATGAATATATTGTCCAGTTATTGGTGGTTCAGGCAGGAGGGTAAATCCAGTTCTTCTCACTCAATCTTGGCTGGAATTGTTTGTGCATTTTATGCAACTTAACCAGAAAGTCACCCATTTGCACCGATTTTCCTCACCATTTTGATTTTTCTTTCTATGGATAAAGTTACAGTGCACAGAAAGCCATGAGGAGCCGTTAAAGAGCTCGTGGCATTCTTCCAAGACGTAAGATACTATTTACCCTGTTCTACCGATGATATCACTGCAACCTCGGGAGATGGAGCGGCTGGTTCAGGGTGACACTGCTGGGAAGGGAGAGGGTAGAGCCGCGAGTCACTGTGGTGCCTTCTCACTAGAACGAGCTTCCTCTCTAAACAAAGAGCTTTTGAAAAAGAATATTCATATTAGCGTTTTCATTTTCTATTTGCCAAAATTCTCTATCTTAGCAAGGCACTTGTCAGGAAATTTTTTTTTATATCTCTGCAGAACAAAAGTTCCTTGGTTCCTCTCTTTTTTGGAGAACACGCTTTCAGGAGAGGAGCCGTGTGATCATTTGCCAGAGAAGGATAGGCTGGTGGGTGCTGAGACCAGAATCTTTATAGCAGAAACTTGTGAAGCGTTCCAGCTGAAAGTCCAATCTCTAAAGTAAGATCTTTGCTAAATGGACATTGATGGGACTAAAAATAAGCTGAGGGCTGAATGGAGGCTTTAACAAATGTACATTTAAACTCTCAGTTTAGTCTCATCAGCCATCACAGGAAAGGCAGTGGCAAGAATGTTTGCCGAAGTGTCATCTTTTATCAAAGGGGATAATTTTAGAGTGGTTGTAATCGTGCTTATTGTGGGCCTCCGCATTGCTTCATATGGAATTAGGCAACATGTTCATTTGAAAAAAAAATTAAAAACTGGATTAGGAAGAAATATTTTACTGTCAAAAATCAGATCACTGTTGTTGATTGATCTAAGGATTCCTGTTAAATTCTTAACTCGGATTTATTTATTTATTTATTTATTTTCTCTCTCTCTCTCTCTTTCTCTGTTTCTCTTTCTCTCCTGCCTTCCTTCCTTCCCTCCCTCCCTCCTTCCTTCTTCCCTTCCTTTCCTTTCCTTTCCTTTTCTCTTCCCCTCCCCTCTTCTCTTCTCTAATCTTCTCTTTTCTTTTCTCTTTTCTTTTCTTTTCTTTTGTTTTCTTTTCTTTTCTTTTCAGGGTCTTGCTCTTTCACCCAGGCTGGCATGCAGTGGTCCAGTCGTAGCTCACTGCAGCCCCAACCTCCTGGGCTCAAGCAATCCTTTTGCCTCAGCCTCATGAGAGTTGGGTCTACAGAAGCTCCACCATGTGTGGCTAATTTTTAAAAAATTTTTGTAAAGACAGGGTCTCGCTGTGTTACCCAGGCTAGTCTTGAACTTCTGGCCTCAAGCGATCCTTTCACCTCGGCTTTTTAAAGTGCTGATATTACAGGCATGAGCCACCATGACTCACCTTTAAATCTTTCCTTTGTAATAAAATGTGGCTGGGTGGTCACAGGCCTGGAGTCTAGGGGGCATTACTTGCCATTTTTGTTAAGTTACCATCTTTAGGTGTTCATTTAAGTTTTAATGTTGTATGGCTTGACCTGGCACTTAGGTCTGCACTTTGGCAGGCACAAGAAAATTGTAAATACCTTCTTTTTTTTTTTTTTTTTTTTTTTTTTGAGACAGAGTCTTGCTTTGTCGCCCAGGCTGGAGTGCAGTGGCGTGATCTTGGCTCACTGCAAGCTCCGCCTTCTGGGTTCACACCATTCTCCAGCCTCAGCCTCTCAAGTAGCTGGGACTACAGGCACCCGCCACCATGCCTGGCTAATGTTTTTTTTTTTTTGTATTTTTAGTAGAGACGGGCTTTCACCGTGTTAGCCAGGTTGGTCTGGATCTCCTGACCTCGTGATCCGCCAGCCTCCGCCTCCCAAAGTGCTGAGATTGCAGGCGTAATTAAATGCCTTCTTGAGGACTTTTATACCTTCCTCTTGAAGACATAAATCCAGAGCTTACTGGTGGTTGTCTGAAAAAGATCACATCTTGTAATAGGAGTCATACATAAATATTTCTGAGATCTCCCTCATACTTAACCACCGTGCCTGGAAAATGCAGACAACTGTATTCAGTAAATGGTATTTGAATATAAGTAAATCAAAAGTGTCGTTTCCATAGATTCTGTAGATGTTACCACTTAGAATAATTACCTGTCTAACCCTTAACAAATTCTACCGTATATTCTCAGACTTTGCAAACACGGGATTCCAAAACAATGTGGATTGTTTTCAGTTTCTTTGAAGCTCAGATTTAAATCATACTTTTACTCAGTTTTTAAACCTAAACGTGGAAGTGTTATGAGATGTTGTTTTTGTGCAGCTAGAATTCCTTGTTCTACTAATGAATTTCATTTCCTGAGTCCCTGTGTCTGAGTATACTGTATGTTTCAAATTTCTGATTTAGTTATGTACCTATAGGCAAATACACTGAATGGTCAACCTAAAAATGCATTGTTTGACTCATATTTAGAGTCATACATATATAGGCACATGTATTTAAAATAAATACTTTAGGCTAGATGTGGTGGCTCACAGCTGTAATCCCAGCATTTTGGGAGGCTGAGGTGGGAGGATCCCTTGAGCCCAGGAATTTGAGACCACCCTAGGCAACATAGAAAGGCCCTATCTCTACAAAAAAAAAAAAAAAAAAAGATTTTTTTAATTAGCCAGGCATGATGGTGCGCGCCTGTAGTCGCAGCTACTCTGGAGGCTGAGGTGTGAGTGTGAACCAGGAAGTCAAGGCTGCAGTGAGCTGTGATGGTGCCACTGCACTCCAGCCTGGATGACAAAGCAAGACGCTGTTCCAAAATTAAAAGTTAAAAAATGAGATAAATACTTGAAATATTACAATTATTAAAATAGTTGTTTTCCCCATGGGAAAAAAAAGTTGAGCAGAGCTGTGTCTTTGCACTCAGAAAAAACTCTTACTCTGTTGAAGGCTAGTGACTCTTCTAAACACCAACCCCTTCACCTTTTTACTTTCCTTAGACTTTCTTTGGAAAATCAAGGAGTTAGCACTTTTTCCCCCTGGAAGAATTAAATGCCTCTCCAGAACTGCAGCACAGGAGGTTAACTTCTACCACCTTTGGAGGCCTGCAAGCTACCAGATTAAATACTTAAAGCTAAGCATTCATCATTTCTTAACCTGCCCTCTACAGTCATGCACTTCCTGCTTTTTACTTTGTCAGGGCTCGTACTCAAACTATTCATAGCTTCATGAAACAGGAACTAAATGCTGTCTGAGCCTTTCCCCTTGTAACTCTCAGCGTTCTGCTTATCCTTCATAGACAGAAGATGATGATATGTCCTGACTGTTGAAGAGAAATTAGACTTAATGTGATCCTGTACAGTTAAACCAAAGGCCAGATAGGGATTTTTTATTTCAATCAACTTTCTATTGTAGGCCTAGGTTTGGAAAACCTTAGCACCCCCTAATTTGTAAGACTTGAACTGTTTTAAAGATAAGGGATACACAGCCAAAGCTTTCTTTGTAATTCTGAGATTTTTGGTGTTTTTACAGATACTTAGTCTAAATCTTTCATCAGACAGTTATCATGATTATTATTCTGACTTCAACAACTGCATTTTCTAAAGGGAAGTGAGAATTAGGAAACATTTTCCTGTACATCTGTTTATCTATCCCAGTTGTGTTGTTTGGATTTTTTCAGTGTCTTAACGATTGAAACCATCTTATCCATACTGAAATTCATTTCATGCTTCTATCTGCTGCTTCACATTCAGGCTATCAGTTTAATTGAGCAAAAAAAAAATGTTGGCAGTTTCTATAGCATCGGCATCCTTCTTTGGTTTCTCATTTTTGAATGGTTCAGCCACATGTTAAATTTTGCTGAGATCTCTGGAAACTTCTTCACATAATTCTTTGATAGAACATGAATTCTGTGAGACTCTTCATTAAAGAGCACGGTTTCATCACTAAGTTGAGATTTTGCTCAAGGCTATTTGGTAAATTCCAGCAGAAGAGCAATAAATGTTCAACAAGAAACAGCCGTCATTGGAGATAACAAGGGTAGACATTAATGGGAGGTTTGTCACAGGTAAACAGGTGATGGCATGAGAAGGTTTAAACCACCTCATAAATAAATTTTTCGCCACTATATGATGTGGATTACAACTAAACCAAACTTTAACCAATGTGGGTGTTGGTGTACCTTTCTTTTCTAAAGCAAAAAAGAAATTGTGGTACTAAACTTGAGCTTTTATATGATACCGCTAATTGCCCTTCACCCAACAAACCAATTATTTCTACCCATCACTTTTCGTTGCAAAAGAAATTATCTTATAAAATATATGTATATAGCATATATCTCCAAAGCAAATATGGGACATCTGTACCTCAATGTAACTGATAGTAAGTTAAAAATTATTTGCTGAGTTCTTGGTATGTGGACAGATGAATATTATAATGTTTAAGGCATTCCACCAGCAGGTTTTGAATTTAACCAAAATTTTATGAAGCTAATCAGAATGGAATTAAAAGTTGAAAGACTGCCAGGCCAAAAAGATCATCTTTCAGAAAAGTAAATAATTGCTCTATACTTACATATTTATTATTTATTTGTTCACCATCCGTTTATTTTTAGTTGAGTTCTGTATACATTGGTGAGCAAAGGGGGACTCATTAGCTTGGGCACTCCTAAGGGCAAACCCAATAACAGATAGTGAATGGGAAGGAAAATGAGAGAATTAGCATTTAGTGAACAAAATCTTATAAACTATGCTGAATGGTATACATGCTCTTTCAGTAAAGCCACTCAGTACTATTACTTCCCTACCTTCTGAATGTTTACCAAGTTCGATAAAATCTTGCTACATACAAATGGGAAGTATGTAACAAGAGATACTAGTGGTTTCTGGGTTTAATTAAGTTACATAGAACATTAAGAAGTATGTTGGGAAGGCATTAGCTTAAAAGCTGTCTTTTGCCACTGAGGCCATATTCATCACCCAGATTCCCTCCACAGTGGAGCACTGCTCAGTCACTGCCTTCAGAATGCAAATAGGTCTTCACAGGATGCTATTAAAACCCATAGCACCGTATGGTTTTACGCTCTGCTTTCTTCCAGCAAACCTACGTATTTTAATGTTAATATATATGTTCATTTTATCTTTGAGAATGAAAATGTATTATGAAAATATAAATATTTAGTTTTTGTAGACAAATAGCACATTTAAAGATCCAGTAGTTATTCACCTGCCTGGTATGACTGATAGAGAACAGATGGGTAGCAAAGAATCCTCACCCTGGAAACATGTACGCATACACACGCAAACACAATCTCGCATAAGCTTTAAGGGGTTCATTCATTTTGTGAAGGTTGACCATGGATACCAGTTTAAAGATGCCAGGTGATGTTTGGCTTTTAAGTATCATCACCTTGAGTTTCCTTATATAAATGTTTTAATATCAACAAAAAACTCAGAATTTCTAATAGGTCATAACACTGCCTAGGTATGGGAAGAGGAGAGGGTAAAATTAAAAGAAATGCAAATGTACTTTTCTTTGAATAGGCTAACCAGTTAGAGGATGTATGAAGCAGGACCACCATAGTCCAAGTATGAATATGCAAAATTAAAGCAGATTGCTGTAAATCTCTCTTAAAAAGTCAAGAATATGTCACAGTTGGCATTTTTCGGATGATCAGACCGTTTGACAAATCTCTGCAAGGGTCCGAGTTAGTCGAACATATCTTTTGCTTATGATTTCAGCAACACTGTGCGCTTTGCCTTCTGGGTTGTATTACTAATTCTGTTCATCATTAAGTGTACACATGTTTCACTGTTTGACTAAACAAAGCTTGAAGACATACAAGTCCAAACATTTTCTGTCCTTTCTGTATTCCCAGGTCAGAAGATCTTAGCTCTTTATCCATTCTGTGCTAGAGTTTGTCTGAAAGCATGAATCATGGGGTTGTGTTGGGTGCTAAATTTCAGTTCTATATGCTGCCTTCACTAATTTATGACTGTGGTCTGAACAACCAAAATAAATTATTTCTGAGAACTAGCAAAATACCCTGGAAAAAATTTATGAAACCTACCAGATTTGTAAAAAGGTCAGCCAGGCGTGGTGGCTCATGCCTGTAATCCCAGCACTTTGGGAGGCCAAGGCGGGTGGATCACCTGAGGTCGGGAGTTCAAGACCAGCCGGACCAACATGGAGAAACCCTGTCTCTACTAAAAATACAAAATTAGCTGGGCATGGTGGCGCATGCCTGTAATCCCAGCTACTCGGGAGGCTGAGGCAGGAGAATCGCTTGAACCCGGGTTGCAGTGAGGGGAGATCACCCCATTGTACTCCAGCCTGTATAACAAGAGTGAAACTCCGTCTCAGAAAAAAAAAAAAAAAAAAGAAAAGAAAAAAGGTCACTAAGTGATGAGAGAATTAAAACCACTCCTATTTTCTACCTTTTATAACATAAACTCTTGTCTTTACTTCCCAGGTTTGCCATCTTTATAACCTGTAACTAGGAGCAAGTGATTTAATAAAGGGATTCCTCCTATTCCGTCTGCAAATTGGAGTTAATTTTTCTCCTCTTTCTGCAATTTCTGTTGTTTTAGCTTTTGTTAGCCATAATTAGAAAATCAAAAGGATTCATTGAAAGTTGAGACAAAATTGTGAAGTAGGAAGATGTCTTCCTCCGTAAGAGGAGAAAGATTGTTAGAGGAAGTACATGGAGGCTTTGGTGACACATCCCTATGAGGAAGTGATCTGCTTCCACGGGAAGGAGAGAACAGATGATAGATGACTCCTAGATGCTCCTGCGTCATGTTCAGTACAAAATCAGAGCCGCATCAGCAAACCGGATACCCTGGGAAGGAACATTGGGATAACTCCTTGGCCATAAACAAAAGTTTTGCTCTGGCCTTATGAACTAAGTGGATTAATAGAGATTAGTTGTTCAATATCCTTCCATCTAATGGATCCATATTGTTAAAACTTAAGAAACACCAAAGGGGGAGAGTGTGAGAATCTACTGCCATTTTCTCCATTGCTTCATTCAAGACTTCTGTGTCCACCTTGGCATGGGATTATCATTTGCCCTTTTATACTCACCTTAAACTACAAAGATCATTTGTTTGCCTTTCTGAAGAAAGGAAGGTGGATAAATTTTGCAGGAGACTTTAAAAATTCAGCTCAACTCCTGGCATTAAAGACAATAAAGGTGGTGATTCAGAGGTCCCCATGGCAGTTTCCCCAAATATTACGTTTAACTAAGATCATCTCAAGCACAGAGAGACTTAACTCTCTAAAGTGTGATTTTTAAACCTGCACACGGAAATTTTCTACATTTTATATGCTCAAGATTTCTTGAAATCCAGGGTGTAAAACTGTGAAAATAATAGTTCTGAACCTATTTATGAAAGCAGGAGAGAATTGCTTTGTTCAGTTTTGGAAACCACCAGGGTGCAATTTAATGCTCCAGGAGAGGGTTTTCTGTGACCTGGAAAGGTTGGGGTGATTCCCGTACAGTGAGTCATTTACTTCCTTCTTGGCAGGATTATGCCCAGGGCTTTTAAACGCTCTTGACACTTCACTGCCTTCCATAAGAAACGGGTTTAGGGCACAAGTGTCTATTATGATAAGATGCCAGATTTCTAGATCAAGCATAAAGCTGTGGAGTGGGACAATAGGACTTAATAATTTTAATACACTTCCCACGTGAACTGTCAAGTAATAAGCTACATATTCAGACGTGACTGGCATTGAGTCATCCTGCCATTAGTCAAATGTATGAGACTTTTCCCAAGTCCCAGCAACACCAAATTTGAGAAATCGTATAAAAGAAAAATGAAAAAGTAAATACGTCTAAGAAATGGGGAAATCAATAAAAAATGTACTAGCACCAGGGGCGGTGGCTCACGCCTGTAATCCCAGCACTTTGGGAGGCCGAGGCAGGTGGATCACCTGAGGTCAGGAGTTTGAGACCAGCCTATCCAACATAGTGAAACCCTTCTCTACTAAAAATACAAAAATTAGGTCGGTGTGAGGGTGCACGCCTGTAATCCCAGCTGAACTCAAGAGGCTGGGGCAAGAGAATTGCTTGAACCCAGGAGGTGGAGGTTGCAGTGAGTTGAGGTGGAGGTGCACCACTGCACTCCAGCCTGGGCGACAGAGTGAGACTCCATCTCCAAAACCGTGTTAGCTTTTATCAGGAAAGGCCATTAAATTTTCTTCAATATTACCTACATCAATTTGACATCAAACTATAAGAACACAATATGTGAGATGTTTTGAAATTAATGAAATGAATCTTCTCTTTGAGACGAGTTTGTGCACGCTATGAAGTCCATTAAATATTTTCTGGGAAGAGTTCCCAGTTAAAACTACTTTCTAAAGTACCCAAGCACACTATATAGATACATCAAGTAGGTTTATTAATGTCAGTATTTCGGTGAAAATTGGGAAGGCCACTATTCTGAGTAGAGAGGTGTTTGTTTTCTACTTGAAGACTATGAAGGATATTCTGCACTACTGGGCCTATTTCTGAAATTGTATCTAGCTGCAAGTTACTCATTAATTTAATTAACAAATATTTATTAGCAACCAAATTGTGGCAGGAACTGTGCCTAGAGGTAGAAATACATTACGCTCTTGTTTCCAGAGAGGAAAATGAGTAATGTTCTAAAATGTAAATCTTATGTTTCTCTTTCCTCTTGCTGTAAATGATGTCTAAGCCATTTCGGTGGTGCCTGTTCTTAATCCTTTAATAAATTATTTTGAATGATTTTTTAAAAGGCAGTGTGATTGTGAGGTGAGTTTAGTACAAATTAAAAAATGTCACATCAGTTGCAAACAGACAGCACATAATTATGAGCTAAACACTGTTTCAGAAACAGTAGTGACAATAAATAGGATTCGGTATAATTAGTCCTCCTGGGACAGATCTCTTCCTCTGTTCTTTGCCATATATTTTAATAATGAGATTAGCCATCTAATGCCAATATAACCAGACTGTAGTATTAATACACAGAAAAATTATTGCTAGTAACAGAAGATTTAAAGACATGAGGGTGATCCGGATTATATGCCTGCAGGTTAAAAAAAAAAAATGTTTCTTAAACTCTCTTTATCAATATCCTTTTCGTGAGCCACTGAATTCTTTTGTTTTTCTGATCATATGAATAACCCGTCTTAAGTATGAATATTGTGACAATAGTAATAGCAATTACTTTAAGAGAATATGTTTCTATAGAGATAACAGAGGGGTTTTTCCCTACCATTCCTGTATGAAGGTTTCTGTGTTTTTAATTAAAATTTTAAGAAATTCATCTTTGTCTTAGCATAATAAAATAAACCTCACTAGACAATCAGGACACCTTGTTATTCTTAGATACATTATTATAGCTCAAGAAATAACAAATGTTAAGCCTGGAGGATTTGTATTTTGGCCAAAAGTTGTGAGGGCAATTATTTATTTATTTGAGTGAAATATGCAGGAATCATATATCAAAAGGAGGGAGGTCTTTTTTTTAACCTCAACAAAAATATAAAAGTATAGGGAACTGTTATCTATGTGAACCCAGCAAATCTGAGACAGGTCTCAGTTAATTTAGAAAGTTTATTTTGCCCTGGTTGAGGATGCACCTGTGACACGGCCTCAGGAAGTCCTGATGACATGTGCCCAAAGTGGTTGGGGCACAGCTTAGTGTTATGCATTTTTAGGGAGACATGAGGCATCAGTCAATACATATAAGAAGTACATTGGTTTGGTCTGGAAAGGCGAGACAGCTTGAAACAAAAAGCAGGAAGACTCGAAGTGGGGAGGGGCCTTCTAGGTCAGAGATAGGTGAGATGAACAGTTGCATTCTTTTGAGTTTCTGATTAGCCTCTCCAGGGTAGACAATCAGGGTGATTGGCTCTAAGCAGTTCCCAGCTAGACTTTTCCCTTTAGCTTAGTGATTTGGGGGCCCCAAGAATTATTTTCTTTTTACACCTGTGTTTTTTCTTTCTTAACTAAAAATAGTATTTGTTTCTGAGGGATAGAGATAACTACCATTTTATTTGGTATGATTTATTTGCCTACCGTCCAACAAAGAAGGTAATCTGATTTTGTTTTCATTTCCAAGCATGATTCCTAGAGATGTGTTTAGGTGGCCAAATCAATGAAGCAGAACCCTGCAAATTCATTTATTGGGAGATATCCTAAGGTCTTCCTGAATTATCTGATGTTCCCAGGCTTTGCTTATCCAATAGGCATTAGGAAGAAAAGGCTTGTGTTTATGTAGATGCACACAAAATGCGCATCTCAGCTTACATAAACAGTGAAGGGGTTTCCCAGGTCTCATTATCCCTGGAGGAGCTGAGGCCTGGGGAGTCCTCAGAGCCTCCTTTGCTACTCTGTTATTGTGGCAGGCCAAATCTCACTAATGCAGGCCTCCGTAACAGCTGTTTCCGTACTGACTGAGTGGTTCAGTTAAATACTAAAAGCTAAAAAAAAGCCAGCGCCCTTATACAGAGGCTGGAATGTAACAAAAGCCCACCAAGAGTTTTGCCTAGGCCTTTCCTGGCAAAACCAAGGAATTCTTAACAGGACCCATTTAGGATTAACAAGTTTTACTGGGAGTCTGAAGAAACTCTACAGGCCTCCAAGAACAAGTTTACTGGAGGTCTGCAGGAACTCCTCAAACCTCCCTGATTTAGCAGGAGACAAGATAAGAGTAATCACCCCAGCACCTAGACCCATTTAGATTAAGTAAATTTACTGAGACTCCAGAGGAAGGTCTTCAGGACTCAGACCTTAGTTATGGATTAAAGAAGTTAATCACTTCTGTCATGAGATGAATGCACACTTACACGTAGACATACAGCTTAGAAGGCATATAAGTTCTGGAAACTTTGTAATTTTGAGTTGGTCTGGCACTAATTTCCAGGCCATCTCCCTGTAAAAGGTTACAAAAATAAAAACTCTCTTCCTCCCAGTTCATCTGCATCTCGTTATTGGGCTGTGAGGTATAGTAGCCCAACCCTCAGTTCAGTCCGGGAACATTATTATCAAACTCTGGGGATTTTCAGGATAAGTTAGGAATATATTTTGAAGGAGAATGGCAGTATTAAATGAGATCAGCAATTGAAAACATGTGAATACATTCACCATTTAATTACCCATCTCAATAGAAGATAAGGATGAATTTAGCACTAGAAACCATGAATGTCACAAAAGCCTAACTTTAATACCTTGAATCACTTTCCAGTAATCCTAATCCTTTATCCACATGGATAGAGGACATTCCTATCTTGCTCTTTCTTCTCCCCACACATTAGCTTAATAATTAGCTAAATAATTTCATGCATTAGCTAAGGAATAATGGAACTCCAGAAACCTAGGACAGTAATTGAGAGACTGAACAAGCTAAATCTGAACCTTCTGCACAATTAAAGGAGCTGATGTTAGCATGGCCCACAGAATATTACCTGCACTTGTAAAAACTAGAAAGTCAGGCAAGTACTCCTGGAACAGACTGTCTTTTCTAACCATGCACTTATTTCTTTGTTTTTAACTTTGTTTTTGTTTGTTTGTTTTTGAGACGGAGTCTCGTCCTGTCGCCCAGGCTGTAGTGCAGTGGTGGAATCTCAGGTCACTGCAAGCTCCGCCTCCCAGGTTCAAACAATTCTCCTGCCTCAGCCTCCCGAGTAGCTGGGACTACAGGCGCCCACCACCATGCCTTGCTAATTTTTGTATTTTTAGTAGAGATGGGGTTTCACCATGTTGGCCAGGCTGGTCTGGAACTCCTGACCTCGTGACCTGCCCGCCTCGGCCTCCCAAAGTGCTGGGATTACAGGCGTGAGCCACGGCGCCTGGCCTGTTTTTAACTTCGTAAGTTGCTTTGTAGAACTATCTTAAACTTGGTCTATTTTAGATTCTCCTTGAAGGGCCAGATCACAAAGTGATTAGGAGAAGGAGGCTCTGGAGCCAAGACAGTGAGACTAACCCATTCTTCAAATCTAACACTAACTAGCTGTGTAACCATTGGGCCAGGGATGTAGCCTATGTAACCACAATCTCCTTTGTGCTTCATGCCTCACCAATAAGGTGGGGAGAGCTGCTATGACTCTGTCATAGGGCTGAGACGAAGATTTGATGAGTTACCAGCAAAAAGCATTTAATATACTGTCTCATTCAGAAGCAGTCAATACACATTGAACTCTTATTACTTAGAGGAAAGAAAGGGGTCGATGATTTATAGATAAGGCCTGAGTGAAAGAAATAAATGTGTATTGAGTATCAGCAATGGACTACGCATCATTCTGGGTAACTATCACTGAACACATTTAATCTGCAAATACTATCTGAAAGATACTGCCATCTGAATTGCATAGGTGGGAAAAGTCAAGGCTTTTGTGCTTATTTTTAAATGTATGTTAACATGAATAATTAATTGGCCGTGCACTGGTCGCACGCCTGTAATCCTAGCACTTTGGGAGGCCAAGGCGGGCAGATCACGAGGTCAGGAGATGGAGACCATCCTGGCTAACATGGCGAAACCCCGTCTCTACTAAAAATACAAAAAAATTAGCTGAGCATGGTGGCACGTGCCTGTAGTCCCAGCTACTCAGGAGACTGAGGCAGGAGAATCACTTGAACCCAGGAGGCGGAGGTTGCAGTGAGCCAAGATCACGCCACTGCACTCCAGCCTGGGAGACAGGGCGAGATTCCATCTCAAAGAATAATAATAATAATAATTAGTGGGAATATATGCTGTTTGTTGTGATAGGAGAAGAAAAGGGGAGATCCAGATGTTGGTCATCAGAAATGACCTGCATCTTCTCTAAATTGAAATTTAGCTTGAAGTAGTAATGCCAAGGCCAGCCTGGGGCCATGGCATCCTGGTGTACCTGCTTGTTGGTGACAGTCCTTTTAGGACAAAATATCTTACAAAAACATTCATAGATGACTAACTGGAAAAAAAGAAGTTATGATGAAAAGCAATTCTTACTGTTTTTGTTTTTTGTTTTTTGTTTTTTTTAATTAAAAGACAGGCAGTTATTCTCTTTCCCAGGCTTGAGTACAGTCGTGCAATCAGGGCTCACTACAGCCTCAACCTCCTGGGTTCAAATAATCCTCCTGACCAAGCTTCCCAAGTAGCTGGAACTGCAGGCATGTGTCACTGCACCTAGCTAATTTTTAAAATTTTCTTGTAGAGACAGGTTCTTGTAATGTTGTCCAGGCTGGTCTCAAACTCTTGGCTGCAAGTGATCCTCCTGCCTCAGACTCCCAAAGCAATCCTTACTTTTTTAATTGAAGTGCTTTTTTTTTTTCTTATTTAAACTCTTAAAAATTCATCCCATTTTCTTCAAAACAATAAATCCTTTACAAGGGAGAAAAATGAAATAGAGCAACTAAGAAAGCATCCATGAAGGCCAGGAAGGAACATCATGGTTAAATGCGATTAGTCACAGCCCCTTCTGTCTCCAGTCTTGGATGAATAATGGTAACAGAACTAGAGAGATTTCTAAGACCTTGGTGCTTAATAACAAGCAAGCATCGAGGGTGGTTGTGCAAGATCCTGATCACACAACTCTGCATATCAAATATCCTTCACAATCAACAAGAGTCAGCCTTTAATCTCTGATGTTTTCAAATGTTCTTTTTTTTTAATTCACATGTATAACCTATCCTCTTTTCAATATATAGAGATATAGCTTATCAGTCATTACCTCTTTTACTACTTTTCTTCTGAGATTTAAAAGGTCATCCTCTGATTTGTAAATTCAACCAGATTTCACAGTTCAGATGAGAGTTGTAATAAGTTGCCAAGAACTGTTGCAAGCTGTGATGGCTGTCTTTCTGGGGATTATAGAGAAGCACATTTCTTTTAGGAAAAAAGAAGGCAGATGAGCCCAAGTTGTTTTATTTTTATTGTGTATATGTATTTGTTTTCTCAAGTACAGTAGCATGGCCTCTGTGGCAGGCATTCACCAAGCAAATACAGAGCACCCTCTGGGTCAAGCACTGTGTTATTGGGGTTCCAAATAAAGAAAAAAGACCAAATCCAGCCCTGTGGATCTCACATTAAAGAGGGGAGTAAGAATCATAGATAATTTAATGAGTTAGGTACATTAATGGGGATTTGCACAGTATTTCATAGGAGCACAGAAAAAGGGTACCTCGTTCCACCTGAGATGGCAGGGAGATGGCTCCTAAGTTAACTAAGCAAAAGGGGAAGGAGAGGCACATCCCATAGGATATGGATAACACAACAAAAGCTCCATTACCACCCGCCCCACCACCACACACACCATCTCTGGAATAAATTTTGTACCTTCCAACTGGTTTTCAGGGTACTCATGACACATGGGTTAATAATAGCTAGGTTTGCCCAAATGACCAAAATTCTATTCCCAACATGAATTTTCACAACTGGTTTTTTTGTTTGTTTGTTTTAATGAAGAAGAAATGTTGTGTTTTTGGAAATCATCTTACAAAATCATGTAGTGGAATGCATATAGTGATGAAATTGTTGAAGACCAGGGAATCTTTGTCCTTAGTTTTTATTAGGATGGATGTTTTCAGGTAAAACTAAAATAAAAATGAAATGGAACCAATTAGAAAGAAAATAGGAGCACTTAAGACGAAATGTAATTGTTGCTGAAAGAATTAGAATCTGATAGCTTAGAAAGAACTTAATTAAATTTCAGAGTAAAATAAATACAGTTTAGCAATGGCCTTTCTCCTAGAAAAATATAATGTCTCTTACAGTTCAGTTACTCCTTGGCTTACAAAATAGTGGTTAAATTTCCTGTTTTTCTCATTTTGATTTCGTATGTTACATGTTACTGGTGATGGGATTATCTGTGTGACATTACCTCTGGTCTTCAAAATGTACACGTAGCAATGTAGTCTCACATATGCCCCTTGGGTGCGAAAAGAGAAGGACCTAACTTAACCTGACAGACCTCAAATCTGTTCTCTTTCTATAGCAGAGTACTCCTATTTAAAAAGAAAATGTTGAGTAAGGAGGACAGTCATCATATATGTCGAGAATGTTAAATGCTCTTGTGGAAGTGAAAAGCAGCCGATCTAAGTAATTACCCATTAAGAAAGGAGTAGGAGAAATGTTTAGAAGGCAGACCTGCAAAAAGGTGACTCACAGTACGTTCACATGACCGGATGCATTAGTGGAACCTCTAACCCATCGCCAATGGAAGAAGCAGTGTTTTGCACAAACTTGAAAAAGAGTTTTTCATTTTCCTCCCACAGCCTCGTCACGTGTTCAATATGCTAAAGAAGTATGTCCGCGCAGAACAGAAGGACAGACAGCACACCCTAAAGCATTTCGAGCATGTGCGCATGGTGGATCCCAAGAAAGCCGCTCAGATCCGGTCCCAGGTAAGCGTGGGGTATAATCATCTTCTGCAGCTTTGACAATCCAGGATTCTTGCTTCTTGGGTTGGTGACAGGATCCCACGCATTCTCCGAGCACCTATAGGTGTTTTCCCTATGGCAAGAGCTCTTTAACTTCTGGTAAATTCTAAAAGCTTGTCTTAGAGCAATATGTGGTTTGGCATTTTCTGAGTTATGAAAATAACAAATGTAAAAATCTTAGTCTACTGCTAACTGATTGCTAAGGAACTGATTAAAACCAATGACTAAAATGAGAAAAACAAAAGTTGTATAAACTAAAATCTTGAAAACTGGTTCAACTGAAGTATGGCAGGCAATCATAAACCTACTGGAATGTTGAGATTTCATGTGAGCCTAAATGAAGCCCAGTAATAATGTATTTTATACTCCCCGGTTCCCAAAGGCTGAAAACTGGGATCTACCTTAGGAAATGTGAAATTTTACATTTTCTTGAATGAAAGAGTTAAATATATATAGCATGAAATAGCCAATCAAATTGAAATACGTTGTTTTCTAGGGGGAAATTTGCAAAGAAATGTATTTAGGCATGAGGGTCCTGTTAAGAGAGCCTCAGTATTAGGAATCAGAGGTGGCAGAGGTAGCCTTTTTAATTGGCTGTTATAAGCATACAAGATAATGGTAAGTTTCAAGATCAAGTCTTAAACCTGAGCTCAAAAAGTTAGAGAACAGAAATAGGAGAACAAGAAAAATAAAGTTGCCCTTTCAGTTCAACCTTTTTAACAGTAGCAGTGTTTTGTCAGTTTTCTTTTGGAAGTTTGTATCTACCTGCAGTGCTTGGTAAGAAAAATAACCTGGGCGACAGAGCGAGACTCCGTCTCAAAAAAAAAAGAAAAAAAGAAAGAAAAAGAACCATTCCTACCCCCAGACATTGTTGACCTGGAGTTGTCATCCTTTGATGCAGGTTATGACACACCTCCGTGTGATTTATGAGCGCATGAATCAGTCTCTCTCCCTGCTCTACAACGTGCCTGCAGTGGCCGAGGAGATTCAGGATGAAGTTGGTAAGTAAGCTGTTCTTTTGATGCTGCACATGGACATGTATTTTCCCCCAGAGGAAAATTGAGGAAGTGAGTTATCTGTTTGAGGAATATGGAAGTTAATAGAACAGCTTGCCTTTTACGATGAAACTGTCAGGCTGGAACTAGCTTACTAGCCTTAGCAATTGAATCAGTTCTTACCTCTCCATACTTGTAAGACTGGAGGAATGTCGCCTGACTTAGGGTATAGTTTTGTAATAATTGGACACTTGTTATTGAATTATACGTGGCAGCATTTTTTCTAATTTGCCCAATCTTGTTATGGCTCTCAAATTATGATGCTTTGGTACTTTACAATTAATGGGGAAAAAAACTCATTCTTCATCTTTTGAGTGTCACGATTGTTCCATCTTACAAATGAAAAAGCTCAAACTTAAAATTTGAGTAACTTACTGGCCTGTGTCACATGCATTATAAGTAGCACAGCCAAAACACATAACTGTGACTTGTGACTTTGAGGTTATTGTTATATTCAGTAAGTCACAATTCTCTTTGATGGCTGAGCAGGGAAGCCATGAGTGTTCTCTGAACCACATCATTGTTTAAACTTAAAAGATAGTGGGCTATTAAACTTATATTCTGAAATAATTGTACTCTCACAAGAACTTGGAAAAATAGTACAGAGAGGTCTCATGCATCCATCACCCACATGCCTCACCAGTGACATCTTACGTAACTATAGTCCATTATCAAAACCAGGAAACTGACCTTGTGTGCCCACTGTCTTTTATGTCCCTAGTTTTCCTAATGACTAATGATTTCATTTAAGATCTCTCATTTCTGTTTCTCTTGGAAAGAGAATAAAATACCACATGAGTCTCTGTCAGCTGCCAAAATGCCCATAACTGTTTAACTTACTTCACAAAGGTACATAGATGACGATTATGTTGGTGCATCTTTCAATATAAGCATATGTACCTATACTGGAGATTTAGTGTGTAGTCTACCAACATATAAGCAATATGTATCTGGCATATCCTTCCCCATAAAGAATCCTACCCTTTGTTAATTGGGTTGGAAATAGATACAGGTTATCATCTGGAATCAGAGCACCCAGGATGTTGTAGATGGATGTACCCATTACAGTAAGTCCGACTTTGAAGTGCCTGAAACACCGCTCAAGGGAACAGCTGGCCCTCACTTTTTCCCATTTTATGCCAGTGTTATTCTGCTCATTCTTTCCTGATTTATGTGGCCTTGTAAATATTGTTTGTATTGCTGTGAAATATTTGGCATGTGTCAAGTGATGATGTTCTGTTCAGTACTGCACATTAATGGACGGAATCTGAAATTATACTTTGAGCTACATAACTTGCAGAAGAAACTTCATATGTCAGGGAGGTGCAGTGTCCCAGAACTTTGGGAGGCCAAGGTGAGCAGATCACCTGAGGCCAGGAGTTCGAAACCAGCCTGGCCAACATGGTGAAACCCCCTCTCTAATTTAAAAAAGAAGAGAAAAAAAGCAACTTCATAGTGTGCCAAGCTTTTGTTCAGAAGGAGCAACTCAGTGTTGAGCAAGAATTTATGAAGATAGTGGAGGTGGAGTTTTTAGTCTACACCATGAATTGAGAACAGAGATCTCCAATTAATTTTTCACTGTATCAAGTTTCTTTAGCAAACAAATATACTTTTCAGGTATACTTGGAGAATAGACATCAGTAAGGAACCTTTAAAATACTATGTATTAAATAAGTGTAAAGAAGTTCTCCAAAAAGTTGTAGAAGGTACAAAATGAAATAATTTATCAGTCTTAATGAACTGAAGCTAAAATCTTCTAGAAAACATGGTTTGTTTGTTTGTTTGTTTGTTTTTTACAGCTATCTTAAGCCTGTTTTCACATGTGACTTCAGTTGAAGTGGCATAGGTAATAACTATAGGGAAATAAGCCATTACAAAGGACTAAAAAGTTGATGACCAATATTCCACCCTCACCCAGCAATTATTGTTGACTCTTTATAATTAAATTATTAGAACTTTTTATTTGGCACTATACTACTGAAAACATTAGCCACTAATTAGTCACACTTCCACAGAACAGATGGTGGTTCAGATATCTTGAATATTACGAAATGCCCAAGAATAGGGCAGCACAATAAACTTCAAATCTCAGTACCAGGGAGGATATTTAGATAACTAGTATCATGGAATCTTTTTCTGTAAAAAGAAAAAAAAAAACAGCCATTAGGTTGGATTAAGAACATATTAGGGGGTGCAGCACACCAACATGGCACATGTATACATATGTAACAGACCTGCACGTTGTGCACATGTACCCTCAAACTTAAAGTATAATAAAAATAAAGAACATATTACGTATGTGCTCTTAATGTGTGTGTGTGTGTGTGTGTGTGTGTGTGTGTGTATGTATGTAATATGCTCTCAATCCACCCATTAGTTGGGTTTTTTTAAGTAATGACATATATATCATTCTAAATATACCAGATGCCACATTCTGAAAGATAATCTTTTTTAAAAACCTTTCATTTGGAATCCTGGGTGCTTCCATTTTTAAATGACTGTTCTCTATAGAAAGAGAAGTTTGCAATAACGAACCCTGTACACTATCTGAGCTGCTAGTGTCAAAGCTACAGAAGTGGTTTGCTGGGGAGAATAGCTTTTCTGGGTTGAACCTAGTTGTCATCTATAGTCCTTTTTCATTTGAAGGAACATTTAAAACAATACGTCCCTTTTTAGTAGGAATATAGTTGAAACTTCAAGATTGGCCAGGGGTGCTAATTGCTTAAGCCAAATGTTATTAGAGGTTCCTCATGTTATTCTTTTTACTTTTGTATGTGTTTAAAATTTCTCATAATAAAAAGTGTTGCTTTTAGCTTACTTTCTAAATAGGTTCTTCATAGATTTTTTTTCCAGGTTATGTCTTGTAGTCGTTCTAATATTCTCTGATTAAATGCTTTGTCATTAGTCTGAGTTGCATTTATTTGCTATTTCTGTATATAATCAAATTTTAGATTTGGAGTCAGTTCAGTACAAATAGCATACTAAAATTCAGAGACACTGGCAAAAGGAGAAAATTTTAAAGTCCCTAAAAATGCATGCCTTTTGTATAGAAGTTTGTGCTTATAAATACAAGCAATTAGGATGTGCTTAATGCAGTCAAACATCTGTAGAGAGATACAATGGTTTAATTAAATAATGGTAACAGTTGCTTTATGGATAAGAGGTTTTCACCAGTCTGGGGAACTGCCAGTATCTTTAGTGGGAGAGGTATATCTGCTTCAGTAAATTATGCTTCCAATTAGAATTCTCTTTTATGGGTGAAAATGAGGAAGAATGGAGTCATGCTGAGAAGAAGGAATGCTATCGGTGAAGGGGAAAATTGACATTAAATTTGTGAGCAGTAAACTGTGACCAGAGCATAGGGTTCATCATGCTTGTGAGTTCTGGCCCTGGCCTTGTATCTTCCATTGTGCTTCCCTGAGGCATCCTGTCTGTTCATGCTACTTTCCCACTAACTTCAGTGAATCCCAAATTCATGGGTCTAGCCACAGCCAGCGTACTGAATCCCAGTGCCATATTCCAGACCCCAAATATCCCATGTGCCTCTGAACCTGCAATCAATGTGTATAACACTCATGTCCTTCTGGAAATTTACTTGTTTTACACACTCTATTCTGAGTTCTCTTGGTTGGCCTAAACTATCCATGATGCCTTCCTCTCCCTCACCCATTATTTCTTATTAGTTGCAAGTTCTGTATATTTGGCCTTCTGTGTTCATGTGAAATCTCTGCACATCCCCTACTTACCTGAGATCCTGTCCTCTCATCAGTGTCATTAGACTCCCAGCCAGTCACCCTACCTCTTATCTCACATTGGCCCCCTCCCACTTCAATTCCTCCTTTTCGGAACTATGCAAGTTCCCTTAAAAACAAAAGACAAAACAAAAAAAACAGCTGCAGGCCGGCGGCAGTGGATCACCTGAGGTCAGGAGTTCAAGACCAGCGTGGCCAACATGGTGAAACCCCATCTCTACTAAAAATAGAAAGATTAGCCAGGCATGGTGGCAGGCACCTGTAATTCCCAGTTACTCAGGAGGCTGAGGCAGGAGAATCACTTGAACTCGGGAGGCAGAGGTTGCAGTGAGCCAAGATTGCACTATTGCACTCCAGCCTGGGCGTCAAGAGCAAAACTCCGTCTCCAAAAAAAAAAAAAAAGAAAAAAAAAAAGCTGCTTGTGGTTTTTCCTTGCTTGAAAAGTTGCACCTTTCAAGATTCAAGTAAAATGCCCAAGTCCTATAAACCCTTTCTAATTTGCATAGAGAACGGAGAAAAGAGCTGGCATTTGAGTGACAACCATGTAACCAACTAATGAGTGCCTCTTTGTGATAATGCTGATGGTCACATTCTTTCTTTATGAATGTTCCCCGTTGAGGTACAGGACCGCCATATAGAGATGTGGCAGTGGCAGGTGGTTTAGGGTAAGAGTGGAGACTGATAATTTTATTCTACATCCCACTCAAGGAGCCAAGCCCTCTGGCATTGTGCACACCCACTGGAAGTGGGCTGTTCTTGCATTTCACACAAAGGCAGCATATGGGCTAGTGAAGATACTCGGAAATTCAGTGATAGCATCCCCAGTTTACAGTTGAAGAAATTGAACTTTGAACCTAAGAGAGTTTGCCAACTTGCCCAGCCCAGATAGTAAAGTGATGAAAGTGGGGTGGAAGCCAAGACCTGCCAGAAGTCCAAAATCTGTGTTCTTTCTGCTGCCTATTTTCCTCTCTGAAGTGGAATTTTCCCCTACTTAACCTCAATGTGAAAGCACTGGGTATCCACCTCCAATACCATACTCTAACTTGGAGTAAATTATTTGTTTATATCTCTACTAACCCTCCATCCTGTGAACTCTTCCAGATATATGTTGGTCATCCTTGCCTCCTCAAGATCCAGCAAGGACCCTGGTACTTTTTAGATATTAGTAATTATAAATATAAGGTTGAAGCCAGTCCCCAGGATAAAAAGGCAGATGCTCCTTAACTTGGACTGATGAAGTGGGCTCCTCCGTAACCCTAAAGACCTGACCAAAACTCCTTCCTTGACATCTAGCGTAAGCACCACACAAAACAAATTTCTTTCCTAGGCCACAGCATCCTCTAAAGCTGTGATTGATCAAGCTAACTAAATGGATGTGGTTGGCCAAGATAACAAAGCATAAATCAGGGTTCTGAGGACCTTTATTAATAAAATTTTACAACATGGTCCTTCTTTGTACCATGACCCTCTGCTATTTGGTCATCTACTTGATTTAATTGTGCTGTCCTGTTTGACCGCCAACCACAGTCTGAAGCTATTCCCATGACAAATAAGTGTGAATTTTCAAGTGTCCTGTTGTGTTATAAAAGGCCCGTGTTTTATTTTATAATTTCATATTTTTTTCATTCAATTTTAATTATTATGTGCAAGTTCCCAGGCTCAGTCATTTATTAATGTTTTTATTTTTTAAAAAGTTATTTTCAGGCAGATTATGAAGATTTCTTGCAAAGAATGGCCTCAGGCATTGTTTGTATAGAGATAAAATCTCCTCTTTTAAATCACTATGTAGGTCTTCATTAATATTTTTTCATTCAACAAACGATGGAATCATTATTTCAGTGAAACTATGGCTCCTCTTCAGTGTTCATATTCTGCTTTAATTATTTATTAATCCTTCAAAAGGGCAGAATCCCTTCATCCTTTCAACCTTTGCTTTGTCAAATTGTTACTTAAAAATGATTGGTGTTTTCTTTGTCCTTTGTAATCTTCCTTAAATCTCTGCTAAAAGGATTCTATTCTACTCTTTGTATTGGCACTGAGGTTATTTATCAAAGTGTGCTTCTCTTTGCAGCTACCTCAAGGCTAAAAATGTAGCTCTTTTCAGAGATGGCTGTTTTACAGAATGCTATAATAACCAATTTATGAGAAAGGCAGTAGGAAATAAAGAGGGAACAAAGGCATAATTGTTTCATACCCATTTTTTTTCTTCTAGCATTCAAAATTAATAAAAACATGAATTATTATAAACCAGATGCGGGAAAGATCTCTGGCTGAATAAATCCATAGTGAATGGGGCAGGATTGAAAGATATGGCGGGGAATCAAGAAATTCGCAATAATGAAAGGATGCTTATTTTTTATTACAATTTTACTGTGGCCTCTTGATAAAATGTTCCACTCTTCAGGAAAAATGCAGCATGGTTATTTCAAAGACAGTGTTTCCATATTCTGTTTCTAATAAGCCTGTTGATTTGGGGGTTTAGTGGGTCCAAAGTAGACTAGGTTTAAAATAGAATATTTATAGCACTTCCCAGCCCAACAAAATAGAAATTTAATGTTATTGAGAATTTCAAGTATCCTTATGTGTAATTGTTAGTCAAGGATGAACATCAAAAAAAAAAAATCATAACAGCAAATAGAGAGCTGTCACTTTGTTCTTATAAGAACATAGGTGTGACTTTGTTTTTCATAAGAAATGACTTTTAAATGTATATAGATTTAATGGTTTACAGCTGACTTAAGTATTTGGACATAAGAACTTTTTTTTTTTTTTTTTTTTTGAGATGGAGTCTTGCTCAGTCACCCAGGCTGGAGTGCAGTGGCGTGATCTCGGCTCACTGCAACCTCCGCCTCCCGGGTTCAAGTGATTCTCCTGCCTCAGCCTCCCAAGTAGCTGAGACTACAGACGTGTGCCACCACACCTGGCTAATTTTTTTGTATTTTTAGTAGAGACAGGGTTTCACCATGTTGGCCAAGCTGGTCTCGAACTCCTGATCTCAGGTGGTCTGCCCATCTTGGCCCCCCAAAATGCTGGGAATACAGGCGTGAGCCCCCACATCTGGCCAAGAACATTTATACATATTATCAACAACCAAAGCCTTGTTCCCCCATTGGTTTCATAATAGTCTCAGAGCTCCTTATTCATATTTTCCCTAGTGTTATTAAGTAACAGACATGAGGCCTGTAAGTTTAGCTGCCTGTGTCTAAATGTATATCTTTGACCCAAGACAATTTCTCTTTCAAAATAGAACCACTCATTTATAAATGAAAATGCTTTGTCAAATGAATGGCAAAGTACGGTATACTATTAAGACAGCCTCCTAGTTTTCTGACATTTGGACTGCCATGTTGAAATGTCTCCACACAGCAAGATACAAATGTGTGAATGCCAGTACACTTCATACCTTAGGTCCCCAACTGGTCTGTCTGCAGACTTGAGGTTACAGACCTGCAGGTGTCGAACTCACCCCATAGTGGTGGTTAGTAGAGTGCTTTGTATACGTTTAGCTCTCTATGCCTTTTTTGGTTGTGATATTAGGTAAGCTCTCTTTTTCTTGCTTTGGAGCTTAATTATGGAATCTGTAAATATAGTGCATATGTCATCCAGATGATCTGTGGAAGTCATTGATAATGACCTTTAAAAATTCACATGTAATACAGCATCCGTTTTCCTGAATGATTTTTATAGTTTTACCATTGGCAAACAGATACTTTCTTTTATGTATTTCTACTCCATAATTTTAGGAAAAAGTAAATCCTTTTAGCTACATTAAAAAGAATACACTTTCTAGGAATAATGAATGTAAAAAAAGTTTCCTTTTTTAAAAAAATATTGCGCTCTCTACCATTCTGGCAGACAAATTGTTGACCTTAATATGTATAATTCAGTGCAGTATATTGATCTTGTTTATTGTGCTCCAAATGGACGCTGGCAGAAATTTGAGGAATTAAATATCAACCACAGTGTTTTCTTCATGCGATTGCAATGGTTTGTTATGGATTATTTTGTTCAGTTCAAATAAATGATGTACGTTCAGATTCTTTGCCCAATTTTTTAATTGGGTTGTTTACCTTACTTTCTTAATTTTATTTTTATTTTTATTTTTATTTTTATTTTTGGAGACAGAGTCCCGCTCTGTCACCCGGGCTGAAGTGAAGCGGCATGATCTCAGTTCACTGCAACCTCCGCCTTACGGATTCAAGCGATTCTCGTGCCTCAGCCTCCCCAGTAGTTGGGATTACAGGCACATGCCACCACATCCAGCTAATTTTTGTATTTTTAGTAGAGACAGGGTTTTACCATGTTTCCCAGGCTGGTCTCAAACTCCTGAGCTCAGGCAACCTGCCCACCTCGGCCTTCCAAAGTGCTAGGATTACAGGCGTGAGCCACTGCACTCGGCCTGCTGTTATTATTGAGTTGTAAGAATTTTTATATATTCTGGATACTATTAAATTCTTATCAAATACATTATTTGGAAATATTTTACCCATTCTGTAGGTTGTATTTTCACTTCCTTAATAGGATCCTTTTGACACACAAAAATTTTCAATTTAGAAGTCTATTTTATCAGTTTTTTCTTTTGTGGCAGTTACTATGGTATGGTATCTAGGAAACCATTGTCCGAAACAAGGTTACAACGATTTATACCTGTTACCTTCTAAGAGTTTTGTAGTTTTAGCTCTTACAGTTAAATCTTTGATTCATTTTAATTTTCATATATGGTGTGAGGTAGAGGTTTGACTTTATTCTTTTGCATATAAATATCCAGTGTCCCAGCACCATTTGTTGAAAAAGACTATTCTTGCCAGGTGCAGTGGCTCATGCCTGTAATTCCAGCATTTTGGGAGGCCAAGGTGGGCAGATGACTTGAGCCCAGAAGTTCAAGACCAGAATGGGAAACATGGCAAGACCACATTTCTACAAAAAAATTATCCAGGCATGATAACATCTATTTGTAGTCCCAGCTACTCAGGAGGCTGTGGTGGGAGGATCTCCTGAGCCTGGGGTGGCTGAGGCTGCAGTGAGCCTTGATCACGCCACCTGGGCAATAGAGCAAGACCCTGTCTCAAAAAAAGGAAGAAAAAGACTATTATTTCCCCCATTGAATGGTCTTGGCACTATTACACAAAATCAATTGTCCATAGATAATATGGGTTTATTTCTTAATTCTTAGTTCTTTTCTTTGATCTGTGTGCCTGTGCTTACTGTAGTACCACACTGTTTTGATTATTGTAGCTTTGTAGTAAATTTTGAAATCAGCAAGTGTGAGTCCGTTATCTTTGTTCTTCTTTTTCAATATTACTTTGAGTATCCGGAGTCTCTTGCATTACAACATGAATTTTAAGATCTTCCTCACCCCCTGCCCCCACTACCATTTCTGCAAAAAAAAAAAAAAAAAAAAAAGTGCGGATTGCATTGGATCTGTAGATCATTTTGGGGAATATTTATATATAATGTTAATGAGGTTTTAAACAACACTTTTATCTACTAGAACTGATATTTGCCTCGAAATGATTCCACCTTGAGCCCCATTCAGGAACGTTAGTATTTTAGAAGTAGCAAGAGAACTGATTTAGCATGCTATCATCTTTTACTCCAAATTTTGGTGAGATTCCAGAGAAATTATTTGTGAGCTTTTCCTTAAGCCATGATGACTGACATGTCAGTAGTTTTTGTCTGTTTTTATGCCATTCTTTTATTTTTGTGCATGTGTGGGCACCTCAACCAAATGGATGGAGCCTGAGGCATGGTCTCCCACGCCAAAGTCTGCCGTTTCTTTTGATGATCCAATGCAGTTCCAAAGCTATTTTCTCAACTCACCAGCTCGTTTGTATGGCCCTGTAATTTGAAACAAAATCTAAAAAGAAATCCAAATTAAAATGATTGGGAAGTGAAGTCAGACCACAGTGGTGGCTGTGGAACTACTTCCTGGCATGGAACACTAGAGCAGATGTGTCCTGCTTTTTTTGTAGAGTCTTGGGAACAACCAATGATTTTAGACTGGAACAAGGGCTGGTTATTCTGTTTTTCACAAGCATCTGCCTTCAAGGTTCATTTTTTAAAAGAGGAGGGGAAAAAAATCAGTGATGTTTGCCACCCTGAGTATGGAGATGAATCCAAATTGAGATTAATTTTGAAATATGTTTCCCGAATTTTGAGATTAATTTTGAAATATGTTTCCACAAACACTAACTGGGAATGACATGAGTTTGTTTCATGTGAGACGGAGTTTGGAAGACATGTTAATTTGCTTGTTGGTGTTCAACTCAGAAACAAATTTTGCATGTATTTTCTGAGTAAGTGCCATTATTAGTTAACAGTTTTCCTGCCGTATGCACTATGGGCTGCTTTAGAAAGTAAATCATAGAAGGTTAGTTATAATATCTCATCAAAAATAGTGGATCCATCTATTAACCGGTTCCAAGTTATGAGACGTGTCCAAAGGAATGTTGACTTGGTGTGCACCTAAACACTATTTGTGAAGAGGCTTTGGACTTCGAGCATGAAACGGGGTCAGAGGGTCAAGGCCAGGGCGTTACTTAATTTCAGCTCCTGTTGATGGATTCATTGACTTCAGATAGTGCGTTTAAAAAAGCCTGTTTAATGTGTTTGTCTTTTGATAATTATTATGTATTTACATATGCTCCTAAAAGCATGAGTTAAATCTTATTTCTTTGAAACAGTGCTTGGCAACAACTTGTATTGTCTTGTACATGCCTTTTGTGTCTTTGCTTTTGGTTGGGGGGGGGCATTGAAATTTGTCTGCCCATCCCCTGAGGGCAGATACTGAGGTGTGGACCTATGTCTTCAGCTTCCTGTATAGCATTGAAGTTGCTATAGCTGCATGTTCTCTAAAATTTTTATACATGCGATTTAATTGTTAAAGCTTATGATTTTTAAGTATAGTATTCTGATAGCAAATAGATTTTGTCAAATAAAAACTAACTTTATCATCACCACTGAGATATCACTAGGTATATGGCTTAGTTCTCAGTCACCACTTTTATTTGTAAGGAAGTCTTAGAAGTTTTCACAAGTGTATATGTGATAGACTGGGCACAGTGGCTCACGCCTGTAATCCCAGCACTTTGGGAGGCCGAGTCAGGCAGGAGTTCGAGACCAGCCTGGCCAACATGGCAAAACCCTGTCTCTACTAAAAATAAAAAAATTAGCCGGGCATGGTGGCACATGCCTGTAATCCCAGCTACTCGGGAGGCTGAGGTTGGAGAATTGAACCTAGGAGGCAGAGGCTGTAGTGAGCTGAGATCCTGCCACTTCACCCTAGCCAGGGCAACAGAACGAGACTCCATCTCAAAAGAGAAAAAAAAAAAAAAGCTGGGTGCGGTGCTCACGCCTGTAATCCCAGCACTTTGGGAGGCCGAGGTGGGCAGATCACCTGAGGTCAGGAGTTCGAGATCAGCCTCAACATGGAGAAACCCCGTCTCTACTAAAAATACAAAATTATCCAGGCGTGGTGGTGCATGCCTGTAATCCCAGCTACTTAGGAGGCTGAGGCAGGAGAATTGCTTGAACCTGGGAGGCAGAGGTTGTGGTGAGCTGAGATCGCGCCATTGCAGTCCAGCCTGGGCAACAAGAGCGAAACTCCATCTCAAAAAAAAAGAAGTATATATATGATGCTTGCTTTAGCAGCACATATACTAAAATTAGAATGATTAAAGAGATTAACCTGGCCCCTGCACAAGGATGACATGCAAATTTTGTAAAGTGTTTTATATGGAACTTTACTTACATGAGGTACCTAGGGTAGTAAATTCATAGATACAGAAAGTAGAATGCTGATTGCCAGGGGCTGAGAGGATGAGGGACTGTGGAGTTAGTGTTTAAAGGGCACAGAGGTTCAATTTGGCAATATTGAAAATAGTTCAGTGGGGAAGATGGATGGCCGTGATGCATCGTCCATCACATTGCACAGCATCGTGAAATATACTTAATACCCTGAGCGTTACACTTAAAATGGTTAAAACAGTAAGATTTATGTTATATATATTTACCATGATAGGATATATATATGTATATTCATATCATTCGCCATTGTGAATAGCAAGGAGATTGAAGAAATAAGGACACAGGATCTTCAATAAATATGTATTAAATGCTTCCCATGTTCCACATTCTTTGTCATTGCCAGACACGTCACAGGTATAAGGGCCCAATCTTTGTTACTCAAATAATTTAGAATAATTTAGAATTTGCTTGGGGAGACTTTGGATAAACAGTTAAGAAGCTGTATCCATTAGGTAAAGGGACATTGCTTGCTGCGTCTCGTAGCATTTGGTAGTCTCGTTAGACAGCCGTTCTTACTCCTATCGTTTGCTGAAATTTATTAGCAAAGGAAAGAATCTTAGTTTTCAGCTCGTTCAGCCGCATGATTTCATAGGCTCAGGAAAACCATGTAATATGCCCAAGGTCAGACGTGATGAATAAGACTAAAGACTGAATCTATTCCAGTGTCTCTGTGTCCAGTGATACTTACTTACTGCTGTTGCCAAGTTAAACAAAACTGGGTTTGCAGAGCTGTTTATTCACCTTCAGCATCTTTTCATTGAAAATGCGGTAGATAGAAGAAATGTCCCTCTTTTAGCATTTGTACCTCAGTAATAAGATGCTTCCCAAGCTCAAAGACTCCACACCCTTAAATATGTAAGTCAGTGTTAAGATATTTAAAGAGAACATGAATATCAGCTACATTGTGCATGTTGCAGGATTTTTATATTATTTTGTATCTTCTGCTTAGAAGTCATAAGCCAGCCCATGAACCATGCCAACAAACATACCTTCTTCCATGTGATTATTGCAGCCAGATTTTTCAGTGCAGGACAAGCAAAGTTTTCTCTGAAAGCATGAGATAATAATTCTCAGCCAGGTCTTCGCCATTTGCAAGGGATCAGACATAAGAGTTTTTAGCTCTGTTGATGTTAATAGCTAGAGCCCCTGTTAGCAGATGGCATGTTAGTGGCCTGTTGCTGCTGGCTATTAAATCATACACATTGGCCAGGCACGGTCGGTCACACCAGTAATCCCAGCACTTTGGGAGGCTGAGGCGCACAGATCACAAGGTCAGGAGTTTGAGAGCAGCCTGACCAACATGGTGAAACCCCATCTCTACTAAAAATAAAAAACTAGGCAGGCATGGCGGCACATGCCTATAATCCCAGCTACTCAGGAGGCTGAAGCAGGAGAATCACTTGAGCCCGGGAGGCGAAGGTTGCAGTGAGCCGAGATCACGCCACTGCACTCCAGCCTGGGCGACAGAGCGAGACTCCGTCTCAAAAATAAATAAATAAAAATATTAAAAGTAAATGATACACATCATGAGATCATCTCCCAAGGCAGCAGAGAATTTTGCGTATTTTTTTCTTAGTTTATATTGTTGCAACAGAGTAATTCTTCTTGATCACAGACTTTGCTTTTTTTGTTGTTATTGTTTCTAAGTTTCACTTGATCCTCAAAATAACCTGAGACAGACAAAACAGATAGGTTTTCCCATTAATCTCCTTCATGAGTCTGACTTTGCCAGCCAGGCTGATCTTATATCCATAGCCCTGGATGCATTTATTTATGTTATTCCATCTGCCTATAATGCCCATCCCCAATCTTGGCCTATTACATGTGTCTAACATTACTTTGATGTGTACATGTCAGTGAATTACCACTTAACTGATTGTTAGCTTTTTGAGAGTATGTATCAAATCTCATGTGCATTTGTGTGTCCTGAAACAAATTATTAGGTATAAAGTATGTATTGCAAATACCATGCCCAGGGAATATTTCAGAGCTGTGGTTCTCCAAGTGTGGTCCTTAGTCTAGCAACATCAGCATCGCCTGGCATCACCTGGGAACTTGTTGGAAAAGCACATTCCATGATCCCACCCCTGACCTCCTGAATCAGCAAAGCTAGGGATGGGGCTGAGCAATCTGTATTTTATCAAGCTGTCCAGGTGACATTGATAAATGCTAAACTTTGCGAATTACTGATTTAGAGACTAATCAACTCATTAAAAAGTTAATAAATAGGTGAGAATCCATTGTAGCACCCCAGTCACCTATGCTATTATCTTCTAAATTCACATTATACAAATTGTATGCCACAAAAATGTTTAAGGTGAAAACCCAAAGGAATTGATGCATTGGATTAATTCACAAAAATTTAACAGCTGCAATTCATAGAAAAAAAATGCATGCATATCTGATAATTAGTTGTAGATTAAAAGGTGAACAACTTCTTATTATTAATACCAATGAAAATGTAATTTTTTAAAAATTATGGCCAATTGGTAGTTTTTTAAAAATCTGTTATGCCTTGTCATGATAAGGATAGGTGAAAAGGAACTTTCATAAACTATTGCTAAGTATATGGGTGAAACCTTTTAGACTATTTGGGTCTACCTAATAAATTAAAATGTTCAGTCTTTTCTAATTTTAGCACCGTATTTCTACAGATACACTGGCATATCTGTGGAGAGGGGCACTTCTGCTTGTCACCTGATATCCCTTACTACTACTAATATTTTTATAAGCATTATTACCTTTAAAATCATGTTAAAGGGTAAATGATGTGCAACAGACTCAGTTTCCCCTTCTCTGACTCCTGTTTAGTTTACATCTCTTTTCTCTCTCTCATTTGGGGGCTCAATACCCTTAAGATTATAGAGAAATTGCAGTAGGTAATGTTGGCTGGAAATGCTAACTTGTAAGAAACTTGGGTGGAAATGGTTTAAGCCATCAGCCTAAACGATCAGTGAAAATGTCAGACATTCTCCGCTTTCTTCTTCCAAGATACTATACTCTACTGTGGCCTTAGAGTTCTTAATTCCTATATAATTCTGATTAAAAAGGAAGGAGATGCTCCTAATATACCTTGCTGTTGTCCCCTCCTGTTCATTAGGGTAGCTGATGTCAGTCAAAATAAAGTCTAGAAATTCTTGAGTACTTTTTTTTTTTGTAATATACTGAGAATGCTTGAAGCAAACTAACCAAATTTAAGTGTTTTAAGGATATTAACAGTAACAGGAGAGCCCCTCGATTTTCTGCTAAGAATCAACCTGAACAGTTTCCAGACTGCTGGTTGGCAATGTCAGTATCATGAGAAAAACTGAAAAAATAAGAAACTTTAGAGAAAAAGAGGAATCAGTGCAGGCTAGGGGAATGAACTTGGTAATCCAGTAGTCTTTCCCTGCCAGCATTTTGATTGATAAGCTAAGTGTCTGCTTTTTCTCATCCCTTATTTTTTGGCAGGAAACCAGTATTTTGATACTTGAATGCCTTCTTTCTATCTTAAGGGAGAAGCCTTCTTAAACTTCAAGTGTGAAGTAGATCCTTTAGGTATAGGATGAAAAATTAAGTGGGACTATTTGTGAATTACTAAATCGCAACCATTAAAGAAACTAATGCCCTAATTAGCCTGTCTTTTGACAGACATGGCATCCATATGTAAGTCTAATATTGTATGCAAATGTGAGACAGGTTTTGCTTTCTAGATCTCTTTGATGTGAAAGGAAAAGCTGGCTTCCTGGCTTCCTTCCCATGTTCTGTATGGACCTGCCTTCATCCTGCTGCCAACAGCTCCTCAAGGGAACATGAAAGTGGAATTAAACCCTCCTGGTTTTCAGATTCAGAATCCTGGGTGATTAAGTGGCTTGATCAAAATCAGAAACTGTGAAAGTGCTAAAAATGGTCAAGGCCCAAGGAGTTCCTCATGTGTGGTCAAAAGCCTTTCAGAAATCAAAGTGTGTCTTTAAATACCTGGGGTGCAAAAATCAGATGTTTTTTATTTAAAGAAAAATAGGTATATTAGAGCAGAACTGGGGGCCCTCTGTAGGAGCCTGAGTCTGGGTGTTTACTGTCGTCTAAGGCCTTGTTAATGTGGGCTTGAGGCTTCGGAATCCACGAACAGGGGAAGCTAGCGTCTCTCGCTGACTCCAGTCCTAGCTCGAGCTTTCCATACTGCCCTACGTGACTTCTGCACTTTTGTGCCATCAGCCAGTAGACTGAGAAAAGTATCTGGTATTTGTCGGTGTCTTCGGTTTAGCTGCTTTAAGTCCTTGGATGGAAAAGGCTGATTGTCATCCTGAAATCATTGTCTCCTAATGTGTAATTGGGGCCAAGTGAAGCACAGTAATTTAGAGGAATTCTAGTTAAAAATACAGATTCTTGGGCTCTACCTCAGACCTACAGAGATCTGCATTTTTCTTATTCCCCCAGGTGATCCTTTAAACATTCAGAGGTTTTTAAAACTCATGCTTATATGCAATAACAAAAATATAAGGATTCTTAGAAACTTGTTATATTTGTCTTGAACATGGGATGACAGACATTGTCATTTTCATTGAAAAAAAAAATGAAGCAGAGACTCAGAATGTATTTAGAGACAACTCTAAATACATTCTGGCAGAGCCTAACTACTGGATTGCAGAGATCCTCCCTGCTTCCCCCAGTCCCCATCTATAAACTGGCCATGTGAATTTCTAGTGGTGTTCACTTCCAAAGTGGTGATTTTATAAAATATTACAATGAAGCATTATTAACCTCAAGAAGTTCAGATGCATAGAGAGTTTATTTGGGTGTGGCAGCATTAGTGGCTAGGTTTTATTTATCCAAGATAAGACTTCTTATTAGCTATGAAAAGGGATTGGCATAAACTGCTTATTAATGTCCATTAACTGTATCTAAAGGGAATAAACAGTATAAAAGGCCAGGCATGGTGGCTCACACCTGTAATCCTAGCCCTATGGGAGGCTGAGGCAGGAGGATCATTTGAGCCCAGGAGTTTAAGACCAGCCTGGGCAACATGGGGAGACCCTGTTTCTACAAAAAGTCAAAAAAATAATAAGCTGGGTTTAGGGGTACACACCTGTAATCCCAGCTAGTCAGGAGGCTGTGGTTGGAGGATCACTTGAGCCCAGGAGTTGGAGGTTGCAGTGAGGCCTGGCGGCACCACTACACTCCAGGCTGGGTGACAGAGGGACGACCTTATCTCAAAACAAACAAAAACAAAAAACTGTATAAGCATAAGATGGGCTTGAGTCACAAAATTCTGCCTTTCATAACTTTCCCCCATTTGCTGTTTGATTTGCTGTTTCAGAAATTGTGAACCTACTTCTCTACTTATAGAACATTTACCTCCCTCTTAGATTCTTCCCTTTCTATCATTGATACTGACATTCTGCTTAAAGAATTATCCATTTAGGCTCTCTTCAAATCCAAAGTGATATTATTTTATTTTAATAAGAGATGAAAGGGAAAATTGACAAAATGTGCCTGGAGTTGTCAGCATTGTAAATGATGGACTGTAAAAGCTTCGTCTTGGAAGATTGTCAGAGAGCCTAGTGCCAGCTCAAAAAGTGTGGTCTTTTTAGAGAATTGACAGAAATGTTACAAAGAAAACATGTGCTGAATACCAACTCCAGGTGCGAATCCTGAGAAGCAACTCACTCTATTCTGCAGTAGGAGATGAATTTTGCAGGTTATACAGCAGAGCAATTTAAACTCCCTTGTTTCTTAAAGTATATCCTATAGTGACTTGGGATGGAAGTCATATACTATCCCCTTTTTTGTTCCTTCAAAGTAAATACACCACAGAGCTGGAGATGTCCCAGACACAGGGGGAAGCTGTTTGGATTTTTCCCACTGCCTGTAATGAAGCAAGATAGGGAGGAAGAACTTGGGAACTTGCGTGGCAAATGGTCAAGTAAAGAAAAAGAAAAGCTTTTTCTTTACTTGACCATTTGTCACATGTGCTTTCAAATCCTGAACTGAGTCACATCTGAAATAAATCACTTCCTTGTCATTTCCATGAAAGGGGCAGTACAAGAAATTCCTTGCACATCCCTGGTGAGCCCCTTGTTACTCTCAGATTCAGCTATTGCCTTCAGGAAAAAAAGAAAAAGAAGCCGAAGAAAGAAAGAAAACAGAATCCTCTAGAAAAAGCTATTCTGACCTGTGCTCTTTCTTTTGTCTGAGTGTGACTAGATAAATGCATTAGTCTGCTAGGGCTGCCATAACAAAATACCAAAATACCACAGACTGAATCCTTCAACAACAGAAATTATTTTTCTCATGCTTCTGGAGGCTGGAAGTCCAAGATCAAGGTACCAGCAGGTCGGTTTCTGAGGAGGCCTCTCTTCCTTGATTTACAAATGGCCACCTACGCATCATGTCCTCACATGGTCTTTCTCAGAGAGAAAGAGAGGTGTCTCTTCCTCTTCTTCTTTTGTTTTGTTGAGACAGAGTTTCGCTCTTGTTGCCCAGGCTGGAGTGCAATGGCACGATCTTGGCTCACTGCAACCTCCACCTCCTGGGTTCAAGCGATTCTCGTGCCTCAGCCTCCCGAGTAGCTGAGATTACAGGCATGCCTGGCTAATTTTGTATTTTTAGTAGAGACAGGGTTTCTCCATGTTGGTCAGGCTGGTCTCGAACTCTCGACCTCAGGTGATCCACCTGCCTTGCCCTCCCAAAGTTCTGGGATTACAGGCGTGAGCCCCGCACCCGGCCTCCTCCTTTTCTTATAAGGACACCTGTCCTATTGGATCAGAGTCACACCCCCATGACCTCATTTAACCTTAATTATCTCTTTAAAGGTCTGATCTCCAAAGGTCCCTTGAGGGTTAGGGCTTTGATACATGAATTTTCAGGGGCACACAGTTCGATCCATAGCAGTTGGCTTATTCATACTTTGGGTAGATCCTCTTCATCGTTCCTCAGCTACTGTCTATTTAGTGCACAGCTTCTTTATCCTAAAGCTAGTCAGGGGAGGCATGGAAGGTATTATTTCTCCTGTTTCTGCACCTAAGGCATTAAAACGAGGTTGTGGTCTGGCAGCCTAAACTCGGCCTTGATGAACTTCAAATCCTAGACCTCCTTGGTATGTGAAGTGCATACACTTGTATGGAGGGATTTGACAGGTTTTTTTTTTTTTTTTTTTTTTGAGACAGAGTCTCACTCTGTTGCCCAGGCTGGAATGCAGTGGCACGATCTCGGCTCACTACAGCCTCCGCCTCCCGGTTTCAAATGATTCTCCTGCCTCAGCCTCCTGAGTAGCTGGGATTATAGGCGCGCACCACCACACCCAGCTAATTTTTGTATTTTTAGTAGAGACGGGGTTTCAGTATGTTGATCGGGCTGGTCTCGAATTCCTGACCTTGTAATCCACTCGCCTCGGCCTCGCAAAGTGTTGGGATTACAGGTGTGAGCCACCGCGCCCAGCCCAGATTTTTTTAAATTAGTTTTTAGTGTATCCACACTGTTAAAGCAGGTGGATACTGCTGGATAGTATAACAAAGTATAGTGTGACAAACCCATAACCAAGCATTGTTAGCTATATTTTCTCATGTCTTGAGCCAAAAGGTCACAGTTAACCTAATGTTGCTACTAAACACTCATACCATAAAACATTCTATTCCAGTCTTCCAGATTTTACACAAGAATAAAATGAAAACTTTTAGACTACTGGAGATTTTTTTTTAAATACACAATTTGTTGAATGTGAACGCTAAATTGAAATTGACATGCTAAGTTTTATAGATTACTTCAGCTGCCCTGACTTCAGTAAATTTAGTTGTGACACAGGTACAACAGCTGACTTCTTTCTGGCATTAGAGGTGGTGATGTTTCGTCACTCTGGAGTTAGTAAAACCTGAAACCCGCCAGGCATTTGACACACAGTTTGCTGCCAGGGACAGCTCAGCTTCTGGCTTATTGGAGAGGAAATGACCTAACCTCTGTGTTTACAAAGTGTTTGAAACTGAGGCCCTTCCACTTCCTTGCTGAGTGTAAGGGTTGACCTGGCATCCAAAATCCCCATGATCTTCTCAGGATAAGTCATGCAGCCATTGGTGGTCAAGAAAGGATTTGTTCCCTGTGGAAGGGCATTGGAAGAGGAACAGAGCTGAAACACACGGGTGTTCAGAGGGAAAACATCTCTGCACTTAAGAGGGCTAGATTAGACTATTAGACTATTATCATAGAGCTCGTGATTCATCTCCTTTGTTTAATTCCAGCCTTGAGTAAAGGACTCACTAAGAAACCACATTCGGCCGGGTGTTGTGGCTCACGCCTGTAATCCCAACACTTTGGGAGACCGAGGCAGATGGATCACAAGGTCAGGAGTTCAAGACCAGCCTGGCCAATATGGTGAAACCCCGTCTCAACTAAAAATACAAAAATTAGTCGGGGATGGTTGCGGGCGCCTGTAGTCTCAGCTACTCGGGAGGCTGAGGCAGGAGAATTGCTTGAACCTGGGAGGAAGAGGTTACAGTGAGCCGAGATCACGCTACTGCATTCCAGCCTGGTGACTGGAGCGAGACTCCATCTCAAAAAAAAAGAAACCACATTCTATTCCAGTATATTTATTATAACCAGAAATTCTTGTCTTATCAGCAAATAGCTAATATTCACTTACATGGGCAGTGTATTAGATTCCTAGGGCTGCTGGAACCAGTTACCACAAACCGCATGGCCGAAACCAACAGAAATATACTCTCATTATCTCATTATTCTAGAGGTTAGAAGTCCTAAAGCAAGGTGTTGCCAGGGCCACACTGCCTCTTACAGCTCTAGGGGAGAATCTGTTTCATGCCTTTCGCTTGCTCTAGTGCTGCTGCCAGCCCTTGATATTCCTTTGGTTGGTACATGCACCCCTCCAATCTCCACCTCTGTCTTCACATGGTGTTACTCCCCATGTCTCTGTTTCTGTGTCTTCTCTAATATGATTAAGGGCCCACCCTTCTCCATTGTGACCTCATCTTATATCTGCAAAGACCCTGTTTCCAAGTAAGGCTGTATTCTTAGGTGTAGGCATTAGGACTTCAACATATATTTTGGGGGAAAATTCAACCCATAATGCGGTTATGTTTTTATTTTCCTTGACTTTTAAGAATGTGAACTATTGTCAAATTTTTTCAACCACTATCAAATTTAAATCTAAGAACTACATGTCTTAAATTTATGACCTCTTCATTAAAAAAAAAATAATAACATTTAATTGGTACCAAAACGTGAAAGAGTTTAATGCTTTGCATTTGCTTGAGGCTGATTAATGAGTAAATGTGTCAACTGTGGCTGTTTTAATTAGCCAGGGTTAATTAATGTTTACCACACTTGGAAGATGAAAAGGCATGTATAAATGCTCTATAATGTGAATCATTTTTTAATTTGTTGTTGAAGCTTATAGTGTAGCCAAGTAAGGATTGCTTACATCATACTTACAAAGGGAGGTTCATTAATGGATACAAATACACAGTTTGATAGAAGAAGCAAGACCTAGTATTTAATTATCAGCAAGGTGACTAATTTACAGTAATCTACTGTATATTTAAAAATAGCTAGGAGAACCTAATTTGAAAGTTTCTAGCGTAAAGAAGACAGGCTGGGCACGATGGCTTACACCTATAGTCCCAGCACTTGGGAAGGCCGAGGTGGGAAAATCACTTGACCCCAGCAATTCAAGACTAGCCAGGGCATCATAGTGAGACCCCATCTCTACAAAACAAATATTTAAAAATTAGCCAGGTGTGATGGTGCATGCCTGTAGACCCAGCTGCTCTGGAGGCTGAGGTGAGAAGATCACTTGAGCCCAGCAGTTCAAGGTTCAAGTGAGCTATGATCACATCACTGCACTCCAGCCTGAGTGACAGAGAGAGACCCTTCCTCAAAGCAAAAAGAAAAGAAAAACATTTAAGTGATGGATATCCCATTATACTGATTTGATCTTTCCAAATTATATGAATATATTAAGTTTTCTCATATAATCTGAAAATATGCACATCTATTATGTATCAATAAAAAATAAAATTTTAAAAATGTAAAAAACGATGTTGGAGCACTATGGTACTTAACGTAGAGGCTCTGACTTTTGAGGTACATTCATTACCTGTTACTGAAGTTGAGTATGCTTTAATATTGTATGTTTAGAAAAGGTAGTTACATTTTTAAATCTGATTGTGTAAGAAGAAAAGAGTAGAAATGTTTGGGGCCAAGTCAATAATTATTTAGTATATCATAATTTGAGATGAAATGTGTTTTTTTTTTTCTTTTTTAGTTTCAAGTTGAAACATTTTAAGAACAGATAAGGAAAGGCTAACTGTGCTGAGATGAAAATAACATTTTTAAAGTAACTATCTTAAAGAAAATACATTTCTAGAATTTTGTGTAAATTTTCAACAAAGACTCAGAAGCCTGGATGAGGTCTTGTGCCAAGACTGGAAAGTGTGGGGATTAGAAAAAGTTTGAAGAGATTGTTGTGAGATCCTCTCGTATGAGGCCTGAAGCTGTACATCCATGGAAAGCAGTTACCCCAGGCGGGAAAACAGGTTATCCATTCTCGAGTGAGTGGCCGGGTGGGAAATAGTCCATCATGTCGAATGGATCGTACTTTCCAGCACCAAGATTTGTGGTTCTCTAGGTGAATAAGATGACACCCCTTCACTTCACTTCACTTCACCATTGTCTGCATGGAGTACGTATCTAAAAACAAATTAGCAAAAAGGTTGGGTCTACTTTACTTTTCATCTCCTACACTATTTTCTTCTTTGTTCTCGGCAGGAAAAGATGAAGTTGCATTTTATTATTATCTCATAGGATTCTTATTCTAAAATGATTTGATTTAAAACCCATTGCACTTTATTTGGATAAAAAATGCTTCACTCTCTAGTTCTTAACAATAACACCAGCCTGATTTTATTACGTTAAGCACTGCAATTAGACAATACAAAGAATTTGCAGCAACAACATGTTATTTTATCATGGGTGGAACTGTTCATTGTCTAGCAGAATTTATTACCAGATAAATCCCTTTTGGGGAATCTAATGTGGATGTTTTTTTCAAAGCGCCTGTGGAGTTCTGCTAGTATTGGGAACGTTTCCATTTTCATTCTGATGCTTCCCTGTGGGCTGTTTCAGCATAGAAGTGAGCTCTCTGGGTCCATGTTTCCATTGGCTCCACCCAATATTCTGAAAGATTGCAACTCAACATGTGTAAACAGAACCTTTCTCCCCCATATTTTCTCTTTTCGTAGATTAAACTCAGGTCAAGAATTAGAAGTTTATCCTCCACCCCGATAGCATCTCGCCCTATCCCAAATACCGCCACCAAAATGCCCACTGTTTTTCCTTGGGCCAGTTCCTGAAATATCTTTCTGGCTGTATCACTCTTGTGTGCATCCTTATCGGCTATGCTTTTGGCCATTTTTTACTGCTGACTTGTCTGGTTAGTCTTTTATAATCTCCAGGCTTCTCCTCCATCCTTTTTTTACAGTTTACCTGTTCATGAAGCGCAGGTCACTTGACCCGTAGAATTCCCATAGGCTGGGATTTTGCTAATTGCATACTCATGGTATAGGTCAGTGTATTCCTCTGCCCTCTGTATCCCACAAACTGAAAGCCTCTTGGCTAAGCTGCTTCCCTTTTCACTTCCCTTGTACCACAGCAGCCAGAAGAGTCACAGATCCTGGGCAGCTTGTCCTCTGTGCCTCGGTACATGCACTTGTATCTGCTAGGACAATGATCTCTTTCCCTGGGGCCCCACTGTAATATCACTAGTCACATCCCTAAAGCCCAGGCTTGTTTCTTTGTCATTCTGTCGGTATCCCTACCATAACACTTGTAATAGTAATTATTTTTATGCCCATCTTTTCTTCTGAACCATGAGCCCTTCAAGTGAAAAGAAATTGATGAAGTTATTTCTAGCACTCCCCTGGAAAAAGGAAGGCAGGCAGGGAGGGAGGGGCTCACTAGTTTATGATAAAGTGGTTTGATTTTCTTGGTTGCAGATTATTTCTTTTAAAGTGACTCTTTTCAGCTTCTCTCACTCCTGTGCATCGTGAATGCTCTCCTGAAGACAGACGCTTTCCATTCATTTCCAAGCCCCCCATGTGAAGTGCTTTCTGTTGCCAGGCTTGGTTTCCCCACACGTTGTTAAAGAAGTTAAAGAAGCTTGTGAATAAGCTAAAGCAGAGGAGAAAGAACCATTGCTATATCTAGAATTGTTCACCAGAAAGCAAGTTTTGTGTTAAAGAAAACACGAGTAGGCCACTGTGCAGAAGTGCTTACAGGGTTTGTGTGCTTTTTAAAATCTGCATAAATAAACATTTCAAATGAGCTATCATATATACAAGGATGATGTGCTGTCTGTGGGAAAAGGACCCAATCCTGTGTTGTGATTTTACATATATATATATATATAATTTGTGCTATTACACACTTGCCTGATCCCCTTATAATTATCTGCATAAGTCTTTTTAGGCTCTTTGAATGAAATTCACTATGTATGGATGTTGAAAATCATCCTTTCTACCATGAGCTCATCAGACTTGCTAACCAATTCTTTGCATCCTTTGAAGTATAAAATTCCATCAATTCAGCATGTATCAACATGAATCAATTAGAATGCACTTTCTTCACAGCATGGCGGAGTTTTTGCTGGCTGCCGGGAGGGGCACTGTTTCCCAATTCATTCATTTGCTTGGGCCCGCCCCAGGATCCTTCTTATCCCGGTCAGATAGACTTCTCTCATGAGCTTGAGAGACGGGGCTGGTCACACAGGACACGGCTTTAGGGACACGACTCACTGAAACTACAAAATGAGTGCTGCTCTTAGAGTTGTACCCACAGCCTGCACAGCTGTTATGGCAATGCTGTGGGCAAGTCTTGCTACGGCCCATTCTCCTCCCTCCCTTGTCCTGTTGGAAGGTTCAGGTTGGAGCTGAAATTCAGTCCAGCACGCAGCTGGACAAGCCATGTCTCCTGTATGTGACTCACTCCCCAGAGAAAGCATCATGTGGACTAGTAAGGGCTTGGCTTTATCAGAAGCAAAGGAGAGGTTTACATCTCTTCTTGCTCTCTCTTAGTGGGTTCAGAGCTCCAGCAGAAAAAATGGGACACTGTGGATTGATCTCCAGAAAACCCCAAAACCAGCACTGAAGGCTCCAGGAGATTATGCCTTTAGATTGTATACAGGCACCAGAATGACTTTTGCCTTTATAAAAATGCGTGCAAGAGCATGAAAACTAATATTTGAGGAATTTTTTTTTCTCACTGTACTTTCTGGTCCTCACTGAAAGCATTGGCAGTTTTAAAAAATGAAATGTGATACTGTTATAGACGTAGCAAACCTCACGTTTCATTTTTTCCAATTCATTCTATATCTAGGAACTTACTTAGAAGGAGAAACAAACTGTACCCAGAAAAAGGAATGAAACTGGAGAATTCTTCCTCATGATTCCTCTGTGTCCTCAGGCCTAATTATCCTCATTCCAAAGACTCTCCATTGCCTCAATAACTTCGAAAAATTTACTCTCCTTAAGCATAGTCATAAAAATTGCATAGTAAAGTGATAAAGAGACGAAAATAATGCTGTAAGAATAAAACCATTAAAAAAAAACCACTACTCTTGATTATTTCTGCTGTTAGAATTGTAAATGAATTCTCATTCCTTTTTTCTACATTTTTGGCATGAAATTTATGTTACTCTTATAATTAGTAAAAACATTATATTTTATTAATAAAAGAAGACTCACAGTGAAGTCATAACATATGCTGCAGAGGTTAGACTCTTCAAGTCAGATTTGAAGAGAGAATTTCACGTAACAATCACCTTGAAATGTCTTCAGGTCAGCCATCAAAGTACACATCTCTCAACCAGCCAGGCAGCCAGTTTTTCCTCCAGCATGTGAAGAGTGAAGAGATAGCTGTTTCTTGGCTTAAAGACCATATGAAATAATTGACTTATGTTTAAAAGATATGAGGGATCAGGCCGGGTGCAGTGGCTCATGCCTGTAATCCCAGCACTTTGGGAGGCCGAGGCGGGTGGATCACAAGGTTAGAAGATCGAGACCATCCCGGCCAACATGGTGAAACCCTGTCTCTACTAAAAATACAAAAACTAGCCGGGCGTAGTGATGCGCGCCTGTAATCCCAGCTACTCAGGAGGCCGAGGTTGCCATGAGCCGAGATTACGCCTCTGCAGTCCAACCTGGTGACAGAGCAAGACTCTGTCTCCAGTTAAAAAAAAAAAAAAGGCATCAAAATTACATTCACTTCTATTTTTATTTTTGTTTGTAGAAGACATGCAGTTTGTATCACATTAATGGGCATATGATGTAATTTCACTATAAATCGAACCAGAGGAAGACATCCAAATATGTATAAATTAAAGCTGACAATGCCTACAGTACTAAACTTTTTGTTTTAGTATAATTGGAGACTTAGAAAAGTTCTAAAAATATATTTAAAAATTTTTAAAGGAAGTTGCAGACATAATGGCCCTTTACACCTAAATACTTCACTGTACGTTTCCTCAAAACAAGAAGATATGTGTGTGTGTGTTTGTGTGTGTGTGTTGTAATCTTAATACAGCATCTTTCAGAGATTATTTCTGTAGTATATAAACTTGGTTTTTTTGTTTGTTTGTTTGTTTGTTTGTTTGTTTTGAGATGGAGTCTCGCTCTGTCGCCCAGGCTGGAGTGCAGTGGCACAATCTTGGCTCGCTGCAAGCTCCGCCTCCCAGGTTCACACCATTCTCCTGCCTCAGCCTCCTGAGTAGCTGGGACTACAGGCGCCTGCACCATGCCCGGCTAATTTTTGTATTTTTAGTAGAGACGCGATTTCACCTCGTTAGCCAGGATGGTGTCGATCTCCTGACCTCGTGAACCGCCCACCTCAGCCTCCCAAAATGCTGGGATTACAGGCGTGAGCCACCGCGCCTGGCCATAAAGTTGTTTTTTAGTCTCTACTTTAAGTTCCTGACAACCCAGGCAGGACCAAGACTCCCTAATGTAGTTGGAAATCAGATCAGCACATTGGCACAAGTTCTACAGGTAAACGGGAAAAAGGAGCCCTACAATCTGCTTTTAGATGCCAGGGAGCCTGGCTGGTCTTTATCTTGATTACTGACTGATGCCACTGGTAGGTCTAAGTTCTTTGATCTATGATGTTTGAAAGCCAAAAGGAAATGTGTTTTAAAGGAAAAGGGACTTCTTCTGTACCCTCAGTCTAAGCCAGACAAGTGATATTTCAGGAAAATGTCCCTAGCAATAAGGAATATTTTCACAAATGATGTGAAGCTTTGTTTGTGTCCCTTCCAGGGCAGTTTGTTACCATAAGGGGACAAAGCATGCTTCATTTAAACATGTGTGGCCAGGAAACTGTTATTTTTAAACAAAAATAAACCCCGATTTAGACATGTAGTCTGAGTTTTAACTCTGGGAGATTTTCAAGATTGATAGTGTAGCTAAAAATAACTGACCTAATTTTCTGGAGGTCAAGATAAAAACTGGATTTGTGGTACAGCATTTACTTTGTGATAATATGTGTATAAATTCTTCCCCAAGTTGGAAAATGTGGCCGCGTCATACAGGGCTGTATCTCTCTTGACCATTGAAGTGCCTAGGTCGCTACACTACAATTTGACTTAGAGTTGGTGAAACTTCTGGCCATTCACGTAGCCATCGTATTCATCCTGAGAAAGGGAAACCTAAAGACTTGGGAGAGTGTTCTGGGAGGAAAGTGCTATTGAGAATGGGCTGTCCAAGCAAAGTGACAGGCAGGCCTCACTTAGCTAGAAGAGGGAGCTTTTCAGCCCTGCTCCACCATCAGGAATCTCCGTGACCTTGGACTACTGCTTTAATCTCTTTTATCCTGGCTTCTAAAAGATACCGTCGAATTCATTCTTTTTCAAACCTATCAAAAATTTGAAATGTATGAAAAAGAGGGTGCTTGTGATGATAGATGGGTTTATGCTTCCTTTTTTTTTTTTTTTTTTTTTTTTTTGAGACGGAGTCTCACTCTGTTGCCCAGACTGGAGTGCAGTGGCGCGATCTCGGCTCACTGCAAGCTCCGCCTCCGGGGTTCACACCATTCTCCTGCCTCAGCCTCCCGAGTAGCTGGGACTACAGTGCCACCACCACATCTGGCTAATTTTTTTTGTATTTTCAGTAAAGATGGGGTTTCACCATGTTAGCCAGGATGCTCTCGATCTCCTGACCTCATGATTCCAAAGTGCTGGGATTACAGGCGTGATATGCTTCTTTAATATTAGTTTCTAATCCAAGTAATATAGCCATGTCCTCTATAAAATGGAACTTTTCATGGAACAGTGAGAAGGTTGCATTAGGAATTGGGATACTTGGGTTCAGATTTCAGTTCTGCCACTTGCTAGTTTTAAGTATACTTCTCAGGATGGATGTCAGTTTGTTCAACTGTCAGTGGGAGTAGTGATCCCACTAAGGAAGATTATTGTGGTTATCAAATCAGCAGATGGGTATGAAAAGGCCATGAGTGCAGTTCTCATGGTTATGAAGGTGTCATAACTGGCATAGTCCCATCACAGTATGGCTTTGGCATCGCAGATGGCTGTAGCATATATGCTAATCAGAACATCCCTACCGTCCTTAAAGATCTCATGGGTTCTCTCCCAAATCAGCTGCTCCACCGACCTACAAGTAAGTCCATGCTTCTTTAGTATATTTACTCACTAGTGAAGGCCCGTCTGCTAAAAGTGTCTTCAGTAGGGGAGAGCTGCTCTTTTCTGGGAAACCCAGCAATGAAGTTTGTCCTGTGATGCCCTCTACACTTACTGACCTGTTTCCTGAGAACTTCCCGTAACAAATGGTCCAGGGAAGAAGGAAGTCTGTGACCAGTCTTTCCTTTCCTGTGGCTTTCTGGTTCAGAAATGTGACCCTGATGATAAGAAACTTCAAGGCATGACTCTGGTGTTTTGGCAATATTCCCCTGGCAGTATTGTTTCTTGGCTCACACTCATCTCATGCCTTGCTTTGTTTGCTTTGTTTTTGAGAATTGTTTTTTTGTTTGTTGTTTGTTTTTGGTTTTGGCTTGTGAGACAGAGCCTTGCTCTGTTGCCCAGGATGGCGTGCAGTTGGCACAATCTCGGCTCACTGCAGCCTCCACCTCCCGGGTTCAAGCAATTCTCCTGCCTCAGCCTCCTGAATAATGGGGATTACAGGCACACACCACCGTGCCTGGCTAATTTTTGTATTTTTTTAGTAGAGACGGGTTTCACCATGTTGGCCAGGCTGGTCTTGAACTCCTGACCTCAAGTGAACCACCCACCTCGGCCTCCCAAAGTGCTGGGGTTACAGGCGTGAGCCACCACGCCCAGCCATTATGTTTGTTTTTCTTTCATGAAGGGATAACCGAGGCTGTTGTGTGGTGGTGTCTTGGTACAGCTCGTGGCTGTGGTCAGTGTGGTGGAGGGTAGGTCTTCTCAGATGGTAACATGCATGAGAGTCACCTGGGGATCACATTAACATGCAGATTCTGATTCCCTGGATCTGGGTGGGACCTGAGGTTCTGCATGTCTAACAAACTCCCAGAGAACACCCATGTAGCAAGAGTACAGACAAAAGGATTCAAAGCGAAGGGACTGCAAGAACCATGGAACCAGCCTCCCACGATTTTGCGGATGACGAACCCGAGCCTTGGGGAGTTTCAGAGGCCATGGAGAGATGAAGTATAATAAACAGCATAGCAGTTGTATGTTGAGCCAAGAATCAGACATGCACAGAACTGCTGATTGGAAAATTAAATCTGTTTCTCATAGCCCTGGTGTGGCAAAATGCCTAGCTGGAAGTGGGTGACCGCTTGATTTACAGTGGGCCTCCTGGGTAGGGAAAATTAGTCCATCCCATTTACAGCTACTTCCAATGCAGCTGTGTCAGGGGAGAGAGAAGAAAGGACATGGAAGAGAGCGTAGAGGTATGATCTTCAGTCCTTTCAGGCAGGCACATAAGTAAATTTTTATTTAAAAGATAAGAATTGGTCATATGCGAATCTCCTGTTAGATAAGATTAAAAACAAATTTCCATTTTGTGGAGAAGTTGCAGATAAATATTTTTCCATGGGATCCAAAAGAATCAAAAAGGAAAGAAAATAGTAATAGCAGTGGAGGTTCGATCCTAGACAGAAGAAAATCCAGCAAGCCGAGGGACTTCATATTCTCACTGGTGTCCAAATCAGAGCTTTTTTTTTTTTTCTTTGTTTACTTTAAGTTCTGGGATACATGTGCTGAGCATGCAGGTTTGTTACATAGGTATACATGTGCCTTGGTGGTTTGCTGCACCCATCAACCCGTCATCTAGGTTTTAACTCCGCATGCATTAGGTATTTGTCCTAATGCTCTCCCTCCCCTTTCACCCCACCCCTGGACAGGCCCTGGTGTATGATGTCCCCCTCCCTGTGTCCATGTGTTCTCATTGTTCAGCTCCCACTTATGAGTGAGAACATGAGTGTTTGGGTTTCTGGTCCTATGTTAGTTTGCTGAGGATGATGGCCTCCAGCTTCATCCATGGCCCTGCAAAGGACATGAACTCAACCTTTTTTTTTTTCCTTTTTTTTTTTTTTTTGTATTTGCAAATTCAAATCTTTTTTTTTTTTTATTATACTTTAAGTTTTAGGGTACATGTGACATTGTGCAGCTTAGTTACATATGTATACATGTGCCATGCTGGCGCTGCACCCACTAACTCGTCATCTAGCATTAGGTATATCTCCCAATGCTATCCCTCCCCCCTCCCCCCACCCCACCACAGTCCCCAGAGTGTGATATTCCCCTTCCTGTGTCCATGTGATCTCCATTGTTCAATTCCCACCTATGAGTGAGAATATGCGGTGTTTGGTTTTTTGTTCTTGCGATAGTTTACTGAGAATGATGGTTTCCAGTTTCATCCATGTCCCTACAAAGGACATGAACTCATCATTTTTTATGGCTGCATAGTATTCCATGGTGTATATGTGCCACATTTTCTTAATCCAGTCTATCATTGTTGGACATTTGGGTTGGTTCCAAGTCTTTGCTATTGTGAATAATGCCGCAATAAACATACGTGTGCATGTGTCTTTATAGCAGCATGATTTATAGTCCTTTGGGTATATACCCAGTAATGGGATGGCTGGGTCAAATGGTATTTCTAGTTCTAGATCCCTGAGGAATTGCGACACTGACTTCCACAATGGTTGAACTAGTTTACAGTCCCACCAACAGTGTAAAAGTGTTCCTATTTCTCCACATCCTCTCCAGCACCTGTTGTTTCCTGACTTTTTAATGATCGCCATTCTAACTGGTGTGAGATGATATCTCATAGTGGTTTTGATTTGCATTTCTCTGATGGCCAGTGATGGTGAGCATTTTTTCATGTGTTTTTTGGCTGCATAAATGTCTTCTTTTGAGAAGTGTCTGTTCATGTCCTTTGCCCACTTTTTGATGGGGTTGTTTGTTTTTTTCTTGTAAATTTGTTTGAGTTCATTGTAGATTCTGGATATTAGCCCTTTGTCAGATGAGTAGGTTGCGAAAATTTTCTCCCATGTTGTAGGTTGCCTGTTCACTCTGATGGTAGTTTCTTTTGCTGTGCAGAAGCTCTTTAGTTTAATTAGATCCCATTTGTCCATTTTGGCTTTTGTTGCCATTGCTTTTGGTGTTTTGGACGTGAAGTCCTTGCCCACGCCTATGTCCTGAATGGTAATGCCTAGGTTTTCTTCTAGGGTTTTTATGGTTTTAGGTCTAACGTTTAAATCTTTAATCCATCTTGAATTGATTTTTGTATAAGGTGTAAGGAAGGGATCCAGTTTCAGCTTTCTACATATGGCTAGCCAGTTTTCCCAGCACCATTTATTAAATAGGGAATCCTTTCCCCATTGCTTGTTTTTCTCAGGTTTGTCAAAGATCAGATAGTTGTAGGTATGCGGCGTTATTTCTGAGGGCTCTGTTCTGTTCCATTGATCTATATCTCTGTTTTGGTACCAGTACCATGCTGTTTCGGTTACTGTAGCCTTGTAGTATAGTTTGAAGTCAGGTAGTGTGATGCCTCCAGCTTCGTTCTTTTGGCTTAGGATTGACTTGGCGATGCGGGCTCTTTTTTGGTTCCATATGAACTTTAAAGTAGTTTTTTCCAATTCTGTGAAGAAAGTCATTGGTAGCTTGATGGGGATGGCATTGAATCTGTAAATTACCTTGGGCAGTATGGCCATTTTCACGATATTGATTCTTCCTACCCATGAGCATGGAATGTTCTTCCATTTGTTTGTGTCCTCTTTTATTTCCTTGAGCAGTTGGTTTGTAGTTCTCCTTTAAGAGGTCCTTCACATCCCTTGTAAGTTGGATTCCTAGGTATTTTATTCTCTTTGAAGCAATTGTGAATGGGAGTTCACTCATGATTTGGCTCTCTGTTTGTCTGTTGTTGGTGTATAAGAATGCTTGTGATTTTTGTACATTGATTTTGTATCCTGAGACTTTGCTGAAGTTGCGTATCAGCTTAAGGAGATTTTGGGCTGAGACAATGGGGTTTTCTAGATAAACAATCATGTCGTCTGCAAACAGGGACAATTTGACTTCCTCTTTTCCTAATTGAATACCTTTTATTTCCTTCTCCTGCCTGATTGCCCTGGCCAGAACTTCCAACACTATGTTGAATAGGAGCGGTGAGAGAGGGCATCCCTGTCTTGTGCCAGTTTTCAAAGGGAATGCTTCCAGTTTTTGCCCATTCAGTATGATATTGGCTGTGGGTTTGTCATAGATAGCTCTTATTATTTTGAAATACGTCCCATCAATACCTAATTTATTGAGAGTTTTTAGCATGAAGGGTTGTTGAATTTTGTCAAAGGCTTTTTCTGCATCTATTGAGATAATCATGTGGTTTTTGTCTTTGGCTCTGTTTATATGCTGGATTACCTTTATTGATTTGCGTATATTGAACCAAGCCTTGCATCCCAGGGATGAAGCCCACTTGATCATGGTGGATAAGCTTTTTGATGTGCTGCTGGATTCGGTTTGCCAGTATTTTATTGAGGATTTTTGCATCAATGTTCATCAAGGATATTGGTCTAAAATTCTCTTTTTTTGGTTGTGTCTCTGCCCGGCTTTGGTATCAGAATGATGCTGGCCTCATAAAATGAGTTAGGGAGGATTCCCTCTTTTTCTATTGATTGGAATAGTTTCAGAAGGAATGGTACCAGTTCCTCCTTGTACCTCTGGTAGAATTCGGCTGTGAACCATCTGGTCCTGGACTCTTTTTGGTTGGTAAACTATTGATTATTGCCACAATTTCAGCTCCTGTTATTGGTCTATTCAGAGATTCAACTTCTTCCTGGTTTAGTCTTGGGAGAGTGTATGTGTCGAGGAATGTATCCATTTCTTCTAGATTTTCTAGTTTATTTGTGTAGAGGTTTTTGTAGTATTCTCTGATGGTAGTTTGTATTTCTGTGGGATCGGTGGTGATATCCCCTTTATCATTTTTTATCGTGTCTATTTGATTCTCCTCTTTTTCTTTATTAGTCTTGCTAGCGGTCTATCAATTTTGTTGATCCTTTCAAAAAACCAGCTCCTGGATTCATTGATTTTTTTGAAGGGTTTTTTGTGTCTCTATTTCCTTCAGTTCTGCTCTGATTTTAGTTATTTCTTGCCTTCTGCTAGCTTTTGAATGTGTTTGCTCTTGCTTTTCTAGTTCTTTTAATTGTGATGTTAGGGTGTCAATTTTGGATCTTTCCTGCTTTCTCTTGTGGGCATTTAGTGCTATAAATTTCCCTCTACACACTGCTTTGAATGCGTCCCAGAGATTCTGGTATGTTGTGTCTTTGTTCTCGTTGGTTTCAAAGAACATCTTTATTTCTGCCTTCATTTCGTTATGTACCCAGTAGTCATTCAGGAGCAGGTTGTTCAGTTTCCATGTAGTTGAGCGGCTTTGAGTGAGATTATTAATCCTGAGTTCTAGTTTGATTGCACTGTGGTCGGAGAGATAGTTTGTTATAATTTCTGTTCTTTTACATTTGCTGAGGAGAGTTTTACTTCCAACTATGTGGTCAATTTTGGAATAGGTGTGGTGTGGTGCTGAAAAAAATGTATATTCTGTTGATTTGGGGTGGAGAGTTCTGTAGATGTCTATTAGGTCCGCTTGGTGCAGAGCTGAGTTCAATTCCTGGGTATCCTTGTTGACTTTCTGTCTCGTTGATCTGTCTAATGTTGACAGTGGGGTGTTAAAGTCTCCCATTATTAATGTGTGGGAGTCTAAGTCTCTTTGTAGGTCACTCAGGACTTGCTTTATGAATCTGGGTGCTCCTGTATTGGGTGCATATATGTTTAGGATAGTTAGCTCCTCTTGTTGAATTGATCCCTTTACCATTATGTAATGGCCTTCTTTGTCTCTTTTGATCTTTGTTGGTTTAACGTCTGTTTTATCAGAGACTAGGATTGCAACCCCTGCCTTTTTTTGTTTTCCATTTGCTTGGTAGATCTTCCTCCATCCTTTTATTTTGAGCCTGTGTGTGTCTCTGCACATGAGATGGGTTTCCTGAATACAGCACACTGATGGGTCTTGACTCTTTATCCAACTTGCCAGTCTGTGTCTTTTAATTGCAGAATTTAGTCCATTTACATTTAAAGTTAATACTGTTATGTGTGAATTTGATCCTGTCATTATGATGTTAGCTGGTGATTTTGCTCATTAGTTGATGCAGTTTCTTCCTAGTCTTGATGGTCTTTACATTTTGGCATGATTTTGCAGCGGCTGGTACCGGTTGTTCCTTTGCATGTTTAGTGCTTCCTTCAGGAGCTCTTTTAGGGCAGGCCTGGTGGTGACAAAATCTCTCAGCATTTGCTTGTCTGTAAAGTATTTTATTTCTCCTTCACTTATGAAGCTTAGTTTGGCTGGATATGAAATTCTGGGTTGAAAATTCTTTTCTTTAAGAATGTTGAATATTGGCCCCCACTCTCTTCTGGCTTGTAGGGTTTCTGCCGAGAGATCCGCTGTTAGTCTGATGGGCTTCCCTTTGAGGGTAACCCGACCTTTCTCTCTGGCTGCCCTTAACATTTTTTCCTTCATTTCAACTTTGGTGAATCTGACAATTACGTGTCTTGGAGTTGCTCTTCTCGAGGAGTATCTTTGTGGCGTTCTCTGTATTTCCTGAATCTGAACGTTGGCCTGCCTTGCTAGATTGGGGAAGTTCTCCTGGATAATATCCTGCAGAGTGTTTTCCAACTTGGTTCCATTCTCCGCATCACTTTCAGGTACACCAATCAGACGTAGATTTGGTCTTTTCACATAGTCCCATATTTCTTGGAGGCTTTGCTCATTTCTTTTTATTCGTTTTTCTCTAAACTTCCCTTCTCGCTTCATTTCATTCATTTCATCTTCCATTGCTGATACCCTTTCTTCCAGTTGATCGCATCGGCTCCTGAGGCTTCTGCATTCTTCACGTAGTTCTCGAGCCTTGGTTTTCAGCTCCATCAGCTCCTTTAAGCACTTCTCTGTATTGGTTATTCTAGTTATACATTCTTCTAAATTTTTTTCAAAGTTTTCAACTTCTTTGCCTTTGGTTTGAATGTCCTCCCGTAGCTCAGAGTAATTTGATCGTCTGAAGCCTTCTTCTCTCAGCTCGTCAAAATCATTCTCCATCCAGCTTTGTTCCGTTGCTGGTGAGGAACTGCGTTCTTTGGAGGAGGAGAGGCACTCTGCGTTTTAGAGTTTCCAGTTTTTCTGTTCTGTTTTTTCCCCATCTTTGTGGTTTTATCTACTTTTGGTCTTTGATGATGGTGATGTACAGATGGGTTTTCGGTGTGGATGTCCTTTCTGTTTGTTAGTTTTCCTTCTAACAGACAGGACCCTCAGCTGCAGGTCTGTTGGAATACCCTGCAGTGTGAGGTGTCAGTGTGCCCCTGCTGGGGGTGCCTCCCAGTTAGGCTGCTCGGGGGTCAGGGGTCAGGGACCACTTGAGGAGGCAGTCTGCCGTTCTCAGATCTCCAGCTGCGTGCTGGGAGAACCACTGCTCTCTTCAAAGCTGTCAGACAGGGACATTTAAGTCTGCAGAGGTTACTGCTGTCTTTTTGTTTGTCTGTGCCCTGCCCCCAGAGGTGGAGCCTACAGAGGCAAGCAGGCCTCCTTGAGCTGTGGTGGGCTCCACCCAGTTCGAGCTTCCCGGCTGCTTTGTTTACCTAAGCAAGCCTGGGCAATGGCGGGCTCCCCTCCCCCAGCCTCGCTGCCGCCTTGCAGTTTGATCTCAGACTGCTGTGCTAGCAATCAGCGCGATTCCGTGGGCGTAGGACCCTCCGAGCCAGGTGTGGGATATAGTCTCGTGGTGCGCCGTTTCTTAAGCCGGTCTGAAAAGCGCAATATTCGGGTGGGAGTGACCCGATTTTCCAGGTGCGTCTGTCACCCCTTTCTTTGACTCAGAAAGGGAACTCCCTGACCCCTTGCGCTTCCCAGGTGAGGCAATGCCTCGCCCTGCTTCGGCTCGCGCACGGTGCACGCACCCACTGGCCTGCGCCCACTGTCTGGCACTCCCTAGTGAGATGAACCCGGTATCTCAGATGGAAATGCGGAAATCACCCGTCTTCTGCGTCGCTCACGCTGGGAGCTGTAGACCGGAGCTGTTCCTATTCGGCCATCTTGGCTCCCACCTCCCGAACTCATCCTTTTTTATGGCTGCATAGTATTCCATGGTGTATATGTGCCACATTTTCTTTATCCAGTCTATCGTTGATGGACATTTTGGTTGGTTCCAAGTCTTTGCTATTGTAAATAGTGCTACAGTAAACATATGTGTGCATGTGTCTTTACAGTAGAATGATTTATAATCCTTTGGGTATATTCCCAGTAATGGGATTGCTGGGTCAAATGGTATTTCTAGTTCTATATCCTTGCAGAATCTCCTCACTGTCTTCCACAACGGTTGAACTAACACTCTCACCAACAGTGTAAAAGCGTGCCTATTTCTCCGCATCCTCGCCAGCATCTGTTGTTGCCAGACTTTTTAATGATCACCATCCCAACTGGTGTGAGATGGTATCTCATTGTGGTTTTGATTTGCATTTCTCTAATGACCAGTGATGATGAGCTTTTTTTTTTTTTTTCATATGTTTGTTGGCCACATACATGTCTTGTTTTGAGAAGTGTCTGTTCATATCCTTTGCCCACTTTTTGATGGGGTTGTTTTTCTTTTTTTTCTGGTAAATTTGTTTAAGTTCCTTGTAGATTCTGGATATTAGACCTTTGTCAGATGGATAGATTCAGATCAGAGCTTTAACAGCCAGACTTTACAGGGAAAAGGCTGAGTGGCACCTCCTTTATATGAAGAAAATGTTCTTCTCCAACCCACTTGTGTTCAGTGGATGGAAGAAGCTGTTCAGTAATTATAACTGACACTTGTAACACATAACTGATTGATTTAATGCCCATAAATTTTATTTTCTTTAATCGTAAGATGTGACCGTTAAATTCTTAGAAGACATTTGGCTAGTGGATTAATAATTAAAAGAATATTGGATGAATTCATCTGCTTCCTATTCAGCAGTTCTTTTATTTATAAGGCTATTTTTCTCAAAATGAATGATCATGAATATCTAAGAAAAAACAAAATATTTAGCTGTTTGAAGATGAAATTATTATCTTTTGATGTTGTTTTCTTTAAAGTGTTTACAATGATAACTAAGTGGTAGGGCTTCTTCCCTCTGTTACTCTAAGTATGCCTCGTATACATCCTCAAAGCATTTTTTTTTTTTTTTTTTTTGGAGACAGAGTCTTACTCGGTTGCCTAGGCTGGAGTGCAGTGGCATGATCTCAGCTCACTGCAACCTCTGTCTCCCAGGTTTAAGCAATTCTCCCGCCTTAGCCTCCCAAGTAGGTGGGATTACAGGCGTCCGCCACCATGCACGGCTAATTTTTGTATTTTTAGTAGAGACGGGGTTTCACCAAGTTAGCCAGGCTGCTCTTGAACTCCTGACCTCGTGATCCACCCACCTCGGCCTCCCAAAGTGCTAGATTACAGACGTGAGCCACCACGCCTGGCCACCTCGAAGCATTTGTAAAAGAGCAAGGTGATGGGGTTCATTAGGTGTTTGGTATTTGAAATTAAATACCTCTGTTATTGATGAAGCCATATTTTAAATATTATCACCACTAAACTCAGTTAAATATTTCCACTGTTAACTACAAGGTTCAAATGCTTGGATATTATAGAAGATATTTGACTTCAAAGATAAACGCTACAATTTTGGGTCATAACAAATAGCTTTTAGAAGGGGAAAAAATAAGTCTTGGGAGGAAAATAAGCAGTCTCTTAGTTTAATATAGCGGTTGGCAAATATAGATGCTTAAAAGTTCTGAAAATCCCCATTGCAGGCCATCAGAGTGTTGTAATTAAGTATTAAATTAATTCAGATAAAAGGATAATCCATCAGGGCCACTAATGTAGTGGAAGTGTGGTTTCGGTGTGATTAGTCTCACCATGGAAGTCAAAGAAAGTCCCACTCAGAATGAACAATGAAAGAATCATATTTGTCTCTGGGTATTTTGTCATAGGCTCAATTGCCCAGTGCCAGTGTGTAAGCCACTGGTAAAATCCTGAGCCCTTAGTCATGTCTACAGGTAGCTGGCTGCCTTAGACATTTTATGATGACGAAATTGAATTCCACTTCTGATAATGGTAATCCATCATGTCTACCTCTTTTTTTCTCTTAAAACTACACTGACGGCCAGGCGCAGTGGCTCCCGCCTCATCCCAGCACTTTGGGAGGCCAAGGCAGGCAGATCGCCTGAGGTCAGGAGTTTGAGACCAGCCTGGCCAACATGGAGAAACTCTGTCTCTACTAAAAACATAAAAACTATCCGGTCATGGTAGTGTGTGCCTGTAATCACAGTACTCGGGACTGAGGCAGGAGAATCGCTTGAACCCAGGAGGCAGAGGTTCGTTGTTCTGAATGACATAGCCAGGGGTGGTTATTTCTAAATTTTCTGTGTTGAATTAAGATAGGAATGTGGATTTCTTCCTATTTTGAACAACGACCAAAAAAAAAAAACGAAGGCTAAGTGTGTTTCACTCTGCTAAAAATGTACCTTTTCTTGAATCTGTCACTTTTTCACTTACATTTTCTGAAAATGAATATAATTAACCACCATGGGGCTCAGCATGCTGGTGGCCATTTGGAGGAACTTTTCTACCAACAGTGTAACAGAGAAAAGAGAAAAGGGTACTACAGCGTACCTCAACCTCCCCTGACTGTTCTGTGAAGTACAAGTGTAAGATTTCTCACTGTGATCTTTTGCTCCTCTGCCTTTTTACTGCCAAGGGCTAAGATGGGCACAGGGCCCTTTCCAGCTGCCCCTGCCTGAGAAATGCTTATTTGATGACCAAAAGCAATAACCATTCCATAGGACTAACGGTGATTAAGTCAGCTTACAAATCCACAAGGGTGGAAGAGACTGCTAAAGATATTGGAACAGACATGCTTAATAATGCCTAATTTCTACAGCTACTTTTGTGATAATACGAGAGGCTGAAATAGATAGGGGCTGAACATGGGAAGGCTGGTGTTATGAAGCCCAGGACTTGGATTTCAGCACTGGTGCTTACTGGCCATTGGGTCTTGAAGAGATTGGTTCCTTTCTCCCAGCCTCAGTCTCCTTGTCCCATCAGATTAATAATGCCTGCCTTGGGAGAGGAGAGTCATACAGGAGAGGGCATTTGAGCTGGGCTCTAAAGAGTTCAAATAACGTAGATGAGCAGAGATGGGCTTCCAAGATAGCAGGAATAGAAAACAAAAGTGTCAGAATGGGTATGCATGGTCTTTTGTGGGAATACCCCAAGCTATTTAGCCTGAGAGAGAGGTGTGGTGTAGACAGCTGGAGCTGTGAGTTCCATGGCTAGAAATACGGGGTGGGCCCAGACCACAGAGGGCCTTCAGCATCTGGCAAAGGAGTTGGAATTAATTCGGTAGAAAATGAAGACCCACTGAAACAAAGAGGGAGCCATTCTTGTGTGTCAGGAACTAAGATTTCAGGAACCAAACGTAAAATAAAAACCAGCAGGGAGACCATTGTCTCAGTCGGTTTGTGCTGTTATCATGATACCAGAGACTGGGTAATTTATAAACAAACAATAGAAATACTACAATTCTGGAGGCTGAGAAGCCCAGGATCAAGCCGGGTGCAGTGGCTCACGCCTGTAATCCCAGCACTTTGGGAAGCCGAGGCGGGCGGATCACGAAGTCAGGAGATGGAGACCATCCTGGCTAACACGGTGAAACCCCGTCTCTACTAAAACTACAAAAAATTAGCCGGGCGTGGTGGCGGGCGCCTGTAGTCCCAGCTACTCGGGAGGCTGAGGCAGGAGAATGGCGTCAACCCGGGAGGCGGAGCTTGCAGTGAGCCGAGATTGCGCCACTGCACTCCAGCCTGGGCGACAGAGCAAGACTCCGTCTCAAAAAAAAAAAAAAAAAAAAAAGGCGCCTTGTGGCTGCATCCTCCAGAGGCAGCAAAAACTGTTCTCACATGGCAGATGCACATAAAGGGGCCTGTGCTGGTTTCCTCTAGCCCTTTTAGAAGGCAGTAGTCCATTCGGGGGCACGGGGTGGAACTGTCATGACTTGATTTCCAGAAGACCCCATCTCTCACTACTACCACAGTGGAGATTTAAGTTTCAACACATGACTTTGGGGGACATTCAGACCATAGCAAGCAGTGAGGAGACTATCGTAATTATCCAGGCGAAAAGTAATCATATTCCTAGGGGCGGTGAGGGTGGTGTGGAAAAGCAAGCAGGAAATGGCTGAGAGAATTCAGAAATAGAATGCAAAAGGATTTGTCGGTAGTGTGAGTACTGGACACGAAGAAATACAGGGAGTCCTGGATGGCTCTGAAGGATTCAAGCCTGTGACTGGGAGGGAGAATGGTTCTGCCATGATTAGAAAACAGGAAAGGTGGAAGGGAAAGCCAGGGACCTTGAGTACAGTTGTGTACCTACCAAGTGCATGGATCAGGAGGGAGCCCTAAGTTGGTATCTCCAGCAAACTGTTGGAAATATACAAATTTGAGTGGGAGGGAGAAGTCAAAGCTGGGGAAGTACATTTCAGATTCACCCAAAGGTAGGAGATCTTTAGAGTTTCAAGAGTCGATGGGATTTCCAAAGGGGAGAATTGTAGAAAGAGATGGAAAGAGATACAAGAAGAAAATGACAGGGATGAAGAGAGGAGAAAAAAAGAGTAAAAAGAGTTATTCAGAGATGTCACAGGGAAGAAGATAAGTACTGTGTATGCGAAACAGTGAGAACATTTCCAAATAAAGGACATGGTAAGTGATAGTAGATACCACAGACCCAAGAACAGCGTAGCCCCTGGGGAGTTCAAGAGCTTTCTCGCTGGCAAAGGTTATTTCCTGTCAAGATGAATGTGTATGCACCAATAATTATTAGTATTCCAGAATATCCTCTCTTTAGCATAGTAAGTGCTTAACAGTCACAAGCAAAAGATTTATATAAAAGAAATGCTCATTTAATTTATTTAATCAGACATTGGCTAAGTTATTAGCCGCTACCTATGGCTTTGTAAAACATGAAAAAGTTGGAGGAAATCTAATGAGGGTCTTTTATCTGTAAGGGAAAGGTCATCATGGGCATCAAGTATTGAATTTTAGAAACGGTGCCACAGTGAATAGGGATATATTATAACTCAGATTAGACTTCAAAAGGACTAATTTGCTTGGGACTTCCATCATTTAAAATCACTTGCAATAAAACTGACTACATGAAAAGATATTAATCACAAGCTTTAATGCTATTCCATCAAATTATTTTAATGGGTATATTTGAACAGAATTTTAATTTTTCAGATACATTTTTTGTCAATAGAAAAGAGAATTTGAAAGATGATTGTAAAATGTTACAAATCAAATTTAAATCCTGATCTTATTTTCATTTTCTCTAGCAATAAAACTAACCAGTGATGTGTCTGAAATATATACTACAGCAAACTCTTGACACAGCTATGATTGGAAAATGAGACATTTTGGTTAATCAAATATTATTGTTAATAGTGCAGTGCTGTCTGTCGGTCTCTAATTTGTAAAAATCAGAGAAAAACATGGTGAATCTTTGGTGACATAAGAGAAGACTCACAAATCTTCATATCCTGGGGTCAGTTTTTAAAGCAGTAATTACACATGATACAAGATTATATTCTAAGCTCTCTTTTTCCAGTAAGAAAAGATAAGTCAATGATGTTCCATAAAGCTGATTCTTGTTTAATCAATTTTTAAAGTGGGGGGGTAGGCGGCACTGACAGCATTCTTTGGAAAGGGAAGCAACAGAGGAGAAAGGCAGGATATTTGGTGTCTGCTCACATTGGGAAATACGGGGAGCCAGGGGTGGTTAAGTCCAGAGAAGGCTGGATGTCTGTCTGCAGGGCTACATCTGGAAGGGCAAGGGAACAGTTTCCTTGTTGCCTCAGAGCATAGGTCATGCAGCACAAGAGGAGCATTTAGGAAATGCAGATTTTTTTTCAAGGCAAGACAGTGAAAACTATTCAAGAAGGTAGCAAACTACTGGCCCTTTAATGCTTTTCTTATCCTTGCAAGTGTGCAAGGCAAGACAGGAGATTGTCTGTTGTCTTTCAGCTTGAATGAGATTGTGCCTCACTTACTGCCGCCACACCAAAGCCTGGCGTTTATTCCTGTGCGATCATTGTATACTAGGGACGTCTAACTGTGTCAGGAGGAAATGGCAGCTGAGCCCCTGTGGCCTTTCACCTCTAGCAGTGCCACGCTGCAGCACATTGGCCGGCTGCCATGCTCCTGCCTGCAGTCCTGCCAGCAGCTCTTGTGAGCTGCGACTTTGCATAAGTAGCTTGAATGCCATGTGCCTCAGTTTTCACATCTGTAAAAGGGAGATGATAATGGTACCTATGTCATGGCTCTAAACGCGATCATGCACGTGAAAGCAGTTGAAGTCTTGCCTGGCAGAAGTAAATGGTGGCTGCTGCTGCTGCTGCTGTTGTGATTGTTGTTACTCACCAAAGAGATGGTTTTGTTTGGTTTAGATGAGCTGCTTCAGAAAGAGCAAAACTATTCAGATGACGTCTTGGCCAACATGATTAGTGAACCAAGGATCAGTTACGGAAACGATGCTCTCATGCCATCTTTGACCGAAACGAAAACCACCGTGGAGCTCCTTCCCGTGAATGGAGAGTTCAGCCTGGACGATCTCCAGCCGTGGCATTCTTTTGGGGCTGACTCTGTGCCAGCCAACACAGAAAACGAAGGTAAGAGTCCCCTGAGCCAGCAAGGGCGTTCTGGGAGGTATATATACACATACATAACGTGTGTGCAAGAGAGAGAGTTATCTTTTGTATGTTCTTGAGTGGTGAATTTTTTTTGATGTAGTCATAAATATTTTCATTATAATTTTACTTTAAAAAGTAAATACTAGGAGTTACTATGTCATTAAAATAATATATCTGTGTAAATTATTCTTTATATTTTTTATGCTGCAAAGCATGTAAACTGCCAATTGTTGGAAAAGACAACAACTCCATTGTATAGGTGGCAAAACAAAATGGTAATGATTTACATAACATTTGCAGGTAAAGGGCCTCTTGTTTCGCACATGTCCAGGTTTGCATTCTAGGGAATATTATCCTTCGAGTGAACACTCCCGGACGAAGGGGAGCCACAGTGTATTATTGAAGAGGCAGTTCTTCACAAGGAAAATGTGTGGCAATAACATTCTTCTAATTTTTATTTTCCAGTTCCTCTTCTTAATATAAAATGGTACATTATATAACAAAAGTGGATACATAAAGAGCATGTACTGTATATCATATTATTATGTTTATGACTTTTTCAAATGAGGAAATGGAGGCACCAGGAGACTAAGTTCTTAAGTGATGACTTTTGGTAGGAATTTTTTAGAAATGTTTTTTAACTGTGAGGTATATTGTTCCCTCTGGAATGGAAGCACAAAATTCAACTTGTGTTTATGACGTAATGACCTAGAATGCCACCTTCCAAAAAAGCAGATAGATAGTGAAATAAGGAAAAATTACAGTTTACCAACAGAGAGGAGTTTTGAGGGCCTGCAGAGATGCAGATTTGACAGGCACCAAAGTAGTCTTCACTGGCTACTTATTCTTACATGAAATTTCAGATTGAATTAAATGTTAAAGGCAAAGATAGAGAACTACATATAAATAAAATTTAATTTTGCTTAAGACTTAATTTGTGTTTAGAAAATTAAATTTAAGGCAGCTGCCAAAATTAAGGAGCACATTGCTCTAAATGTTTTTTCCTTTGGTACCTCAGAGAAGTAAGATTCTTCTCTATCAACAAATTTGAGCAGTAGATGGCATCCTTTTTCACAGGGATTTCTTAGCAGAAACACCTGTTCAGGCAAGAATATCTTTCAGCTTCTTTTATCTTTTTCTACATGTTCAGAAGTATACAATTACACACAAACACCTTGATTTCTAGATACAAATAACATGTTTTTTAAGAACACAACAGCACTTTACCTGATTTTCTTTATCAAAGCAGCAAATGTTGATGGAGATTTCATATTTATAATATACCTTATAGGCCAGGCATCGTGGGTCACGCCTGTAATCGCAGGACTTAGGGAGGCTGAGGTGGGCAGATCGCAAGGTCAGGAGATCGAGACCATCCTGGCTAACATGGTGAAACCCCGTCTGTACTAAAAATACAAAAAAAAGTTAGCCGGGCGTGGTGGCGGGCACCTGTAGTCCCAGCTACTCGGGAGGCTGAGGCAGGAGAATGGCATGAACCCGGGAGGCGGACGTGGCCAGTGAGCTGAGATCACACCACTGCACTCCAGCCTGGGTGACAGAGCGAGACTTTAAATTTAAAAAAAATAAATAAATAAAGTAAAAAATATATATACCTTATAACATGCAATTAGTACTAAATCTAAATATAATATTAGACCTTAAGTGTACTGGACAAGTTTTTTCTAAAGAACCATTGCAGAAAATATATAGACTATTTTCACAATGTGAATCATCACCCCAAATTTGTTTCCTTAATTTGAAAAAGGGCACCTTACAGTAATAGCAAACAGCATGTTACTGACAATGTAAAAATAATTAAAACTTTACCATTTATGAAAATAATTCTTAATCACATAGAAGAAAACAATTTTAGGGACAGTTCATTATCAAAGACCTGGAAAACTGTCCTGTTAAATGTATTGAGTGCAGATTGTTTTGTTTCTTTACAGGTAGATAGATTTTGGTCATTGAAGGTCCTCTTCATTCAGTCTCTAATGAGAATTTTTAGTGAAAAATGTCCGATCTCATTTTGTAAATTGAATGCACGCTAAATTTGCTCTTTTACTAACAGCATACCTTGTTGCATCAGCCTTAGGAGAAAATCTGCGTGCACACGTGTGAATGTACACACACACACATACACTGTGAACCCTTGGTAATTGCCAGGATGTCCATTTGAGCAAAGCCCTTGATTAAGTACTTCTGGATACTTGACAAACACGCAGCTATTACATTGCCTAGGTCTCATGAAAAGAGCTGATATTCTTGTTGGATGATTCTGTTTGAACAGTAGAATCTGGTATAACAATTTTGGGAGGCAATAGAACTTGCAGTGTCAGAGTCTTGAGTTGCAGTACTCTTCATTATCAGTCCCAACATTGACATATATATATTGATTATAGCAAACAATTTAAAAAGCCACTTAAGCAATTTTTTTTTTTTTTTTTTTTTTTGAGACGGAGTCTCGCTCTGTCGCCCAGGCTGGCTGGAGTGCAGTGGCGCGATCTCAGCTCACTGCAAACTCTGCCTCCCAGGTTCATGCCATTTTCTTGCTTCAGCCTCCCGAGTAGCTGGGACTATAGGTACCCGCCACCACGCCCGGCTAATTTTTTGTATTTTTACTAGAGATAGGGTTTCACCGTGTTAGCCAGGATGGTCTCGATCTCCTGACCTCGTGATCCGCCCGCCTCAGCCTCCCAAAGTGCTGGGATTACAGGCATGAGCCACGGCGCCCGGCCCCAATTGGTTTTTAAATAAAATAGACGGCCATCATCTCATAGGATATTAAATACTACCCCATACCCCTGAACTCCTGAATGATACAGACCCGAGTTTAAATTCCAGCCCTGCTATGTGCTTCTGAGCAAGTTACTTAGCCTCTCTGGCTGCTTCCTCGTCTGTAAAATAAGGTTGACAATAATTCCTAACTCAGAGGTATAGTATGAGCATTAAATAAGAAGGCATAAAAAAGCTCTTAGCAAAATTCCTGGAACGTAGTAAATGTCAGTGGTAGCTTTTTTTTTTTTTAATGGAGCCAGGATCTTATTAGAGAGACTTTATCAGCCTGTCTCAAGATGAATCACCTTATGGCCTCAACAATGTATCCTTAAAATAATGAATATAATAAGCCATATAATGAGATACAGTCCTAAAGCCGTCTCTCTTCTAACACCGTCTCCCACCTCTCCCCAGAAACTTGTTAGTCTTTCTTTGTACAGACATGTGCACACACACACACATACACCCAACTACTGAAAATATCTAAAATTCTCAAAGGATTTCCTTTTGTTCTTCATGCAGTCCTCATTATCATAGTTTCAAATGCTTACCAAAAATTTGTTGTTTTTCTTAAGAACAATCAGTGAAATCCAGAGGAGGTTCTGATGCCCATTTTTTAAATTTACATTGAAGAAAATAAGCATATCAGAGTTTTCCAATGTGCTGTGATTTGCCTTAACAATTTTTTATTCTTTGGTTTTCACATCCACAAAACCTAAATGAATGGCTAGGCTGAAATGAAGCTGTTGTTACAGAATTGTGCTCACAGATCGTGAAATGATCTGGCTGGAAGCATTAGCGTTGATGACATTTGTGTTTGTTCTACTTTTTCCTGACTGCCTGAGAAGGGCAGCCACAAAGAGCAGCATAGCATGCAGTGACTGCCAGCAAGTCTTTGTGGCCAACAGTCTGCCTCTTTGTAGATAATACCTAGATATAATATGTAGATAAAATAATATTTTTAAAGAGACAAAGCAGGTCTTATAAGACTTGTATGGATGTATTTGCAAAATGTGAAGCTGCCTTCTAGTATATTTTTAACTAGCTTTATAGAGGCAATGAGGAAGCCAATTTAAATGTTGAAATTTAGATTAAATAAATATTTCATTAAACTTACAAACCAGTTCTTGTCAGCCTCTTATCTATATGTAAAACTGGTGTACTGCTGATTCCTCATTACCTTTGGCCTGGTAGAGAGTTTGTACAAGGCAGCACGGTTAATAGTTGAGGTTTATTACAAAGAATACCAGAAGTAACAGACTCAAAAATCCCAGAGGTCTGACCATTCTGTTTCTCTCCTCTTACAGCAAAGGATTTGATTCAAAGCTACTGAGAGCAAGAGAATAACTCATTTCTGCTTACATTTTATTTTAACTCTATTAAAAGTTAAAGCTAAGATAATGTATTTCTTGTTTTTAAATTACTAAACAGCCAATGTAAGATGTTTTTTAGCACTTCATTGATGAAGTTACTGTCTGGTTAAGTAAAGGTCAATTGGAAAAATTGGAAAGTATTTGCAGTGGATTGGGAAATAACACACTACTTTGTTTTGTTGGTGTGTATTCTTTTTTTTCGGCAATGATATCATAATTGCCTTTTAAAAAACTTTTAATGTCTGCTCCCTGAGCTACTTATTTTTTGAGCATTAATTTATACTAAATCAGCTTCAATCTTTTAAAGCAGATTAGGGTTTATGTCACTGAAACTAGTTTTGTTTAATCTTCCTAAAAAATAGGGTTAGGGTTTTATTATTGTTTTTAAATAATACATGCCTATTTAAAAAAATAGAAGAAGAAGAAGAAGAGCGGGGAGAGGCAGAGAAACTTATAGGACAATATCATTTGTAAGTTTCTTTCACATAAGTATACGCATTTGAACCCTGGAAAAACCATTTACTTTGTGACACAACTGAAGTTCAGAAAGAATGTGATTAGCCCCAGATCACAGAGAAAGTAAGTGGTGACATTAGCAGTGGCCCGTGGGACTACCAGCTCCTCAGCCTGCATTTAAACCACAGGTACACTTAACTTACTGCCCCGAGTTGCATATACATTTTCTAATAACGTAACTATTGATGTATGTGCTCACCACCACTTCAAGGTACGCGTTTGCCCTCGTGCATGTGGTCTGTTGTGTTCTTAACTGCAGTTGAAGCACTATTGGGTCCCTCATCATCAGGAAATTCTCACAAAGTACAATGACCTTTCAACTAACTGCATTTTACAAGGAGTAATACAGTTACTCATTACAGGTTGCTGCAAATAGGAAAAAAAATGAAGTATAGAAAAACCAAACCTCATTGTCGAAATGTATTTGGGAGTTGCAGAAGGAAGTGAACTATGTCTTCCTCTAATGCACTAGTGAAATACTAGAGAATAGTCACTCTCGCATCAGTAGTTACTATGGAATATTTAATCATAGGATATTTAATCAGTGCAGTTCTGTAGTATCTGGTAGGGTCTCAAACAGGCTTTAAAGGTTACTTATTTGTTCCTCACCATAATTAGAAGATGCAGATGTTAACATTTCTGTTTCCATATGGAGAAACAGCCACAGAAGTGGCGCATCCCAAGGCCACAGACATTGTAAATGTTGGGCCCAGGCCTGGGATTAGATGCCTCACCCTCCTTTTGACTCCACCATGCTGCCAGTCTCTACATGAGAAAGGACCAAATTTTTATTTCATCCAAATATCCTAGTGCTCCCGGAAATATTTTCTTATATTTTGGAGACTTGGCTTACTGCCACTTTTTTTCTCCCTCACTGTTTCTATTAACATGTGGCATCCAAAATCGATTTGGACTGAGAATCCCACCTTTGAATGCCTGGCCTGTGTGCATCAGTAAGCTGGATGGTTTTGCTGAAATTGTTAGAAGCCATTTCATCGAGCACACCGTGTCTCCTTCAGCACCTGTGCTCACTTTGTCTTACCTTTTTCCCTTTACACTTGCCACCTTACCAAAGCAGCTTCCCCCTGCACCTACCTCCGTGGCTTCATTTACCCTATGACCATTATTAATCCTAAAAACTTCACTTTTGTCCCCATTCCTTGTTTCTTCAAACGCCAGCGTAAAACAAGGAAGTATTTTCTGAGCATCAGAAGTGCTTTGGAAAGGTCAGATGATGGTGAGGAATATCATGCTGTCCACACTGCTTTCTTTGGGTCGGACCCAGAACACATAAAAAGGGAAAATTGTGAACAATGGCAAATATAAAATGAAATATCCTCATTTCACACGTTTCAGCTGTATGTCATCTGTCAAATGGAAGCCAGCCTTTTTGAAAAAGTGAGAAAAAGACTGCGGTTTCCCTCTTCTGCCCTCATACTAAGGACAAATTTGATTCACTCACTAAATGGCAGATTATATAGTAAAACTTTGCTCTCCTGATAAATTCATATTTGCACTTCCCCTGGAAATTTAACAGAGTCCTTTTGTAGTTAATTAACTGTAAAATAAGATAAGATTGGGCAGTTGTAAAAGGAAGTATCTTTAAGGTTTTCTGCTAGGCTGGGAATATTTTATTTCTAATCAAAAGCCAAGAAACTATCTCTAAACTAGCTCAGAGGGAAATCCACCCTCCCCACCCCTCTTCTTTGATGTTGCTGCGTATCCTGGTGAGGGCTTTTATTAGAAAACTAAGGAGCAGGACTGGCACATCAATAGCGATAAGCCATTTAAAGTGGTGCCCCTCCTGGTCCTCGATGCTCGGGATTAACTCACTGTGGTTCTTTTCTGGCTGCTCCTTTTTTGTAACTTGTTTATTGCATATGCTTTTTTCCCTGCTCGACTATGTTTGGGAGCCACGACTTACCATCTTGATTTGTCTTGTTTGCTTTCTGTGTCCCTTGCTTCCTGTGCCCAGTTGAGCCTGTTGATGCCCGCCCTGCTGCCGACCGAGGACTGACCACTCGACCAGGTATCAGAACCGCTTGACTTGTGCCTCTCCGCATCTTGGGCCTAAGCTCGAGCAGACGTTGTCTCCTTTCTGCATTTTAAGCCTCTCTCAATTGTACTTACTGCAGAGTAGAATTTGAAGTGACCTTAGAAACCAAACTTTTAAAAATTCCCCTTGACTATTCCTTACTCTTCATTTCCCAAGTTCCGAGTGAAATGATTTTTTTTGTTTCTGAGCTTTCCCTTTGAAACCTAAAAGAGAGCCCTTCCAAATTTGGGTTTTTTTTTTTCTTTTTTCTTTAAAACAAACAAAACAAAACAAAAACAGAGACGATTATATACAGCCTGTCCTTAAAAACAGAAGCCCAGATAGATGTAGACTCTCAGGTGATGACTTGGATACCAGTGTGAACATCTCTCCTTTCTTGTTTGGTGTCCAGATGGGTAATTTTCTAACTGAACTGGGCTCAAACTTCAATCAGTTACTGAAGTAGACATGATTTCCTGAAAATACCAGAATTGGTTTCTTTCCAGAGCCCAAAATACATCTTCTGTTTTGTGGGTTGTATGTACTTATTCTCAATGAGTGGCTAAAGTAACACAACAGATGTGGATGCATAATTTTGCACATAAGCCCTTTTTTTATGTATTACTTAAAAATCCCATTAACACTGAAATAGACACTTCTTTTTTTACAGTTTCACAAACATTAAGAAGAAACACATTTTTATTTTATGAATAATGTCATAGCACAGCAGAAGCATATATGTGCCTGGTGTCTACTCTATGAACAACCTCACCCAACTGATAGTAGCCAGTGCTTTCAGTGAATCAAAAAGAGGAAGAAAGTTATTGAATTGACAAATTTGTGTATTCCAGGGAGATTTTAATCCCAAATAACACATACTTTTCCATATTTATTTTCTTCTTTATCCTCATAATGTCCCCAGGCGATAGTCAAAGAACAGGGAATTAACTTTCTTTGAAGATATTAATACACAGAGGTCAACCTTTGCTGCCTGGTTCAGATACAGTCAGCAGCAGACCAGGAGACCCACCCTGTCCCTCACACTTCCACCACAGGCTCGAGCCATGACTGCCTCCAAGCACGGTCACTGATGAAGACTGAGAGTCTGCCTGTGGCATCTTCATGCCTTTATGCTGTGATTAACAGTGGCAGCAGAGACAGTAGTGTGACACGTCTTGACAGCTGGTCTCGTTGATTTATGAATTTCTGTCTGTAGGCTTTTAAGGGGAACTTAAATTATAGTGAGTCAGAGACAGTTTCAGTTCTTCTAATGTCCTCCTTATTGTCAATGTCATGTAAGGGAATCTCAAGGAGCCAGGAGTTGACATTCCTGTTCTGCTCAGCCAACTTGTAAGGCCTCGGGCTGAGGGTCAGTTCAGTTCTAATTGCAACCACAGCCAGCTCAGGTTGGTCATTTGCCTTGGGACTTTTTTCATGGTGCTTCTCTTTAAAAGACATGCTCTTCATCTACAAGCATAAAATGTAACTTAGAAAGCGCTCATTCGACTCATTCAATTTTATCAAATTTCTACATTGGGCCAGGAGAGCCTATATGTTACTATTGAAACATCCAGGAACAGGTGACACTACCAGTCAATGTTTTTTTCTTTTTTAAAAAAATTGTTTTTTGATTTTTTTTTTTTTTTTTTGAGATGGAGTCTCGCTGTGTCCCCCAGGCTGGAGTGGAGTGGCACGATCTCAACTCACTGCAACCTCTGCCTCGGGGGTTCAAGCAATTCTTGTGCCCCAGCCTCTCAAGTAGCTGGGACTACAGATGCGCCCCACCATGCCCAGCTAATTTTTTTGTATTTTCAGTAGAGACGGGATTTCACCATGTTGGCCAGGCTGGTCTCGAACTACTGACCTCAGGTGATCCACCCACCTCGGCATCCCAAAGTGCTGGGATTACAGGCATAAGCACCATGCCCGGCCTATTCTTTTAAAAAAAATTTTTTTTAATCTAAATCTAACAAAAAGGACACCTCCAAACGCTGTCAAACAAAAACAGTGTGTTTTAAAGGAAGAGCTAGAGAATAGTTAATGGTATTACACTGGTGGGAGAAAACCATCCAAAACCTTTCTCATAACAGTAAGAATATGATGTCACTTGGGGATTTCACAAAGATCAATCCACTAAATTCTTTCTAGGTTTGAAAGAAATTAAACGGTAGGGTCCCTGCTCTCAGGAGCTTGAGGTATAATAGAAGGAATTTTGCATATTTGGAAACATGAGATGGAATTTGGAAGACAAGGAAATACAAAGCAACATTAAGTGCTAACAAGAATGTTCTGTGATGGGAGGAGATGGAGTACTAACCCAGGGGCATGTTAAGTAGAGAACTTACTGGAGATGGGCTTCCAGAGAGGTTATGAAAGATTTGAGGCACCTGGATTGGCAAAGAAGAAGGGAACAATTCTATTCAGAAGAGAGGGTGGCCTAAGCCAAGCTTCCTTTCATACACAGCGTAGGCTTGGGTTGCCCAGTAAGATGGCTAAAGTTGAGAAAGAATGCTCAGATATGAAGTGAGGAAGATTCTAGTTAAGGTTTGTCTATGAATAGCAGTATTTACTGCACATGTATTAAGCCATGCGTGTGTTCTGTTTTTGTGCTTGTAGTAAGTTTATCAAACATTTGGGCTAATTTCCCCGTGTTTTGTAGCATAGCTTTGGTTCTTCTTCACATTTTAGAGACCACCCACTTGAGTCTAATGTGCCGAATTATATCTTTAGCCTTTCCAAACTTAGAAAGCCTTCCCAAGATTGTCATGCCGTTCAAGTGATGGCATTGTTTTTGAATAATCACTGTTGTCCTCAGAAACAAGTTAAAAAAAGGTTTTTGTTTTTCCCCCACCCAGTGCTTTATAATCATGACTGAGGAAAATGGCTTCTCCTTAACTCTCATATCTAAAAAAACAGAATATGGTAGCTTCCAGCATGCAGTGTCAAGTAGGGACCATTGTAATAACAGTGGTGATTTGGGGGCATAGTGGCCATTATAGCTCCTCCTCCTGGCTTACTTCCAAAGAAAAAATAGACTCTGAAGGACTAATTATACAGTTTGACCAGAATAAAAAAGAAAAACACATTAGCGAGCTCTTCACATAGGGTAGAAAGCTACCCTTTCTGTTACAATTCATCACCACCCTTCTGCAGTCCAAATAAAGGGAAACCAGGTCCTTGACCCGAGCCATGCAAGAGGTGTCATGAAGGACATACCTCCCTTAGCCCCCACATGAACAAAAGGCTCTGTCCACTCATCATGACTTACAGGAAGAGAGAGCTGGAGTCACCAGGGCTTAGGGTGAAATCAGCACAACTCAAGAAAGACCTCTAAGTAAGCCTGCAAACCAAGGTCCCTGCCATTTATTTGAAACTACTCATCACATTTTATTACATGCATTATCACCTTATTATGAATATTTCCCTATGTGCCAGCTTACTGATTTTGTCTTTTAGTAAGATTTGCTTAATGTAAAAAGTCTTCCCTAGATGACTATTCATGCTAAACAAACATGAACTATTATAGCAAGAGCTCTTCTGCCAAGAGCTTCTCAAACTATTGAGCTGTAAACATGAATTTATCTGTCATGCTGACTTGATAATATGAATTTTTTTTTTTGGACCACCAAAAGTATTCACAGTATCATTTCAAAAGTAGTGTGGGCTTGTAAAGTTTTTAGTGGAGAGCTCTTGGTTTTGTTTTTTTTTTTTTTTTTTTTTTAAAACAGGATTTGTCTCTGTTTCCAGGCTGGAGAACAGTGGCATGATACCAGCTCACTGCAACCCCCATTTCCTGGGCTAAAGCTATCCTCCCACCTAAGTTTCCCATGCAGCTGGGATTACAGGGATGTGCCACCACACCTGGCTCATTTTTGTATTTTTAGTAGAGACAGAGTTTTGCCATATTGGCTAGGCTGGTCTCGAACTCCTGAGTTCAAACTGTTTGCCCGCCTCAGCCTCCCAAAGGCTGGGATTACAGGCATGAGTCACTGCACCTGGCCGAGAGCTCATTCTTTTTTTTTTTTTTTTTGAGATGGAGTCTCACTCTGTCGCCCAGGCTGGAGTGCAGTGGCACGAATCTCGGCTCACTGCAAGCTCTGCCTCCTGGGTTCACACCATTCTCCTGCCTAAGCCTCTAGTAGCTGGGACTACAGGTGCCTGCCACCACGTCCGGCTAATTTTTTGTATTTTTAGTAGAGACGGGGTTTCACCATGGTCTTGATCTCTTGACCTCGTGATCCTCCCGCCTCGGCCTCCCAAAGTGCTGGGATTACAGGTGTGAGCCACTGTGCCCGGCCAGAGCTCATTCTTTACTTTTATTTTTCAGTATAAATATTTGGCTCCAAAATCTAAAAGGGAAGACTCTTCAAACTGTTCAAGAAAGTTTTCTTAAAAATCTCAGAAATATAGTTCTAACCTATTGTGTTGCTAGATCTTTTATTTATTTATTTATTTTTGGAGACAGAGTCTCATTCTGTCACCCAGGCTGGAGTGCAGTGGCACAATCTCAGCTCACTGCAACCTCCACCTGCCGGGTTCAAGCGATTCTTATGCCTCAGCCTTCTGGAGTAGCTGGGATTACAGGCACCCGCCACCACACCTGGCTAATTTTTTTTTTTTTTTTTTTTTTTTTTTTTTTGTATTTTTAGTAGAGACAGGGTTTCACCATGTTGACCAGGCTGGTCTCAAACTCCTGACCTCAAGTGATCCACCCAGCTTGGCCTCCCAAAGTGCTGGGATTACAGGCGTGAGCCACCGTGCTTGGCACGTTGCCAGATCTTAATAACAGAAAAGGAGTGAGCTCTAAAGAAATCACTGGTTATATAAGGATCTCAGATTTAAAAGGGCTATAGAAAGATTAAAATATACAGCCAGTGAGAATTAAGAGAGTTTTAGCATCACTACCCTATAAAAATAAGTGTCAGAAAGGTTCGTTTCAGCAGAATGAGTTGAAACTTAACCAAAAAATACTTAACAATATTAAAGTAAGAAAATAAATAAGAATAGAGAACTCTGTGGGTCTCGTAGCAAGAAGTTGGGGGTTGAGGGTTAGGTCATTGAGAGGACCAGAGTTAAAGAATGAGAAAGGGAAACTGTCCCACTTCCATTGTGCCTTTTATGTCTATATTAAAGAGAATGAACTTCTGATGAAAGGAAATTAAAGCCCGAGATAGATCAACATGAGAAAAGAAAGCCCTAGCCCATTAGTTACCTATTGCTACGTAGCAAATAACGCGAGAATTTAGCAGCTTAAAACAACAAGCATTAGTTTCTTACAGTTTTTATAGGTCAGGATTTGGGATGTGGTTTAGCTGGATGGTTCTGGCACAGTGTCCGTCATGTGGTTGCAGTTAAGACACTGCCTGAGCTAAAGTCATCTGAAGGTTTGATTGGACCTGGTGGGTCTGTTTCCAACGTGGCTCACTCACGTCACTGTTACTAAGAGACCTCAGTATCTTACCATGTGAACTCTGTAATGCTGCTTGAGCGTCCCTACAACATGGCATCTCGCACCCCTGCACCAAGAGGTCCAGGAAAGAGATTAAGGAAGTTTTAGTGCCTTTTTTGGCCCAGTCTCAGAAGTCATACACCATCACTTCTATCATGCTCTGTTCACTAGAGCAAGTCACTACATCCCGACCACATTCGAAGGAAGGGAATCAAGTTCTCCCTCTTGAAGGAAGGAGTATCAGCAAATTTGTGGATATATTTTAAACTATGACATCTTGCTACCCAAGTCCAAGTTCTTATGACCCAGACCAACTGCAGGCTAAGAGAACTTGAAGGGGAAGTAGCACCATTGCCTGTGGTCTTTGTGGAAAGCTGGGAAGGTAGGGATAGGAAAATGAAGTTCTGAATAGCAAAAAGGAGAGAAGATAGCTTCACAATCTGTAAGCCAGGTATAGAGTGACATTGATTGTGGGTCTCTTTTCAAATAGGTTATCAAGTGGAAGCTTTTTGAACAATTGGATGAGGAAATGGTGCTAGGTCACAACCAGCGTGGATTTCCTAGGTTTTGTCAGATTATCCTTACCTTCTCCTTGTATAGGCTGTGCTCTTAGACTGGCACATCATATGCTGTGGACATTGTGCTTTTCAGTGTCAGCAAGATGTGTCACAAGTTTCCCAGAATCTCGTAGACAAGATTGAAAGAGTGATTAGGCCAAGAGCAGGAAGTGAATTCCCCTGGGAGCCAAAGGAATTGGGAATGTGTAGCCCAAGTAAGACAAGAACCAGCAGGAACATGCCTCTCCTTAGGGTCGTGATACCTGTTCAAGGTTTTAATGTGGAAGGGAGGATTAGGCTTGCTCTGTGTTGAATCAGGCTCAAAGGATGGAAGTTACAGGGAAGCTGATTCTGGCTTCATGTAAAAAAAGGACAGTTTGGGCAGGCAAATCTATCAAAAAATGGAGGGAAATTGATACATTCCTCTATGTTCAAACAGGAACTGACAATCTGCCCCTGGGTGGGAACACGGTAGAGAAGATGACTTCAAAAGCCCTTTTCATCCTAAAATTCTGATGTTTGATAATTAAATGTTATAGCATGGACACTGACATTTACATTTTTTACTTATGTTTTTGGTTTTTAAATGACTCTGCATTTTGTTTTAAGCTTCAAATTATTATTTGAATAATGAAATTCATCAGAACAATTAGTGTTAAGAATCATATAGCAATTTATAGAAAAGGAAGAGTTCGTAGGTTATAAATTCTGTTAGTTGCTAAGAAGCATTTTTAAAATTATGTACTATAGCTCTTTATTCAGCAGACGAACCAATTACAATCTGTGTAACTAGAACACTTGACTAAAATTATATAATTTTTACAACGCTTCACTGCATAGATACATGAACATAATTTATTTGTAATTGGAACAAAGCCCCAAAGTAGCAGTTTTGTTCTACCAGGTAATTAATGCTCATTTTTAAAGCCTTTTATTATTATTTCTGAAGTAATGAGTGCACATGGAAAAAGACACATAATAGGCTAAACAATAAGCCCGTAAGCCAAGCCAACATATTCCAGGAACAAATCCTTGCCAACCTCTCAACCAGGATTTAACTTCTGCTTTTCCCCCATTTTCAAAAATTATAGCATGTATTTAAAGGCAGCAGAAGCCTTACTTTCAGGTTTCCCTTACCCTTTCATTTCTTTTTGTTCAAAATAGGTAGTAATTGAAGTTTTAAATATAGGGTATCATTTTTCTTTAAGAGTCATTTATCAATTTTCTTCTAACTTCAGGCCTAGAAAGAAGTTTTGGGTAGGCTTTGTCTTACAGTGTTATTATTTATGAGTAAAACTAATTGGTTGTCCTGCATACTTTAATTATGATGTAATACAGGTTCTGGGTTGACAAATATCAAGACGGAGGAGATCTCTGAAGTGAAGATGGATGCAGAATTCCGACATGACTCAGGATATGAAGTTCATCATCAAAAATTGGTACGTAAAATAATTTACCTCTTTCCACTACTGTTTGTCTTGCCAAATGACCTATTAACTCTGGTTCATCCTGTGCTAGAAATCAAATTAAGGAAAAGATAAAAATACAATGCTTGCCTATAGGATTACCATGAAAACATGAAGAAAATAAATAGGCTAGGCTGAGCGCAGTGGCTCAAGCCTGTAATCCCAGCACTTTGGGAGGCCAAGGCGGGTGGATCACGAGGTCAGAAATTCGAGACCAGCCTGGCCAATATGGTGAAACCCCATCTCTACTAAAAATACAAAAAAGATTAGCTGGGTGTGGTGGCAAACACCTGTAGTCCCAGCTGCTGGGGAGGCTGACGCAGGAGACTTGCTTGAACCCAGGAGGTGGAGGTTGCAGTGAGCTGAGATCGTGCCTAGGCGACAGAGCGAGACTCCATCCCAAAAAAAAAAAAGAAAAGAAAGAGGCTGTATGTATAGTTCTTTCAGACTACAAGGCAGCAAAGTTCGTGCATGACTCGGGACTTAAAGTGGAATTAATTTCAATATAGCAGCCACTTTGACTTCCACTGTGTTTTCTGGGAAAATAGGTTTACAATAGGTTTATTTGAAGGATCAAACACATGCATACACTGCTTGGTTTTACAGAACACTTTATGTGGCTTAAATTCACATCCGGAACTGTCTTCCTTTACCCATTCATTTCTCCCCCAGCTCTTTCTTTTCATTCCCTCCCCTACCTCCCATGATTTAACTTCTCTTGCAAGAGTAAGATCATGGAGTGAGCAGGACCCCATGATGTTCCCGATAGTGTTATTCATCAAAAGGTTTGTGCAAAGAAGACAGCAGCTTCCTTTTCAGATGAAATCACTTTTCCCCCCTAATGTTAGAATTGGAGTAAATCAAAAAGCCACATCTCCTTTGTGGTCAGCTCTAGTAGTTATATAAAATCCTTTACCAAAAGCTTAGAAATGGAGATAAATCAAATCGTGGATTATGTTAGGGTTCCATCTTATCAGTAGGTGCAGTAAGAGGGTTAAATTAATGAAGACGACAATTTTATCACATTCAGTGGTGGACAGAAAAATGGTAAGAAAATTTCCATAGCAATAATACTTAAAGTTATCTCAGGCACTTCTTTTGTTTTGTTTTGTGTGTGTGTGTGTGTGAGTGTTACTTTTTTCCAAGCAGAAAATGTCTTTTCAATATTCATAAAGTTGATAAATCCTAGTATTAATCTCTAAAAGAAACACCTCCAAATTATTATTTATGCCTTACTTGACTCCAAATAATTGTAGCAAATAAAAAACTGACTTGGGATTTGGATTTGCATTCTTAACTCCCATAGTTCTTTTTTTGTAGAAAGACATTTAGCTTTTTGAAGCATGGTTTTCATTGGCAAGATAATCTAGTATCAGTTGTTATAAGATCAGGGTTTCTCTTGATGAGGCTGTTGCTGAAGAGGTTAATAAAAACTGGGGAACCACTAAAGAGTTGAAGAGTTGGTGGGGTAGAAAGCTGACGATTAATGTACAGATTTGCATTTGTCGGGGCCTGGGGCCTGTGTCATATAAGCCCATCCCCACAATTACACTAACGCCTATAATGCGACAGTGACTAATGGCAGCGGCAGCAATTAGGAGAATCAGCTCCCTCTACTGGACTAGTTAAGATAATGTATTATAATTAGTGCAATGAATATTACAAAATTACAGTATTTTCTTAAAGGCACAGGCATATGTCCAGACTTGTATTTATTCCTGATTACCTCACACTAGTATATTAGCTAATTAATGATTTGCTTTTCATAAAAATGTTGAGCTAGCATATTTGTTTAGTAAAGGGAATAATTATGAACAATTTCTCATTTTGTTATAAACCACGAGTAAAACACTTTTAGAAGTTGCTTCATTTGCTATATTTTATATTGCCTTTCCAGATTGCTAGTATGTTAGTTTCAGCTTAGAAAAATCAGTCATTTGACTACCTTGAGGCTAAATTGAAAGAATTTTTTAGGGAGGTACAGGCATACCTTGGAAATTTCAGAACACCACAATAAAACAAATTTTGCAACAAAATGTCACACAAATTTTTTGGCTTCCCAGTACATATAAAAGTTATGTTGGCCAGGCACGGTGGCTCATGCCTGTAATCCCAGCACTTTGGGAGGCCAAGGCAGGTGGATCACAAGGTCAGGAGGTCGAGAGCATCCTGGCCAACATGGTGAAATGCCATCTCTACTAAAAATACAAAAATTAGCTGCATATGGTGGCATGTGCCTGTAGTCCCAGCTACTCGGGAGGCTGAGGCAAGAGAATCTCTTGATCCCAGGAGGCAGAGGTTGCAGTGAGCCGAGATCGCACTCCAGCCTGGGCAACAAGAGCAAGACTCTGTCTCAAAAAAAAAAAAAAGTTTGTATTTACACTATACTCTAGTCTGTTACATGTGCAATAGCATTATGTCTAAAAAAAAAAAAAGCCATGTATATACTTTACTTTTATTAGTAAAATATTTTATTACTAAAAATGCTAATGATCATCTGAGTCTTCAGCAAGTCCTAATCTTTTTGCTCGTGGAGAATCTTGCCTTGATGTTCACTGCTGCAGGCTAATCCAGGTGGTGGCTGCTGAGGTTTGTGGTGGCTGTGGCAATTTCCTAAAATAAGACAATAATGAAGTTTGCTGCATCGATTGACTCTTCCTTTCACAAAAAGATGTCTCTGTAGCATGTGATGCTGTTTGATAGCATTTTGCTCACAGTAGAACAGCTTTCAAAATTGGAGTCAGTCTTCGCAAATCTAGCCACTGCTTCATCGAGTTTATGTGATATCCTAAATCCTTTGTTGTCATTTCAACAGTGTTCATAGCATCTTCACCAAGAGTAGATTCCATTGCAAGAAACCACTTTCTTTGCTCATCCATAAGAGGTAACTCCTCATCCATTCAAGTTTGATCATGAGATGGTAGCAGTTCAGTCATGTCTTTAGGCTCCACTTCTAATTCTAGTTCTCTTGTTATTTCCACCACATCTGCTGTGACATCCTTTACTGAAGTCTTGAACTCCTCAAAGTCACCCATGAGAGTTGGAATCATTGTCTTCCAAACTCCCGTTATTGCTGATGTTTTGATCTCCCATGGATCACAGATGTTCTTAATGGCATCTGGAATGGTGAATCCTTTTTAGAAGGTTTGCAGTTTACTTTGCCCAGATCCATTAGAGGAATCGCTATCTATGGCAGTGAATAGCCCTACAAAATATATTTGAAATATATTTTGAAATAATAAGAGGCTGAAATAATAAGACTTGAAAGTTGATCCACAGGCTGCAGAATGGATGTTGTGTTAGCAGGCATGAAAACAACAGTAATCTCCCTGTACCTGTCCTTCAGAGCTCTTGGGTGACTAGGTGCTTTGTTAGTGAGCAGTAATATTTTGAAATGAGTCTTTTCTGAGCAGTAGGTCTCAACAGTGGGTTTAAAATATTCAGTAAACCATGCTGTTAAGAGATGTGCTGTCATCCCAGTTTTGTTCCATTTATAGAGCATGGGCACAGTAGATTTAGAATAATTCTTAAGCGCCCTAGGACTTTTACAATGGTCAGTCTTGGCTTCAAAAACAAAGTCGCCAGCTGCATTAGCCCCTAACAAGAGAGTCAGCTTGTTCTTTGAAGCTTTGAAGGCAGGACTTCTCTCTAGTGATGAAAGTCCTAGATGGCATTTTCTTCCAAATAAGTCTGTTTCATCTCCACTGAAAATCTGTTATTTAGTGTAGCCACCTTCATCAGGAGTCTTATCTAGATCTTCTGGATAACTTATTGCAGCTTCTACATCAGCACTTGCTGCTTCACCTTGCACTTCTGTGTTATGGAGATGGCTTCTTCCCTTAAACCTCATGAAATCAACCTCTCCCAACTTTTTTTTCTTCTGCAGCTTCTTCACCTCTCTCATCCTTCATAGAATTGAAGACAGTTGTGGGCCTTGTTCTTGATTAGGCTTTGGCCTAAGAGAATGTTGTGGTTGGTTTGATCTTCCATCCAGACAACTAAAAGTTTTCTCCGTATCAGCAATAAGGCTGTTTTGCTTTATCATTTGTGTGCTCACTGGAGTAGCACTTTTAATCTCCTTCAAGAGCTTTTCTTTGCATTCACAACTTGGCTAACTGGCACAAGAATCTTGGCTTTCAATATGCCTTGCCCACTAAGCTTAATTATTTCTAGCTTTTGCTTTAAAGTGAGAGACCTGTGACTCTTCCTTTCACTTGAATACTTAAGAGGCCACTGTAGGGTTATTTACTGGCCCACTTTCAATATTGTTGTCTCTCAAGGGATAGGGAGCCTGGGAGTTGAGGGGGTGGAGTGGCCAGTTTGGGGGGCAGACAGAACACACACAACATTTATTGATTTAGTTTGCTGTCTTTATGGGCATGTTTCATGACACTCCAAAACAATTAAAATAGTAACATCAAAGGCCACTGATCACAGATCACCAAACAGATATAATAATTTTTAATGTTTGAATATTTAAATAATTACCAAAATGTGACACAGACATGAAGTGAACCTGTGTTCACTGTTGGAAAAATGGCACCAATAGACTTGTTCGATGCAGGGTTACCAGAAACCTTTTTGTTTTTTTTTTTTAAATACTATCTGTAAGCACTACTGTACAATAAAGCTATGTATGCCTGTATTTTCATTAAGTTGCAGAGCAAACGTGGTAATATTTAGCTTTAGTTTTACTTCATCTGGCATAAGATCAACTCCTTATATAACAAGATGATAAAAGTTGTGGTGTGCTTCTATAATTTCATTCAAGTAGATAAAGTTGAAAAATAATGACTTGCTTTTATAAACAGTATGAAGCAATGTAGTGCAGTAAATGAAATTTTATTCCTTCTTTACAATGTTCTCAAAATTATTTTTATGTTTAATCCAAATAAAGAGCAAGAATAAAGCAACATTTCAGATTTTGGTTTCTGGAGACAATAGTTAGAAAGCATGAGTTATGAGTGACTTAAAATTCTTGTTGCCTGTACTTCACTTTGAAATAACATTATGCTTTAAAAAGCATTACACTGCTAAAGGTTAATTAGAATTCTGCAGAATTACTATAGCTAAAAGTAGGTAACAAGATATCTTTTTTTCTATTGTTTAACTCCTTTGTTTCAGAATGCCTATTCCTGTGCATTAAAAGTGTCCCTCCAAGGAAATTAGGACATCTGCAGAGTTGAAAAACACCTAAGTCTCAGTCACTTAGAGTCACACATCAGGGCTCAGAGTGCTATGACTAGGAAAATGCTGACCTCCTTTCATTAGTATGATCGTGCCTTTCCAGCTTTTGATAGATCCAAGCGCTATCTTCCCACCACTCACCAAATGTTCCACCTGTCAAAGGGTTTCAGGTCCCTGCAGACTTCGGTTTTGACCTGTGGGGAAAGTAGACTTCCTCGAACTGGGGAAGCCACATGTTGTACATCCTTCTATAAACTATGATTATCATTCTTAGTAGGAAAATATGTGATTTCTTTTTTTTTTTTTTTTTTTAAAGTAAGCATCAAATATTTGACCAACCAGTTGGGCAGAGAATATACTGAAACTTTTTATATAACCTCATCCAAATGTCCCCTGCATTTAAGAAATGAAATTCTTCTAATTGCGTTTATAAATTGTAAATTATATTGCATTTAGAAATTAAAATTCTTTTTCTTAATTTGTTTTCAAGGTGTTCTTTGCAGAAGATGTGGGTTCAAACAAAGGTGCAATCATTGGACTCATGGTGGGCGGTGTTGTCATAGCGACAGTGATCGTCATCACCTTGGTGATGCTGAAGAAGAAACAGTACACATCCATTCATCATGGTGTGGTGGAGGTAGGTAAACTTGACTGCATGTTTCCAAGTGGGAATTAAGACTATGAGAGAATTAGGCTTAGCTTTTTGCTAAGAACTAGCTAAGTATCTCTTTTAAAAAACGAATCAGTGTGCTTCCATGATGCTTGGGTTACAGTTGTTCTTTCTTGTTTTGGTTTTCATTCATTGCAACTTACCGTGAATATTCTGCTCAAGGTATTGAGAGTGTGTGTTGTTATCTCAACTTACAATTTGTGTTGAAGTTATCAAAATAATACAAATGATAATGCATGACTTTAAAAAAGCATGATTACTCTTAGACTTTTTTTTTTCAAACACAAGCAACAAAAACCAGTACAAGAAGTTAAAAATAAAAATAGAAGTAGGAAGTTGCTTTTTCCAAAAAAACTAAACATGTTTATTCTTGGATTTCTTTTGTCTTAAATAGTCTGGCCTCTCAATACAACCAGGTAATAGTAAATAATGTGACTTTTCAGTGCAGACTCTTACCTTTAAAGTTTCTCAGGAAATCACACTATACCAAATGGCCCACCAAAACATACATGATTGTTATTTGAGAGTTCTGCAACCTATTACCCTGCACTTCCACCTGAAATATCTTAGTTTCAAGGTGCTATACTAAAACAAGAAAGAGAGAAAGAAAATTTACGAATAAGTTATTTTTATGCATTTGAAATGCCATTTGGATGGGGGAAAAAGTGTTAAAATCTCACAGTATATGCAACTTTTTAGGAAACTGTCTTGCAGAGAGTATAGTGTAAACATAACTTTTATATGCACAGGGAAACTGAAAAATTTGTGTGACATTTAATTGCGATATTTTAAGAGTTATGGAATTTTTAGAGCTGAAAGATTTATTGATGATGACCAATCAAATTGATCTTCTCATCTTGTAGATGAGGGAACTGAGGCCGAGACAGAAGGGTTCAAATTATGCAAGGTCAAGCTCAGAGTCCAGATTTCCCCTCATATTCCCCATTGCTTTTTTTTTTTTTTTTTGAGACAGTCTCGCGCTGTTGCCCAGGCTGGATCTTGGCTCACTGCAACCTCTGCCTCCTGGGTTCAAGCAATTCTCTTGTCTCAGCTTCCTGAGTAGCTGGGACTATGGGCACACGCCACCATGCCCGGCTAATTTTTGTTTTTAGTAGAGACAGGGTTTCACCATATTGGTCAGGCTGGTCTCGAACTCCTGACCTCAGGTGATCCACCCGCCTTGGCTTCCCAAAGTGCTGGGATTACAGGCGTGAGCCACCGCGTCTGGCCCCCATTGCTTTTTCCATCAGAGAAAAGTCCAGGTGTTTCTAGGGAGTTGAAGATTCCACTATCCCCAAGGAAATGGGCTCTAAACCATTCTTGATTAGAAGAGGACAGGCAGAGTTTAAATAAATGAAATTTGTGGTGAAGCCAGAAATTTCATTTTGCTCAGCAATTAAAACCTCTGCAGACTACAACAGAAGCTGCTGATGGAAATTGGGGTGGAGCCTCATTTCCCCATTCATACTGACGTGGATGAGCAGTGTGAGGAAGGAAACCAAGAGAACAGCAGGCAGCAGGGTGGAAAGGAACGGACTGACCCATAGATCAGAGTGTGAGCACATAAAAGCAATGACCCCACTGTCATGTTTGGCCATTGCACCTTTTGTGATAGTATCTAAGCTTATGTCCCTCAAAACAGTGTAAGATAGGTTTTCATTAGTATCAGCTTATTTCATTTCTGCTCAAATTAATTTTTAAAAAAATTTAATTCCATATTTGAGCAAATAAAGATGTCTTCATACTTGAGTAATTCAAGACCCCTTTTTTGCTGCTGTTGTTGTTTTGGTTTTTTTCATGGTTTTGTTGTTTTCTTTTGTTGTTGTTGTTTCTTTGTTTTTTGAGATGGAGTCTTGCTCTTTCACCCAGGCTGGAGTGCAGTGGCATGATCTCCGCTCACTGCAACCTCCACCTCCCAGGTTCAAGCGATTCTCCTACCTCACTCTCAGCCTCCTGAGTAACTGGGATTACAGGGGCATACCACCACGCCTGGCTAATTTTTGTATTTTTAGTAGAGACAGGGTTTTGCCATGTTGGCCAGGCTGGTCTTGAATTCCTGGCCTCAAGTGATCCGCCCTCCCCAACCTCCCAAGGTGCTGGGATTACAGGCATGAGCCACCATGCCTGGCCTTCAAGAGCACTTTTTAGTTTATTTAATATAATTCTCTTTGTTGCCGGTCTGTCCGTTGAAGTTGCCTTCTTTGATGCCAGAGGCCAAAGACTTGGCTTCCTCGGGCTTCCATAACAAAGTAACACAGATGGGTGGATTAAGCAACAGAAATTTACCCTCTCACATTTCTGGAGTGTAAGATCAAGGTATCAGCCAGGTTGGTTCCTCCCCAGGCATCTCTCCTTGGTTTGCAGATGCCTGTCTGCTCCCTGTATCTTCACATGACCTTCACTCTGTTTTTCTGCTGTGTCCTAACCTCTTCCTACAAGGACACCAGTCATAGTGGATTAGGATCAACCCTGATGACCTTGTTTAACTTTAATAACCTCTTCGACCCTATCTGCAAATACAGTCACAGGTGGAGGTACTGGCAGCTTAGGACTTCAACATATGAATTCTAGGGGGACACGTTTTAGCCCGTAACAGACCCCAGTGATGCTGAGCATAAAAGCAAGGCCTCCACCTGGAGCTCCTTCCCCTGGCTGTGCGTGAGACCAGGTCCTACCTCAGACCTAAGGAAAAAGAATCCCCAAATAGGAGGCTGCGAATCTGAGTGTTGAAAATTTCCCCAAATGAATGAGATGTGCAGTCGGATTTGAGAATCCCTGACACATCATTTTAACACTCCTTCCTTTTAGTTCTCCGCGCAAGCCTCAGGGAGTGGAAAATGGTATCTCTCACCTCCCAGATAACCGGTTGCCTTTTAAGTGCTCTTCCAGCTGCCTGAATTAAAACGCTCTTTTTTTAGTCAGTTTACCAAGCAGTGTCTCATTGGACTTAAAATGTCAGAGGAGAAGTTGACACTTTGACCCAGATTCTGACATTAATTTTTAAGCCAGGAGGTATCCTTGCAGGAGCAAAATCGGGAAGGATGGCTGTTCAGCTCTTCTCTCCTCATTTTGCTGTCTACTGGAGAGCAACTGGAAGCCTTTCTAGATGAGGGGCTCCACCTCATTCGTGTTTGTTTTGTTTATTTCCTCTCAGCTCCTTCCCCTCAAGACCTTTGTGACTGTCCTTCCTGAAAGCAGCCCTCTGTGCAGCCCCATAGTGTGTCTGTACAGCAATGTTGAAATAGACCACATTCCGCTTTTCTGTCCTCAAAAAAGATGTAGTTTAGCTGGGATGGTAGAACCTGAACACAGGGAGTTGCAACCCAGCCTAGGCATGTTCCCAGGTGAGAGAGCACGGTGGGCTTTCAGAGCACCATTTTTCTTAGCATTCCAGCGTCTGCACCCACAGAAGTGATGCTTCTGCAACATCCTCTTCCTACCTTAACAGGCACTCTCACCCTCAAGTACATGGAAATACCTTTATTTCCGGCTCTGGCTAACCTTCATTAATCAGTAACCCTACTTCAGTAAGAACAAAAATGAGTACATCAATATTTCCAGTTGGACTCACCTCAGTCACTCAGGACAGAATACCATTGTACTTACATACCATCGTGCCTGAAGAAGTCATGATGAAAGCTTTGGTTTCCAGGAGATTTTTTGTTTTTAGAGTGAAAAATGCCCGCAGAAGATCACAGAGATAGGAACCCTAGGAAAAAAACTCCTGAGAACAAATGTATAAATGAAACAAGCCTAGAACAGTCACATACCACTTCACACTGGAGAGAACGTTCTGAGAAATGTGGCATGGGGCGGTTTGATCGCTGTGCAAACATCATAAAGTACATGTACATAAATCTAGATGGTATAGCCTGCTACACACCTGGGCTACACACCTACAACTATTGCTCCTAGGCTCCACACCTGTGCAGCATATTGCTGCACTGAATACTATAGACAGTTGTAACACACTGGCAGGGATTTGCGTATCTAAACAAACTAGAAAAGGTACAGTAAAAAATACGGTATTATGGGGCCACCATCATATGTTTGGTCTGTCGTGGACTAAAATGTCATTATGTGGCCCATAACTGTATTTTTATTGGTAGAGTTGTTAGCATTTGGAAATGAGCACTTGCTAGTTGTTGTTTTTTTTTTTTTTTTTTTTTTTCAAATAAGCAGGAAATATTGACTTACTGAATTTACTTAGCCATAAGGCCAGAGAGTCACTCTGTGAGCCATTGGCCACGCTTTCCCAAGGAGGTAACTGTGCCTTATTGGTGCTTCAAGCAGTGAAGCAATAGCCCTTTATTATTACCACTCCCCAAATGTGCCCTCCATGTCAGAATAGCCCTCTGGTGGCTGGAAATCTCAGCACTAGCTGAATTAACCACCTTGCTCCTGTTTTAGGACGTTCCTGCAAAGCCCACTAATCCCAGGATCTGTTTAGTAGCAAGCGGTACTTTTCTACATTCACATACATAGACACTGGATATTTAAAAATACGTATTGTAGCTCTTTCTGCTACTCTCCCCAGACATGTCACCTTTAATAAGGAGAAGTTGGGGGCACAGCTTCTCTTTATTATAGGATGTGAAAAAGTTTTCCTCTCACAGATCTGATCACTTGAACACCAGAAGTCTCCCCGCCCCCACCTCCTGGTTATCTCATTAATGATCTAAATAAGAAGAGAGTTCCTTTTATTTGGCTTTTATGGAGGTATGGCATATGACTTTTTCTAAGTAATATGCTGTCACACTGGTGACTGTATAAAAAGATGTCCTTAGAGGTCCTTTCTTCCCGGCCAGAAGCTGACCCACCAGGATACAGACGCACTGACGTTGGCATTGTAGAGTAGTTGGAGAGAGTGGTCAGGTTGAATGGAAAGCCACGATAAGGAAAAGTGAGGGGGGGTGCAGAACCTAGGAGTGGCTTACAGTGAGCAGCAGGAAGAGAAATTGGAAGATCAAAGGAAAGCATCAAAAATGATCACAGGCCAGGCGTGGTGGCTCACACCTGTAATCCCAGCATTTGGGGAGGCCAAGGCAGGTGGATCACTTGAGGCTAGGAGTTCGAGTCCAGCCTGGCCAACATGGTGAGACCCTGTCTCTAATAAAAATACAAAAAATTAGCCAGGCGTGGTGGCATGCGCCTGTAGTCGCAGCTACTCAGGAGGCTGAGGCAGGAGAATCGCTTGAACCCAGGAGATGGAGGCTGCAGTGAGCCAAAATCACGCCACTGCACTCCAGCCTGGGTGACAGAGCAAGACTGTCTTAAAAAAAAAAAAAATTATGAAGGGATAGCAAAGGAGTTCCTGAACCTGCCTGAAGAATTGCTTGATGTTGGCCATAAACATAGTCAACTGCCTTCTAGTTATATATAACTATAGAGAGATGGCATCAAAATTAGGAAAACAAGCATCTATACAACTAGGTAGCAGGCAGTTACTGGGAGGTTACGAGGGATAAGTCACTAGCTTGAAAACTTCCTATTTTCTTTGCTTTTATTTTTTTTTTCCGCAGACTTGTGGCTCCTTTGATGTGTCACACTATTGTTGTATTGTTCGCCTTAGTTCCCTTACCCTCCTTTACTCGTCTGGTCCATCTCAATGACAGGATTCTGTCGTTTGGCCTGACTCAGTCCCTTGTATAAAAGGACATCTATTAATCCACATCCTGCTGGTTACTGTACATAATAAAATGTAAACGTGGTGTTTCCTGCCTCTCCTCCAAGCTCACACACCCGCATGTAAATACTCTAGGGGCAATAGGAGGAGACCTAGAAACTAAGGTCACCCAAATAGAATCTTGTCCCTGCAGGCGGATAGCTGAGCTCTAAATTACTCTGGATACAGTGAAGGACTAAATGGTTCCAATGAATCAAGTTCAGGGAGAAAAGGGTCAGGGGGTATGGAGGTTAGCCAAAGAGTGTCAAACGTTCTCCTCAAAGCTATTTTAGAACAAGGCTGGTCAGGCTATTTGGGCTCAGCTCTTTTCAGCGTGTGTCATAGGCAGCAGCCAGTTGAAGCCATGCCACCATGCAGTGCAGGGGTCCAGGTCTCAGGAAGGTGCAGCGTACCGAGAGTCACATGAAGACCTCAGATCATTTCCTGCTGCTGTGTAATCCAGGCAGTCTGGGAAGAGAATGAATATTCAGTGGTTGTATGTATGTGTGTCTTCATCCCAGCAAGTGACAGATGTTCCTGCCCAGTTGGAAAATGGAAATTCTGACTTCATTGTCTTATCATTCCTTCCAGAACAAGCACCATGGGCTCAAACCCTCCCTGGCTCTGCTTTAAGGGAAATAATATTGTGTCTGTGCAGAGGCCCTGTCTGCACAGGGTCGTGGTAGGGCTGGCCTTCACATGGTGGCCCATGCCACTGCTGTAGCTTAGCCATGAGGAAGAGATTGGTGAGCCTGCTGGAGAGGAAGGCTACCCTTACTTGGTGCTCCTCCTTTATCCATAGACATGAGTACTCAGATTTTCGCATCTAGCTTTCAAGGGGCTGGAGATTAAAGATCCAATCCATACTCCTTGGATGCCCTTTTGTCAAGATAATCCCTTCTTCTGTAGCTCCTAAGCCCTCTAAGGTCTGAGGGCCAAGCTGCCCCATGGCAGGAATGGCAAAATGTAGCTGTCCTCTCAGTGGCAAAAGGTAATAGGATTATCAAGTAGCAAAACAGAAGCCAAGAAAAGACAGGAGAGTTAGAGGTCTGGATTGTGCACCAGCCTTGGAGCCTCGCATCTCTAGCAGGGCACTCTTAAGCGTTAGGCTTTGGAGTTTGAAGAGGAGATAAACCTATCAAATTGCCAGGTGTTCCCCTGCCCTTGATGCATGCAAATGATTGTTGACAGCCAGTGTGATGGTAGATGTGCCTCCTGGAAGAAATAAAAGTATAATATTCCAACAATCAAGCAGCATTGTGGCTTTTTTCTACAATCAGAAACATAGCAGCTTTGTGCTTGATCTCCTAAGCAAGATAATTTTTTTTAACCTGGGCATTCTTTGAGTTCTCAGTTTCGAGGTGATGGGGAGCAAAAATGATGCCCAAGTTCAAATGGCGTACTGCTGCAGATAGGCTGTCTCCTGGCACACAGATTTACAGAGTGAATGAAATCTCTCATTATTGGTGCTAATCTTTAACCATGGTTTTTAACTTACAAGTTGGAGGCTAATTACACAGTTACCAGTTAAAGCCAGGTGACCTCATTTGTTGACAACAGTGCACAGCAAAGGAAAGAGGAGAGGATAAGGAAAATATCTGTGATTTGCTCCCAGAAGGACAGTGAAGCTGAGCATCCATTTGAGCAGAGTCCTCTGAGTACTGGCCTTGGTCAGAGCTTGTTGGTGGGAGTGTGCTAAGGGGAGATGCCTAGGTCTGTCATTGGAGTAAGCTGAGGGTTTGGATGCAGGGGAACTCAGGCAGCTCTGAGCCACAGGGTGGTAGATGGGAGGGATTCACAGTGGCGCACAGTCTCTTCCATAAATGGAAACGTAAGAATCGGGGCACATGGCCATGGCGGCTCATGCCTGTAGTCCTAGTGCTACTTTAGGAGGCCGAGGTAGGCGGATCACCTGAGGTCAGTTTGAGACCAGCATGGCCAACATGGTGAAACCCCATCTCTACTAAAAATACAAAAATTAGCCAGGCGTAGTGGCGGGTGCCTGTAATCCCAGCTACTCGGGAGGCTGAGGCAGGAGAATCACTTGAACCTGGGAGGCAGAGGTTGCAGTGAGCCGAGATTGCCTGGGCAACAAGAGCAAGACTCCAACTCAAAAAAAATGGGCACATAATGGATGGAACATTCTGTCCCAAGGGATGAGGGAGCTGTATATCTACCTATTCCAGCTGCCTTGGGATTAGCCACTGGTAGTCATTCCACCTCACTCCCAGACTGAAAAGAGTCAATCACTTCATGAAGTGGGGCTATCCGAAGGGACCACAGGGGACCTGATTATACTGACAGATTTATTTTTATTTATTTACTTTTTTTGAGACAGAGTCTCCCTCTGTTGCCCAGGCCGGAGTGCAGTGGCACGATCTTGGCTCACTGCAGCCTCAGCCTCCTGGGTTCAAGCAGTTCTTCTGCCTCAGCCTCTGGAGTAGCTGGGACTACAGGCACGTGCTACTGTGCCTGGCTAAATTTTTTTGTATTTTTGTTAAAGATGGGGTTTCACTATGTTGGCCAGGCGTGTCTCAAACTCCCGACCTCGTGATCCACCCGCCTTGGCCTCCCAAAAGGGCTGGGATTTTGAGCCACCTCACCTGGCCTTTTTTTTCTTGGAGATGGAGTCTCACTCTGTCTCCCAGGCTGGAGTGCAGTGGCACAATCTTGGCTCACTGCAAACTCCACCCCCCAAGTTCAAGCCATTCTCCTGCCTCCGCCTGTGGAGCAGCTGGGATTACAGGCGTGCACCACCACGCCTGGCTAATTTTTGTATTTTTAGTAGAGACAAGGTTTCACCATGTTGGCCAGGCTGGTCTCAAACTCCTGACCTCAAGTGACGCACCCACCTCAGGCTCCCAAAGTGCTGGGATTACAGGAGTGAGCCACTGCACCCGGCCATATTGACAGATCTTTTAGTCTGAATTGTTATCAGCCAGTGTGGTCTAGTCATGACATATCTAGCTCCATCTCGAGACCTCATGTCTTACTGCTGACACTACATCCTCGCTGGTACTTTTTCTTCCTTGGCTTCAGGGGCATTGCTGTGTAGGCTCAGATCCATGCCAGATGGGGTGTGTAGGGGGAAAAGCTGCATAAGGGAGGAATGTCACTTGGCAACACTCAACAAGGGGGAATGGGCCTGCAGTATTCTCCCAGAGATGAATGAGCAGCCCATTCTAGGAAATATCCCTTTGAAGGAATATCTTCTCTATGGTACATCCAAACTTTTCTCTGGAAAACATGCCTCTTCATTCTGATGACTTTCTATTTATTCTCTTCATCTTACCATGGTTTTACAAAAGAGGAATTTTAACATACTCATTCAGCAGAGTTAAGGACCTCCTCTCTTCTGCGAACGGGGAGAGGTATAACAAATATAGTAAAACAAGAACAGCCACTGCCCACGTTGTAGGGGTAAGTACCCTGCCCAACCTGCAGACAGTAAATGCCACACACAGCTCTAACAGTGACAGGGGGAGAAAAACGTCTTCAGTTACTGGCCTGACCTTAGAGGTAAAGCAACATATTAACAGAGAGGGTCTGATTTTAAACTTTGAGCTGAACATACTTCTATAGTATCTTAATTCTCAGTTTTTAAAAAATTACATCATCTAGAATGGCGTCGTCCTTGCTCTTCCTTTTTTCTTGTGCCAAATAATAGCCCCCTTTGGTATATGTTATTGTTTTAATTGATTCTCAAACCTCTCCTTAACATTTTAACAAACATAAAATTTGATAGAAATGGGCTAGACTAAATTCAGCAGTCCAGGAAATCGAGTATTTTTCTACACAGATTTGAGTGTCACCCAAGATACAGTATACTTTGCTGAATCTCCCTCCATGATACTCTTGTGGTTTTATCTATTTTACCAAAACACTTCCACGTAAAACAGGCTTCCGTTGACTCTGTTTGTCCTTTATGGACCCAACAGGGGAGGAAAAAATACCATTGCACTGGGTTTATCCACTTACTGTGGAGTTGGGGAACCAGAAACAACCACTGGACACGTTGCAAGCGCGTCAAGGTTTCCACCGCCACCTGGTGGCTAGATGGAGCACAGCATCTGTGTAACTGGTGGGCAAAGGCGTTCTGCTCCAAGATGTCAAAGTGGGGGAGAAAATTATGGGTGTTCTGCAATCTTGGCAAAAGAAGAGTACTGTACTCCTTATCTTTTTACTGCTTCTCCATGTTCACCCTTAAAAGATTGATTTTTATTTTTTACTCAGCTCTCCTCTTGTTTTTCAGGTTGACGCCGCTGTCACCCCAGAGGAGCGCCACCTGTCCAAGATGCAGCAGAACGGCTACGAAAATCCAACCTACAAGTTCTTTGAGCAGATGCAGAACTAGACCCCCGCCACAGCAGCCTCTGAAGTTGGACAGCAAAACCATTGCTTCACTACCCATCGGTGTCCATTTATAGAATAATGTGGGAAGAAACAAACCCGTTTTATGATTTACTCATTATCGCCTTTTGACAGCTGTGCTGTAACACAAGTAGATGCCTGAACTTGAATTAATCCACACATCAGTAATGTATTCTATCTCTCTTTACATTTTGGTCTCTATACTACATTATTAATGGGTTTTGTGTACTGTAAAGAATTTAGCTGTATCAAACTAGTGCATGAATAGATTCTCTCCTGATTATTTATCACATAGCCCCTTAGCCAGTTGTATATTATTCTTGTGGTTTGTGACCCAATTAAGTCCTACTTTACATATGCTTTAAGAATCGATGGGGGATGCTTCATGTGAACGTGGGAGTTCAGCTGCTTCTCTTGCCTAAGTATTCCTTTCCTGATCACTATGCATTTTAAAGTTAAACATTTTTAAGTATTTCAGATGCTTTAGAGAGATTTTTTTTCCATGACTGCATTTTACTGTACAGATTGCTGCTTCTGCTATATTTGTGATATAGGAATTAAGAGGATACACACGTTTGTTTCTTCGTGCCTGTTTTATGTGCACACATTAGGCATTGAGACTTCAAGCTTTTCTTTTTTTGTCCACGTATCTTTGGGTCTTTGATAAAGAAAAGAATCCCTGTTCATTGTAAGCACTTTTACGGGGCGGGTGGGGAGGGGTGCTCTGCTGGTCTTCAATTACCAAGAATTCTCCAAAACAATTTTCTGCAGGATGATTGTACAGAATCATTGCTTATGACATGATCGCTTTCTACACTGTATTACATAAATAAATTAAATAAAATAACCCCGGGCAAGACTTTTCTTTGAAGGATGACTACAGACATTAAATAATCGAAGTAATTTTGGGTGGGGAGAAGAGGCAGATTCAATTTTCTTTAACCAGTCTGAAGTTTCATTTATGATACAAAAGAAGATGAAAATGGAAGTGGCAATATAAGGGGATGAGGAAGGCATGCCTGGACAAACCCTTCTTTTAAGATGTGTCTTCAATTTGTATAAAATGGTGTTTTCATGTAAATAAATACATTCTTGGAGGAGCACCATTGTGCTGGTGTGAATGATTCCATAGTAACAATCTTGACCATTTACTGACGTACAGACCAGTGAGAAGTCTTCGCATGTTGGGTACCCACACCTGTTGTGTCTTAATTGCAAGTCTGAGTAGGAAGTTGGGGCCAACATGTGTCTCCCAGTGCTGGGAAAATATTTCATAGACCTAATTTACAGTCTTTACTTGATCTAAAACATTTTGCTGCCATATTTTGGCCCTCAAGTTTGTCCCAAATGAGAGACAAAGGGAAAAGTTCCAGGGAAATAAAAATTAAGACAGCTGATTATCTGTAAAGCATGGTTTCTCATCCTGAACGCTACTAACATTTTGCAGGGAATAATTCCTTGTTGAAGGGAGTTGTCCTGACCAGTGTAGGATATTTATTTATTTTATTTATGTTTTTTGAGAGTCTCGCTCTGTCACCCAGGCTGGAGTGCAGTGGCACAATCTCGGCTCACTGCACTCCAGCCTGGGAGACAGACGAGACTCCGTCTCAATAAATAAATAAATAAATAAATAAATAAATAAAAGGAGGGCCTGGCACGAATGACATGCAGGGAAGGCAGTGAGCAGGTGGAGGTCCCTGTACTCGTTGTGGTGCCTTATCTACCAGGCGGTTGAGTTGACGTCTTTGTGGACAGAATTCGATTACAAAGGTGTCCGAAAGTCTCCAGGTGGGGGAGAGTTTTGTAGCGGGCATAATTTGGGTTGTAAATTGACTGTTGTCTCCTGAGCAGTCTCCTGGTGAGGGAGAGTTTCACTGGAGCTTTGAAACACATGTTAGACAGCCTTGCCCTGTAGGGAGTGTCTCGTGAAGGAGAGGTAAACAATTATAATTGCATTTCTAAAGGGCTAAGTAGGACATGGGAAACTGGAAAATGGAGAAAAGAAGAGAAAAAAATAGTAACTCATTCTCTTTTTCTTAGAAAAATGAGGATACTTGGTCACATCCTCACATGGTGAAGAATAAGATGGTCTCTTCATTTCCCTTCAACACTAGTCCCATCGTGAGGCTCTGCCCTCATGACCTAATCTAATCCTAACTGCCTCCCAAAGGTCCCACCTCCACATCCCATTATTGGGGATTAGGGTTTCAACATAGGGATTTGGGGGAAACACAAACACTCAGTTCATAGTGATATCTGACTGCGATTCCAAAGGTCTGAGGACACATTGGCCCTGTTGTTTTTGCTGTGTTGTCCTTGGCCTCAGGTGAACATTTTAGCTTTAGATTGCAACATTTTAAGCTAAAAACACTAAGCTAGAAAATTAAACTTATCTCGTCACATTCTGCATGGTGAACAAACTCAAAACTCACCTGAGTGTATCTTGTTTTCATGAGAAAAAATGACCGGTCATCTCCCTTGCCCTGTTAGGGACAGTTAGACATGACTGCTGTATGAAGATATGTACATGTTAACAATTCATATGTACAAGCTACTGTTCCATTTTGCCTGGCCCAAGGGGAGGTAGCTAGCTAGTTGGGGTAGCAGGGCGAATTAACCCTAATATAATAGTACATTTCTAATGCCACCAATGAAATGAAAACCAGCTCTCAAACATGGCACTATATGGGATGGCATTCCAAGGCCAACTCAGTTACAGTAACTACAGCTTTAACTTTGATCATTTTGTTACCAGAAAGGGGTCCCAATCCAGACCCCAAGACAGGGTTCTTGGATCTCATGCAAGAAAGAATTCAAGGCGGGTCCATAGAGGAAAAGGAAATGAAGTTTTAAAGAAAGTAGGAAAATAAAGAGTGGTTGCTCCATAGGCAGAGTGAACCTAAGGGCTGCTGGTTGCCCATTTTATTGTTATTTCTTAATTATTTACTAAACAAGGGCTGAATTATTCATGCCTCCCCTTGGTAGACCATATAGGGTAACTTCCTGATGTTGCCATGGCATTTGTAAACCGTCATGGCTCTAGTGGGAGTGTAGCAGTGAGGACAACCAGAGGTCACTCTCATTGCTATCTTGGTTTTGGTGGGTTTTGACCGGCTTCTTTACTGCAACTTGTTTTATGAGCAAGGTCTTTATGACCTGTATCTTATGCAGACCTACAATCTCATCCTGTGACTTAGAATGACTTAACCCTCTGGGAATGCAGCCCAGTAGGTCCCAGCCTTATTTTACCCAGCCCCTATTCAAAATGGAGTTGCTCTGGTTCAGACGCCTCTGACAATTTTAAAGCTAATGAAAAAAATGTCTAGCCAAATGTATATATACATACATATATAATTATGAAAAGATAATGCCTTATAATCTTGATTCTTAAATTGAGGTATATTGATAGTATTCTCCCAATGGTCTGGGGATTAATCAATAGGTAATTTATACAAAACTGAAGTGCTGCCAAATAGAATTATAGGAGTAGCTGCTGCGCAAAAAAGATTAATGAGATTTGGGGAGACTTTGCTGTGGCTAATATGATGGGTCAGGAAGAGTACAATCTCAGTACAATTTTAAGTTGTATTTATCTTATGAATAATTGGGCTATTCTTTCATATGCCCAAGGGCCATTTTATAGCTCTATATTTCTTTTGTGTTCTGTTTGGGGCTTGAAGTCTCTACTTCTGTATCGGGATTGCAATGCCTGCTGTCTTACTGTTTCCATTTGTCTGGTAAATTTTCGTTCATTCCTTTATTTTTAGCTATTTCAATTGCTGCATTTTCGGTGTGTATCTTGTGTGCAGCACACAGTTGAGTTTTTGCTATACGAGCCAATCCGAAAATAATCTTTTTTAATAGGCAAATTAAGCCGATCTAGTTTTGATATAACTACCATGTTTGATGTCAATTCTGTCATATTTTAGATTGTAATTGCTGAATGTATTATATTTACTGTGTCTATCCTCTTGCGTTTTCTTTTGGCTTATGAATTTTGTGTCTTTTATTTATTTATTTATTTATTTATTTATTTATTTATTTAGAGACGGGGTCTCACTCTGTCGCCCAGGCTGCAGTGCACTGGTGTGATCTCGGCTCACTGCAACCTCCACCTCCCGGATTCAAGCGATTCTCCCGAGTAGCTGGGACTACAGGCACGTGCCACCACACCCAACTACTTTTTTATTTTTAGTAGAGACGGGGTTTCACCATGTTGGCCAGGCTGGTCTCAAACTCCTGACCTCAGGTGATCCACCTGCCTCAGCCTCCCAAAGTGCTGGAATTACAGGTGTGAGCCACCGCGCTGGGTCTTGTATCTTTATTCTAATGGGTTGCTTTTATACTAATCTTCTGTAGTGCTCTTACTCCCTTTTTTTTTTTTTTTTTTTTTTTTTTAAGACGGAAGTCTGGCTCTGTCGCCCAGGCTGGAGTGCAGTGGCGCAATCTCGGCTCACTGTAAGCTCTGCCTCCCGGGTTCACACCATTCTCGTGCCTCAGCCTCCCAAGTAACTGGGACTACAGGCACCCACCACCACGCCCAGCTAATTTTTTTGTATTTTTAGTAGAGACGGGGTTTCACCATGTTAGCCAGGATGGTCTCGATCTCCCGACCTCATGATCCACCTGCCGTGGCCTCCCAAAGTGCTGGGATTACAGGCATGAGCCACTGCGCCCGGCCCCTTTTTTCTTTCTTAACCTGTTACTATCTGTCTTTTCTAGATGATACTGATTCCCACCTATTACCTATATGTCAGTCAATGGTGTTACTCTACTTTTCCCCTTTTCTCTCCCTTCTCCCACCTTTTTAGTTGTATTTGTTCTACTTTATCAGTATATAATGTTTACATATCCATGTTTTTCATTAACCCATGAACGAACTCTTACATTATTCTCAGCTCTACAGTCAAATATGTGAAATGATCTCTGTTGGTCCTTTTGTTCCCAGAAATATTCTGGTTGGGTGAAACTCACCCTCCAGTAAATTGCTCAGCAAGAGCACGTGTACTGTATTCCTGGAATTCTGGTGAGTTTGAAACTGATTTTCTGTGACCTTGAAACTTGAAGAGCAGCTTGTTTTTCCTTAGGTTTCTTGAAAATGGTGTTCCAGTGTTTTCTTGGTTTGCATGTTATTTTTGAGAAATCTGAGGCCAATCTTTAATTCTCTTTGTAAATATTTTTTGGGCCTGGAAGCCTTGAGGATTTTTTTTTTATAAGTCTAATAATTTTCCGAGCTATCTCAGAATTATTTGTGGTCAGTTTTCCTATATACCACACTGGGCCCTTTCAGTGTAGAGTTGACTCAGTTCTTTTATTTCTGGAACTTTTTCTTGGATTAGAGTTTTAAATATTCTGTTATATTGTTTTTCTTTTCTTCAGGAACACCAATAATACAAATATGCAACCTCCTTTGTCTGGCTTCCATTTCAACTATCTTCTCTGGTCCTTTTTATTTTATCTCCTTTTCATTCTCTTGGCTATCCTTCTTTTATTCAATACCCTTTATTAAGTTTTTATTTGAACCCATTCTCTTCGGGGCACCTTGTAATCTGTTCTTTATTACTGATAAAGTTTTGTGATTTTCTTCTATTTTTTTTCCTGAATTTAATCAGCTCTGGCTTCATTTTCTCCTATTTTTTGTTGATTTCTCTACCTAGTTTTTATATTTCCGATTCAACATATTGATATTTTCCATGTTCCCAGATGCAGGTTGGAGAATATTTCATAAATATTGAGTGTTGTCTTAGAATTTTCATCAAGTTCATGGTTATATCGAGGAGACATCACCAGCAGAAAAACTTTGATTTGCAACTTCTGACTTTGGCAGTTGTTCTCTATAGAAGTTGGTCCACTCCTTCCTCTTCCTGTTCATTCTGTGGGCAGGAGACCTAGTTAGGAGCAGCTTCTTCCCTCAGTTCAACAATGTTCTGTGCAGTTGCTTCTGTGGCTGATGTTGACAGGAAAGATAGAAGAGTTGTTGTGTCTCCTATTTTCTGCAGGATGCTTAATTTTGTTCTGTCTCCTCTTCTGCTGTGCCTGTCTCCCAGAAGCACCACTCCTCTCCCTGTGTCTGATTCTCCCCAACAAGCATGGATTCTCCATGTCTGGTCTGCACACTGTCAGGCCCCACTCCGGAGCCTGGGCTCTGAACTGCCAAGTGCCCATCATTGCTCGTTTTTTTTGGTTTTTTTTTTTTTTTTTTTTTTTTGAGACCGAGTTTCACTCTTGTTGCCGAGGCTGGAGTGCAATGGTGCAATCTTGGCTCACTGAAACCTCTACCTCCTGGGTTCAAGCAATTCTCCTGCCTCAGCCTCCTGAGTAGCTGGGATTACAGACGCACGCCACCATACCCGGCTAATGTTTGTAGCTTTAGTAGAGACGAGGTTTCACCATGTTGGCCAGGAGGTCTCGAACTCCTGACCTCAGATGATCCACCCACCTCGGCCTCCCAAAGTGCTGGAATTACAGGCGTGAGCCACCATGCCCGGCCTTGTTCATTCTCTTTGTAAATATTGTTTCACTTTATCTTTTGGGAGTGGCTTTGTCTGTTTTTTCTCTAAGTTCTCTGCTTCCCTCCACCCTTTTCCCCAATCTCTTGAGACTCCTCTCCCCTGATTTCTGCACCCATAGGTTTGTGGTGGCTGCTTGCTGCAGGCCCACAGTGGGCACTCTGTTGGATTTTTTTTTCTTCTATGCACAGATAATTGGAAAATTGCAGCTTCTCTTATCTCTTAGTCATGCTGAAAGAGGGACATTTACCACCATTATGAGGAAATCTGCACACTGGTATATTTTTAAAGTGCCCCAGATGATTCTAATACACAGCTGTGGTGGAGAACATCTTGTTATATCATCATAATGTGCTTTTAGTACATTTTACATATATTTTCCCAAAAGTCCCTTGGCTTCCCAGCCATGACTGTCTCATTTTTCTCCTACCTGAGTCCTGTAGGTAAGAGAAGCACTGTCCTTCACATCTCTGTTTCTCAAAGAATTCACCTACATCAGAATCACCTATGAGCCTGGCCAAACATTGCAGTTTTCCAGATCCCATTCTGGGCCTACTGAGATCATCTCTGGAGACCCAGGACTCTGCATTTTCAACAAGCACACACACACACCCATGATTAAGCTGTGAAGGATCATAAAAATCACTGCTTTGGATGCTGGTGGACCCTGAGTTTCTGCTCTTGCTTCTCTTCTCTACACTGTCTAACATCAGCCACATGAAAAGTATTTATTATAATTCATATATGCAAAGCAATAACTTAAACCTAAATCTTTTCCTGAGTTAAGAGACCCAGATTCCTGTCTTTGCTTTAAAATATGCACTATGATTATAAATGCAATGCATGTTTTAGAAAATACAGGATGTAGGCAAGGTACAGTGGCTCACACCTGTAATCCCAGCACTGTGAGAGGCCGAGGCGGGTGAATCTCTTGAGGTCAAGAGTTCGAGACCAACCTGGGCAAAATGGTGAAACCCTGTCTCTACTAAAAATACAAAAATTTAGCCGGACGTGGTGGTACGCACCTGTGATTCCTAGCTACTCGGTAGGCTGAGGCAGGAGAATCACTTGAACCCGGGAGGTCGAGGCTGCAGTGAGACGAAATTGTGCCACTGCACTCCAGCCTAGGTGACAGAGCCAGACCTGTCTCAAAAAAAAAAAAAAAAAGAAGAGACTAATTTTGGCCTAACCATACACACCATTTTCTGATTTAGGCTAGTCAATCAGGAATGACTGTCTTGTAGAGGATCCTTGAATGGCCCTGTGTCTATTAATACGCTTCTGTTCCCTGTCCCCTACATACAAACATGTTAAGGCTCTACACTGGTATGACTTTGGGCATATACGAAAAATTGGAGTGGAAATTATTTATATAATTTTCTTGCTTTCATCATGCAGTCACTTTGTTGAATACATTTGCAGATCAAATCAGAATATGAAGATCCTTTATGGCTATTAAACCGAGAAAATCTATCCTCTGCTAACTAACCAGCTCTGAGGCAACTAGCAGAGGCAGCATCTCATTTCTAACATTGCTCTATTTCAAAATGTTTTAGAATAATTTCCAAAGTAAATGACTTTTATTGTCCATAAGATTTCTTGGACAACCTGTTTTACACATTCAGAGCATACAATTTTTAACTACCCTGGCCGGGTGCGGTGGCTCATGCCTGTAACCCCAGCACTTTAGGAGGCCAAGGCGAGTGGATCACTTGAGGTTAGTTCAAGATCAGCCTGGCCAACATGGGGAAACCCTGTGTCTACTAAAAACACAAAAAATACTCGGGCTTGGTGGCATGTGCCTGTAAGTCCAGCTACTCTGGAGCCTGAGGCATGAGAATCGCTTGAATCCAGGAGGCGGAGGTTGCAGTGAACCGAGATCATGCCACTGCACTCCAGCCTGGGCAACAGAGCAAGACTCTGTCTTAAAAAAAAAAAAAAAAAAAAATTACCCTGAACTACGTTCTTCCTGAGCTGAACTCTATTCCTCCAAACTAGGAGACTTTCTCAGTGTTTTCAACCTTCCCTCCTTCCATTTGTAAGATGGTCACAGATGTTTCATCTTGGTTCATTCATTTAAAACAGCTATTGCGTGCCTACTGCATATACTCAGACAATGCCAGGCACTAGCAATACAATGGCTAAAAAAAAATTTTTTAGAAGATGATCCTGGCCGGGCGCGGTGGCTCACGCCTGCAATCTCAGCACTTTGGGAGGCCGAGGCGGGCAGATCACGAGGTCAGAAGATCGAGACCATCCTGGCTAACACGGTGAAACCCCGTCTCTACTAAAAATAATTTAAAAAATAGCCTGGCGTGGTGGCGGGCGCCTGTAGTCCCAGCTACTCGGGAAGCTGAGACAGGAAAATGGCGTGAACCCGGGAGGCGGAGCTTGCAGTGAGCCGAGATCGCGCCACTGTACTCCAGCCTAGGCGACAGAGCAAGACTCCCTCTCAAAAACAAAAAAAAGATGGTCCTAATTTCAACACCTTGTATGTTAGGTCTCTGGATAAGCATTACCACCTTTAACAGCGGTTTATACAGTACAAATTGTATTTTGCCACAGATCTGCAATTTGAGTAGGGCTCAGTGAGGAACGCTCCTGTCTCCACACAGCACTCACAGAGGCAGCTGAACTGAAGGATGAGGAATGTGTTTCCAAGATGGCGCCCTCATGTGGCTGGTGAGTTGGTGTTGGCTGTCAGCTTGGGAGTTCGGCTGGGGTCCTCAGTTCCTCTCCACAAGCAATGTGCACCTCCATGTGGCCCTGGCTTTCTCAGAGCATGGTGGCTGGGTTTCAAGGATGAACATCCCAAAGAGAGAGGCAGAAACTGTATTGCCTTTTATGCCTCACCCTCAAAAGTTCCATAACATTACTTCTGTCATACCCAGTTGGTTCCAAGGCAACCACAAATGCCTGCCTAGGTCAAGGAAAGGGGACATAGATTCCATCTCTTGATGGGAAGAATGTCAAAGAACTTGTTTTAAAACTACCACATTTGGATAAATATACACATTCTATTAGGGATAAGTATGGGTAATGGCCATTTCCTGTCTTGGTCAGCTCAGCATAATTAACTAGTAATGAAAGACAAGGATGTTAATTCCCTTGGTAGGGCAATTTCTTTTTATAATTTCCATTCTGAACTCCAGGTTCCCAGTTGCCTGCTGAATATTTAGCAGACATCTCACGCTTAATGTGTCCAACATCTGACTCCAGATGTCTTGCTCCTCCTTTAGCCTTTCACTTCTCAGTAAATGATAACTCCATTCCTCCATTCCTGCACATACAGGTGCACACTGCACATGGAGAGGAACTGAGGCCCCCAGCCAAACTCCCAAGCTGACAGCCAACACCAACTCACCAGCCACATGAGGGCGCCATCTTGGAAACATACCCCCATCCTTCGGCTCAGCTGCCTCTGTTGAGTGCTGTGTGGAGACAGGAGCATTCCTCACTGAGCCCTACCCAAATTGCAGATTTGTGGCAAAATACAATTTTTACTTATAAACCACTGTTAAAGGTGGTAATGCTTATCCAGAGACTTAACATACAAGGTGTTGAAATTAGGACCATCTTTTTTTTTTTTTTTTTTTTTTTTTTTTGAGAAGGAGTCTCGCTCTGTCGCCCAGGCTGGAGTGCAGTGGCGCGATCTCGGCTCACTGCAAGCTCCGCCTCCCGGGTTCACGCCATTTTCCTGCCTCAGCCTCCCGAGTAGCTGGGACTACAGGCACCTGCCACCACCACGCCTCTGTGGATGCCGTGTGGAGCAGACAGGAGCATTCACCACTGAGCCCTACCCAAAAATCGCAACGCACTGGTTATCTGTTCACCTTATTCCCTTGTCTTCTTAGGTCTTTGATCAAATGTCACCATTTTGATGATGCTTTTCCTGACCATGGTTGCCAAAACTTAACTCTCTCCCCTGCCCTAACAGCATACGAAGAAGCATTTCATATATCCTTCTCTTCATCACTTTTCTCCTGGGCACCATCTGACTCATATGTTTTACTCTTTTATTTGCTTATTGCCTTCCTCTCACAAGAACGTAAACTTCGCAAAGACAAGATTTTTTTTTGTCTGTCTTCTTCACGGATGAATCCTTAGTGTTTAGTCTAGTGCCTTGTGCATGATGATGCTCAAGGAGTAGTTGTTGAATAAATGAGTGAATTGAAATTGGCACACTTTGGCAAGTAGCACAGAGAAAGGATCAAAAAGGTAGGAAAATGGGAGGAAGGAGAAGGACTTACTAAAATATTAGACACTAGAAAGTGAAACTGCTTTTGCAAAAATTATAACTGAGGAAACTATGACAGTGAAAGAGATCAAACCTAACTGACTCCATCTTGCTTCTAACCTTCAAGCTGTTCTTGTTCATTCCTTGGCATAGGCTGAACTAACCTTGGGAATAAATTTAGTTTATAGTTTAACTCTGAAACAAAATTGATAATAACCCTTTCCCAAGACTAACATATTAACTACAAGATTAGAAACTACAGTTTAGGGGCCATGCGACCTCCAGCTCCAAGAGTCTGAACCTCCCCAAATTGCTCCTGGGACTAACATCACTACTGTAAAACCTAAGATCAGTGCTTGAGATATTTTGCAGACCCTGCACTCGACGCACCAGCTGACACCACCCAGACCGGTAATCTGGCTCAACCAATTCTGCAATCCCACCCAGGAACAGAAGACAGCAAGAACTCACTTTGACCTCCTATGATTTCATCTTTAACCCAACCAATCAGCACTCCCCACTTCGAGTCCCTACACACCAAATTATCCTTCGAAACACCAGTCCCTGAATGCTCAGGGAGACTGATGTGAGTAACAATAAAACTCTTGTCTCCCACAAAGCTGGCACTGCGTGAACTATTCTTTCTCCTTTGTAATTCCCCTGTCTTGATAAATTGGCTCTGTTTAGGCAAGCAAAGTGAACCCATTGGGCGTTTACAAAATAACCAACATAGCAATATATTTTTTCTTTCTCAAGATCCATTCATAAATGGATTTGAATATTCTTAATGGTAGATTGGCTGGACCAAAGTGAAATGTCTATGTTTATGTCAGTTTCCTATGAGAGTTTCCTCTCCATGGACCTGGGGGAAATGGGCTGGAGGACCTGGCAGAGAAAAACAGGCTTCTGATAAATTGCCTCCACTGTTCCCATTCATCCTTCAGAACACCAGAGGGTTTTATCTATGAGACAGCTCCCCTTTCACGTTTAGCAATAGAGCCCTAACAATAAAAAAAGGAAAGCAATCATTTGATGAAAATTATACCTATTACTGAAGAATTTTATTTGTCTTCTTAGGTCTTTGATCAAAATTGTTCTTAGAAATTATTATAAAAGCTTTGGTGAATTACACAAAACCCTGGAATACAGATACTTAATAGAGGAAGAAAAATGGCAAACTCAGAGAAATAGAAACAACTCAGGAGAATTCAACCAAAGGCACATATAGCCTAGAATCTTATTAAAGATTCAAGAATTCCAGAAAGGGCCAGACGCGGTGGTTCACACCTGTAATCCCAGCTCTTTGGGAGACTGAGGCGGGTGGATCACGAGGTCAGGAGATCGAGACCATCCTGGCTAACATGGTGAAACCCCGTCTCTACTAAAAATACCAAAAAAAACAAAAATTAGCCGGGCGTGATGGCGGCACCAGCTACTCGGGAGGCTGAGGCAGGAGAATGGTGTGAACCCAGGAGGCGGAGCTTGCAGCGAGCCAAGAACGCACCACTACACTCCAGCGTGGGCGACTGAGTGAGACTCCATCTCAAAAAAAAAAAAAAAAAAAAAAAATTCCAGAAAGGTCGGGCACGGTGGCTCATGCCTGTAACCTCAGTACTTTGGGAGGCTGAGGTGGGCAGATCACTTGAACCCAGGAGTTCAAGACCAGCCTGGGCAACATGGTGAAACCCTGTCTCTACTAAAAATACAAAAAATTAGCCCAGCATGGTGGTGCCCACCTGTAGTCCCAGCTACTCAGGAGGCTGAGGTGGGAGGATCACTTGAACCTGGCAAGTCAAGGTTGCAGTGAGCCAAGGTTGCACCTCTGTACTCCAGCCTGGGCAAGGAGACTCTGTCTCAAAAAAAAAAAAGTTTGGGAAAGCAAATCCCTCTTCAAGAAAAAAGACCTAAGAGAGACGAGTTCCTGTAGACCAGGAATCTCTGGAACCAGGGCCACACAGAGGGAAGCGAGCAGCAGGCCAGCAGGTGAAGCTTCATCTGTAGTTACAGTCGCTCCCCATCACTCACATTACCGCCTGAGCGTGGCCTCCTGTCAGATCAGCCGCAGCATTAGATTTTCATAGGAGCACAAACCCTATTGTGAACTGCGTATGGGAGGGATCTAATTCGTTCTCTCTTTATAAGACTCTAATGCCTTCTGATCTCTCACTGTCTCCCATCACCCCCAGATGGGACCATCTAGTTGCAGGAAAACAAGCTCAGGGCTCCCACTGATTCTACATTTTGGTGAGTTGTATAATTATTTCATTATATATTACAATATAATAATAATAGAAATAATGTGTCCAATAAATGTAATGTGCTCGAATCTTCCCGAAACCATCCTCCCCTCTCCACTCCTGGTCTGTGGAAAAATGGTCTTCCACAAAACCGGTCCCTCGTGTGCCAAAATGGTTGGGGACCACTGCTGTAGACTCCACCTTGGCAATTTCAATGTATTTTTATAATCACATGTCTGGTCCCTCCTGGCTCATTTGAAACATGGGCTACTCAAAAGAGCCCTGAATGAATGAATGGAAGGCAGATTCTTCTTCAAACAGAAAGATAATTCAAAAAACATCTGACTCCCAGGAGAGGTTCTCAGCACTGTACCCCCAGAGCTTTCCCCAACAGAGGTCAACTTGCGTGCAGTCCCTGGCCTACAGATTCTACTTTTATTAACTCCACAGTAGGGTTTATAATCTCTTCCCTTTCAATAGGCCACACAGACAGGGGACTAAGAACATTATTCTGCATTCTCTTCATGCTATGAAGTACCCTGCCCCATCCCCAATAGACTTCACCCCATAATATAATTTTGTTGAGGCAACAGAATGAGTTTATGCTCCCAATTTTCACTGTGTTGTATAGCAGAGCATGGGATTGTCAGAGCCAAGGAGGCTTGTTTGGAACTGACAGTTGCTACATTACTAGGAATAATAATAATAATTCTTCTAATTCTAATGATTTTATTGTCTGAAAAGCAAAAACTCAGGAACAAAGAGGTAAGGAAAGGAAAATACATACATCATGGTAGTACTCTCTCCCTCCTCCTTCCAAAAGGGGATTAAAGGGAGAATTTTGTTGTCTCAGTTAAAAGAATGCAGGTGCACCATGGGTCTCAGCTGCAGTGGGCAGAAGAACACATTAGTTGTCCTTGCCCTGCTGAAAGGTGCTTACCTTCTTTGTTTTGCCTTTTGGATATCAAAGCTAAAGGGGGCCTTTCTCAGCAGTTATCTAGAAGAGTGGAAGCAAAAAAGTTCAGCAGTATACATCCTGTCACCTCTGCTCTCCGATGACCATTTTCATGGAAGTTTGTGCTTTTATAGTGGAGAAGCAATTAGAATTCTCTCATTCTCTCAAAGGAGAGCTAGTGGAAAATTTTTCTTTTTCCTTTTTAAACAGTAGACAAAATTCTAAATTCTAACATCAGAAAACTTTGGGGGAAAGCAAAAAAAAAAAAAAAAAAAGTAACAGGACACAGATGTTTTCTTTTTTTTAAAAAAAGGACAATAGTCATCTAGAAAAGAACCCAGAATTGAAGTCCAAGACAGTTCAGTCTATTATGATGCAAACTGCTCTGAAACTGACATCCTCATTACATCTGCATTTTACTCAAGTAATTTCAGTGCTATCACTGTGTAGTCTGACCACTCATTTTTTTACTGTTTATGCTAATGGGTTTTGTGGGTGGTGGATTAGTTGCATTTTAATGCCCAGAGGCAAAAAGATGAAAATATTCAGATGGCAGTAATGGATGAAAAAACACCCTGCTGCTGGCAGTTTCAGATACAGAATTACATGACTCTTTTGTAAAATGTGTGTCGCTTTTGCTGGTTTAACTGTTAGGTTGGTGCAAAAGTAATGGCGGTTTTTACCATTCAAAGTAATGGCAAAAAACGCCATTACTTTTGTACCAAACTAATATTTTTGGCAATAACAGCCCCCAGTTCTACAGTGGCTTTTCCTAACAATTCAATGTCTCCTGCATAATATTTTTCTCTAAACCATCCTCTAAATCTTCTCTAAAATTTCCTAAAGTTGGCCGGGCACGGTGGCTCAAGCCTGTAATCCCAGCACTTTGGGAGCCCAAGGCAGGCGGATCACTTGAGGTCGGGAGTTTGAGACCAGCCTGACCAACATGGAGAAACTCTGTCTCTACTAAAAATAAATAATTAATTAAATAAATAAAATAAAATAAATTAGCCAGGCGTGGTGGCTCATGCCTGTAATCCCAGCTACTTGGGAGGCTGAGGCAGGAGAATCGCTTGAACCCGGGAGGCGGAGGTTGCAGTGAGCCGAGATCGCACCATTGCACTCCAGCCTGGGCAACAAGAGCAAAACTCCGTCTCAAAAAAAAAAAAAAATTCCTAAAGTTACAGATAAATCTGACAAATGTGTATGATTCCCTACACATAAATCTTTTTAATTTTCATATATGAGTGGATTTATTTAAGGGAAAGAAGAGAACATGACATTATTAAAAATAATTCTTGGATAGAGGTGGCAAAAGGTTTGAGAGTAAGGGTGAAGATTCTGGGCTTACATGCCAGCCAAGACTTGGGGAATATTCACTCTGGGCTGTTCAGTGGGTGAGTCTCTCTGTCTTAGCATTATAAAATATTGGATCTTACCCACTACCAATGTATGTTTCCTGGATTGGAAAGAAAGGAAAACTTGGCAGGCATGAATGGCCTCGTTGGACCTCGTCTTTTCTCTCCCTGTAGCAGAGCACAGTCCAGAAAGCAACACAAATGCCTCAGACTTTCCAAAAGTTAATGAAGTAATTGTCTGTTCTCAACTACCAGTGTGGAGCCATTTGAGATTAAAGTCAGATGAGCCAGGAGCTCACCCTGCCCTTTTGATACACAACCCAGTGATTTCACATCATTTCGAGGGCATTAGGGCCCCAAGGGATGTTTAATCAACCCCAACCACAGACTGCAATGGGTTTCTCTCATTTTTTTGGATTAGGGAGGGAGTAGTTGGGTGAGGTAGCAAGATCTTGTAGATGCCACAGTGCTTCTTGTAAATAACTATTTTCCAAACTGAATAGCAAATTGATCCTTGGAATTTTTCACGTTTGTTTTTTTTCTTTTTTTCTTTATCTCTGCCATCAAGAAAACCAAGACACTTCCTGCCAACAAACCTCTGTAAAGCAAGAAAGGTCAACATGAAACTTTTAATGGCTTTTTCTTGTACTTCCCAAAGAACATCCCAGGAGGGATTTTTCTATTGTTGTGGAGAACATGAAGCTACTCTTGTATTTACTGTTGATCGGGATGACAGTGGAGATGGCATTGACCTCAAACCAACAGCTCCTGATAAGATGCTATACACATTCCCAAAACAACACACACACACACACACACACACACACACACACACACACACACACACACAGAGAGAGAGAGAAGAAGGCTGGAGGAGTATGCTGACAACACAGCACGAGCTAGAAATGTGACCTTTCACATGAAACTTCTTGGTTTTATTTTAATTAAAGAAAAGTGTTTTTATTTTTATAAAGAAATATTCATATTCTTTCTTGGTTTCAGTTTGAAATGGTCATCATGTCTAAGCATTATGAAAATCACTAAACCAGACCAGAGATAGGATTTAGAACCATCCTGAAATAAATATTTAAGCTGAACATAATTAGCTTCATGATATATGTATTTCATTTTTTGTGTAAAGGGATGGCATTAACAGAAAAGGGGCAAAAGTTCTTATTAAGTAGACAGCATGTTCTACCGTGAGATGGAGATTAGGGTTATTAATATGAACCCCTGTCAAGAAGAGTCTGACAGTTCTTTATACAGGAAAAATAAGCCAATATTCTGAGCCCCAGGCTAAAACTTTGGCTTTTGGCAACATAGAGAACTGAAGCTTAACGCTGTTGAGAAAGGAGAATCCAGTTTCAAGAGCACAGGGCAAAAAAACGAGTTCATTGCCCAGGTCTGCCTCTTATGAGTGGACCTCTCTAGAATTCAATTTTACTCTTTCTGAAGAAGAGAAGCAACAAAGACTTAAAGAGATGAGAAAGAAAAGTATAGCAAGAACATCATCAGCTAAGGCACATTATTTTAAAATTGAAACAGTACTGTATTCCTGGTTTTGATGACTGTGCTATAGTTATGTAAAATGTTGTGCTATAGTTATACAGGGGAAGCTGGATGAAGAGTATACGGAGTACTCTATTCTATTTTTGCACCTTTTTTAAAGTCTAAAATTACTTCAAAATGCCAGCCACAGTGGCTCATGCCTGTAATCCCAGCACTTTGGGAGGCCAAGGCAGGTGAATCACATGAGGTCAGGAATTCAAGACCAGCCTGGCCAACATGGCAAAACCCCATCTCTACTGAAAATACAAAAATTAGCCAGGCATCATGGCAGGTGCCTGTAATCCCAGCTACTCAGGAGGCTGAGGCAGGAGAATCGCTTGAACCCAGGAGGCGGAGGTTATAGTAAGCTGGTATCTTGCCACTGCACTCTAGCCTGGGTGACAGCACGCGACTCTGTCTCAAGAAAAAAAAAATCACTTCCAACTAAAAGATTTAAAAAACATTATTATATGGTATAATACCTTAAAAAGCAGTTGGCAGAGACTCATGGAAATCCAGGCACAGTCTGTGTGAAACTGTCTCACGGTCTCTTTTCAAGGTAATCTTTGTGGCCACTGTCATTATTTGTAAATAGTTGAACACTGTAGTCCTCCTTATCTGCAGTTTCACCTTCCAGGGTTTCAATTACCTGTGGTCAACCATGGTCTGAAAACATTAAATGAAAAATTTCAGAAATAAACAACTCATTAGTTTTTAATTGCACGTGGTTCTGAGGAGAAATCTCAGATGAAATCTCATGTTGTCCTGCTTTGTCCTGCCCTGGACAGGAATCATCCTTTTGTCCAGCAGATTCACACTGTAGACACAACCCACCCATCAGTCATTGACACTGTCTGTTTCTGACTCCCAACCTTCGTCATCCTTGTGGCTTAATGATCCAGAATCACCTGAAGCAGATGATCCTCCCTCTGACAATAGGTCAGAAGGTCAATAGTAGCCTAATGCTAAGTCACAATGCCTACGTCATTCACATCACTTCATCTCAGCACGTAAGCATTTTGCCATCTCACATCTCACATCATCACAAGAAGGGTGAGTACATTACAGTAAGATATTGAGAAAAAGACCATGTTCACATAACTTTTATTACAGCATATTGTTACAATTGTTCTATTTTATTATGTTATTGTTGTCAATCTCTTACTCCGCCTAATTTACAAATTAACTCTCACAGGTATGTATGTATAGAAAATGTGCACTGTGGGTCTTAGAAGGTATGTCCCTCAGATAAGGGGGGACTACTGTACTCTCATAGGGGCTCAATAGTCATTGCCAATGAAGAAAATCTGAAGGTGTCCCTTTGAACCAATTTAGATTGAAATGACACAAAACATAAACTAAGGAAGAAGCAATTCATCAAAAACAATGGTATACCAGATAACTTAGAGACTGAGAAAGAAAAGTTAAACTCACTATGTGAAGTATTTTATTAACACTCTTTTAGGGGAAAATCAATTTGGTTTAAAACAGAAGGAATTTGGTATCTTCAGGCCCTATTCATTTTTGCATGGTCTTTGTAATCAGATTTCTGGCCAGTCTGCTGTTTACTTTCAACCATCGACCATGTCCCTCTTCTATGCACTGATTTTGAAATTTCATTAATGTTTACCAGCTCTCTCACATGGCAATTATGTTAAGTATTTTTCATAGAAGACTTTAACATATAATTTTAATTTTCTGAACTATTAGCCTTTTATCAACTCCCAAAATTACTTGATTTGTGTTAAGAAAACACATACATTTTATTCTAAATACTCTTATACAGATGTACCATGTAATAGTTTCTTGGCATTCTCAGTTTTCTAATTATTAAAAGTTTATACCCAACATTAAATGCATGTTCTGTTGCCCCAAATTGTGGTACAAGTCACCTGGGAACAGAAATACAGGTCAGTGCAGAGGCTACAGAAAAAAACAAAAATGTTCTTTCATAACATTCTCCAAACCTTTGGACAGCAGAGGGATCATTACATTATCGTTGAAACATTTGCAGGCAATAACTAAATAAATGGATGAAAGAAGCAAATTTCAAAAGCCTTGCTGGGATTACAATGCCTGCTTTTTGCCACTAGGAGGTGCTCTGAGGGCAATAGGAAGAGGAAGAGCTGATTGAGTTGCTTGGTCTCCACCAGGCTTGCAGAAAATTGACAAATGGGCAGATAAAGCAAAAAAGAGCAAAAGCCACAAGACTCCTTAGGCAGCATGAGCCAATGAATGGCATTAAAAGTGGAGAAACTGCCAATCAGCCAATATTTGCAAAATTAGTTGCAATACACTGAATTTTGTGTTCCTCCTAAAAATTCATATATTAAAATCCTGGCATCCATGATGATTGTATTAGGAGGTGGCGCCTTTGGGAGGTGAGGCCTTTTGAGAGTGACTGCCCTCATGGATGGAATTAGTGACCTCATAATAAAGACCAGAGAGAGACAATGGGGAGGAGAGTTCCTTTGTCTCTTGGGCCATGTGAGGACACGGTGAGAAAGCCATCTGTGAACCAGGAAGCATGACCTCACCAGACACTGAATTTGCTGGTGCCTTGATCTTGGCGGTCCCAGACCTCCAGATCTGTAAGAAGTAAATTTTTATTGTTATATGCCACCCAGTTTATGGTAGTTTGTTACAGCACCCTCAATGGCCTAAGGCACTAGTCATTTGAATATTCTGCTTAACAGCTATAATCTAAGCTCTAGGGTACATGTGCACAACGTGTTCTAGGGTACACATTGTGCACATGTACCCTAGAACTTAAAGTATAATAATAAAAATTAAAAAAAATTAAAAAAGAGAGAAAGCAGGAACATTTAATTTGTATTGAATAACATTTGGCCTTTCTTTAGCTATTTAGTAGAATACTATGCTCTTACAATGCATTTGTGTGATTTCTTCCTTCATTTAATGAACATTTACTGAGTCCCTACTATGTCCCAGGTACTGGGGATAGAAAAGTGAACAAAAATAGACAAAACACCTGCCTTTATGGTGTTTACATTTTAGTATCATTATGATAAATATTATTTATCATGCAGATTTTTACAGGCAGTTTTTAATTTCTTATAGTTTATGGATCACTTGAGAATATATTGAAAACTGTGGGTCTTATTCCTTTTGGAAAAATAAATAAATGAATACTAAATAGAAAAATGTACGAGTATATGTATATACAGTTTGTTATTTCTCAATATTAGCTGTAACTGTTTTTGCCATGCCTTCTGATAGTTCAGTTTTTGCCCTGTTTTGGAAGTCCTGAACCTATAATTTATATATTTATTGGAACAAGATGCAGGCAGATAAATTTAGACAACATCCCCTAATTCCAGATTATTTCAAAGAACCACTGAGCCGTCTTCTGGAATGCTGATGTTCATGTAAGTTATATGATGAGAGTCGGGGTCAGAGTTTTCCCCACTCTTTTTCTCTTTCTGGCCTCTTTTTCCAGATCACTAATTCCATCCATGAGGGCAGGACCTCCCAAAAGGCCCCACCCCGAAAGGCACCACCTCCCAATAATATCATCTTGGGTGTCGGGATTTTAACACATGAATTTTTAGAGGGGACACAAAATTCAGCCTATTGCAACTAATTTTGCAAATATTTGGTTGATTGGCAGTTTCTTTTTTTCTTCGAGTCTTACCATTCAATCGTTGGTTATGTTCCATTGATTGTTCATGCCTTAGCATAATAAATTGGGTTAAATTCTATTCTAATATACAGTCATGCTTTTTAACAGAAAGCAATCATGAATTGTACGAACAAAACACTGGCTTCAGCCGAAAATGCACCATTAAGTTATTGAGCTTTTAAAAGACACATGTTTAGACGGCAAATCTTTGGGTTACTATTATGTCATTTGTAGCATAACAAATTAAGACAAGCAGCATTCAGATGAAAGTATAATTAAGAAATACAGTTGGTTGCTGAGTTTTTCTGTCATGAAATTAGAAACTCATATTTCCACAACCCAGGGAGAAGAAATTTATTTACCACTAAATCAAATGTATTCACAACTAAGAAGTCATTTACGTAGTAAAGTGATATAAAGAAAGCAGTGGCTCAGACTTGTAACCTCAGCACCTTGGGAGGCCCACACAGGCCGATCACTTGAGCTAGCCTGGGCAAAATGGAGAAACACCATCTCTACCAAAAAAAAAAAAAAAAAAAACTAGCATGGTACGGTGGTATGTGCCTGCAGTCTCAGCTACTTCGGAGGCTGAGAAGGGAGGATCACCTGAGCCCAGGAAGTCAAGGCTGATGATCTTTCCATAGACTATGTACTCTAATTCTGAGTCATGTTCCTCAGATAAGAGTACAAGTCTTAACCTCAGAAATAGCAAGGAGAGGTGGAGGTGGAGGGGTGGATGAAGATCACACATTACTAAGCTATTGAATTTTAAGTATTCTGAAAGTCACCTTTTACTGTGGTGATGGGCATAACTGTTAATTTCAAATATTTTGTCATGCCCAACACAAAATGTCCCTGCGCCATGGTGAACCACCTTGTTCTCCATTTCTCAGTGGGGCCACTAACATAAAAATCTACCTGCTCTCCAGGTCAAGTTTCGAATATTGTAAATGAGGCCTTAGGAAATATTGTTTACTCTAAGTACATCTTTGACACCAAATATTGTCTGATATGTGTTGATCATAATAATAAAGAAAAAAATCACAAGAAAGGAAAATAAGTAATGAGAAAAGGTGGGAGGGCGGTACATTGGAAAGGAGGGAATATGCTTTTTTTCCTATGTATAACTGTGAATTATTGCTTTTTGCCTCCTAAGGAAAGAAAGTGAATGGCCTGACTTAGTGCGTGAAAATCTCCTAAGCTGGCAGTTCCACTAGTTTTATAAAAATCTGTCACTTTATGATCTCCATAACCAAACCAAACCCTTTCATATCATTTCTTAGAAACTTTCTCCCAGTCGGTCTACTACATTCCTCATGAGACTTCTCGACCCTTGCTTTTGCAGACCAGTTTCTCTGCCTTGAGTGGATGATGTGACTCAGGATATTCCTAACAGATGCAACACCAAAATTTTGTTTAATCAAATTATGATGAGTTAATGTCTACAAAAATGTATTCTGATGCAAGCCTTCCTGGATACATGGAATTTTTAAACAAATGATAGTTTCATACTCCAAGAAGAATAACAGCAGAACTCTGAAATATTAGATTTCCTTCCTTGTCATCCTAGCTGAAAACTCCCTTAATTCTCCATGAGGTTTTAAAGGAAATAAGCAAGTATAAATCACCTGCCTGACTAAATTTAACCTTTACACATTTAGCAGAGTACAGATGATAGTCTTTTCTGATTTATAGTGTACATTTCCCCCGAAGGGACCAGTGAATAATGAGCCAAGGGAGAGGCAGAAAGCCCGTGCAAAGCCCTGCTAGGTGACCTTGATTAAGCCTTCTCCTTTTGCTTTCGGGTTTTCTATCTCTAAAGAAAGAATACTAAATTCCCAGGACCTTTCTGAGAAAGAGACAAGAGGTGATGGGGGCAGATGCATAGAATGTCTGCTGAGGCCATTAGAGGCAAGAAGTTGAAGATCAAAAGAGGTTTTCTGCTCATAAGCTAGAGTCAGGCAGAACTACTGGGAATCAAAAATACTAGTTCTTTCCCAACATCTAATGTGATAACAAGTGAAAGACAGGGAAAAAAAAACCCAACTGTATAGTCAAGATACATGTAAATACCAATTACAGCTTACTGTTAATGTGAAATGTAAGTTATAAACTCGGCAAGTATAGCATTATTTTTCAAAATAGTTGTCTTTCTTGATTAAAAGTAGAAAAAAAGTTACAGTTGTATTGGTGGAAAACAGAGTTTCTCAAACTCAACACTACTGATATTTGAGGCCAGATTATTCTTTTTGGGGTACTGTCCTGTGCATTGTAGGATGTTTAACAGTATCTCTGGCCTCTACCTATCAGATACTAATAACACCCTCTCCCCAGTTATGACTATTAAAAATGTCTCCATCAAATATCCCTGGGACGCAAAATTGCCCCTGGTTGAAACCACTTGGTGGGGGGCGGGCAGAGTGAATAGTAGCCGCTTATGATATTTTAAAAGCACCTTTAGTTTTTACATAAAATTCCCATGCCCAAATATCTGAGGCTTTGACTTAGTTCACTGAGTACATCCAAAGTTTCTCAGTTGAGGGGCTATCGCTGTTAAAGCCTTTCAAAGATCCGGAGGGAGCTACCTTAATTACACTAGGCTTGAGTATTTGAAGAGGCTGTTCCCTGGGGGCAGTGATTATGTATTTCCTATTTATGCTGCATACCAGCTCCTAGCATGGTGCAGGCACAGAGTATGCTCTCAGTGAATGAATAAATGAGAAGGTAAAACAAGAAACAGATGGACCTAGGGAAATATATTTTCTCCTTTGGTTACCTCTAGGTGTAATGTACCATGTCTCCCTTTACCTACAGAAGGTTACCGCAAAGAGCATCTTAATGATCAAAAAGAGTTAGTGTGGCTGACTCTAAAAGAAAACCCCACCAAGCTTTTGAAAAGATACTGAAAGGACCAGGAATCTAGTGTGATACTTTGGGGTTTTCATCCTCTATTCTATAGTAAATAATGCCATGAGGTTGAGCATGAAATCAACCATGGCCCTAGTTTGGAAATGCAATGCCCACCAGTGGGTGCATAAATACACCAAGGTACAAGAGTCTCTAGTAGGACCTGCATTATCTTGTTTTCTTCTCTCTGTGGTTTGGGGACAAAGACCTTAAAGTGGGTCAGCAGTCAGTATTATAAAGATGCAAGCTTCTCAGGGAAAGCTCTCAGCTCAGACTGCACTCAAGATTCAGGGTTTCCTGAGGTCTACAAACGCAAATGCCTTTTCCAGAGCAGTAATTTAATATGTCATATTCTATTGTGGTTGGCGAAGTTTGCCCAAATTATCCCTTCTATGAAGCTGAAACTTGACCTCGTAGCTTTGTTTTTGGAAAATTCTTTTTGTAGTCTGAAATCAGTTGGCTTCCACTTTGAAAATAATCGTCTTTAAACTATATAAATAAACAAACTTCTGACAAAGTTACCCCCCAGTCTCAGTGGGCTTTGACTTTTCTAAAAGAACAAAGTTGGGGCCAGTGGGAGGCTGAGGATGGGCTGTTCCTAATGTTTTGATTTTGTAGGAGGTGTTTTGATTGCTATAGAAGTAAGCAGAATATCCCCACTGATCTCAATTACCATGGTCCCTTCATTAAAGGGTCCTGCCAGCATCACATCACTTCTGTGAAGAGAAGGTCTTGGCTCACAAAGCCATTCACACAGGGCTGTTTGACTCCCACTGGCAAACATCCCAAGGGAACTTCTGCTTCCTGGAAATCACTCTCTTTCTAATTCAGGGGAGAGAGCGCTCTCAACTGTTTTAAATGCCACCCTGTGCTCAGCAGGCTAAGGAAAGAAGAAAAGTTAATCGTTCCTTTCAGGACCAAAACTGAGCATCAAGGCAGAAATGGCAAAAAAGGAAGCAAGCTTTGAGATCACTGGGAATGTAAAGAAAACTAACTTCAACACCTACTGGTGTTGCTTCCCACCAATGTGCAGAAGCCCGGTGTTTCATGACCCAGCTGTTTCTCCAGTTCTCTCTGTGACTAGTGCTCCAAAGCTCCTGACCTCACCAAATAGGAAATGTTCAAAGATGAGAAAGACCAGAAGATCAGTCCCTGATCTTCAAAGTTACAACTCAGATGGGAGGACGGGGCGGAATAGGATATATGCACAAATAGCAACAAAACAAGGTACAGTAAGATGGTATGGATGCCAGTACAGCTCTATGGTCCCATGAAATAAGGAAACATTTCATTTGGTGCAGGGTAAAGAATGATTTCATGACATATGAGATGGATCTTGAAGAATGGATTGAATTTGCACAGGAACAAATGAATGCCTGTGCAGGGCAGGGAGGACTATATTTCTTGGAATACAGAAAATTAGCAAAGTATAAATGTGGGGAAGTGCCCAAGAGAGGGAAAGAGAACAGGAAGAAATCCACTCTGCACTTTGAGGTTGTCAGAATCTGTTCAGGAGGTAGAAATCACAGAGAGAACTTAATATTGTTACGTGTGTCCGTATAAGAGACCACCTGAGCAGGCTTAGTGTGAGCAACAGGGCTGTTTATTCACTTGGGTGCAGGGCTGAGTCCGAGAAAGGAGTCAGAGAAGGGTGGGATTATCATTGGTTCTTACAGGTTTGGGATAGGCGGTGGAGTCAGGAGCAATTTTTGCGGGCAGGGGATGGATGTTACAAGTACATTCTCAAGGGCAGGGAGGACGTTACAAAGTACCTTCACAAGGGCGGGGAGGATGTATTGTCAAAATAGCAGGGAGGAATGTTACAAAGTACATTCACAAGGAGGGGGAATATCACAAAGTACATTATCATGGGGGGAGGGTGGGGCGGGGAATGCCTTGGCTTTACCATGGTGTGGCCAGCTCAGAGGACCTTACGTTCCTTTTTATGTTAATAATGAAGAAATAAAACGAGAAAGAGTAATGAAAACTTGGGGTAAAAATTTTGGGGGCAGTATGGAGGGGTGATGGGCGACGTTTCTCAGGGCTGCTTTGAGCAGGATTAGGGGTGGCACAGGAACCTGAAGTGGGAGAGATTAGACTGAAGTAAGATTTTGGGGTAAGTTTGTGATATATCTGTAATGCTAGCAGAGGAGTCATTAGAGAAGCTGCAGACTGTTGTGACAGAGGTTGAGATGCCTGCTATTCCAGTTCCAAGTGCAATAGTGGAGGCAGAAAGTCCTAAATCCACAAGTAAAGGGATTAGTGGGATGACTCTTTTTTGTCGTGTTGGTGTCATGAGGGGGACTGGCAGTTGTTCGTTCCATCTGCAAGCTGCATTTTGGGGATAAGGAAGACTACAGTACATGTGCAAGTTTAGTTGGCAGGTAGGCACGTGTAGGTGGAAGAGCCACATAAAAAGAAGAGACCTGTTATTGCTCAATCTCGGGTGGCTGCACGCCACTTGTCCCTCTAAGAAGTTGGGGGATGCTGACCACTCAGGGTCGTGTAACTTATAAGGGCATCAAAGAATAGTTACCTACATATAAACTTGAGAACTAGATAAGTGAAAAGGCAGTGCTGTGGTGAACCACAGGGAGCTGAGGCAAAGAAAGATACATAATTGTGTGTGTGTGTGTGTGTGTGTGTGTGTGTATGTATATATATATATTTTTTTTTTTTTGAGACAGAGTCTCGCTCTGTTGCCCATGCTGGAAGTGCAGTGGCACAATCTTTGCTCACTGCAACCTCCGCCTCCAAGGTTCACGCCATTTTTCTGCCTCAGCCTCCTGAGTAGCTGGGACTACAGGCGCGCGCCACCATGCCTGGCTAATTTTTGTATTTATAGTGGAGACGGGGTTTCACCATGTTAGCCATAATGGTCTCGATCTCCTGACCTTGTGATCCGCCCACCTCAGCCTCCCAAAATGCTGGGATTACAGGCGTGAGCCACCACACCTGGCTGGGAATTTTGTATATTTTTTAAGATAATTTTTTTCCAGAACATTAAAGTAATTGAAAAATACTGGCCGGGCACAGTGACTCACACCTGTAATCCCAGCACTTTGGGAGGCCGAGGCAGGCAGATCGCTTGAGGTCAGGAGTTCGAGACCAGCCTGGCCAGTGTGGTAAAACACAGTGTGGTCTCCACTAAAAATACAAAAATGAGCCAGGCGTGGTGGCGTGCACTGGTAGTCTCAGCTACTCAGGAGGCTGCGGTGGAAGAATTGCTCGAACCCAGGAGGCAGAGGTTACAAAGCTGAGATCATGCCACTGCACTCCAACCTGGGCAATGAAGGGAGGCTCCATCTCAAAAAAAAGAAAAAGAAAAAAGAAAAATATTGAAAGTCCGAAAAGTAGGTGTATTAAAATTCACAATGTTATTTTTATTTTCCATTTTTCTGAGATGAAGTCTTGCTCTGTTGCCCGGGCTGGAGTGCTGTGACACAATTTCAGCTCACAACCACCTCTGCCTCCTGAGCTCAAGCAATTCTCCCACCTCAGCATCCTGAGTCGCTGGGACTACAGACATGTGCCACCACACCCAGCTAATTTGGTATTTTTTTGTACAGACAAGGTTTGGCTATGTTGCCCAGCCTGGCCTCAACCCCTGGGCTCAAGTGATCTACCCGCCTCAGCCTCCCAAAGAGCTAGGATTACAGGCATAAGCCACTACTCCCACTACTCCCAGCCCACAGTGTTATTTTAAGTTTAATATTTTACTTATGCCAAAAGCTAATTTGTTATCACTCTGTATCAGCTTAAGCTAAGTAAAAATTATTAAAGATCATCTCTTGGACAAGAGAAATTGTCAAACACAGTAATTCTCTCAACTAAAAATGAAATTAGCAACAAAGTAGATTTTGAATATATTATTGATGAGTTTGTTTTTATTAAAACCAGTGGCCCCAGGCTCTAATGTGGCTCAGCGGGCACTGGTCTCTACTAAAATTTTGATATTTTGTTCATTATGGGTTTTTTTTCATTTAATTTTGATTTTTTAAAATATTATATTTGAATATACAGTAATTTATCCTGATTCCTTAGTATTAGTGTTCCCTTAAATTTTGTTCCTGAGGCAGATGCTTCATTGACCTCACCCTCATCTCTGTCTTTTGAAAAGATAAAACAAGAACTAACAGCCTAGTAGGAACAGGCAGCAGGCAGGAGGCACACAGGACACAAACAGGAGGTGGAAGTCCCTTCTTCCTCCCTCAGCCCTGCTGCTTCTGTCTTCCTTCCCAAGTAGAGGGAGCCTAACACGGAGCCTGCAGGCAAAGTAAAAATGCAGGTTGCAGAATCCTGGCCCCAGCATCAAAATGCCAACTATGGAAGGATAGATTTGATGCCAAAAGGTAATAGCCTCATAACTGGCACAGAGATGATTTCCCCTGAGCTGAATCCTGAAGGGTACATAGGATAATAATAATCACTTCTTGAGCACTCTTTGTAATGTTGCACAGTTAATCCATGGAAGTGTCTGAATCCAAACCTGTTTTAATCTCACCCAAAGCCCATGCTGTCAACCACTGTTCCATAGTGAAGCAGAGCAAGAACATTTTACACAAAGGAAAACAAAAGACAGCAAGACAAAGAATAGAAAAACATGGCACATGATGAAAACAAGCAGTTTAATATTAATATAACTGACATTGTAGAATATCTGTTATGTGCCTGACACTTCACTAAATGTTATTCTATGGTCTGAATGTGTTCCCCAAAGTTCATGTGTTGAAAACGTAATCTCCAATGCAGCAGTGTTGGGAGGCAGAACCTAATGAGAGGTGTTTAGGTCATGAGGGTTCCATCCTCATGAATGGATTAATGTTGTCATTGCAGGAGTGGGTTCATTATCAAGGGAGTGGTGTCTTTATAAAAGGTGAGTTCAGCACCCTTCACTTTTTCTTATTCTTGCATTCTCTCACCATGTGATGCCTTCTACCATGTTATGATGCAGCAAGAAGGTTCTCACCAGATGCAGACCCTCAGTCTTGGCCTTCCCAGCCTCCAGAACCGTGAGCCAAATAAACTTAAACTGTTTAAAAATTATTCAGTCTGTAGTATTCTATGATAGCAGCACAAAATGGACCAATGTGTGTTTTTATACAAATTATTTTTTAAATTCTTCCAACAACCCTATGAGTAGCTGCTCTTTGTATTCCCACCTGACATATGAGGAAACTAAGCCATGGAATACTATTTAAATCTTCCTGGGGTCACTCAGCTCATAGATGAAAAAACCATAATATAAACAGATGCTTTGACTCCAGAGCCCTTGCTCTCGGTCACTAGCCATACGTATCCCACAGATCATAAAATAAACATGAGGCCAAAGAGATATAGATGGGCCAGTTCATGGAGGCCATCCTGAAATGCATGGACTTTATTCTGTGTAAAAAGGGGGGCTGCTAGCACACTTTAAACAGCATCAGTTTTGTATTTTGGATGTATCACACTGGTCTGAGCCCAGTTGGGAAGACAGATTTTAAATATACAAATAGGAATTAAAGAAGCCAGTTAGAAAGCTAATGCAATGATTCAAACAAGCAAAAAGTAGAGAGTTCTGATACTAAGCGTGGAAAATAGGGGACATATTTAAAAGACTAGAGTTGTTTTATTAACACATAATAAATGTAAATATCTTCAGGGTACATGTGATAATTTGATACATTCATATAATCAAATCAAGGTAATTGAGATATCCATCACTTTGAATATTTATCATTTTTTAATGCTAAGAACATTTGAATTACTCTCTTCTTGCTAATTTGAAATGTACAATTGATTAACGTTAACCGTAGTCACCCCACTGATCTATCAAATACCAGGTGTTATTTCTTCTATCTAATTGTATATTTGTACCCATGAATCAATCAATCTTCATCTCCCCCTTCCCCCTACCTTTCCCGGCTTCTGGTAACTACCAATATACTCTCTATTTTATACAGTGCACTTTTTAGTCTCTGCACATGCAATATTTGAAAACAGAGATCTTTAACACACTAATGATTGGATGTGGATTAATGAAGAACAGGGAAGAGTAATGGGCTTTCAGGTTTTATTTTGGATGGCTGCTAAATTACAGTACCACCCACTGAGAGAAATACCAGAAAACAAAAGTCTAGTGAAATATAGATCAGTTACTTCCAACATTTGAGTTTTCCGGAGCTTTGGGCATATGTAGAAAGGTAAGGTAAGCCAAATCCATACTATCTTTGTTATGCCAGCTAAGAAATTTTAACTTAATTTTATTGAAAATGAAGATTGAAAATAAGTTTTGATTAGTAAAATGCAATGATCATCATTGCATTTTCAGTTCTTTCAACCCAAAAGTTGATCCTCTCTTGGTAGAAAGTCATGTAGAATTTCAGGTCTCTAAAATTTCTAAAATGTTCCTTAAAAGAAATGTATCTTAAGACCAATTTTAAATATGTTCCAACACATATATTTACTGAACTAGTGAGCATTAAGCTACTAAGAACTTGACTAGAACTATGAAGGGTCTGATATTTTACCATACTTTCAAGACAATAAGTTGTCTGGCCACAATTTCACAGATGCAGGCAGAAGACACGAGACTCCTGAGTCAGAGGCAAAAGTCTTTATTACTGACAGCTTCAGCAATAGAGTATTAGCATTTGCACCAGTTCTCCAAGCCCCAATTCCCATGGTGAAATATAAAGAGAGACCTAAGAAATTAAGTGTGCTAAAGGAGAGGGACTCAAGTGCAGGGAACCTACATATTTTATAATGAACCATGAGCTAAGTTCCTTCTTTGCTCCAGAAGGACATACTATCATTATCTTTCCAGGCTAAGCAAATCTTCCCTTTGCTCTGGAGGGAGACAGTATCTCTATCTTCCAAGACTGTTGGCTGTGCAAGCATCCTTGAAAAGATATCCCAGAACAAAGGCAGCTCTGTTCACAAGACATGCAGAAATGTTTGAGACCTATAGAGATTTATCTCCCAACAACTAAATGTTTTTATAATTCTCAAGTGACTTTATTGAACTCCTGATTTTGGCTTGGCAGATGCATGACACAAAAGTTTTGAAGACGTGAAACATAAGGAGAAATAGTTAAGGAGGCTCAACAAATAGAAAGTGCATGATACCTAAAATAAACAAAGTAGGTAAATCAAACTCACTTGGAAATAGCAGCAATCACCAATACATATTCTTAAAAATCAACCTTGCAGTGCTTGGGGAATGAGAGACAGGGGACCAACAGAACAGACCACAAAACAGGCCACTTATCTCCAGAAGAAAAAACAAAATAATTTAGGAGGTGGTTAATTTGCTTGTCGGGGCCAACATTTGCAGTTCTGCTCGCATCAGAATATACCAAAAATTGGCAACGAGCGATTCATATTCTGACTGCAAAGACACTGCGCTAAAGAATCGGGGACTAGAATGGGCTTTCATGAGAGGTGATAATCCCATCTTGTATTCACACTTAACTATCTGAAAGAGTTTTTCCACACATCATCTTATATGTTTTCAATCAGCCAGAGGTCAACATAGTAGAAAAAAATACAAGAGACTCACAGGGAGCTGAGAAAGACAGGAAGGTTACCCCCTTCCCTTGCTTAGAAAGCCACAAACTTGTGCTGGAAATGATGTTGCTAGGCAACCACTAACATTCTCTATAGGCTTTGGGACTAGATGTTCTTGCTCTCTAGTAGAGAGAAATATCAGATTGAAGGCACAGGACAAAAAAGACTGATTTCTTGATGATGGTGAACTTGCCTATACCATGATGGGTCATTGACCATTGGTTTAGTTCCATCGAAAGTCATGATCCCAAGGCAGGCCTCACACATATCACATTTTGGAGGATGTTTTTAAAGTTTACCTAGACAGCTGTAAAATTTATTTTGCCTTTCAGGAATAATCAGCCAATCAAGTGTAATTACAAGACAGCCTCTGGAGAAACTTGTGTGGTAATGCTGACATGATACAACATGACAAAAGAATTCAGCTGCCTCTCAGGTTGCCTGAGATTTTAAAAAATTACAGTAGGAAAGAACAAGTAGAGAAAATAAAAGGTTAGGGTACTTCAGGTCATGAATTATTTAAGAAAAGAAGAAGAGAGAATATTAAGGCAACTCAAAACTTCATTTACAAATACTAAATTTAGCACATTAGAAAATTATACTAGGAAAAATTGGAAATGATTCAACTACAAGATAATAGGCATTTTACACAAATGTAAACATTGGCTTGTTTAATTATTATGTATGTCCATCTGCCTCTAGAACAAGGCTTTCTACATATGGCCATGAAATCAAGAACAAATTCTCCTAGAGCATCCCATTCCATCTAAAATGAGGGTGCAAAATTCATTCATTAATTCAACAATAATTGAAGGCCAATGAGTGCAGGCACTACGCTAGTTGCTCAAGGGTATCATAGTGAACCATTAGACATTGTCAGCTTTTGATAAGCTTAGAGTTTACCAGGGATGTATTAGTTTATTTTCACCCGGCTGTAATGAACTGCGCGAGACTGGGTAATTTATAAAGGGAAGAGGCTTAATTGACTCACAGTGCTGCATGGCTGGGGAGGCGCCTCAGAAAACTTACAATCATGGCAGAAGGTGAAGGGGAAGCAAGGCATGTCTTACATGGTGGCAGGAGAGAGAGACGGTGCAGGGGAAACTGCCACTTTTAAAACCATCAGATCTCAACTCACTCACTATGATGAGAACAGCATGGGGGAACCACCTCCATGATCCAATCATCTCCCACCAGGTCCTTCCCTTGACACTTGGGGATTACAATTAGAGATGAGATTTGGGTGGGGATACAGAGCCAAACTTTATTATTCCGCCTCTGGCCCTTCCCAAATCTCATGTTCTTTTCACATTTCAAAATGAATCATGCCTTCCCAACAGTCCTCCAAAGTCGTAACTCACTCCAGCATTAACTCAACTGTCTAGGTCCAAACTCTCATCTGAGACAAGGCAAGTCCTTTCTACTCATAAGCCTATAAAATCAAAAACAAGTTAGTTATTTCCAAGACACAATGGGGGTACAGGCATTGTGCAGATGTTCCCATTCCAAATGGGAGAAATTGCCAAAATCAAAGGGGCCACAGGCCCCATGCAAGTCCAAAACCTGACAGGGCACTCATTAAATCTTAAAGTTCCAAAGTAATATTCTTTGACTCCATGTCGCACATTCAGGGCATGCTGATGCAAGAGGTGGGCTCCCATGGCCTTGGGCAGCTCCACCCCTGTGGCTTTGCAGGGTTCCACCCCCACAGCTGCTTTCACAGGCTGGCATTGAGTGCCTGTGGCTTTTCCAGGTGCACAGTGCAAGCTGTCAGTGGATTTACCATTCTGGGGTCTGGAGGACGGTGGTCCTCTTCTCACGGCTCCACTAGGCAGTGCCCCAGTGGGGACTCTATGTGGGGGCTCCAACCCCACATTTTCCCTCTGCATTGCCCTAGTAGAAGTTCTCCATGAGGACTCTTCCCCTGCAACAGAGTTCTGCCTAAATATCCAGGCATTTCCATATATCCTCTGAAATCTAAGTGGAGGTTTCCAAAGCTCAACTCTTGTCTTCTCTGCACCTGCAGGCCCAGCACCACGTGGAAGTTGCCAAGGCTGGAAGCTTGCATCCTCTTAAGCCACTGCCTGAGCTGTACCTTGGCCCCTTTTAGCTATAGCTGGAACTGGAGCAGCTGGGATGCAGGGCACCTAGTCCCAAGGCTGCACAGAGCAGCGGGACCCTGCACCTGGCCCATTAAACCATTTTTCCCTCCTAGGCCTCTGGGCCTGTAATAGGAGGGGCTGCTCTGAAGATCTCTGAAATTCCTCAGAGATATTTTCCCCATTGTCTTGGTGATTGGCAAATTTCTGCAGCTGGCTTGGACTTGAATCCTTCCCCAGAAAATGGGTTTTTCTTTTCAACCTCATGGTCAGGCTGCAAATTTTCCAAACCTGTATGCTCTGCTTCCCTTTTAAACCTAACTTCCAATTTCAAACCATCTATTTGTGAATGCATACGACTGACTGTATGCTTTTAGAAAAAGCCAGATCGCCTCTTGAATGCTTTGCTGCTTAGAAATTTCTTCCACCAGGTACGCTAAATCATCTCAAGTTCAAAGTTCCACAGATCTCTAGGGCAGGGGCAAAATGCCACCAGTCTCTTTGCTAAAGCATAGCAAGAGTCACCTTTACTCCAGTTCCCAATAAGTTCTTCATCTCCATCTAGGACCACTTCAGCCTGGACTTCATCGTCCATATATCACTATCTGCATTTTGGTCAAAGCCAATTAACAAGTCTCCAGGAAATTTAAAACTTTCCCACATTTTCCTGTCTTCTTCCAAGCTCACCAAACTGTTTCAACTTCTGCCTGTTACCCAGTTGCAAAGTCACTTTCACACTTCCAGGTTATCTTTATAGCAGTACTCCACTATCCTGGTATCAATTTTCTGTATTAGTCCATTTCCACACTGCTATAATAAACTACCCAAGACCGGGTAATTTATAAGGAAAAGAGGTTTAATTGACTCACAGTTCTGCATGGCTGGGGAAGCCTCAGGAAACTTACAATCATGGTGGAAGATGAAAGGGAAGCAAGGCATGTCTTACATGGCAGCAGGAGAGAGAGAGAGAGGGAAGGGGGAAGTGCCACTTTTAAGCCATCAGATCTTATGAAAACTCACTCACTATCAGGAGAACAGCATGGGGGAAACCACTCCTATGATCCAATCACCTCTTACCAAGTCCCTCCCTGGACATGTGGGGATTACAATTTGAGATGAGATTTGGATGGGGACACAAGAGCCAAACTGTATCAAGGGGCAAAGAAATTAACAGGCAAAGGAACAGGAAAATAATTACAACATGTGAAGTTCTGTGAAGGAAACAAACAGAGCATCAGAAAAACTAGAGGACAGTTAACATAGACTTGGTGGAATTAATCTTCGGAGTCTCAGGCATGATGGTGAGAAATTGAGCATAGTATGAGATCTTAAAGGTGTAAAGCAAATGGGTTGGTGCCGAAGGAGATTTAGATGGTTTAGCCCATGGGGGATGCAGTCAGCTGTCAGGAAAGTGGCCTCTGTTGAGTGCTTTTAGTAAACCTTCCCCATCTGAGAAGCAGATACTAACTGGCTATGAAGGTCCTGCTCAGCTACAGGAAAAACCAGCCCCACAGGTGGGGTAAGCAAAGGCTCCTCTGCTGTTTGAAAAGGTGACAAGCCAGAGTGCAGGCAAGGTAATGTTGCATGGCACATATGGCTGGTCCAAGGATTTCAGAGCAGTGGGGCTAGGGTGTGTGGCTGTAAGGTCATGAGGACTATACTGCATGGTGAAGATGTGAGGCCTATAGCCCAGCGGAATATAGATAGGCCGAAAGGAGGCAGCGGTTTCTCTTCTGTGCTTTAGTGATGGGGTCCATGACCCACTTGAGAACAAAGCATAGAATTTGACTTCAGGACAAAAGCACCAACTACTCTTGTAGAAGCTTGATGTGCAAAGTACAGGCTTGAAGAATTAAAGGATAAAGTGTGTCACATAAATGAGATTTTTATCTGGAGCAAGACTGACAAGGGGCATGAGGCCTCTGTCCCAGGTTTCAGTCTGTAAGAGACACTAATACATGATTAGAAAAAAAAAACTTCACTAGACATGGACTAGATGGAGAAAGGGGTACTTTGTGCACATCTCAGAAGATACTCCATGTGATGGGGAAGAATACTTTGAGAAGCTGCTGCTAGGGTGAGAGATGAGACAAGGCCCAAGAAGAAGATGTGGTAACCTGCTCAGTTTGTTTAGCTATGTGGGTTACAAAAGCTGGGGCCAAAGCTGAGTTTCTTGGAGCAATAGCAAAGAAACTGAGCACAACCCCCATGTCCTCCTTCCTTTTCCTGCTCCAACACAGCTCTTAGCCTCTCCTCTTTACCTATGCTGGAAAATATTTAAAGAACTTTTGTTTGGAAAGGTGCCAAACTTAATATTCTGCCTGTAGTCCCACACCTCCATCTGGCTCTGACTTGGGGTGGCTGGTTATTACAGGCAAGTGGCATCCTTTGAGCCCAGTAAGGGCAACTCCAAACACTAAGCCAGTTAAACTCTTGAGTGTTTACTTCTTTCTAAGCCCTCTTTATAGTCTGAAGCAGAGATCATCAATGAATCACATTCACGGGAGTTAGAAAATGACTTTTGAGAAAACAATGCATAACAGATTGAGGGAGCAAACATCATAGAGACACAGGCCACTGTTAACTTTTCATATTACATCTGTCTCATTCGAGAACAGATTCTGACAGTAAACAGTTGAGTGTTCTCCAAAATTGAGTCACGCAAGAAGCAAGTAAAAGTAATCCCCGATCCACTTACATAGGGACATTCAGATGGTTGATGTAAATTACAGTTCTGTTATGATAAATCACATCAGAAAGGTCCTGAACTGATCTGAAGAAAGAAGACAGGACAGAGATGAAAATTCATTCTTTAGGAGAACTGAAACCAATTAGCTAATTCGTTTCAGGCAGGTTTCATTGCCTATCATTCTCTGTATCTAAATCAAGATGCTTACATTCCAGAGCAAGAACTTTGAGATAACAGTATTAGAAGCACATTTCTAAATATCATAGCTCGCGGTAAGCAAATGCAGATAGATAAATGCAAACAAAGACCTGTTTAGAAATACCAAGTTGACCACCACCTTCACCAACCACAGAGACCCACAAGTTATAGCCACCAATCTACAGCATCTACAGAGCAGGTGGTAAAACATATTGAAAGATTCAGCTGTACTTTCCCCCTAAGTATAGACATTTGTGTAAATACGCATATAGTATTTCTACAGATCTTTTATTGGTCTTTTTCTTCATCATCAGCTTAAAAAAATGGAGTGCTATATGTGCTAGATTCTGGGGATACAAAGGGAATAAATAAAAGACGGTCCTTGCCTTCAAGAAACACAGAGAACAGTAAGGAGGGAGATACATAAACAACGAATTGGGATATTGAAGGCTTACTGCTATGACAGACATAAGTCTGTACTAGGATCAGGGGAGACCTAAAGGACTTAGGACAGTTTCCCAGAAGAGAAGACATTTAAAATTGGATTGGATGCATGGACTGAATTGGGAAGCATGAACAAGCACAGAATCTCCAAGCAAGTTTTTTTCAAAGAGATGATATGGGACCTTAAATCACATGTATTGATAAATGTGGCATTTGTGACATGATTATGAACTCCAGGAGAAAAGAATCATCTCAGAACTCAGAGGGTAAATATGGAGTAGATTCCTTGAGCAAAGCCAGATCTTGATTATCAGGTAAAAACATCAAGATTAAAACCTGAGGGTCATCTCAGAGATTTCCTTCTGTTTGAACCACCATCCAAGTAATACAACTGTTTTATAGTCTGTTTACTCCATTAAAATGCAATATCTGGCCAGACACGGTGACTCATGCCTGTAATCCCAACATGTTGGGAGGCCGATGCAGGCGGATCACCTGAGGTCAGGAGTTCGAGACCAGCCTGGCCAACATGGTGAAACCCCTTCCTCTACTAAAAATATAAATATTAGCCAGGCGTTTGCTGGTGGGTGTCTGTAATCTCTTCTACTCGGGAGGCTGAGGCAGGAGAATTGTTTGAACCCAGGAGGTGCAGGTTGCAGTGAACCGAGATCACGCCACTGCATTCCAGCCTGGCTGAATCTCAAAAAAAAAAAAAAAAAAAAAAAGCAACATCTAATCTATGAGGGCAGAGATCTCTGTAGTGTCCCCCAAGACTAGACCAGTGCCTAGCATTTAAGAGCTGCTCAGTAAATATTTGTTGTATGAATGAATAAATACATGAATAAGATATTAAGCCTGTATTTTAATGACCTGATTTGTAAGATTTCTCATGAAGAGGCTTAGAGAAGACACTGAGATGACTGAGGCAAGACTCCTAGTTCTGTCTAGTGCTGTGACTACTACATAGAAAGCAATCAATGGTGGTAGCTATTATTCTTGTGAGGAATGTCTTTATCAATACTCTCTTTGACAATAAGCCAGACACTGGATTAAGTACTTTGCACTCAATCGTATGCCTGATCCTGTCAACAAATCTGGAAAAAGTTAAGTAGGTCACATTATCTTCATTTTACAAGTCAGAAACAGATTCAAAGAAGTTCAAGTTGTTCAAGTTGATTTGCTCAGAGAGAGTTGAAGAATCAGGATTCTGACCAGATCTCCAATGCCCACTGTCCTATCTACCATACTGTCTGACACTCAGGGTCTACCTTACTGCTCTTAAAGCAATTAGGACATTGTTTGACTATGAGTTGCGTGTTGATCACATAACATTTTCCCCGTTCAGCTGTAAGCTCCCAAAATCCGTGTAGTCTGTTCATTTTTGTGGCAACTTGTAGAGTGGGTTTCCATCTGAACTCTGCCAGCCCAAGATGTTCTGTGGATGAACCTGACGGACCCCTGCAAGGAACAAGAGCAGTGGTGAGCTCTGAGCCCCTTTCTCTCACCTCGGTTATTTGTTTTCCCTGTCGGGTTTTCATACCATTTCCATAGAAGAAAGGTTTCAGCTATAAAAAAAAAAAAAAAAAGGAAGAAAGAAAGGTAAAGCTCTAGAATCTATCAGTGCCTAAGCATTCAATGTTGTTAAATAAAAACTAGTTAGAAGCACAGGAATAGCCAATAGATGTGAGAAGTATGGAAGGAGCCAGTGTTCATCACATATTAGTTATTTCTGTAGTGTTCACATGAATCTAAAAATTGAATGTTTTCTTTCTGCATGAAGAGCAGCAGAATGCATGCAATATAATGCAGGAGAGATATTAGGTTCATGGTCTTCAACCTCAACCACTGACGTGAGGCCACCTGTTATACTGGGTGGTAAAAGGGGAACATAAAAACTGTTAAAAATAAAACAAAAAAAAGCACACTGAGGCTTATATAATTGAGATACAATAGACCTAAAAAGGGGGTGCAAATGCAGTGTCACCCACAGATTTCAGACTGGGAACATACTCAAATATAATAGGGCAATGAGAAAACACACTTTCTCCATAGCAACGACCCAAAAACTCAGCTCTGTTCTCATTACCAGGGAACATTTGACAGGAAAACCTTGAGAGGTAGTTTTTCCCCAGAGATTCATCAGGCAGCAGAAAGGGAATGTGGGGGAGAAACTGAAGGAGAACGAGTGTCAGCAGACAGAGTTACCAAGGTGTAGGTGGTGCTAAACAGAAGAGGAGTGGAGAGGAATCCACAAGACTTATTTCAAAAATTCAAAAACATTGATGCCATGCAGAATAGCTGATTAACCAAGTGCTGAATCACTCACCCCCAAACCCAAGCCCTTCTGTACCGAAGGAAAACTAAACAGCAAATGATCCACTCTTGACAAGGAGACAACAGCCTGTCCCTCAAAGGGATAGTGATGTCAGACTAATTTGTCTACTGGATAAGCCAAACATTGATTCCCACAGATGGGCTCTTGCCTAAGAGGATCCAACCCACAAATCACTTCAGGCACTGTGCTGAGACCCATTAACTTTCAAGAGAGAACCTCCAGCACAGGAAGAAATCCCCCTGGAAAAAGGACACCAAAACATCCACATGGCCACCTTTTTTATGACATTCTGAGCAACTCGATCAAAGCTGGGGCTACAACTCATTCATTCACTCACTTCCTTTAAGAAGCGTTGAGGCTAGACATGGTGGCTCACACCTGTCATTCCAGCTACTTGGGAGGCTGACAGGGGAGGATAGCTTGAACCCGAGAAATCAAGACTGCAGTGAGTTATGTGGTGTCACTGCACTCCAGCCTGAGCAACAGAGTGAGGCGCTGTGTCAGAAAGTAAGAAGAACTGAGCTAGATATTATAGATACAAAGATGACACATGGTGCAGGGACTTGAGGACCCCATCTGGGAAGGCATTCGGTGAGTACTATAATGGAAGGTTGAACAGTGGGTGGGCAACAGATCACTGCAGTCGGGGAGACCTAGGTTTGAATTCTGTGTCTGCCACTTCTCCACCTGCCTCAGTGGAGAGAGTAATCATTCCTCCTATCCAAGACCACTTTCAGGAACTTTTTGTGCTAGTGTTTGGAAATCTCTCAGCACTGACCTGGACATCTTATAATTGCTTAAAAAGAGAGAGAGTGTGAAATTGTATTCTTTACTTTTACGTATAGTGAGGGCATTGAGAACACAGAAAAATGGTCACATAACTTGCTTCTCCATCTACCCTCAGAGATTCTGTTCTTATGTCTGCAGTTAGCAGCTGCCAAGTGTACACAGTAAAAAGGCATTGAACTATCTCCATGGATTTGGAGAGCAAATACACAGCGGCCATCACTAGCAATAGCGCCACAGCATAAAATAACATGCCACCCCAGGTGACACCGGAATAATTGGCCAACGCTTGCCGCATGCATTCTTTCTAACAAATCTGCGGTATGTGTTATGTCTTTTGCCACATTGTCCAGTTGTATCCTAACTCTAGGGCTTAAGGAGCCTACAGTTGAATTCAGCTTAAATTAAGACTGTCTGTTTCCTCTGTTACATCAAAGTGGAAAGGAAACTTCCTGGAGGAAAAGTTACAGAAATACCCTCACTGCACATCACTCCAGTGGAAGGCAGGAGGAGGTCTCAACAAGCAACTGTAATGAACAGCGGCCTCTGGACATACTGTCAAAAATGTCATCTTGTGATGACACCTACCCTGGTTTATCCTCAGTTCATTATTTCTCAGTCTCCAACGGAGACAGAATTGAATTTCAAGGAACCTCAGAACCAGTCATGTGGGCAGAGAATAAGTAATGAGATCGTAATGCACTGGCTTTCTCAGGAGGTGTTAACTCCCCTCCAAAGACAATGAAGAGACCATTGGACTGAAAATCAAAGAAGTAGGCTCTGTTTGAACCATCCATACTATACTGCCTTTCTTGAGCAGGTTACTGCTTGGCTTTCTGCCTCAGTGGTGCCACTTACAAAATGGAACCACTTCCAACTGCCCCTCCCCTCCTCATAAGGGATATTGCGTCTGCTGGGTATTTGGTTCCAACACATTAGTTTAAGCTAACAGGGGCACGTTGTTGGTAATACTCATGGGTAGCAAATTTCGGCTTCACAAGAAAATAAAACCTGCAACAAAAAAGTAGAAAGGAAGGCCCTCAAATGATTTCTCTCCCTTTCTCTGGGTCTCTCGGCTTTGCCTCTCTCTCTGTGTTTATGGCATTCTGTCCTCCCTCAGAACCCCTACTTTCTCTGTGTCAGCACGCACAAGCCAAGATAGATGTCATAAAGTTAATGAAACTTAAGTGTCAGGATCCCTCACTTGCAAAGCCTCTTCCAAATAAGTATTTTATTTCCTACTTCATTTTGTATTTATTCTTTTCCTGCAGAGGACCCCGTGTTTTATATGCCTCAGAAATTGCAGTCTGCTCCTGCCCACAAGGACATGTTGTCAGAGCTTACACAGTTCATGCTTTACATAATTTTCCTTTATGCTACGCAGTCCAAAATGTAAATGGCCCCCACATCTGGACCCTAAAAGACACTGGCTAGACAGCATTTTTGTTTTTTAAATAGAGTTTATATTTTAGAGCTGTTTTAGGTTTATAGAGATATTGAGCTGAAAATACAGCAAGTTCCTATATCCCCTGTCCTTCTGCATGCATTTCCCCTGCTGTTAATATCTTGCATCGATGTGGTGCGTATCTACTATGCTGTGAATGTTCGTGTCTCCTACAAATTCATATGTTGAAATTCTAACCACTAAGGTGACGGTATTACAAGGTGGGAAGTTATTTGGGAAGTGATTAGGTCAGAGGGGTGGAGCCCTCAGGAATGGGATTAGTGCCCTTATAAAAGGGGCCTGAGAGAGGCCCCTTGCCCTTCTACCATGTGAGCACACAACAAGAAGGCATCATCTATGAACAAGGAAGCAGACACTTTTCCTTGATGGAAGAGTGGGAAGGGCATCTGCTTGATGCCCTTCTTAAGATCTTTAGATTTGCCATTTAAAATCAAGATCTTTAGCTTTTCCCAGCTACTGGAAAAGATGACAATTTCATGCTCAGGTTTAGGGGGTAATGGAGGAAATAATGAAACTGGCTAATTTCCTTGTAGAACTGATGTTTGTGATCTTTTTGAGTAAACATAGAAACTGACTCTCCTGGTCTTAAAACTTGAAACTTACATTTGTCTAATTTGAGTATCTTTCCCAGGAAACTGACCACCAGACGTCCCAGATAGTATCAAGAAACTGAAACTCACCAGATCACTGCATTTAGACAACTCCTCTTCCTTACATCCCCCTAATTCCTGATTTCCTGTATGTTATGGTTTGGCTCTGTGTCCCCACCCAAATCTCATGTTGAATTGTAATTCCCAATGTTGGGGAAGGGAGCTGGTGGGAGATGATTGCATCATGGGGGTGGACTTCCCCCTTGCTGTTCTCATGATAGAGTTCTCATGAGATCTGGTTATTTGAAAGTGCGTAGGAGCTCCCCCTTTGCCCTTTCTCTCCTGATGCCATGTGAAGACGTGCTTGCTTCCCCTTGACCCTTCTGCCATGATTGTAAGTTTCCTGGGGCTTCCCCAACATGCTTCCTGTACAGCCTGTGGAATTGTGAGCCAATTGAGTCTCTTTTCTTTATAAATTACCCAGTCTCAGGTAGTTCTTATTTTATTTATTTACTTATTTATTTTTGAGACAGAGTCTCAGTCTGTTGCCCAGCCTGGAGTGCAGTGGCATGATCTCGGCTGACTGCAACCTCCATCTCCTGGGTTCAAGCAATTCTTCTGCCTCAGTTGCCTAAGTAGTTGGGACTGACTACAGGTGCCCACCACCACACCAGGTTGATTTTTGTATTTTTAATAGAGATGGAGTTTCACCATGTTGGCCAGGCTAACTCAAACTCCTGACCTCAAATGATCCACCTGCCTTGACGTCCCAAAGTGCTGGGATTACAGGTGTGAGCCACCATGTCTGGCTGGGTAGTTCTTTATAGCAATGTGAGAGTAAACTAACACAATATATGTGGCTACATTACTTCCCTGCTATATGAACCCCCAATTTGAGACTTGCATCCCATCTCCTTGGCAGCAGTACGCAATGAAAGCCTTCTTCCCTGATAATACTCATTGTCTCAGTGATCAGCTTTCTGTGTGGTGAGCAGCAGGCCCCTGGCATTTTGGTAACAGTAATGAGGCAGAAATTGGATACGGTTTGCAATTTGCATTGTCTCTCACTGCACCCAGTGCCAGAATGACTCAGTAAAATACACTTACAGAGCAGCACAGTTCAGAACTAAGCCTCCTACCTTTCTGATCAGAAGAGGACACGTGACTGACCTCTGGGATATATTTACTCTCTTCTGTGGTAGATGGAAGAACAACCTCCCAAGATGTCCACATCGTAATCCCCAGAACCTGTGACTATGTTAGGCTATGTAGCAAGTGAGAATTAAGATTACAGATGGAATTAAAACTGCCAATTGGCTGGATCCATCATCCTGGATTACTTGGGTGGCCCATGTAATCACAAGGGTCCTTAAATGTGGAAGAGGGAGGCATAAGTCACTGTCAGAGTGACGCAACATGAGAAAGACTTGGCCAACCATTGCTGGTTGTAAAGTTGAGAGGGGTCCATGAGTCAAGTAATGTGACGCCTCTAGAAGCTGGAAGAGTAAAGCAAACATATAATCCTATAGAGCACTCCAGAATGAATCCAGTCATACCAATACCTTAATTTTTAGCCGAGATCACATCAGATTTCTCACCCCCAGAACTATAAGATAATAATTTTGTGTTGTTACAGCAGCAAAAAGAAACTAATACAGTCTCCAGCATTTTGTCGTTACTAGTACCATTGGTTTCTTCTTGAGGGGTGAGGCAATAAGATTCCTGAGGACTGGGACCCATAGTCTCAGTACATTGCTCTGCATGCCATCAAACTTTCAAGACTTAGGGACTGAGTTCTAACCTCCACCTAAATGCAGATCAACACAAAATGGGCATGTGGAAAGCACTCTAATTCCATTATTACTAATTCTGTCTGCTTCCCCAAATGTTTTCACTGGAATTTCTGAACACTGATATAAGAGAGAAGAGACTGATATTTAAAATTCTCTTTTCAAGGGACTGCTCACCCATTCTGCCAGTGTATTAGAATTTAGCAGACTGAATTATTTGTGACAGCTGGTATGAAGAAAATGTTTAGTCCTAGCCAGCTTCAAAACGTGCAGGTCCCCAGTAATAGAGATTCAGTTCAAAAAAGAGTTCTGTTTGATGTGACATCTTTAAACTCAAGGAAAATAATGGCACAGATAGACAATAATACACTATAGTTTTTTTAAATTATAAAATGAAATGAACCCAGAGGAAACATAATGTAATGCCTAACTCGGAGAGACAAACTACAGGTTTTCTAATCATAAGGAAAGAAGAAATATTTGGTTTATTTTGATAGGCTTTCCTACACAATACACTATTCATCATGTAAGTTACACAAATTTAAAAGGCTGAGGTCTGGCAAATTTCCCAGAATAAGCCATGCAGATTCTGAGAAGTTCCCGGGACCATGGAATCCATCAAGAAAATGCCTTTGTAGCCTCAATGTCTATAAAAGGATAGTCTGAGAGTTGGATATTATGATTAAGGAGATGCTCTTCTTATAGGGTATGGTATATTGCAAATGACTGTAATTCTGACTACTTCTAAGTGGTTTATGGCTGTCAACCGAGATTTCTAGTTTCCAGGCCAGACTTATCCAATTTAAAGAGAGGGAAACTGCTATATGTGCTAGACAGAGTGGGCTCATCTGCTTTCCACTACCAAGAATTTCAGCCTCTATCAAAGTGGGATTTTTTTTCTTAATTTCCCCAGAGGGATTCCAGCTTTTACCAAAGCTTGAATACATAAAAGTTATAATTCACTACTCAGCATACCATGTTCCTTCCTTGTATGCTAAATGTGGATTCTTACTGAGCTCTTCTAAATACCTATTTCTCAATAGCCTCCTGTTCTTGATTGAGTTGTGTTCCCGCAGAAAGATATGTTGAAGCCCTAACCCCCAGTTCAAGTACATGTGAATTTATTTGAAAACAGGGTCTTTGCAGATGTAACCAAGTTAAGATGAGGTCGTACTGGATTGGAATGCACACTAGTTCCAATGACTGGTGTCATGTGAAGGCCCTGTGAAGACAGGGACACAGAGACATCCAGACAGAATGCCACATGATGGAGATAGAGATTTGGAGTCAGGCATCAGCAAGCCAAGGAGCACCAAGAACTGCTGGCACTCACCAGGAGCTGGGAGAGAGGCATGGAAGAGATTCTCCCTCAGAGCCTCCAGAATGAACCAACCTTGTCAACACCTTGATTTTGGACTTCTGGCCTCTGTAACTGGGAAAGAATACATTTCTGTTGTGTGAAGCCACACAGTTTGTGGTCTTTTTTTTTTACGGCAGCCCTAGGAAACGAATACACTTTCTGCTAGGTATTGCTTCCAAATTAGATCACTGCTTTTTGCTTAAAGTGTTTTCATTTCCAGAAAAGTCCTCAGAAGAAATTATTATTGTTACTCTCAGTGAAAGTGGAGCTGTCTTATGTAATTGCTGACAAGCCAGTAAGGTGATGGATCCATACTGTTCTTATGCCCACACACACAGGGTGCAGTTGCCAGAGGCCAAAGAAAAAAAATGTGGGCCAACCACAAAGACTGATTTTTACCACATCCACAACTCTTCCAGCCTCAGATTACCAGTACACAACACATTATAAAGAGACATTTTTCACCACCATAGATTTGTGAAAGGATCATGTACCCGTGGCATACTATGGATCAAGGCCTATCGTCAATATTCACAAAAAAAAGGGTTAAGACAGTCACCAAGGCTCAAATTTCTCATTAAACTATGATATTTTAAAACAAAAGCAAGTTTGCTCCTTTCAAATTTTTTATTTACCCTAACCTGGTGCTGCTAGGACTTGGCTTGTGTGTTTACCTTGGGAAGCTCAGGGCTATACCAATCCCTCTGTTCCAAGGATCTTCTTCCAATATGTGACCTGCAGCTTGCAGGAAACACATAAAAAGAGGAACGTGTAAGGTTTTGCAAATTCTTTTTTTTTTTTTTTTTTTTTTTTTTGAGACGGAGTCTCGCTCTGTCACCCAGGCTGAAGTGCAGTGGTACTATCTCGGCTCACTGCAAGCTCCGCCTCCCGGGTTCATGCCATTCTCCTGCCTCAGCCTCCCGAGTAGCTTGGACTACAGGCACCTGCCACCATACCTGGCTAATTTTTTGTATTTTTAGTAGAGACAGGGTTTCACCGTGTTGGCCAGGATGGTCTCGATTTCCAGACCTCATGATCCACCTCCCTCAGCCTCCCAAAGTGCTGGGATTACAGGCGTGAGCCACTGCGCCTGGCCTGCAAATTCTTTAGATAGCAAATCTGCAAAATTGGAGAGAGGACTGGCTTCCACCCAGCAACGTAGGGAGTCAGGGGCTAGGCCTGCTTCAGAGCAGAGTGGGAGGGTCCATTGTTTCTATGGTGCTTTCAATTCATGTCTCAAAAGAGGACTTACTGAAAAGACAGTACCAGAGACTCAGCAAGGCACCTCTATGAACCCAGATTTGCACAACAGCGAGTCTGGAAATGGTGCCCACATAGAGTACAGAGGCCTTCCAAGTCGGCCTTGGCCTGTGTCCTCAGCAACAGTCACTCATTTCCAGTGCTGTGTGGAACATCCAACTATCTTTCCTCTTAAAAAAACAAACCAAAAAAAAGACAATTTGCTTTTGACCTAATCTGTCTTGTAGTTAGGAAATGTCTTTCCTCCTTTCAGACACTCTTTACAAAAGATAAACCCACACTCTCCCATCTCGTTTACTCTTCAATCCATGGTAATCTGGCTTTCCACAAAACTCTCAATTCATCATTACACAATGGCCCTCACCAGCATTGACAAAGCTTCCTGTCGAGGAAAAGAGTCAAACTCTGTTAAAATATTTGAAGAGATTTATTCTGAGCCAAACATGAGTGACCACGGCCCCAGGTCCTAAGAATACGTGCCCGAGGGAGTCAGTCTGCAGCTTGGCTTCATACATTTTAGGGAGACGTAAGACATCAGTCAATACATGTAAGGTGTATGTTGCAGGGGTAGAGGGGTGAAGAGGGAGGCTTCCGGTCATAGGTGAATTCAAAGATTTTTGATTGACAATTGTTTGAAAGAGTAAAGGTGGTATGTAAAGACCTGGAATCAGAAGGGAGTGTCCGGGTTAAGACAAGGGGATGTGGAGGCCAAGGTTCTTATTATGCAGGTGAAGCCTCCAGGTAGCAGGTTTCAGAGAATAGACTGTAAATGTTTCTTATCACACTTAAAAAGGTGCCAGACTCTTAGTTAATTATCTCCTGGATGAGGGAAAAGACCTGGAAAAGGAAAGTGATTCTCTACAGAATGTAGATTTTCCCCTAAGATACAGTTTTGCCGGGCCATTTCAAAATATGTCAAAGAAATATGTTTTCAGGTAAAATACTTTGATTTCTTTCAGGGCCTGTTATCTGTCATGTTGGTATCTTATTGCTACAAGGAGTTTATTTTGTCAGTCCTAAGATTGCTGTTTTAAGGTTAGTGCTGGTTAGTCATACCTGAATTCCAAAGGGAGGAGGGTATAATGAGGCGTGTCAGACCCTTCCTTCCCATCACGGCCTGTACTAGTTTTTCATAATTCTTTGGAATGCCCTTGGCAGAGATGGGGGGCAGGGAGGGGTCCGTCACTCAGCTGGAAGGGCTTAGAATTTTATTTTTGGCTTACATTCCCTGCTTACCAAACCAAAAGGGCAAGTTTAGTCCTGATCTCACCTGTCTTCTCTGTGGCATTGAGTCACCTTCCCCTGGACAATTTCTCCTCTCGGGACTTCTGCAGCACCACTTCTCTCTAATCTGATGGTCATTCATAACATCGCTGCATAGCCCCCCTGGTATTGAAGCAGGATATTTTCTTGACTCCTTTGTGGAATTCAAGACAGGGGTGCGTTGTTTACTCAGCCCACCCCTTTCTACCTCTCACAGGAGGCAAAATATGAGTGAACAAGTGCAGGAACCAGAGGGAGCACTTTTGAGTGCTGGCAGAAATAAACTCCATTTACTCAGCTTGCCACACTCAACCCCTTGTGGGAGGAAGCAAGTAGGCAAGCAAATACGGGATCTGGCCAGCTGCTTTTGGGTGCCAGCAGGAGCAAACTCTATGCAGGCCCCATGGCAGCATCCAAGTGGGGCTACCTAAGACCCCTGAAGCCCAAGAGGACATGTTACAGTGCTATTTCAGCTCTGCCAGCCACGTTCGGCTTAAGTGTTAACAGTTCAGTGGGCCCTTTGCCTCATCACATGAGGCGGCTGCCCTCCACCACCAACGGCAAAGGGCCAGTGTGACAGCCCTTTTTTGGTTGTCTGCACTCATAGCTCTCAAGGTCTTGTCTGGCTTCCAGGAAAAATGAGGTTGTGTGAACGAGTTGAATGATGGTGAATGCAGAGGATTTTATTGAACAGTGAAAATGGCTCTCAGGGGAAGGGGACCTGGAAAGGGGATGGGATGGGCAAGTAATCTTCCCCTTAAGTCCAGCCATCTCTGGCCAGTCTTCTCTGAAGTCAAGCCATCAAGCCATCCCTCTGAAGTCAAGTCACTTCTCTCTGACTGAGTCTGGGGTCTTTATAGGCACAGGATGGGGGGTGGGGTGGGTCATGGGTAGTTTAGGAAAAGGCAACATTTAAGCAGGAAAATGGATAGAAGTTCTCACTTTGGGCCATGGGTTTCAGGCTTTTCGGCTTGAAGGTGGAGTTTTGTCAGGGACCCGTCCCTGTCTGCCTGGAATTTCTCTGCCTCCTACCTCTATCATTGTATCAATCTCTCTCTTTGATATTATGTCTTGTGCAATTTTATCATGACTCTCCTCTCTTTCTATGAACCATTCCTGGATGTTCTCATCTAAACCTATAGCTTTAATCAAATCTAATTCAACTAACTATATGTCTTCCATTAGCTCCAGACTCAAGTGTCTCTGTCAACTGGGTATGTCCACAGGAATATTCAAGGGGCAACTCGAAAATCATCATACTTGAAACTGATACCATCTCTTTCCATTTCCTACTGATCCTTTTCCCATGAGTCCTGTCTCAGAAACTGTTCCAGGCAATGGGGATAAGGCAATGAATGCAATAGTCAAAGTTCCTACCCTTTTGGAGTTTTATTCTAGTTGGGAGAGATGAATAATATATGGGTAAACAAGCATGTAAAACTGTAACTGACCAGTGGGTTCACCTTGCCCGCTGCCTAGACAGAGCCAATTTATCAAGGCAGGGGAATTGCAAAAGAGAAAGAGTCATTCATGCAGAGCTGGCTGTGTGGGAGTTTTATTATTACTCAAATCAGTCTCCCCAAAAATTCGTTGGGGATTGGAGTTTTTAAGGATAATTTGGTAGGTAGGAGCCAGTGAGTTGAGAGTGCTGATTGCTTGGGTCAGAGATGAAATAATAGGGAGTTGAAGCTGTCCTCTTGCGCTGAGTCAGTTCCTAGGTGGGGCCACAAGACCAGATGAGCCAGTATATTGATCCATCAAGTGCAGGGTTTGCAAAATATCTCAAGCACTGATCTTAGGTTTTACAATAGTGATGTTATCCCCAGGAGCAATTTGGGGAGGGTCAGAATCTTGTAACCTCCAACTGCATGACTCCTAAACCATAATTTCTCATCATTTGGCCAATTTTGTTAGTCCTGCAAAAGCAGTCTAGTCCCCAGGAAGGAAAGGGGATTGTTTTGGGAAAGGGCTGTTATCATCTTTGTTTCAAAGTTAAACTATAAACTAAGTTCCTCCCAAAGTTAATTTGGCCTACACCCATGAGTGAACAACGACAGCTAGGAGTTTAGAAGCAAGACAAAGTTGGTTAGGTCAGCTCTCTTTCACTGTAATAATTTTCTCGGTTATAATTTTGCAATGGCAGTTTCAAAACATCATGTGGGGAAACTACTAGGGAAAAACAAGGAGCAGGTGAGTGGATTGAGAGGGACAGGGAACTGTGTTTTATAGGGGTGGTGAGGGAAGCCCTTGCTAATGAGGTGGTATTTGAGCAGAGGGCTGAACCAACGGAGGGTTGGAGCAAAGTGAGGATCCATCCGGAAGGACTATTACAGGCAGAGTCCCTAGGGTGACAGTATGTTGGGTTGGTTTGATTTGGAAGAGGAAGGAACTCTGGGTGATTGTGTTACCAGAAAGGAGTCCCAATTCAGACCCCAAGAGAGAGTTCTTGGATCTTGTGCAAGAAAATTAATGGTGAGTCCACAGAGAAAAGTGAGTGTTTATTAGAGAAGTGAAGAAATAAAAGAATGGCTACTGTATATGCAGAGCAGCCCCAAGGAATATTGGTTGGCTATTTTTATGGTTATTTTTAATCATATGCTAAACAGTGAGTGGATTATTCATGAGATTTCCAGGAAAGGGTTGAGGAGTTCCCAAAACTGAGGGTTGCTTTCCTTTTTAGACCATATAGGGTAACTTCTGGACCTTTCCATGACATTTGTAAACTGTACTGGTAAAACTGGTACTGGTGGGAGTGTCTTTTAGCATTTTAATGTACTACAATTAGTGTCTAATGAACAGTGAGGATGCCCACAGGTCTCTGTCATCACCATGTTGGTTTTGGTGGGTTTTGGCCCACTTCTTTACCACATTGCTTTATCAGGAGGTGGTTTTGTGACCTATATCTTGTACCGACCTACTGTCTCATCCTGTGACTAAGACTGCCTAGCTTCCTGGAAATACAGCCCAGCAGTCCTCATCCTTATTTTACCCAGCCCCTGTTCCGGATGGAGTCACTCTAGTTCAAATGCCTCTGACAGTTGTGTCAGAGCAGAGGTAGGAGAAAGGATCAAAGAAATAACATCTCACTGGCTGTAGAAGAAACTTTGGGTTTCATTTTTATTGATATCAGAAGCCACTGTATATATGAACTGAATTATGCTTTAAAACTATCTTTTGTTTTTTTTTTTTTTTTTTTTTTTTTGAGATGGAGTCTCACTCTGTCATCCAGGCTGAAGTGCAGTAATGCAGTCTCGTCTCACTGCAACCTCTGCCTCCTGGGCTCAAGCAGTTCTGCCTCAGCCTCCTAAGTAGCTAGGACTACAGGCGCATGCCACCATACTCGGCTAATTTTTGTATTTTTAGTAAAAACGGGGTTTCACCTGTTGGCTAGGCTGGTCTCGAACACCTGACCTCAGGTGATCCACCTGCCTCGGCCTCCCAACGTGTTGGGATTACAGGCGTGAGCCACTGCGCCTAGCCTAAAACTATCTTTCTAAATTCCATGTAGAGAAGAGGCCGCAGGGGATGTATCAGTCAGAGTCCAGTAAGGAATTAGAAATCCCCCTAGGTATTTCAGGACAACCCTGATTGGAACAAAAAAGGAAAATGGGAGTCTTTTCTCCTTCCTCCTACTTTCTTGTCTCCCTGTAGTGCCCCATTGTCAGAGCTAGCAGGAAGCCAGAGGGCAAACGAGGAGTGTAGTCTGTTCAGAGCAGGCTCCAGAAAGTTTTGCATCACTTAGAGGTGAAATAAAATGCAAGTCAAAGAGAAATCCACGAACAATGGCTTAAATAATTAAGGTTTTTATGGTGTTTTCTTCATTATTATTATTATTACTATTATTACTATTTTCAAGATGAGTCTGGCTTTGTCACCCAGGCTGGAGTGTAGTGGCACCATCTCAGCTCACTGCAGCCTCCGTCTCCCAGGTTCAAGTGATTCTCATGTCTCTGCCTCCTGAGTAGCTGGGACTGCAGATGCACGCCACCACACTGGCTACTTTGTGTGTTTTTAGTAGAGACAGGGTTTCACCATGTTGGCCAGGCTGGTCTCGAACTCCTGACCTCAAGTGATCTGCCTTCCTCAGCCTCCCAAAGTGCTGGTGTGAGCCACCGTGCCCAGTGTATTATTATTTTAAAGTTAAGGTCTTGCTCTGTCACCCAGGCTGGAGTGCAGTGGCACTATCACAGGCTTGAAATCCTGGGCTCAGGTGATCCTCCCAAGTAGCCTACTCTATAGGCTCACACCACCATGCCCAGCTAACTTTATTTATTTATTTATTTATTTATTTTAGCAACAGGGTCTCAATTTGTTGCCCAAGCTCATCTTGAACTCCTGGCTTGCCTCCCTTAAGTGCTGGGATTACAGGTGTGGGCCACTGTGCCCAGTGATTTTTGTAGAAAGAAATGTGGAGGTTGGTGAATGTTAGCGTTGGTTCAATTATTTCATGGTGTCAGCCCATGTGTCTTTGAGATTATTCGGGATTCTACAGTTCCAGGCCTCACATTCAGAACACCCAGAAGAAGGAAGGGGAGGCACCAGCTACCAGAAACCCTTGATCATAATTTTGCTGACCACTCATTGACCACAATTGTGTCACATGGCCACCCCTAGCTGCAAAGAAGAATGGGGAGGTGAGTGCTACTTTTTCTTGCTTCTCTAGTGGATATTGCCAAGAGAAAAGGAAGTAGTACATTGGTGTTGAGGCAGACAGTTGTGGCCACTATCTCATCTAAGGGGCGTCAAGCTTTAGAACTGATGTGGATAAGAGTAGAGAATGCTGTGAAGGACTCAATAAACAAGGTTATCTAAAGATGTCCATTAAGTACAATAAGCTTCTACTAGGCTCTAACCAATGTAGTAGATGCTAGCAGCCACTTGTGGCTGTAGCACAAGTGAAATGTGGCTAGACTGAATTGAGGTGTGCTGTACATATGAAGTATGCACCAGATCCTAAATCATAGTGTATAGAAAAAGAACTTAAAACGTGTCTTAACAATAATTTGTTATGTTGATTACATGTTGAAATGATGATACTTTGGATATACTATAAACATTTATTTCATCTGCTTTTTAAACTGTGTTTCATGTGGCTTTTAGATAAATTAAATTATGTATGTGGCTTATTTTGTACTTCTATTAGATTGTGTTGCACTAGATTATTTAATAACCCTTTCTTTCTCTAAAGAGAGTCTCTGTTACCTGCCTCTAAGCCAAATTTTCCTCTTCTAAGGGTGCTAATTGTCATGGTTTTCTAAGTCTGGACAGGTCTTACCAGAACAGCCTTCCCCATGACCTGATAGCTCCAAAAGGTACCTTCTAGTGATGGGTTGAAAAAACAAGCCAAATTCTTTTATCAAGAAACCTGCCATGACCATCACATATATTTCAACCTGAGGTAGATAAGAACAAGTATAATAATGAAGTCAAGGAAAAGATTCCAGACAAGGATCAAATTATTCAGTATCAGCAGCACCCTGAGGCTATCAAATGAGACAATCTGAATAATTGGTTGGAGTAGGGAGCCCAATTTAAATTAGTCCTTTACTTAATCCTTAACCTTTTTTTTTTTTTTTTACTGGAAGCAAGGAATCATGCAATTCCAATTTTGCCCCATCGTTTTTCATGACTTATATTAAAAATTTCCTCAGTGGCTCTGGTGAAAAAAATGAATGAATTGGAACATGAAATCTATAGTCAATCTGTGGTGTATATGTCCTAATCCCAATAACCTATTAATATGTTACCTTAAAATTGCTAAGGGGCCGGGCGCGGTGGCTCACGCCTGTAATCCCAGCACTTTGGGAGGCCGAGGCGGGAAGATCACGAAGTCAGGAGGTCGAGACCATCCTGGCTAACACGGTGAAACCCCCGTCTCTACGAAAAATACAAAAAATTAGCCGGGCGGGGCGGCGGGCGCCTGTAGTCCCAGCTACTCGGGAGGCTGAGGCAGGAGAATGGTGTGAACCCGGGAGGCGGAGGTTGCAGTAAGCCGAGATCCCGCCACTGCACTCCAGCCTGGGCGACAGAGCGAGACTCCGTCTCAAAAAAAAAAAAAAAAAAAAAAAAAAAGAAATGACTCCTTAGCATTTCCCAGAGGATTAAAGAACAAATTTCTCTCTTCTATTGGTCACCCTTTTCATATAATTTATGGCACAAAGGCTACAGGAAAATGTATCTCTTTAATTTTCATGTTTATATCCCAGTTTTACTAGCTTATATAGATTGGGATCTTTTGCCCTGAATTTTTTCTTAGTTTCTTATATTGCAGCAGTCATTCCATCCATCCTCCTCAGCTGTACTGTGCAAAAACTATCATGCCTTGCTCAACATCTTTTGTCTGTGTAAAGAAATATGTTCACGCAAGAGAATTTTGCTGTCAGCAATAGAAAAACACAACTTCTATCTACTTTGTGTTTAGACTAGATGAAGTTGAACAAAGTCATAAATAATGAAATACTGCCAGCTTCATAAGCAAGAGTCTATTTGAAAATTCAGCACTGTGCTGACAATAAGAATCACAGACAACTAGAACAACATAATCAGAGGAAAAATGGTAGGAGAGATATGCCTTTGTTACAAAAGTTTCTATCAATATTCATCTTTCAGATCTGCAGGAAGACAAAAGAATCTTTAGGGTATTTCTTGTTAATATAACCCTGAGTCCTTAAGTCTGTCTGCCATTATGAGTCCAGATCAAATAACTCGAAGTGCCATGCATATGAATGAGGATATCCAGCACACTCACCTATAATTCTGAGGAGTCCCAGACCCGACTCCTACTCCAATCCTCTCTTTCATCATTTTGGGCCATCTGACTCTACCTCCTTATACTGCTTTAGGTCTGTCCAATCTGCCTTGTTCTTGTGCTTTAAAACATGACCCACTAACACAAGGCTATTGTATACAAAGGACTAGGATAAAAAGGCAATAATCTGCAACAGACAGAATCTGGCAACACTGATCCTAAATCTCATCCACCATTCTCTGCCCCAGGGAACCTCTCCCTGGTTGTCTCTTCTGTAGCATCTCACTCTTTCATCACGTTGCTTCAGCCCATTTCTGCACTGGCTTCTCTAAGTTCCAGGGATTGGAAACCTATTCCTTCTGGAGCCTGGTTAAAGAAAACTCACATAGCCCTTTCCAGCATAGATCATTCCCTCCATCCTCAGGAATGACTCCGTTGAAGTTCATCATGAAGATCAGTTTAGCTCCCTTTCTTCTTCTCTAATCTAGATGGGTCCGGGCCTTTTTGTTTTATAACCAAAGGGCTCCGTAAGTAGTTTTTCTAAAGGAAAACATAAAAATTTCCATGATGTGAATTCTGCTATCCCTACAGGATAAAAATGTGGCTAGTCAGTTGAGGTTTTTCTTTAATAATAATATTTTCCTTCCCGGGATATATTTCTCCATCTATTCTTGTTGTGTAAGCCCACAAATAGTTGTGTTAACATGAGATGTTGGTTTTAACAAAATGCTATTGCAGCACATTGGAAAGTGGCCCTGCCCATCCAAGAGGGACAGCAAAGTGCTTTTAAGAAGAGAAATGATTGAGTTAGATACTAATTGTGTGTTATGCTCTGGGGTGATGCCAAAAAAAACAACTTACAGTAAAATTTTCCTTTAGCATCACAGAAATAGATATGGCAACTTCTAAGTGGTACTAAGGATTTCTTAATTTCCCTTTATAGTTTAGGTCTATTTTCTCAAAATATATGTAGTCTAGAGACTATTGTATTAGCATCACCTGTGTTTGTTTTTTTAAAAAAAAAAAAAGGTAGGTTCTTGCCCAGCGACTCCCTTGCCCAAATAAATCAGGATCTTCAGTGGGGGAACCTAGCAACATGCATTTTTAAAGCTCCAATGTGATTTTTACGGTTAGGAAGGCTTAAGAACCATATTCAGAATAGAGTAGCTTCAATACATAGAGGAAACCATTGAGTATTACAATAAACATATGGTAGCCCTTGCAGTCATAGCTCCCTAGAATTAAAAAAAAAAAAAAAAAAAGAAGTAAAATAAAGAGTAACTTTAGGCCAGGTCCAGTGGCTCATGCCTGCAATCCCGGCACTTTGGGAAGTCAAGGTGGGAAGATCACTTGAGGCCAGGAGTTGGAGATCAGCCTGGACAACATAGTGAGACTCTGTCTCCACAAAAGTATCAAAAAATCAGTTGGACATGGTGGCACATACCTGTAGTCCTAGCTACTCAGAAGGTTGAGGTGGGAGGATCACTTGAGTCTGGGGGGTTAAGCCTGCAGTGAGCTGTGATGGCACCACTGCACTGCAGCCTGGGCAACAGAGGTGAGACTCTGTCAAAGAAGGAAGGGAGGAAGGGAGGGAGGGAAGGAGGGGGGAAAGGAAGCAGGGAAGGAAGGAAGGAAGGAAGGAAGGAAGGAAGGAAGGAAGGAAGGAAGGAAGGAAAGGAAGGAAGGAAGGAAATAAAAGAGGAAGGAAGGAAAGAAGGAAGGAAGAAAGAGAAAGAAAAGAGAAAGTATTGACTTTAGTTAATAATATTAACATTGGTTCATTAATTATGGCAAATGTACCATATTAATATAAGATGCTAATAACAGAGGAAGCTGGGTGTGGAGTATATGGAAACTCCGTACTATCTTCACAGCTATTCTGAAAATCTCTACCCATTCTAAAATAAAAAGTTTATTTTAAAAGTTTTTTTTTTTAATTGGGAGTTAAGACGGAGCAAGACACTGGTGTTCTTGGCATTCTCTCTGAAAGCCACTACCCTGGTCCATCAATCAAAAATCCATCTCACAGGTTAATATCATTAAAGTAAGAAAATGAATCAAATGATTGACATCAAGATGTATATTACCAGTAAGCTTAATTCTTCTACACTTTTTACACACAAGATTCCCATATTGTGTAATTCCAGAGGGTTCTAGTCTCAAAAATGAGACTAGGGGGAAATCATTCCTATGGAACACATTGTGAATATTTCTGGAAATTGTGCTAACCACTGGCTTTTTTATACATTAGAAGTAGAAATTATCCCAATTAAGCCTCTACTGAGCAAAATATACAGAAGACATATTTAAGCACAAGCCACTGGTGCTCCACGTTTATTCCTCAAGTGAGTCTACCAGGAATAAAATAAAAGGCCATCATCCCCTAACATATCTGGTCTCTATACCATGAATCTTCTTTACTTATAAATGAATTCTGCCTTCACCTTCTCGACGATCAAGGACATACATGCTCTACTATCAGTAGTTATCCCTGCTCTCTTTCCTCCTCACTGAGTTTCTAGATAATTCGCTCTCTTCCAACTGAGGTCCAGCACATAACCACACCTGACTTGATCAATGTATGTACAGATCTCTAACCCTGCTGTCCTTCTCTGTTCCTGTAAAGACCTGTGAGATTGGTTTTCCTCTTAAATGTAGAAGATGGGGTTTTTTTGGTCCTTAAAGAACTACCTGTATTGTCTTGGTCAAGATTTTTTTTATCTCCAGCAATTGAGTCCTAGTCATGGTAACTCAAATAAAGAGGTAAGAGTTGGAACAGGCTGAAAAGATTCGGCTGGGCGCGGTGGCTCACGCCTGTAATCCCAGCACTTTGGGAGGCTGAGGTGGGTGGATCACGAGGTCAGGAGATCAAGACCATCCTGGATAATGTGGTGAAACCCCATCTCTATTAAAAATACAAAAAATTAGCCGGGCGTGGTGGCGGGCGCCTGTAGTCCCAGCTACTTGGGAGGCTGAGGCAGGAGAATGGCGTGAACCCGGGAGGCGGAGCTTGCAGTGAGCCGAGATCCCGCCACTGCACTCCAGCCTGGGCGACAGAGCGAGACTCCGTCTCAAAAAAAAAAAAAAAAAAAAAAAAAAAAAGATGCAGAAGCGTCTCAGGTAAACCAAGGCAGGATAGAACACAGTCTATTGTTAGGGTACATTGGAAATCCAGCCGATCTCTACCACTCAGAATTATCTGACTGTCTGGCATAGAGTACAATTACCACGGACGGGGACTCACTTAGTGGGGATACCCTCTCCTTACAGGGACCAAGGTTCACACAGGCTAGCACACCGACACATGGCCAACACACCTATCAGATACATGGCCTGTTGTCGTTCTCTACAGGGTCTGGGTAGAAATAGATGCCCTATTTTTATTTCACTTTTTTGGAATGAAATTCACAAGATATATCAAGAAAGCTGAGTTCTTCCTTGAGCGACAGGAAAGGTAGTGAAGAACCTATCAAGTTATATAATTCTCCTGAACAGGTTAGGAAAGGTTAGAAACTGGAGGGATTTCATTTCAACAATTATGTAGCCCCTACTATGTGGCAGGCGTTGTGATTAAACAGTGATGATAAAGGGTATATCAAGGATCAATCTTCTAGGAACTCATCATTCAATAAGAAGATCATGCTGTAATTGGAAATAAAGAATTGTAACAACAGAGTTCATGGTGTGCCATAAATCAAGCCCTGGGAACTTCAAAAAAGGCAGACTAAGCTCAGAGGTTACCCAGCAGATGGTTCTTGTTTTCCAGGGCTTCCTGCTTCCCCCTGACTCTTCATTCTCATCCTTTGTCCAGAGGAGTCATCTCCTACTTAGGGGAAGACTAGAAGCATCATCACTTTCTTTCTTTGTGTTGTTGTTGTTGTTTTTGTTTTTGTGAGATGGAGTTTCACTCTGTTGCCCAGCCTAGAGTGCAGTGGCGCCATCTCGGCTCACTGCAACCTGTGCCTCCCAGGTTCAAGTGATTCTCCTGCCTCGGCCTCCCGAGTAGTTGGGATTACAGGCATACACCACCACATCTGTCTATTTTTTTTGTATTTCCCATAGAGATGGGGTTTCACCATGTTGGCCAGGCTGGTCTCAAACTCCTGACCTCAGGTGATCCACCCGCCTCGGCCTCCCAAAGTGCTAGGATTACAGGCGTGAGCGACCACGCCTGGCCAGAATTATCACTTCACCTTCAAAGACAGCAAATGGAGGATGGAGAGAAGTGTAGTCCCTAATTTCACTTTTAAGAAAGATGTATTTCTAGCTCACTAAATTGACAGCCTAAAAACAGCCCCTACAATGATCGTCATAAACGATGGCTGGATTCTCTAGTGCTATTTACATCCAATTACCCTTCATGGATAGTAAGATTAATTGAATTGCTTGGTCTGGTTATGAAACCTAAGGCCTAACGTCGTCTCTCGGGGAAACTATACCTCAAGTTAAACCACCAGATTGCAGCAGAGCTTTTTATAACCCAGTTGGCAGAAGTAGAACTGTTGAGGAAGACGCAAGCCCAACCGCAGACCTGCCTGTCCACACCTGACAAATACACCTGCAATTCAAGAGGATCAGGAAGTTAACTCTGAGAAGGAGATCGTAAGTTACTGTAGCAAATTAACTGAATTACCAACTGGAGAATTCCCAAAAGCAAACGACTTCCTATGCACACATAGATATATTTCTGTAATTTTCATTCTTCACTTGTAGGAGTAAAGAAAATTTTGGAGAACACAGCTGTGAAAATTATGGATTTACAGTCAATCTTTTCAGTATCTAACACTCCAAAAATAATGTTCTAACCAGTTTTCATCAATGAAAACAGTTAACGTGGAAATAAACTTTAGCCGTTCACCGTCTAAGCAGTGAAAGACATTGCTGCGCTCCCTGTTAGACCCGCTGAGCTCTTTTTGTGTTTTGAGTTATGAACATAAGCAACCAGCTGCTCCTAATCCCTAAATTATAAAGTTTAAGGGAAACAAAAACATAAAACAGGTCAAGAAGGCAAGGCAAAGTCAATCCCTCTGTGTTCCTTCAATTGCTATTAAGTCGCTTGCAAATCTTCATTGAGCACTCACTATTTGCTTGGCACTATAGTTTGGCACTGGAAATAGACTGGTACACAGAAAAGATACGTTCCTTGTCCAAAGCCTAAAGAAGAAGTAACAGCTAACATTTATATATGGCTACTAGTTTAAAGGCTGTTTTAAGCATGTTCTTTTTTAATTTTTAATTTTTGAGAGTACATGGAGGATGTATATCACACTTATGAGATATTTTGATACAGGCATGCAATGCATAATAATCACATCATGGCCAGGCGCGGTGGCTCATGCCTATAATCCCAGCACTTGCGGAGGCCAAGGCGGGCAGGTCACAAGGTCAGGAGATCGAGACCATCCTGACTAACATGGTGAAACCGCGTCTATACTGAAAATACACAAAATTAGCCAGGCATGCTGGCGGGCGCCTGTAGTCCCAGCTACTCAGGAGGCTGAGGCAGGAGAATGGCATGAACCCAGGAGGCGGAGGGTGCAGTGAGCTGAGATCGCGCCACTGCACTCCAGCCTGGGCGACAGAGCGAGACTCTGTCTCAAAAAAAAAAAAAAAACAACAAAAATCACATCATGGAGAATGCGGTCTCCATCCCCTCCAGCATTTATCCTTTGTATTACAAACAATCCAATTATACTTTTAATTATTTTAAAATGCACAATTAACTTACTATTGACTATAGTCACCCTGTTGTGCTATCAAATAGTAGGTCTTATTTATGCTATTTTTTTGTACCAATTACTGAGCATATTATGTTAAACTCATGTATTAATTATCTCCATCAAGTAGTTGTCCTTGTGATCCCCATTTTAGAAAGGAGAAAACTGAGGCATAGTTTAAAATGAACTGGGTGCAGTGGCTCACGCCTGTAATCCCAGCACTTTGGGAGGCTGAGGTGGGTGGATCACTTGAGGTCAGGAGTTCGAGACCAGCCTGGCCAACATGGCAAAACCCCATCTCTACTAAAAATACAAAAATTAGCTGGGTGTGGTGGCCTACACTTGTAATGTCAGATACTTGAGAGGCTGAGGCAGGATAACTGCTTGAACCCAGGAGGCAGAGGTTGCAGTGAACTGAAATTGTGCCACTGCACTCCAGCCTGGGCAACAGAGTGAGACTCCATCTCAAATTAAAAAAAAAAACTTAAAATAACAATCACAATCTCTTTAGTGACTATATAATTTCAAACCAATTTAAGGTCTCTGAAGGTAACACCAGCAACTCCTTTCAAACAGTGAATCCTGGGATCATAGATGAGTTTCCTAAAAACAGTTCTGTGGTGAAGGCAGATCTAAAAGATGTTTATTATGCTGGTGGCTTTAGTCCTAGAAAAAAAAAGCTGCCAGTTAAAGCTAGAAGGATTATGCCACTAGACATATAGTGTTAAAACTGCATTCTGTAGCTCATTCTGCCATTGGTCTGTGATGAAATGTCATGTGAAGTCTTGGTCTTCCATCTCCCTGCCTTTTGTGCAAACATTTCCTATGAGATTAATGTCTGAATGAAGCTTTAGCTATTTTCACATATTAGTATAAATAATGTTCCTTGTCAAAACATAAAGTTGGTGTCATCAGAGAAACCAATATAAATGTTTGAGTTTTATCCTTTAACAATAATGGATGGGTACATCTCTCCCTGGTTGCCCAGTGGCATGCACCTGTTAAGTGAATCAAACGTTCTAGCCGGGCCATGGAGGACACAGCTTTTCTCTCTTTAGGGCTAATTGGCATCTTAGTCTCATCAGCACTGTGCTCCCATCAGCCAAGCACACTGGACCAGCCCAAATGCTAACAGTTTTAATGCCAGAGTCTACCTTTGCAAAGAAATGTACATATAGTTTACAATTAATGTACACTTTGCTATATTTTTTATGATTTCAAGAAAAAAATGAAAGCAACAGAGGTGTTCGAAATAGGGAAATAGCTAATTAAATCAAGACACAAGTGTCTTGGAAAGTTTGTTAGATAACTGAAATATTTAAAAAGGTAATCAAATACCTTAGCTTCCGTTTTGTTTAAAGAAATTTAAGTTTGTAAATAAAGCCAAGGATCAAACCCCCTTATATTAGTTTCTAGGGCTGCTGTAACAAATTACCTCAAACTAGGTGGCTTAAAACAACAGAAATTTGGCCAGGCGCGGTGGCTCACGCCTGTAATCCCAGCACTTTGGGAGGCCAAGGCGGGTGGGTCACGTGAGGTCAGGAGTTTGAGGCCAGCCTGGCCAATATGGTGTAACCCCATTTCTATTAAAAATACAAAAATTCGCCGGGCGTGGTAGCAGGCGCCTGTAATCCCAGCTACTCAGGAGGCTGAGGCAAGAGAATCGCTTGAACCCGGGAGATGGAGGTTGCAGGCAGCCAAGATTGCGCCACTGCACTCCAGCCTGGGTGACAGAGCAAGATTCCATCTCAGGAAAAAACAAAACAAAACAAAAAAACCCGAAATTTATTTTATTTTTTTTCATATCCAGAGCCAGAAGACTGGAATAAAGGTGTCAGCATGGCTATGCTCTCACAGACAATTCTGACAATTCTTTAGAAAAGTTCTTTCCTGGCTGGGCGCTGTGGCTCATGCTTGTAATCCCAGCACTTTGGGAGGCTGACGCGGGCAGATTGCCTGAGCTCAGGAGTTCCAGACCAGCCTGGGCAACATGGTGAAACCACATCTCTACTAAAATACAAAAGAAATTAGCTGGGTATGGTGGTGGGTACCTGTTAATCCCAGCTACTCAGGAGGCTGAGGCAGGAGAATTGCTTGAACCCAGGAGGTAGAGGTTGCAGTGAGCTGAGATCCCGCCACCGCACTCTAGCCTGGATTACAGAGCGAGACTCCGTCTCCAAAAAAGAAAAAGAAAAATCCTTTCTTGACTTTTCAAGTCTCTGGTGGCTCGGGGAATTCCTTGGCTTGTGGCAGCATTAACTCTAGTGTTTGTCTCCATCTTCACATGGCGTTCTTGTGTGTGTGTGTGTGTGTGTGTGTGTGTGTGTGTGTGTGTGTGTTTTCCTGCATCTAAGAAGGGCACTCTCATTAGAGTTAGGGCTCACCCAAATCCAGTATGATCTCATCTTGATCCTTATGGAAATGACATCTGCAATGAACCTACTTCCAAATAAGGTCCTATTCTGAGGTTCTGGCTAGACATGAATTTTGGGGGGGATACTGTTCAACCCACTATATTCCCTTGTGTGTCTTAAAATTTGCTAGACTTGGATGGGCATGGTGGCTCACACCTGTAATGCCAGCACTTTGGGAGGCCAATGAGGGTGGATTACCTGAGGTCAGGAGTTTGAGACCAGCCTGGCCAACATATTGAAAACCCATCTTTATCAAAAATACAAAAATTAGCCAGGTGTGGTGGCATGCACCTGAAGTCCCAGCTACTTGGAAGCCTGAGGCAGGAGAATTGCTTGAACCTGGGAGGCAGAGGCTGCAGTGAGCCAAGATCGCACCACTGCACTCCAGCCTGGGCAACAGAATGAGACTCTGTCTCAAAAAAAAAAAAAAAGAAAAACAAATTGCTAGACGTGTAAGATTTGAAATCTAAGAAGTAGGGCTTTGAAAGCATTCCTTTAACAACCTGCTTATTAATTTGAAAACCAAGGTAACCTCTGAATAATTTATTTTGCCTGCAAGTCATCCTCAAGGTCATGAAACAACCTATAAACACAGAAGAATCCCTTTATTAAAAAGGCTCTGGAAAGGTGGTTTTGCTTTTTCTTATTCTGCTCTAATGTTTCTTTTTGAAGAGAGAAGAGTTTCTGCCTGACATTCACCTAAACTAAGAAGTCTTGGGCAAAATGAACACCTGTCATGGCAAGACAGCTTAAGATTAAGATTCTGTATCAAAGGCCAGAATACCCCAAACACTGAGGGGAAACAGCCCTGAAGAATGCAGCTGCAGAGACACAGCCTCATGTGGAGCCAAAAAGATTCGTTAGCAGATTAAAGGAAAGTAAACCACAACAAAAACAAAATTTGTCAGTTTTTGCTATTCTTAGAGCCTCCAGGGAACAGTTATAAGACAGAAATAATTTTCAGATAAAAATATCTTGGCTAACTCCAGAATATCTTCCAAAAGTCAAATCATCCTGCCTAGAGGTGAACTCCTCCAGATTTCTTCACTAATGGCTTTTACTACATTGCTGGCCTGCTGAGGGTTCATGGCAGGGGGCAGTGGGTCTGAAGCCCGCCCACTGAGAACATTCCAGATTTTCATTACTTCCCAGAGACAACCTGCAGCAAGACCCTGGAGGAAATGGTGTGCAATATGTCTGCCTCCAGGCGCTGGTTTGCAACAGGGCCAGGTAGGTAATGAGAAAGCTTCTGTCAAAGAGGGCGATTAAACAGACAACACACAGGAGCTCCACTCAATTTAGCTTGACAAACGGCCAGAGAAGCAAAGGCAACAACAGCAGCTCTCGGAGGTTCATTTCCTGAGGGAAGTCTACAGAAGACAGTGTTCAATCTCAAGAAGGAGGCTTCTTTTTTAACATTTGTTATATGTGGCTTTTCAAATGTCCATCTTTTTCAGCCAATGATGGTACTTCTCTAGTAATAGCCTCACTCTTTGAGGAGACTGGAGGACAAATTCCTTGATTTACAAGTACAGTATGGAGTTATCTCTTTAGAAACATTATTATTATTTACTAAACAGCCCCAAAATTGAATAATGAGCACTTCAGATGGGCACTTTCCTCCAAAGAGCTCAAGGCACTTTCTATCAGTTGCCAGACTGGGGATGGGAGGAAGGAGAAAATACAGAAAATAGAAACTTTAAGTGATACAATAATGGAAAGAATCTTCTAGTCATAGAAGAAAAAAAAAATGTTAAGATGCTATAAACAAATATAAAGGCCAATAACAGACCGAAAAGCTATTTTCGAATAATAAAACGGGATAACAGAAAGTTAATAGCCGTAGCTCATAAACAGCTTGAAAATCAGTGAAGAAATATTTGTGGGCCATTACAAATTGGCAAAGTTCTGTAGGCCAGGGTTGAAAAAGAAACAAAAACAAAAACAAATTGGCAAAGGACTTGAAAAGGCATTTCCCAAAAGAAAACAAATGACCAAAAACATGTGAATAAATGTTCAACATTATTACTTATAGAAGAAATCCCCAACAGAGCTACTTTCAGCTACCAACACGCACAGATTTAGTGTGTGTATAGCACTTACTAAGCACTATTATATAGCACTACGCCAAGTGTTTTCCATCTACCAGCCATTTACTCTTTGCAACAACTCATCCCTACTAGGTCTTATTATTTATCCCTGTTTTACAGATGAGGAAACTAAAGCACAGAAGTCAAACTAATTCAGTCAAGGTCATGTGGCTAGTACTTGGTGGAGCTCTTTCACCCACTATGCTTTATTGCCTCTCTAAGGATTGTTGAGTGCAGTGAAAATCCCTCTTACACATTGTTTGTGGGCAGGTACATTGATATAATTAGTACAATTGGTACAAATGGTAAATGAGGCAGTGACTTGTACAAAAAGTTCTGGAATATTTTTGTATGGAATAAAATTGTTTAAAACGGGCAAGTGAAAGCCTTAATGGCAATGAATAGCTTATATGTGGAATGAACCCCCACCAGCCACTACAGCACCAAGAATGAACAGAGAAGAAGAGCACCTACCTAGGCTTAGGTTGCTGGCAAAGCTGGAAGCGCAGAATCAAAAATAACATGAAGAATAACGTGTAACTGAGGGAGTCACATGTGATGGCCTTATCTTCTCAGTAACACTGGAAGCAAAGTCCCTGGCAGAAAGACAAGTTGTGGGAAGAAGAAGAGAGAGGATGCCTGGTGCAACCACCACATGGATCATGGTGGGAAATCAGGAGAGATTAATCAAATGCTTTTGAGATACAGAAAGGTGGACTGTAAGCCAAGCAATGGGGATTTTTCAATGGACTTCAATTTCGTGGGTGAGCTATGTCAGTCTTCATGTCACTCTGGACTCAGAAATTGTATTGGAAGGAAACAGAGATCTGAGGTTTGGAGCTGATGAGAAGTCAAGGGAAAAAAAGGAAAAAAAAAAAGGCCTGAAAATTACTGAGAATATCAACATGCTGAAAGAGTACAGCAAAGTCGGGGTAAATGTTGGCAAGTAACACCCACGACCGTACATAAAACTCTGCAGCTTCACATTTGTGAATAGCTTTGGTGGGAGTTCTTCAAGTACCTCACTGTAAATGTCAGGGAACAAATCAATATTCTAGCAGAGAGTCTCTTGCTCCTTTTATCAGAATCTGGGAAACGCTTTCATTTGCTTGACCAAGAAAGAGTATTGCTTGCTTGCTCCAAAACTGCGTGCAGACATGGCCCCCAACACACTTAAAATACAGAACATTTCTATCACCCCCGTCTCATGCCCTTTGGGTCAATTTTGTTTTCTCCCTTTGACACGATCTGCTTTCCACCTTTACAGATTAGTTTGGCCTGTTCTAGAATTTTGTATAAATGGAATAATACAGTAAGTACTTTTTCGTTTTGGCTTCTTTCACTCAGCATAATATTTTAAAAATTCACCCATGTTGTATGTGTCAATAGCTCATTCCTTTGTATTGCTAAAAAGTATTTCATTGTATAAATATCACAATTTGCTTATCCATTTACTTATTGATGGCCCTTTCCAATTTGGGGCTATTAATTAAGCTGCTGTGAACATTTGCATACAAGTCATTTTGAGGACATGTTTTTATTTATCTTGGGTAAAAGTGTAGCAATGGAGTTTCTGGATATTATGGAAAGTGTACATTTAATTTTATAGAAAAGAGGCCGGCCGCGTGGCTCTGGCCTATAATTCCCAGCACTTTGGGAGGCAGAGGCAGCAGATCACTTGAGGTCAGGAGCTCGAGACCAGCCTGGCCAACATGGTGAAACTTCATCTCTACTAAAAACAGAAAAATTAGCTGTGTGTGGTGGTGCAGGCCTGTAGTCCCAGCTACTCAGGAGGCAGAGGTTGCAGTGAGCTGAGATCATGCCACTGCACTCCAGCCTGGGCAACAGAGCAAGATTCTGTTTTAAAAAAAAAAAAAAAAAAAAAAAAAAACTTTATAAAAAAGTGCCAATGTGTTTTCCAAAGGGGTTGTACCATACTATTCAAAATTAATTTTTAAAAATTAATTAACATAAAAGTAACCATCTTAACCATTTTTAAGTACAGTAGGCCTTCTGTAACTGCAGGCTCCACATCCATAGATTCATCCGAATGCAGAGCAGTCAAAATATTTTTTAAAATGCAACATTAAAAAATTAATACAAATAACACAGTCTGACAACTATTTACATAGCATTTACATTGTACTGGGTATTATAAGCGATCTAAAAATGATTTAAAGTATATAGGAGGATGTGCAGAGGTTATATGCAAATACTACCATTCTATATAAGGGATTTGAGTATCCACAGATTTTGGCAATGAGCAGGATCTTGGAACCAATCTTGCACAAATATTGAGGGATGACTGTATACAGTTCGATAGCACTAAGTACATTCACATTGCTGTGCAACCAATCTCCAAAGGTCTTTTCACTTTGCAAAACTGAAACTCTGTACCCATTAAACAACTTCCCATTCTCTCTATTCCCCAGCTCCTGGCAACCATCATGCTATTTTCTGTCTTTATGAATTTGACTATTTGAGGTACCTGATATAAGTGGAATCATACAGTATTTATCTTTTTCTGACTGGCTTATTTCCCTTAGTATAATGTCCTGAATCTAGGTTCATCCATGTTGTAGCATGTGTCAGAATGTCCTTCTTTGGCTGGGCACAGTGGCTCACGCCTGTAATCCCAGCACTTTCAGAGGCCAAGGCGGGTGGATCACCTGAGGTCAGGAGTTTGAGACCAGCCTGAGCAATATGGTGAAACCCCATCTCTACTAAAAATACAAAAATTAGCCAGGCATGGTGTCATGCAACTGTAGTCCCAGCTACTCAGGAGGCTGAGACAGGAGAATTGCTTGAACCCAGGAGGTGGAGGTTGCAGTGAGCTGAGATCGAGCCACTGCACTCCAGCCTGGGCGACAGAGTGAGACTCTTTCTCAAAAAAAAAAAAAAAAAAAAAAAAAAGAAGAAGAAAGAACGTCCTTCCTTTTCTGAGGCTGAATAATATTCTATTGTATGTACATACCACATTTTGTTTATTTATCCACCAGTGGACGCTTGGGTTAGCTTCTACTTTTTGGCTATTTTAAATGATGCTGCTGTGAACATGGGTGGATAAGTATCTCATTGAGACCCTGATTGCAATTCTTTTCGATGTATAACCAGAAGGGGAGTGGTTTGATCATATGGTAATTTTATATTCAATCTTTGTTTTGAAAACAATATAGTTTTCCACAGCATCTGCACCATTTTACAATCCCACCAACAGTGAATTTCTCCAGTTCCTCCACATCCTTAGCAACAGTTGCTATTTTCAGGTTTTTTAATAGTAGTATCTCTTTGTGGTTTTCATTTGTATCTCCCTAATGATTAGTAATACTGAACATCTTTTTTGTGCTTGTTGCTCATTTGTACATCTTTAGAGAAATGTCCATTCAAATTATTTGCCCTAAGGCTAGGTGTGGTGACTTATGCCTGTAATCCCTGCACTTTGGGAGGCTGAGATGGGCAGATCATTTGAGGTCAGGAGTTCAAGACCTGCCTGGCTAACTGGTGAAACCCGCTCTCTACTAAAAATACAAAAATTACCTTAGTGTGATGGTGGTCCCCTGTAATCCCAGCTACTCAGGAGGCTGAGGCAGAAGAATCGCTTGAACCCAGGAGGCTGAGGTTGCAGTGAGCCGAGATTGCGCCATCGCACTGCAGCCTGGGTGACAAGAGTGAAACTCCATCTCAAAAAAAAAAAAAAATTCTTTGCCCGTTTTTAAAATTGGACTGTTTGGTTTTCTTTGCTGAGTTGTAGGAGTTCTTTATACTGTATATTATGGATATTAACCCCTTATTAGAAATGTGATTTGTAAGTATGTTCTCATTGTGTAAGTTGCTTTTTCCTCATTTGTTGATTTTGGCTATTCATACGCATATACAGAAGTTTTAAATTTTAATTTAGTCAAATTTATCTATTTTTACTTTTATTGCCATATCCGAGAAATAATTTTCAAACCTAACATCATGAAAATTTTCTGCTATAATTTCTTCTAAGAGTTTTATAGTTTTAGCTCTTATGTTTAGGTCTTTGATCCGCTTTGAGTTAACTTTTGTGTACGTTGTAAAGTAAGGGACCAATTTCATTGTCATGCATGTGGACATCCAGTTTTTCCAGTACCATTTGTTTAAAAGACTGCCCTTTTCCCATTGAATGATCTTAGCAACCTTGTCAAAAATTATTTGACCATATGTGACAGGGGTTATTTCCGTTTTTTCTATTCCATTCCACTAGTCTCTATGGTCTGTCTCCATGCCAGTTTTGTTTTGATTATTGCAGCTTTGCGTACCATACTATTTTCACTCCCACCAATAATACCTGAAAGTCCCAGTTACTCCACATTCTCACCAAAACTGGCACTGTCAGTCTTTTTAATTTTGGCCATTCTCGCAGAGGTAGGATGTGTAGTGGTATCTTAATAGGGCTTTAATCTCCATTTTCTGATGCCTAAATAAATATGAGCATCTTCTTATGGTAATATTAGCCTTATTAATTAATTTATTTATTCAGAGACGGAGTCTCGCTCTGTCGTCTAGGCTGGAGTGCAGTGGTGCGATCTCGGCTCACTGCAAGCTCCGCCTCCCGGGTTCACGCCATTCTCCCGCCTCAGCCTCTTGAGTAGCTGGGACTACAGGCGCCCGCCACCACGCCCGGCTAATTTTTTGTATTTTTAGTAGAGACGGAGTTTCACCATGTTAGCCAGGATAGTCTCTATCTCCTGACCTCGTGATCAGCCCGCCTCGGCCTCCCAAAGTGCTGGGATTACAAGCATGAGCCACCGCGCCCGACCTATTTATTTTTTTATGACAGGGTCTCACTCCCATCGCCCAGGAGGGAGTGTAGTGGCACAATCATGGCTCATTGCAGCCTCCACCTCCCGGGCTCAAGCAACATTCCCACCTCATTTTTTATTTTTTGTAGAGACAACGTCTCCCTATATTGCCCAGGCTGGTCTCAAACTCTGGGGCTCGAGCGATTCACCCACCTTGGCCTTTACAAGTTCTGGGATTGCAGCCATGAGCAACCACGCCCAGCCGGTCATTTTTATATCGTCTTATTGGAATGTTTGTTCGAATATTTTGTCGACTTTTCATTGAGTTCGAGTTCTTTGTATATTCTGGATGCAAGTTCTTTGTCAGAAAAATATATTGCAATTTTCTCCCAGACTGTGGCTTGCCTTTTCGGTTTCTTGACATAGTTTTTCAAAAGATAGACACTCTTTAATTTGCATAAAGTCCCATTTATTTACACATTTATATAGGTTATAGCAATTTTCATGTTCTAAGAAATCTGCCTCCACTTCAAGATTGTTTTAGAAGTTTTCTTTTAGAAGTTTTAACTTTTATATTTAATGATTTACTTAGTTAATTTTCACGTATGGTGTGATACCATGATTGAGGCTCAGTTTTGTCCATACAGATACCCAATTATTCCAGTACCATTTGTTGAAAAAACTATTATTCTCCCATTTTATTTTCTTAGCAACTTTGTCAAAAATTAATTGACTGGCCAGGCGCGATGGCTCATGCCTGTAATCCCAGCACTTTGGGAGGCCGAGGTGGGCAGATCATGAGGTCAGGAGTTCAAGACCAGCCTGGCCAACATGGTGAAACCCCGTCTCTGCTACAAATACAAAAAAGTAGCCAGGCATGGTGGCACGCACCTGTAATCCCAGCGACTCAGGAGGCTGAGGCAGGAGAATTGCCTGAACGCGGAGGTGGATGTTGCAGTGGGCCGAGATGGTGCCACTGCACTCCAGCCTTGGCAACAGAGTGAGACACTGTCTCAAAAAAAAGAGAAAAAAAATTTAATTGACCATATAAGCAAGGTTTTTAGATTCTCTATTTTAGTCCATTGAGTCTTACTCCAATGTCACAGTCATGATGAAGGTAGGTTGGGAATTGGGTAGTGTAAGTCTTCCAGTTTTGTTCATCTATTTCTAAATTGCCCCGGGTATTCTAGGTATTTTGTATTTTCACATAAATTTTAGAATCAGCTCAAATTTCTACTGAAAAAAAAAGCCTATACAATGTTGATCAGGGATGCATTGAATCTATAGATCAATTTGGGAAAAATTGTCATCTAAGCAATATTAAATCTTCCAATCACATGGTATATCTTTCCATTTATTTATGTCTTCTTTTACTTCTTCAAGCACTATTTTGTAGTTTTGGGTATACAAACAGGTCTTACATGTATTTTGTTCAGCTTATCCCTAAGTATATCATGTTCTGGCTGCATTTGCTTGTAAATGTTTTTCTTTATCATAATTTCACTTTCCAACTGTTTACCACGAGTCTTCAGAAACTGATTTTTGTTTATTGACTGTTTTTCTATGCTCTTGAAAAATTTACTTATTAGGTGCAATAAGGAAAGAAAAAGAAAATTAGAAAAGAATTAGAAAGATTGGGAAAGAATATCTATTTTTGATCCATTAAATATTTTAAAATTTTTCTTTCTGAAAAAATCTGAACAGTCTGTAAACTGTGACGTCAAGTAAACTGCAATTTGAAGTCCAATTGAGTTTTAGATTTTTTTTTTAAGATGACACTGGAGTGATAATAGTTCTCTACTGGAGTAGAACTCATTGAATCTAAGGTTTCAAGGAATCTTAAATTATCTAGTTCAAATGTCAGAGAGGTGTGAACCACAGCAACTTCACCTTAAATAGGAACCAGGTAAAATGAGGCTGAGACCTACTGGGCTACCTTCCCAGTTGGTTAAGGCATTCTAAGTCACAGAATGAGATCGGAGGTCAGCACAAAATACAGGTCATAAAGACTTTGCTGATAAAACAGCTTGCAGTAAAGAAGCTGGCTAAAACCCACCAAAACCAAGATGGCGATGAGAGTGACCTCTGGTCATCATCACTACTACCTTCCCACAATGCCATGACAGTTTACAAATGTCATGGCAATGTCAGGAAGTTACCCTATATGGTCTAAAAGGGGGAGGCATGAGTAATCCATGCCTTGTTTAGCATATCATCAAGAAATAGCTATAAAATGGGCAACCAGCAGCCCTCAGGGCTGTCTCTCTGTGGCGTAGCATTTTTTTATTCCTTTACTTTCTTAATAAACTTCTTTCACTTTACTCTGTGGACTCACCCTGAATTCTTTCTTGCATGAGATCTAAGAATCCTCTCTTGAGGTCTGGATCTGGACCCCTTTTCTGTAACCCAAACAATTCTCTATGTATTCTGTGACAAATACTTCACTTGGGATTAAATCCTTTCAGGAATAGGAAATTATTTTTCACTCAGCCCACTTCACTTTTGGTTGGCACTGTAAGAATATTCTTCCCAACTTGAGCTCAGAGCTGTCTCTCTGAATATTTTGTTAATTTCTTCTAAAATTTGTCATATGACATAAAGATTGCTGTCTTAGTTATGTATCACTATAAAGGAATATCTCAGACTAGGTAGTTTATTTAAAAAAAAAAGGTTTATTTTGGTTCATGGTTCTGCAAGCTGTATGAGAAGCATGGCGCCAGCATCTGCTAGTAGCAAGGACTAAGGAAGCTTACAATCATGATGGAAGGTGAAGGAGGATCGGGAGCATCACACTGTGAGAGAGAAAGCGAGAGAGAGAGGGAGGGGGTGCCAGGCACTTTTAAACAACCAGATCTCATGTGAACTCACAGAGGGATTAACTCATTACCATGAGGACAGCACCCCTATTCATGAGAGATCTGCCCCCATGACTGAAACACCTCCCACTAGGCCCCACCTCCAACACTAGGGATCACGTTTCAACATGAGATTTGGAGATGAATATCCAAACCATATTTGCTGCATTCAGCTGGTACATACTGGTACAAATTACTGATTGTTGAAATACTCAAGCACAGTTGTTAAAATCCACTGCTCTAAGCTCCCCAATCCCCACAACTGCCACTGGACAGTTCTGGACCAGTTCATAATCTGCACACTAAACAGTTCGACCTGGACCTAGCAGAAGGCCCTAAGGTGCTTGCTTCTGCAGAGATATGGCCTGTTTTTCTTTTGAGGCTTGATACCTGTGCTGTGCTTGGTACTTCTCATATCACTTCTGCTTGTACTTCTACCATATGTACACCTGTTACTTGGATTCTAAAATGCACTAAAGCCTTGTTACTCAAAGAATGAGATGCATGAACCCATGCATTAGCTTGGAGTTTTTGAGAAATGAAGAATTGCAGGCCCCACCCCAGACCTACTGAATCATAATTTTCATTTTTATGAGACTTCCAGATGACTCATGTGCAAATTTCAGTTTGAGAAGTCCCAGCTAGCCTAGGCCCTGGTGGGAATGATCCAGTGTAAACTAGTAGACTAGTAATGCAGACAGAGTGCAGACCATCAAAGAAGCTAAGTTCCTGGGAAGGAAAATTGTTCTGACAGCATGTGGAGAAATTGTTATTTAGGGAAAGGAAAGAATAGATAGGAAGAAGGGAATGCAGATGTAAGAGGTTTGAAGATTTAGTTAATCAGAAAGTAAAATATTTCTCTCAGATTAATTTTATCACTTTAGTGATGCGCGAAGGATATCATCAGCTATAATTGGTGGGCAACAGGATTGATGAAAGAGGAGAGGCTGATGAATTAGTCATCTTGGTAGGCAGACATTAGGAAAATTTTGGTAGGTTACTGGACAGTGTTGAATGCCAGTTCAAATGTTGTAAACATGAATTTAAAGATAAATAAGTCAGCCCATTTGGGTGAATTTCTCCTAAAAATGTTCAGCTGCTCAACCACTGGTCCCAGGATGGCAGACAGTAGACTTCAACTGTCAGAATTTCCTTAGTCAAGTATGTCAGAAAGAAAAAAAGCAAGGGAGTTGAAGACGTGGCAAGAATTTTCAACATCATTTAAGCTAGACGAGGAGGCAAATGAATACACAAAGGGGATGAGGAACAAGAGAGAATGTGGTGGTTGGGTCAATGAAATGGAGCACTTTTAAAAAAAAATTTTTTTTTTTTTTTTTTTGAGACATTGTCATCTGGCTCTGTCACCCACGCTGGAGTGGCATCTCGGCTGACTGCAACCTTTGCCTTCCAGGTTCAAGCGAGTCTCCTGCCACAGCCTTCCAAGTAGCTGGGACTACAGGCACCCACCCCCACACCTGGCAAATTTTTGTATTTGTAGTAGAGATGGGGTTTCACCATGTTGGCCAGGCTGGTCTCAAACTCCTGACCTCAAGTGGTCTGCCTGCCTCGGCCTCCCAAAGTGCTGGAATTACAGGCGTGAGCCACCATGCCCAGCCAAAATGGAACTCTTAATGAGGTTGAGAATGCTGGAATTTCCTAGAATAAGTAAGGGAGCTTGAAATACAGGCAGTAGTGCTGTGAGAATGAGAGGCATGACATGGGAATTTTGGAGGTGGTAATTTCTGGGCTGACAAGGTTAAGTCTGACTATGACACTGAGTGATTCCATGGGAGTAGCAGTCAAGGAAAAAAGAGCTCATGGTGGTTTGGAACACCCAGATTCATTTGCTGTTTTGTTACGGAACCCTTAAACATAAAAAGTAGAGAGGGCATAATAAACCTCCATCCATACATCACCCATCTTAGTCATTATCAACTCATGGCCAATCTTCCTTTACCATTGGAAGCAAATCCAGACACTCACATGCTTATATGTGTAAATATATCAGATTGGCATCTAATTTTTAAAGGGACTCTTTGAAAAAACTTCCACACTACATTATCAAATGTAAAATGAATAACAGTAACTACATAATATTATCTTTTCTTATTTATTATTTTTTTTGAGACGGAGTCTTGCCCTGCCACCCAGGCTGGAGTGCAGTGGCACGATCTCGGCTCACCGCAACCTCCGTCTCCCAGGTTCAAGCAATTCTCCTGCCTCAGCCTTCTGAGTAGGCGGGATTACAGGCGTGCCACCACGCCAAGCTAATTTATGTATTTTCAGTAGAGATTGGGTTTTGCCATGTAGGTCATGCTGATCTCAAACTCCTGACCTGAGGTGATCCACCCACCTCGGCCTCCAAAAGTGCTAGGATTACAAGCCTGAGCTACCGCACCCGGCCACTACATAATACTATCAAAGAGCCAATCTATCATGTTAATTGTTGAAGTTGCTGGTCATTGTGATGGCAGTCTATGTAGAGATAAATGTTTATAGCTGACAGTCGATCCTCAGCCATGAGGAGGAGTGGTAGGGATGCCACCAGACAACAGCCATAAAGAGGAGGGAATATTTCAAGTCAGGTAGTCTAAGCCTCAAAGATAGAGTGAAATCTTTCCTTCCCCCAACTCCCCAGCCCCAAAAAGATGGATAAATGGTCTGGAAATAGCAGTGAAATGCAAGAAGGAAGCCTTTGAATTTTATATTCTCACCCTGATATACAAGGAGTATAAGAGAAAAAATAGCTCCCCTGAAGAGGGTGTGTATTGGTCAAGTTCTCCAGAGGAAGGGAAGCAATAGGATTTGTATAAGATATGTAACAGCGGATTTGTTATAGGAACTGGACACAATTATGGAGGCTGAGAAGTCCCATGATCTGCTGTGTGCAAGCTGGAGACCCAGGAAAGCTGGTGGTGTCATTCAGTCTTGGTCTGAAGATCTGAGAGCCAGGGAAGCTGACGGTGTTACTCTCAATCTGAGGTCAAAGGCCTGAGAACCAGCGGTCTCAGTAATGTAAGTCCCAGAGTCTGAAGGCCTGAGAACCAGAAGCTCCAGTGTTCAAGGATAGAAGATAGATGCCCCAGCTCAAGAAGAGAGGGCAAATTCACCCTTCCTCCACCTTTTTATTCTATCCCTGCTTTCATCAGATTGAATAATGTCCACCCATATTGATGAGGACAGATCCTCTTTACTCAGTCTGTGGATTCGAATGCTAATCTCTTCCAAAAACACTCTCACAGACCCACCCAGAAATGTTTCTGCGTATCCCTTAACCCGGTCAATAACACCTAAAATGCAGCACCAAGTCAAAGGGAGAAGAGTGTTCACAACGGAGAGCTGCATTTCTGGTGAATTCAGGAAGCAAAAGAAACATTTCGCAAAGAGACCGAATGTATGCAGATCTGCTGTGTGCAGACCTGAAGGCCACAGTGAAAAATATGGGTGTGGGCGTGGTAGGGGCAGGGGTACAGAGGATCAAGTCAGATTTATGGGAGACGTGCTTTGAACAATAGGGGTCATGAGTAAGATGACAAAACCCCCCAAGGCTGTCCCCGCATGTATGTGTCATCCTGACATGCAGTTTAGTGTATGTCCAAGTTCAGACAATAAATTACATGATCTCACTAGACATACAGATTGAAGGGGTTTGGTGTTCTGGCAGTAGCTAAGTGAGAAAGGATGTGTGACAGGGTGGGGTTAGTCCTGGAACTCTAGCTGTTCTAACTCCATGTAGTCTTCCCCTCTGCAGCACTGGGAGATGGTGCCTGGGATGGTGTTTTCTCAACCAGTAAGTGCACTGAAACTTTTGATCTAGAAATTCCACAGTCAAGAATTTATCTTGGTTGGGCACAGTGGCTCACGCCTGTAATCCCAGCACTTTGGGAGGCCAACATGAGAGAACTACTTGAACTCAGGAGTTGGGGACCAGCTTGGGCAACATAGTGAGACCCTCATCTCCACCAAAAAAAAAAATAATTAAAAATTTAAATTTAAATTTAAATTTAATTTTAGCCGGGTGTGGTGGCATGCATCTATAGTCCTAGTGACACAGGAGGCTGAGGTGGGAGGATTGCTTAAACCCAGAAGTTCAAGGTTGCAATGTGCCATGATTGTACCACTGCACTCCAGCCTGGGTGACAGAGTGACACCCTATCTCTTAAAAAAAAAAACAAAACAAAACAAAACAAAAAAAAACACCAACCAGACAACAAAAACACTCTCTAAAGAGATCATCAATTTGGCAGACAAACGGTATTTACCAAAAAATTATTCCTCCAGTATTGTTTATAACAAGCCAGACTCCCCAGGATAAACTAGAAAAAAATTAATCATTGTTAAATGAAAAACCTCTACTTCTCTCCAGAGGAAAGAGAACTACACAGAATTATTCATGAGTAAAATGACTGTCTTAAATAACCTGCCTGCAATTTTCAGCATCTGCCATTAGATTTGAGACACATATTTGAGTCCATGAAACACCTATCAAGGGAGGCTTTGATAATATCAGTGTAATTAAAATGGGTATCAATTTTTTTCTATTTTTCTTGAGTTTGTTAATACTTTTCTTCCTAGATAATTACAGTTGCACAATTTTTCAGGTTTATTGGTATAAAATTGCTCAAAGTACTCATGATTTCTAAATTTCATATATTTTTGTTCTCTTTTACTTAATCCTAATCGTTTTTGACCCTTTCTATTCCTTCCTATTTTATCTCATTCATTTGTATTTCTGTCTTTATTTCTGTTCTTATAGTTTCCTTACATTTATCTAGCTGTTTGTTAAGAGACAGAGTCTTGCTCTGTCACCCAGGTTGGAGTATGGTGATGCTATCACAACTCATTGCAGCCTCAACCTCACAGCTGAGCTCAAGTGATCCTCCCACCTCAACCTCAGTAGTAGTTGGAACTACAGGTGCAGGCCAGCATACCTAGCTAATTAAAAACAATTCGGGGGGGGGGGGCTAGAGATGGTGGGGGGGTCCCATTATGTTGACCAGGCTGATTTCAAACTCCTGCGGACAAGCCATCCTCCCACCTTGGCTTCCCAAAGTACAGGAATTACAGCATGAGCCACCACACCCAGCCTTATCTAGCTCTTGAGACACCTTCTTCACTCATTTCTTTCTTGTTTCTTTTTTAAACGAGTGCATTTAAAGTTAGAAATTAATGTGAATATTTGAATCCCATATATTTTGATATACTTACTTTAATTATCATTCAGTTCTAAGAATTTTGTTAATTCTTTTGTGGGAATTCTTTTGAAGTAAGTTCTTAGGTTTGCAGCCATATGAATAGTTTTAAAAACTGACTTTGCCGGGCATGATAGCTCACACAGGTAATCCCAGCACTTTGGGAGGCCAGGACCAGAAGACTGCTCGAGCCCAGGAGTTCAAGACCAGCATGGGCAACATAGCGAGACCTCCATTTCTACAAAATATTTTTTAAATTAGTCAGGCATGGTGGCACGTACCTGTAGTCCTGGCTACTAGAGAGGCTGAGGCAGGAGGATGGCTTAAGCCCAGGTTCAATCATAGCTGCAGTGAGCTATGATTGCACCACTGCACTCCAGCCTAGGTGACAAAGTGATATACCCTATTTCTAAAAATAATAAAAAATAAAAAGCAGATTTGTTGATTTACCATTTAATTGAATGATGAGGCGAGCACATTGTCTATGTCATATTCAATCCCTGACATTTGCTGAAACTTCTTTAGTGATATAGTGTGTGGTTAATTTTTGAAATGCCCTGTACACTTTTTGTAAATACTCTCTAAAAATGTATGTCTGCTTGCCAGAGAGAGAATTCTAGGTATCTATCAGATAAAGCCAATGTATTTTGTAAATCTCATCCTTACTAATTTTGGTCCAATTTATCAGATTCTGATAGTGATATACTGGAATCTTACTACTATGTGGTTTTCTCTCTCCTGGTAATTCCATAAGAACTTGTTTCATACAGTTCTGGGTTTTATTATAGGTATATTCAGGTTCTCAATTATTATATTTTCTCAGTGGATTGTTCTTTCAATTATTATGGACTGATCTTTTTATCCCTATTAAATTCTTTTTGTCTTATATTCGATTTTGTATGGTATTAATATTGCTATGCCCCTTTATCTCGGTTGATACTTGAATGCTATAGCTTTTTATCCACTCCCCTTTTTGATAACTATTTTGAAATAACTATATATTCACAGAAACTTGCCACAGCAAAAAATGTGCAAGGAGGTATTTAGCACCCTTTTCTCACTCACTGTTCCCATTTTGCATAACTATACATCCCTTTATTTTTAAAATTCTAACCTATGCCTCTTGTAGGCAACATGCAGCTAGATTTTGCTTTATTATCCATTCTGATCATTTCAGTCTCTTTAAAAGGTGAGTTTAATCTGTCTACCGTTAGTGATTATTTACACAGCTGGAATTGTTTCTATTTTCTTATTCTCATTCTTTGCTTTTTCTTTTCCTGATCTTCCTGATCACCATACTTTTTATTTGCTTCATTATTGCTTTTCTGCTCTTTCATTTTCTTCTTGCTTAGAGGTATAATTTTATTTACATAGTCCATATTATTCTCACCAAAATATTTTATCAGTTTCCATATTTACAGTATTTTTGTATCTCAATGCCTTTTCTTTGGGTTCAGATTTTTTCCTGCTGAAGTATATCCTTTAATAGTTTTTTGTTGTTAGTATTGTTTTTATTTTATTTTTTATTTTTCTTTTTGAAATGGAGTCTCGCTCTGTCACCCAGGCTGGAGTGCAGTGGTGCCATCTTGGCTCACTGCGACCTCCGCCTCCCAGGTTCAAGCGATTCTCCTGCCTTGGCCTCCTGAGTAGCTGGGATTACAGGCATGTGCCACCACGCCCGTCTAATTTTTGTATTTTTAGTAGAGACAGAGTTTCACCATGTTGGTCAGGCTGGTCTCGAACCCCTGGATCTTGTGATCTGCCTGCCTTGGCCTCCCAAAGTACTGGGATTACAGGCATTAGCCACCATGCCCAACCAGTATTGTTTTTAATTAAGAAGACATCTGTGGCCAACTCTTAGTATAGCCCTCATTCTCTGGGTATAAAACACTAGGCTAATAATTATGGCCTTTAAGGTTATTTAAGATACTATTTCACTCTATGCATCTATCTTTGCTGATAATAACTTCAGTTATTAATATGTGGTAATCTTTTTTCCCAGTAACTTAAATTTTCCTAGTTTTACTATAATGTGTCTTATTTTGGTTTATTTTTCATTATTCTTGGTACTTGAACTACCCTTCTAGTAAATTTATTTTATGTTTTAACTTTTACTTTTTTTTTTTGCGACAAAAATCTCACTCTGTTGCCCATGCTGGAGTGTAGTGTTGCAGTAATGTGATTATGGCTCACTGCAGCCTCGAACTCCTGGGCTCAAGCAATCCTCCTGCCTCAGCCTCCTAAAGTGCTAGGATTACAGGTGAGAGCCACTGTACCCAGCCCTCTCCTAATTTAAAAACTTGTGTTTGAACTTGATTCTGAGAAAGCCTTAGCTAGTCACTGTTTAAATATAATTTCTCTACTCTTCCCTCCATTTTCTTTTCTGGACCTTCTTTTGAATACATGGGGAAAGCCTTCCATCTATCCACTATTTCTGCATGAATGGTTTCATCAACTAATTTTCTCCTTCAATTATGTCCAATATACTTTATCCAATTTCTTAAGGTATATTTATGATTTTTATTTTTCATATTTCTAATCAGTTATTTTTCATGTTTACCCATAGTTGGTTTATTTATGCCTATTTTGTCTTACATTTTTTTCTCTACCTTTTACTTTTTTTTTTTTAGAATATTTCTCTTAATTTTCCCTTGAAGTACCTTAAATATTTATGTGAAAGTCTTCTTTCAGATTGTCCTATTATTTTTATCTGACCCACATTTACTTGATGATGATCTTGCAGTTTTCTTTCTTGGCATTGCATTTCTTCATGCATTCTCAATATTTGGTTTGCAGGCTCCTTGGCTGTTTTTGCGTTTTGCTTTTTGCTTTCACTCCCTTCGGGTACTCAATCCTACTTGCCCACAGCTTGGACATTGCTTCCACTCACCTCTAGGGGGCGCAATGCAGAACCAAATCATTGCACAGGGCGCGGCTGGAGACACTGCAGTTCAGTTATGGGCCTCTGGGGGGCTCGTCGCATGCCGTTCCGGCTTGTGAGTCTGTGTCCTCCCTCTTCTTCAGGTCCACAGAAACCCAACTGTCGCAGAAACCTGAGTGGTAAAGTGTCAGCAGCAGGAGTTCTGAATAACATTTCAGGGGCAGAAAAACCGCACTGGCCTTTCCTTCAATGGTGAGCAGACTCTAGCCCGTCTTCTGCGGAGCGATTTATCCCGACAGAGCCCAACTCCGACCCACAACCACAGTCCTGGATCTTCAGCTCACTCATCTGTCTCTGTCCAAGTGCTGCTTCCCAGTCTACACAGACCCTAATTTGGGTTTTGAGCATCACTATGCCTTTTTATATCTTCATTTTATATTTTCACCACCACTGCTGTATGTTTAGAAAAGAAGAAATGTCCCAAAGAGGCTGGGCTCGGTAGCTCACGCCTGTAATCGCAGCACTTTGGGATGCCGAAGCAGGGGGATCGCTTGAGGTCAGGAGTTCGAGACCAGCCTGGCCAACATGGCAAAACCCCGTCCCTACTAAAAATGCCAAAATTAGCTGGACGTGGTGGCGGGGGCCTGTAATGCCAGCTACTCGGGAGGCTGAGGCAGGAGAATTGCTTGAACCCGGGAGGCAGAGGTTGCAGTAGGCAGAGATTCCACCATTGTATTCCAGCCTGGGCGACAGAGCAGGACTCTGTCCAAAAAAAAAAAAAGAAAAGAAAAAAAGTTCCACACAATGGAGTTAGCATCCACTTGAATAAGATTCTGTATTAATTCAGGATCAAAAGATTTGAGAGGAAAAAAAGGTTTTTGTTTGTTTGTTTTTTTGAGACGAAGTCTCACTTGGTCACCCAGGCTGGAGTGCAGAGGTGTGATCTCAGCTCACTGCAACCTCTGCCTCCTGGGTTCAAGCGATTCTCATGCCTCAGCCTCCTGAATAGCTGGGACTACAGGCACGTGCCACCACGCCGGGCTAATTTTGTACTTTTAGTAGAGATGGGGTTTCGCCATGTTGGCCAGGCTGGTCTCGAACTCTTGATCTCAGGTGATCCACCTGCCTTGGCCTCCCAAAGTGCTGGGATTACAGGCATGAGCCACCGCGCCCGGCCAAAAAAATGTAGTTTTAATGGCTGCAAGTTTTTGAAACTGTTGTTATATGGAGAGCATAGCAACTATGTCCTCTGATAAATAAGTTTGTAACAGCCCTGTGTTCAATGGCTAATAGGTGGTATTTTTAAAAGACTTGTAGCTCGTGAAACATTGTAAGTGCCTTGTGATTTGTGTTTGTGTGAAAACTGGAGCTTACTCCAAATTTATGTTGAAACTTATTATCTTTTCACTTTCTCAAGAATGACAACTGGGAAAAGTTAAAAACTCAAAGGCCAAATATTATGTCAAACCAGTAATGGAGGTACAGAAAACATCAGAAAAATAGAATATCAGAAGTCAAAGAGGGATTTATCTTTCCTAGTTCTATTCTCTACTGGATGGATAATCTTATTCCCTGGGGGTTGCTGGAAGAAGAGAGGTGAGTCTTACTTTTTTATAGCAAGTTGTTATGGGGGAAAAAAATCTGTACCAAAGAAACCAACTTTTTTTCTGTAATAAAAACGTATTTTTGGGCTAGGCACGGTGGCTCACACCTGTAATCCCAGAACTTTGGGAGGCCAAGGCAGGCGAATCACTTGAGGTCAGGAGTTTGAGGCCAGCCTGGCCAACATGGTGAAACTCCTGTCTCTACTAAAAATAAAAAAATTAGCCAAGTGTGGTGACGCACACCTGTAATCCCAGCTACTCAGGAGGCTGAGGCAAGAATCACTTGAACCCGGGAGGCAGAGGTTGCAGTGAGCCGAAATCATGCCATTACACTCCAGCCTGGGCAATAAGCAAAACCTCCATCTCAAAAAAATGTATAAAACCAAATTTTTGGTTTTAGCTTCATTCTGTTTTTAAATCTCTCTAGGTATGATGATGTCCCTGGCATTTTTCTTCCAAAAAAAACATCCAAAGTGGAAGTTTTTTCTTAAAGAATACATTTCTTACGTTAAACTTAACGAAATGTTAAAATCTAAATTTTAAGACAATACAATAAAAATACCTTGGGCATAATGCAAAGACTTATATTTAAGGAATTTCAGGCTAAAGTTCATTATATTGATTTCTAGTTTATTAGCATTATCAACAATAGTAATGGTGTGTAAGTTTAGTCTATCAGACAAGACACTATTCAGATAACAGGAGACCTGGAATGGTGACTAAAATAGGTATTGGTCCCAATTTGCAGAAAACCGCTCTCATCTTAAACTCTCACTTTCCTGTCGTTCAGTTTAAGAGTTTGATTTATTTTGTAAACAATAAGCTGTACAACTCTGTATGTTGCCAATTAGAAATAACTTTGTTATTTTTTTCAAAGGGGGTTTTCTGGGTATGGTGTGCATACACGTGAATTTAAATATAGGGCCAGGCATGGTGGCTCACGCCTGTAATCTCAGCTCTCTAGGTGCCACTTTAAATTTGAAGCTTATTTTTAGAGCTCCTAAAAGGATGCCTCGCTGAAGTTATTAAAGGGCTCCTAACACTAACAATTTGTTGACATACTGTCTGTTTCTTCATCTTCTGTCTAAAGAACGTTAAGTGCCTCTCCCCTGCTACCAAGTCAGAGAGCATATGAATAAAAATTAATAATCTGTAGGTGTTTTAGCAGGTTACATCTGGGGGGTCTTGAGAAGTGAGACAGTGGAAGAGTTTATTGTTCATTGAGTCAAAATGTCATGGCTAGTATCCACCAGCTAAAGCTAAGTTCCATAATACAGAACCACTTATTTTAGGCAGGAAGATAACAGCCCTGTCTTCAGAGATCTAGTTTACATTACATGCAACTTGCTTTGAAACATTTTCCTATCCTCATATTTCTCATATTTTCTTATTCTAATAGCATCCCTGTCCTAGTTTCTGGGTGTGTCACTGGTTTAAGAGCGTTAACAATACAGATCTCCAGGGAACATCTTCACCTTACAGGTGGGGAAATGCAGGACGAAAGAAATTTGCAGGCCAGGTGCCGTGGCCCGTGCCCGTAATCCTAGCACTTTGGGAGATCAAGGCAGGTGGATCACTTGAGCCCAGGAGTGGAGTTTAAGACCAGCCTGGCAAACATGGTGAAACCCTGTCTCCACACAAAAAATACAAAACTTAGCGGAGCGTGGTGGCACCCAACTATAGTCCCCGCTACCCAGGAGTCTAAGGTGGGAGGATCATGTTAGCCCGGGAGGTTGAGTCTGCAGCAACCCATGATCATGTCACTGCATTTCAGCCTGGGGTGACAGAGTGAGACCCTGTCTCCAAAAAAAACTAAAAAGAAAACGAAGTTTGCAAAGTCTCCAAGTTTAAGCTATGAGTGAGTGGCTCTGACAGGGTCCAATCTAAATCTACCTGGCTGCAAAGCCAGTGCTCTCTCCCATACCACACACATACTTCCTTCCCAAAGTATTCCCACATTTTGGTTTTCAGTATGCTGATGGATTTCAGGCTTATGGATTTCACTGTTCCTTTTTATGCCAAGCGAGCACCTCTATAGCATTTGTTGCACAATTAGCAATTCTATAGCTAAAAACAGGGATGTTAAGAAATCTATAAAGCTGTCCTGTGTGAATGAGGCTTAGGATGTTCATTTACAGAGCTTTCTCTGTCAGTGTTTGGGTTGTGCATACATGTGTTTGTGATTCTTATTTTTTATTTATTTATTTATTTTTTTTTTTTTGAGACAGAGTCTTGCTCTGTCACCCAGCCTGGGAAGTGCTGCTATCTTGGCTCACCGCAAACTCTGCCTCCTAAGTTCAAGCGATTCCCCTGCCTCAGCCTCCTGAGTAGCTGGGATTACAGGCGCCTGCCACCATGCCCGGCTAACTTTTGTATCTTTAGTAGAGACGGGGTTTCACCATGTTAGCCAGACTGGTCTCAAACTCCTACTCAGGTGATCCGCCCTCCTCGGCCTCCCAAAGTGATGGGATCACAGGCGTAAGCCACTGCGCCCGGCCACAGTCTAATAGTTATGATGATGATGACCATCACCATGATGTGCTGTTGTCATCCATCTTACAGATGAGGAAACCAAGCCCTGGTCAGTTGGCTCCAAATTCAATATGAGAATGAGACAAGCTTTCTATTTTGTTACACCACCCTTGTTATTTGGGGTGTTCCTGTTCTAAAAGTCAAAATTAGGTGACATAGCAATATTAATATCCCATCTTTTCTAAAGCAGACCTTATGTGGGACAAGTACCTCTGATCTTTCCTTCAAAATTCCTTTTTCAAAAAATAGCTCTTGCCAACCTAAGCAGTTTTTTTGCAAGTCTTGTTAACGCAGAACTTTCACTTTTTAAAATCCTATTTCTAGAAGCACCTTCTGCCTTTTCTCCATGTCCTTGTTTTTGTAGCCCTTTTACACATGATCTTTCAAAAGCAATAAACTTATTTATATCCTGTCCCATTTGGAAATGGATGGAAGGTGACTGCTTGAAGATCTCAGACAATTTCATACTCAAATTTCACACTTCAAAAGGAACCCAAAATATGCCTTTCCTGAGTCTTGGCCATGTCGGATCTGAGCCATCTCTAAAATATGGGTCCTTAGTGTCATTCTCAAAGCTTTTTTAAAAGCAGATACTGCCAACTTGCTTAGTAATGAATTCACCCTCTCAAACCAGATATTTAATATTTTTTAAAAAACATTGTTTTTGTAACAGCTATGTATTTAAAGATTTGCAGAGATAATACAAACAGTTCAGAGACATGTCTCACAGCCAGCTTCTTCAATTATTAACATCTTCCATTAGTATGGTACATTTGTCACAATTATTGAACCAGTAGTGACAATGTTATTAACTGAAGTCCAGCTTTGATTTCGTTCATTTTCTTTGGTTTATTTTCAATTTCAGTGATTTCTGCTCTAATTTTTATTTTTTTCTCTGTTTGCATCACTCTTATTCTTTTCTATAGTTTCCTTTCCTATAGCTTATTGATTTTAGATATTTCTTTTCATCTAATATATATATTTAATGCTATAAATTTCCTTCTAAGCACTGCTTTCACTGCATCCCACAAATTTTGATAAGTTGTATTTTTAAAAATTTTTACTGTTTTATTATTTTTTTAAAGAGACAGGAGACTCACTATGTTGCCCAGGCTACTCTCAAACTCCTGGCCTCAAGTGATCCTCCCGCCTCAGCCTCCCAAAATGTGATATAAAACCATATTGTTACATTTCTTGTTTCATTTCCTGTGAACTTGGAAACTTAAAACTCCTTGTCTCACTGTAAAACAGATCATGACGTTTTATAGTTGAAATAATCAGTGCTGATAATGGGGTGTAAAATTTGCAGAGGCACAGAAAAACTCAGTGATTGCAATAAATATTTTAATGCAATACTTTTAGTTCATGTAAAACATTTATAATGAATAAAATAAGAATTTAATAACATCAGGACCAATATATTATCTAAAGAGCGGAAGTCCCTCCCACATGGACCAAACATGGAACCTACTCTTTTATTGCTCAGCACAACTGAGACAGGTTGCAGCCTTTAGTAAGACTTAACTCAACGTTCAGGACTTAACTCGAATGACAGAAAGTCATTTCAATGCAATACACAGTTTTATTTCAGCTGCCAATGGATACTGCAGCTTTCAGAGCTCTTCGTCCAGGAGCCATCTTTACCGGATGCCTTGGCCCAGTGTGCATGAGGATAGAAAGTATGTAATCCTCTACCCAGACAGAGTACCTTTGAGCTAGTCTCCTGACACTGGTATCCCGTGCTACCAGCAAAGATCTATACAACAGAAACAGGTGCCATACAGTTTCTCCTTGCCAAGCCAATCTAAGGACTGAGTTGTCAGTCCTAATTTCCTCATTTAGAATGCACCTCTTTCTGAAATAACTGATGAGAATATCCTTTTGCATCAACAAAAACTTTGCCTATAGGGCTTGGAATTTGTCATAGGGCATCGGTAAGAAATCACACCAGAATACATTAGTATAATATCAGAACCTTTCTCCAAATATGTATGATTCTGTTTTAATAGCTTCACATGCAAGAGATCAAAATTATAGTCCAGGCTCAATTCTACTTTATCACTTGAGTTCCCTCTTTGTGTGAGATGAAGATCTGCCCTCACGTATTTTCTATCAATGGCTAAGTCTCAACCCTGCATCACTCATGAATAATTTCTTTAACAACAACAGAAGCAACAACAAGAACAAGACACACTCTCTCACACCCACACGCACACACCCCTACCTCCATAAGAAAGAGTAGCAGATCATAGGCATAGTGTAGCTTAAATTTAAAAAGGGAAATAAACTCTTTATAAAAATGCCACCCGGCCCCGCGCGATGCTTACGCCTGTTATCCCAGCACTTTGGGAGGCAGAGGCAGGCGGATCACAAGGTCAGGAGACTGAGATCATCCTGGCCAACATGGTGAAACCCCGTCTCTACTAAAAATACAAAAATTAGCTGGGCTTGGTGGTGCGTGCCTGTAATCCCAGCTACTCGGGAGGCTGAGGCAGGAGAATCGCCTGAACAAGGGAGTTGGAGGTTGCAGTGAGCCGAGATTGCACCAGCTTGGCGACAGAGCAAGACTCCATCTCAAAAAAAAAAAAAAAAAAAAAAAAAAAAAAAAGGGCTGCTCTACCTCCTCAACTCCTCTATGTCACTCTTGCTCTCTCATTCTCTCATGATGTCACAGAACATTCTACCTCCTTAGAAATTACTCTTTTGGTTAAACTATCAGCTTAATATGGATATAATCAAATAATCCCTTCTGGTGGTTTTCCCAGAAGCAAGGTCTCAGGATATATTTAGGCCTCACCTCCTGCGAGGTTTCTACCAGCATATTTAAGGTTTTGAAAATATTAGAACCAAATTTTACCTAGGGCGCCATGTTACAATTACCGTAATGTATTTCAGCACATCCTCACCAGTTACTAATGAAAATTTCAAAATTTCACTGGTCCTAAAAAATAAGGATAAATATATGAGATGCTTAAAAAGTTAAATGTATTTAAAGAATACTCCTTTATTCTTTGATTACATCACTAGTACATCCTTTTTCTGTTAATTTATTAAATTATAATGTCATAGGTTTTGTTTTGTTGTTCGTTGCTTGTTTGGTTTTGAGAAAGGGTCTTGCTGTGTCACCCAGCCTGGAGTGCAGTGACCATCATGGCTCACTGCAGCCTCTACCTCCTGGGCTCAAATGGTCCTCCCACCTCAGCCTCCTGAATGGCTGGGACTACAAGGCATACATGACCATGCCTGGGTAATTTTTAAATTTTTTGTAGAGATGGGGTGTCTCACTGTGTTGCCCAGGCTGGTCTTGAACTCCTAATCTCAAGCAGTTTTCCTGCCTTAGCCTTCCACAGTGTCGGGATTACAGGCATGAGCCACTGCACCCAGCCATGTTTTTTAATTCTGATTTTACAAAATACAAATTTTGAAAGCATGTGTCATCCACCTCAGGTTGTTGGCTTGTGGGTTTGTTGTTGTAGCTTACTATGGGCTGAATTATGTTCCCCCTGTCCCCAAGCCCCTGATTCATATATTGAGGTCCAAACCCCAGAAACTTAGAATGTGACTGTATTTGAAGATAGAGTCTTTAAAAAGGTAAATTAATTAAAATGAGGTTATTAGGGTGGGCCTAATAACCCACCTTTTGACTGGTATCCTTAATAACGGGAGGAACTTCCGATACAGACAAGCAACAGAAGGAAGATGACATGGCCAAGTGTGGCGGCTCATGCATATAACCCCAGCACTTTGGGAGGCCGAGGCAGGCGGATCACCTAAGTTCAGGAGTTCGAGACAAGCCTGGCCAACATGGTGAAACCCCATCTCTACCAAAACATACAAAAATTAGCCAGGCGTGGTGGTATGTGCCTGTAATCACAGCTACTCAGGAGCTGAGGTGGGAGAATCGCTTGAACCTAGGAGGCAGAGGTTGCAGTGAACCAAGATAGTGCCATTGCACTCCAGCCTGGGTGACAAAGTGAGACTCTCTCAAAAAAAAAAAAAAAAACAAAGGAAAGGAAGGAAGGAGAGAGAGGGGAAGGGAGGGAGGGAAAGAAAAAGAAAGATGATGATGTGAAGACACATGGAAAAGAAATCCGTCAAAAGTCAAGGAGAGAGAAGTGTGTAACAGGTCCTTCCCTCAAGACCTAAGAAACCAACCGTGATTTTGGATTGCTAACTTCCAGAATTGTGAGGAAATAAATTCCTGTTGTTAAAGCCACCTAGTCCATAGGACTTTGTTATGGCAGCCTTAGAAAACTAGAACATTGTTATTGTTTTGTAATTTTACCCTTCCATGAAGTCCCCAAATCTTGGGAATCTCATCTCAATTCATTAGGGGCCAGTTTTGTCTTGCACATGGGGAAGCAGGGGTCACATAAGCTTCTTTTGTATCTCTCTTCACACAAAGTGGGCAACACATCAAAATTTGCTGAAAGCTTGGGATACAGAAAAATATCCCCAGAAAGATCACCAGGGAAATTCTAGATGAAGAAAGTGCTTCATCATGGTCCCAGCAGACAAACTGAAAACTATCTTACTCTCAATATTAAAATCAAATTTGACGAACAAGATTCATGTTGACAGAATTTACTTTACAAGGATGATTTTCCTTTGTAGTGTTTATTCTGTCAACAGGTATCAACCCTTCCTCTCTTTTTTTTTCGTTTTCTGTTTCACCCTTGTCATGACTATTATCCCCCGGACTCAGGGAATTTTCTGTCTCTCCTCTGTGGCTTGAAGTTACCACAGCAGATACCAGGAGTCTTCCTAGCCACGTAATCAAGGAATTTCATTCAAGGTCCATTTTCCATCATGTCCTGGTGGAGTCCACAGAAACCTGGGTTCTCCCTGTGCCTTTCAACTCGTTTCAGGCTGGCTGTGGTGGCTCACGTCTGTAATCCCAGCATGTTGGGAGGCCAAAGTGGGAGGATCACGTGAGCCCAGGAGTTCAAGACCAGCCTGGGCATCATAGGAAGACCCCATCTTTACAAGTAATTTAAAAATTAGCCAGACGTGGTGGTGCACACCCGTAGCCCCAGCTACTCAGGAGGCTGAGGCAGGAGGATCACCTGAGTCTGGGAGGTTGAGGCTGCAGTGAGCCTGTTCACACTACTGTACTCCAGCATGGGCAACAGAGCCAGACCCTGTCTCAAATAAATAAATAAATAAATCTCTTTTAATTAATGCAAATCAAAACCACAGTGGGATACCATCTCTCACCAGTCAGAATGGCTATTATAAAAAAGTAAAAAAATAACAGATGCTGGTGAGGTTGCAAAGATAAGGGAATGCTCATATACATACATTGCTGGTGCTCATGTAAATTAGTTCAGCCACTGCAGAAAGCAGTTTGGTGATTTCTTAGAGAACTTAGAATTACCATTCGACCTTAGCAATCCCATTATTGGGTATATAATTAAAGGAATACAAATTATTCCACCAGAAAGACGACATGCATGTGCATGTTCATTGCAGCACTATTCACAGTACCAAAGATGAGGAATCAATCTGAATGCTCATCAATGGTAGACTGGATAAAGAAAATGTGGTACAATATAGCATGGAATACTATGCAGCCATAAAAGAAGAATGAGATCATGTTCTTTGCAGAAACATGGACAGAGCTGGAGACCATTATCCTAAGTGAACAAAGGCAGGAACAGAAAACCAAATACTGCATGTTCTCACTTATAAGTGGAAGCTAAGCATTGAGAACACATGGACACAAAGAAGGGAACCACATACACCAGGGCTTAGTTGAGGGTGGAGGGTGGGTGGAGGGTGAGGATCAAAAAACGACCTATCAGATACTATGCTTATTACCTAGGTGACAAAATAATCTGTACATCAAACCCCCTTGAAACATAATTTACCTGTATAACAAGCTTGCACATGTATCTCTGAACCTAAAAGTTAAAAAAAAATTTCATTGCCTCAGTGGCTGTTTTGAGAGCATTAAGAGGCTATGAGAGCATTGAGAGGCCCATTTTCCCCCTCTTCCTACCCATCTCAGACCCATCTCATTTCCCCATGAAACTCTGCCTCATACTTCTGTCTGAGCACTCTGAGCCCTACCAGCATGGTCCTTTGGCATCCAGAGCTGTTGGTGGCGCTGAAGGACTGAACACTCCTGCTTTTTCTCAGGCAGAATTCCAATGAAATGTCCCCACACTGATCACTGTTATTGGTTCATAGGCATAAAACAGAAACAAGGATTCTTAGTTGGTGTGTATTGTACCAATGACATCTCACAATCTTGCCTTGAATTTCTTTCAGCTTGGCAAAAACCTTTTCTTCACTGGGCATCCAATATCTTACTATAAAAAATTGACTTATAGATCCTGAGGCAAAACTTGGGTTAAAAAAATGAATTTAAACAGGTAACATTATCTACCTTTAGACAGAAAAAAAAAGAATAATCACTTTCTAAAACAAGGTTAAAATGCAAATTATCTTAATTAGAAAAATCACCCATTACAGAAAGTATAACAACAAAAAACAGTCCTAAATGAGATCCTCCTTGAAAATCATGGTCTTATGGAAGGAAGTTTCATAACAGAAAACATTTGTGTAACCTCAGCTCCAGCATTTTCCATTTGCAAATATCACAATATGCTCTGTGGGGAGTGTTAATGAATACATCTGTTTGCCTCCTTGCACAGTTGAATAGTATCTGAAAACAGATCTGTTTTCACATTTCAGAAAGATATCCAGTAAGTTTGTGTTGATGAACAGTGTTAAGTTACATGAGTTCCTTTACCTTGCCGTTTAAACTAACACTAAGATACAGGAGTCCCTAAACAGCTGCTAAAACTCAGGGACATATTATTTACTTTGGAGCCATAAAGTACCCAGGCAGACATTTTTATCCCAACATCTGTTAATTTTCACTCTGAACCATTACCACTCCTTTTCATAAACAGCGTTGTCCTTGCTTTGGACTTCCTCTGTTGTCTGTCGTGACTTCCTGTAGGGAGAAAGATGGTGCAGGAGCCCAAAGCTAGAAATTTAGCCCCAAGAGGTTCATTTACTACTTCTACAGAGCAGAGAAGCCATATGAAAGTCTGTAATTACTGCTACCTCAATGTATTGCTGCAGTTCAGAGCATAGGAAGATCTGTCATTGCAAAGAGCAGCAGTTTCACAGCTTCCAAACTCACGATGGCTTTGTGTGTTTGTTTTGCTGACTCATAGAAGATCAGGTAAATGCATTCACTCAGCCCCTCTGATTCCAGATGTGGAATCCTGATGTTCTGCCATGCTCCCATTCCCATTTTAGCCTTGCCCCCAAATACGTTTCCTCTTGATTTGGCCACATTATTAGATTTGTATCCTCCTTCCCCCGCTGCTGTATGCCACATGTGTGGGATACCTTTGCCATAGTGACATCAACTGGAACAAGTTGGAACTGAAATCTCTAAGCATCACAGAACCTCCCAGATTCACATTTTTTTCTACATGACTTAGAAATACCGCTGTAATAATCTCTGCCATAAAAATAATCCCAGTTGGATTTGAAAATAGACTTTGCAAATTCCAACATAAATAAAAATAATTTTACAAGTGTACACTAATGGCCATGAGAACTGGCTAGTCCATATATTTAGGCTCATACTTTGGAAAACATGCTGGCAATAATGATATGAGAATGATTCTTAAGTTAACTCTCAAATTTTTAAGAAGACTTCTACATAAATTCATATGAATTAATAGCCAGTTAATACTTATATTTTTTTATTAAACTTTACTGAAATATTCATTTACTGGGCAAATATATATTTTAAAATCAGATTTATGTAAGGCACTAATAATGCAAGATGGTTAACATATTTACACAAAGTTGTATGAATCTTGGGTGTTCCCTATCCCCTGGGAATTTACAGCACAACCATTAGGTTAGTGCGAAAGTAATTGTGGTTTTTGCCATTAAAAGTAATTGCAAAAATCGCTATTATTTTTGCACCAACCTAATAGATAAAACCCATTTACAATACAATTGGATAAAATCTCTAAAATATAGACTGTGTTAATTGCCATAAAAGAATGCTACAAAAATTCAGATGAAGGAATCAGTTAGCATTTTAGTTGGAATTTGAAGACTGGGTACAACTTTTAAAAAATTGACATATAATAGTTGTATATATTTTGGGGGTATATGTGATATTTTGATACACGCATATAATATGTAATGGATCAGATTTTAAAGTAATGGAAATTAACAATAATCTATTACTTTTTATTCCCAAAAGTCATTTTAAATTTTATTCTGGGACTAGGCTTTGCTGGTTTGTTTTTTTTTTTTTTTTGGGGGGGGGGGGACTGAGTCTTGCTCTGTCACCCAGGCTGGAGTGCAGTGGTGCGATCTTTGCTCACTGCAACCTCTGCCTCCTGGGTTCAAGCACCTGCCTCAGCCTCCCCAGTAGCTGGGACTACAGGTGTATGCCACCACACCTGGTTAATTTTTTATTTTTAGTAGAGACGGGGTTTCACACCTTGTTAGCCAGGCTGGTCTCGAACTTCTGACCTCAGGTGATCCACCTGCCTTGGCCTCCCAAAGTGCTGGGATTACAGGCATGAGCCACCACGCCCCGCTGGGACTAGGCTTTCTTTTTAAACTTTGTCAGGTAGGATCAGGGCAGCCTTTAGTCTCTAGCATTCCGAGTACTCTATGCCTTATAAGGTTTTCCTCTCTGGCTGGTGGAAGCACAACCATTACTTCTCCTGTGTATGCTCTGAGGATTGTTCCCTGTGCTCCTGTCACGTGGCTCCTTCCCCAGCCTTGGGTAGGATCCTCCCGTGTATATCTACTGACCAGGTCTCACTGGACAGCCCCAGGGGAACCCTTTGCAGATCTCCCAAGCTTGATCTCTGTGCGATTTTTTTCTCTCTGCTCTGTGAACTCTAGCTGTCTTGGCTTCCCAGTGGTTTCTACTCTCTCTGCATGCTGCAACCCTGGAATCTCAGTTTAAGCTGATAAATAAATGAGACTTACCTCATTCTGGTTATACCATCTTAACCATAAGTGGGAGTATGACTACAGTGATCTATTTTTATAGTAGAAATTGGAATAAGCAAATGTGTTAAAAATCCTTTTTCTAGAGATAACGAATGTGTATTAGTGAATTGTCCTCCGATTCTTTAACACTTATATGCAGATATACTCAAATAAATACACACCCAAACACAACTTAGACGTCTGCAGGAAGGCTTTCCATTCCTTAAGATTTACATTTCCTAAATCTAAAACTGGGTAGATTTTTGGTTAATTGCCTCCAAACTCACCTTTTCAATGCATTTTTATGAGAGGCACATGTGCAGGTGGCGATAGTGGACATGGAAGGATATAACTACTATACTCTGAGCGTTTGCGTCTCCCTAAAACTCACATGTTGAAACCTAGTCACCAAGGTGATGGTGTTAGGAGGTGGGGCCTTTGGGAGCTGATTAGGTCATGAAGGCAGAGCTTTCATGAATAGGTTTAATGCTCTTACAAAATTGGTCCCAGACAGCCGGGCGCGGTGGCTCACGCCTGTAATCCCAGCACTTTGGGAGGCCAAGGTGGGTGGATCACCTAAGGTCGGGAGTTCAAGACTAGCCTGACCAACATGGAGAAACCCCGTCTCTACAAAAAATACAAAATCAGCCGGGGTGGTGGCACATGCCTGTAATCCCAGCTACTTGGGAGGCTGAGGCAGGAGAATCGCTTCAACCTGGGAGGCGGAGGTTGTGGTGAGCAGAGATCGTGCCATTGCACTCCAGCCTGGGCAACAAGAGCAAAACTCCATCTCAAAATAAATAAATAAATAAAATTGGTCCCAGAGAGCTGTCTTGCCCCTTTAACCATATGAAGACCCAGTGGTGAGAAGGCGTCATCTATGAACCCGGAAGTGGGTCCTCACCAGACACCAAATCTGCCAGCACCTTGATATCAGACTTTCAAGCCTCCAGAACTGTGAGAAATAAATGTCTGTTGTTTATAAGCCACTGGTTAATGATACTTTGTTATAACACTCTTTGACATATAGTAATGTCAACATCTTAAAATTCCACATTTGACATTAATCTTGCTGAAAGATTCTGCAATGCAGGCTTCATAGGCATAGTGCTTAGCTCTCCTCCCTCATTTTATGGGTAAACAATGACAAAACAACAAAATCTTATTTTACTATACAGAATGACTCAAGTCTCCTCAAACCCCGTCTTTAAATTCAGCTCTAGGATTTCCTTCAAATATCCATGTTATGAAGTTTCTGAAGAGAGTAAAAAGGTCTGTTAGGGAACAGCATTCACATTTTTTAAGTTACCTGTGGTGTAAAGATCACATATACATAAATACATGTGATTTACATATATAGATACTGATGTATGTATTCTTCAAACCGAAATTTATTTTTAGACAGCTTCTCTCTCTTGTTGCCCAGGCTGGAGTGTAATGGTGTGATCTCGGCTCATTGCATCCTCCGCCTCCCAGGTTCAAACGATTCTCCTGCCTCAGCCTCCCAAGTAGCTGGGATTACAGGCGCCTGCCACCATGCCCAGCTAATTTTTTGTATTTTTAGTAGAGATGGGGTTTCACTATGTTGGCCAGGCTGGTCTCAAACTCCTGACCTCAATCCACCTGCCTCGGTGTCCCAAAGTGCTGGGATTACAAACAAGAGCCACTGCACCCAGCCCAAAATGAAATATTTTAATACTATATCATAACTTTTTGCTTTTAATAAAATGTTTAAAATTGGATTTTACAAAGAAGTAATAAAAAAGGAAATAAAATGTTATGTTATTTCATATGCCACATCATTTTTAATGGGCTAAACTTTTATGAGCAAACAATACCCACTCATAAGAAATTTGGAATCTTCGTAACTTCTCACAATGACAAAAGCCACTGTGATAGATATTGAAATTAAATAATATATTTTGAAATAATCCAAGTGTGCAAAATAGGAAATGACAAAGGAACTTAGTATATATTTAAACTGAATTATAATAAAAGTACGACATTCTAAAATGTATTTGATGGAGCTGAAGCTATGTTTAGGAGAAATGCACAGCTTTAAATGTATATAGTAAAAAAATTCTTTTTAATGTATTGTTTAATTTCCAAATCATTGGGTATTCTCTACGTATCTTTCTGCTATTGATTTCTAATTAAATCCCTTATAGTCAGAGAACATACTTTGTGTGGTTTTAATCCTTTTAAATTTATCAAGACTTGTCTATGGACTCAAATAAGATTTATCTTAATAAATGGTCTGTGGATTCTCAAAAAATAAGTAAATGTGTTAAACCAGTGACATAAGTTTTCACGTTAAGCCAGAAAGATATGATTACATTAAACCCAAACAAGAAAGAAAGCAATAAAGATAAAAGCATAAATCTGTAGAGAAGACAACAAATAACAGAAAATTAACAAAGCCAAAAATTAATTCCTTAAAAAGATCAATGAAATTGATTCATCCCTAGCAAGACCTTTTTTTTTTTTTAAAAGAGACAAACCCAAATTTCGATGTCAAGAATGAAAGCAAGATATACCACAGATTCTATAGACAATGGATAATAGCAATTTTATGCCAACAAATATGACAAGTTGGATGAAGTGGACAAATTTCTTGGAAAAAGAGTCAACTTGTCCAAGCTGACTTAAGATGAAATTGAAACTCTTAATTTTCCTATATCTACTTAAGAAGTGTAATCCACTAATAAAAAAGTCTCCTCACAAAGAAAACTCCAGGGCTAGATGGTTTCACTGGTGAAGTCTATCCAATATTTAAAGAAAAAATAACAATATTATCCAAAAATGTTCAGAAATAAGAGACAAAAGAAACACTTCCAACTTAGTTATGGGGACAGCAAAAACCCACAGGAAAGCCTGACAACAAGAAAAGAAAATTACAGACCAGTATCTCTTATGTTTGCAGACAAAAAACCAACCTTCAACAAAATACTTGTACACCGAATCCAGCAACATGCCAAAATAATACATCAGAGCCAAGCCGGGTTCATTACAGGAAAACAAAATCAGTTTGTGATTCAAAAATCAATCAACATAATTAAACACATTTAAAGAATCATCTCCAGAAATCCATCTGAGTACCTATGCATTTGTGATAGGTGTTTATAATATAATATTTACTGATAGGGCAGGGTGCGGTGGCTCATGCCTGTAATCCCAACCCTTTGGGAAGCTGAGGTGGTAGATTACCTGAGATCAAGAGTTGGAGATCAGCGTGGTGAACATGGTGAAACCCCCTCTACTAAAAATACAAAAATTAGTGATCGTGGTGGTGCTGTGCCTATAGTCCCAGCTACTCAGGAGGTTGAGGCATGAGAACGGCTTGAACCTAGGATGTGGAGGTTGCAATGAGCCGAGATGGCACCACTGCACTCCAGCCTGGGTGACAGAGGAAGACTCGGTCTAAAAAAAATAAAAGAGTTTTCTTTTTGCCATTTTTTGATTAAAATGTCTTACTATACATCCTTGTAAGCAGATAGAGATATTAATGGATTCTGGGAGAGATCAAAGCTGGATATGAAGATTGATGACTCACATAGATGATTTGTAACGTTACAGTCACCTAATGTGCGGTTGGAAGAGAAAAAGGAGTCTAGTATGGAACCCAAAAGTAGGGGTCAGTGAGGTGGAAAATCAGGTGAGTGTAGCTTCAAAGGAAGTGTGTTCAAGGACAGTCTGGTCAATTCTGGACAATAAAGGATAATGGGAATTTTGACAGAGAGAAAGAAGGAAAAGGAAGGATAAAAAGAGGAAGCATTTCAATCAGAGGGAACAGAAATGAAAAAACAGGGCGGGTGCGGTGGCTCATGCCTGTAATCCCAGCACTTTGGGAGGCTGAGGTGGGCAGATCACCTGAGGTCAGGAGTTGAAGACCAGCCTGACCAACATGGAGAAACCCCATCTCTACTAAAAAAAAAAATATATAAAAATTAGCCAATGTGGTGGTGTGTGCCTGTAATCCCAGCTACTTGGGAGGCTGAGGCATGAGAATCACTTGAACCTGGGAGGCAGAGGTTGTGGTGAGCTGAGGTCTGGCCATTGTACTCCAGCCTGAGCAACAAGAGTGAAACTCCATCTCCAAAAAAAAAAAAAAAACAAACAAACCCACACACACCACAGTCCCTACTCATGCTCCTCCCCAAAGAGATACTAAATTGATCTTCTAGTTATCAACTTTTAGGAAATAGTGAAAATATAGAGAGATTTGAGGAAACATTGTTTCTCATCCTTACCTCCTTCAGATTTCTAGGACACTAGTTAGTGAACTGAGATTGACTTTCAGATAGAGCATATGCCGTTTCCACAATCTAATTCACTCCCAATAGATCCCACAGGGTGACACAAGTTCAACTATTTCTCTTCTGAGAGATAATTCTGATATTGCCAATGACTTGACAAACAGCCAAAAGAAATTCTGACATCCTCACAGATGAAGTGAGGACATAGAACATAATCTTAACATTGATTTATCTTTTCAAAGATATGGGGCATTATTTATTTCTCAACAGAGATGAGATGGGTTAATTTTTAACATAAGAAAGTCGAGAAAACCTTTAGAAGCCTAAATATGAGGGAGAAATGTTTTCAGTGGCATGAAAGTTTATCAAACATATCATGGAATAATTTCAGCCCTAAATCCACCCAGGTGAATGATTTTATTTCTGAAAGGTTTCTGACATCCTGTTTGCTAAATTCTTCTGAAGCTTGATGCTCTCAAATATGTCATTGATTTTCTTCAGTGTGAGAATTTGACAAGAACCTGCCATAAGAACCCTGCGTGGCAGCTTTTTTCAGCTTAGGAAACAAGAAAGGTTAGTATGAATTTTGAGCCTCCGAATATTTTAGCTGGGGGGTAATTCTGCCATTTCTCAAACTGTGCACCAAAAATCTTGTCAAAAACAAAGGAAAAAAAACCAAATGGTCTGATTCCCTCCACTTTTTCAAATCAATCAAAGTGAGATTTTGAGATTTCATAATGAGACTTGGGACAGATCAATGAAACAAGCTGGCCAATTAAGAAATATAAAGTTCTATTTAGAGGAACAAACTTGAGCACAAAGTAGTTTCTACAAAGTCATATACAAATCAAATATATTATGGCAAATAATTAAGCATTAAAGTAAAGGCGATTTTTCCTTTTGTGACTCTTGTTATCCAAATACGAATCACTGTGCTAAAGATACTCTATAGTACCAAAGCATGCTTCTCAAAAAAGTCACAATAATTGTCAGAAAGATATCTTAATATAAATTATTTTTAAATCGACAAAGGGACATGATTTATCTATCAAATGGATAAACATATGTGATTAATAAGATTTCTGATAGTTTTAACAGATTTCCTTTTATCATTTCCCAATGCTGTATTGATGCTGCCGATTGTTTTAGCAGATCCAAGTTTCCATGGAATTATATCTAAGAAACTGTAGGAAAAAAATGCAGTTCTCTAGTATAATAATTTTTCTTTGTCTATAAAATAAGTGATATAAGATGCTAACACCATGAATTTTGAGGACTAATGGCACAACTACAGTGCTGTATCCATTATAACACCTAAGGATTTTTATTTTGAGGAGGAGGCGGATGGAGTCTCACTCTGTCTCTCAGACTGGAGAGCAGTGGCACAATCTTGGCTCACTGCAACCTCCACCTCCAAGGTTCAAGCGATCCTCCTGCCTCAGCCTCCCGAGTAGCTGGGATTACAGGCATGCGCCACCACACCTCGCTAACTTTTGTATTTTTAGTAGAGACAGAGTTTTACCATGTTGGCCAGACTGGTCTCAAACTCCTGACCTCAATCCACCTGCCTCGGTGTCCCAAAGTGCTGGGATTACAGATGTGAGCCACTGGGCCCGGCCACAACTAAGGTTTGAAGATGCAGTGATAAACAAAGACAATATCAGGTCCTGAACGTCATGGCTGCTAATCCAGTGGAGGAGACAGCGCTAAGTGACCGTATTTCTAATGCACAAATCTGACCTGGGCTAATTATGGTTGATAAATAATGCTTCCAGGAAGAAGGAGCATGGAAACTGGAAGCTGGGTAAAGATAAAAACTGGCTCCATGCTTTCACACCACGCTAAGGAAATTGCACTTTTTTTCCAGACGGCAATAAGAAACTATGAAGGAGTTTTAGAAATAGGTTTGATGGAATCTCATTTCCATGTCAGTAAGCTGTGTTACCTTGTGGTAATTTGTGCCTAATGTTTCTTGTGAAGTGATTGCAAGTCTTGGGTTTCTACATATATGCATTACAGTTGCAGTTTCCACTTACTAAACGTTTTTCAGGAATACCACTCCTCTGTAATTTAGAGCTTAATTATAAACCTCTTTTCTTCCTTGGTATTCAAGAACTATGGGCTAGGCACATTGGCTCATGCCTTAATACTAGCACTTTGGGAGGCCAAGGTGGGAGGATCCCTTGAGCCCAGGAGTGTGAGACCAGGCTGGGCAACACAGGGAGAACCTGCATCTACCAAAAATTTAGAAAGAATTAGCCAAGAGTTGTAGCATACTCCTGTGGTCCCAGCGAAAGGCTGAGGTGGGAGGATCGCAAAAAAAATTATAAATGCATCTTTTTTGGGGGGGGCCAAACAGTATATATAATACTGCTAACAATTATGCTTATAATATTTTATTTAGGTACAACTTTTTCAGAAACACATTTGTTACATAAAGTGCCCATTTCATGAAAACAAATATGTATTCTTTACCTAGTGATGCAGTTTTAAAAACCTGCTATGATTTTGTAGGTGACATTGCCGCATCTGTGCTATTCTTTTAGGTAAGCTTCTTTATAATAGTTTTTTAAAAATGCACTATTTTATGGAAAATTTCACGCATACTCTGAACAGAGAGCACAGTATAATAAACCCTCATGTATCTACATGTAGCTACCACCCAGTCTGCTTTCAGCACATGGCCTTTGTGTGTGTGTGTTTTAATCTATAGTCCACCCACTGAAATATTCTGAAGCAAATGCTAGACATCACACTATTTCATCTCTAAGTACTTCAGTATGCATTTTTGAAAGATTAAAATCCCTTTCCTCCATTTCTCTCTCTTCTCTTTCCTTCCTTTCCTCCTTATAACCACAACACTATTATCACACCGAAAAAAAGAACAGCCATTCCTTAATATTTAAAAAAATACAGCGTTCAAATTTCCTTGATTGCCTCAATTTCTTTTATAGTTTATTGTAATCAGGATACAAACAAAACCACAGAATGCATTTGGTTGAGTGACACTCTTAAGTCTCTTTTAATCTACACATTTCCCTTTTTTTCTTGTAATTTTTTTTAACGTTATTTTCTTTTATATTTTTGTTGATTCTATCCATGTAAATGACAGTCTCTCTGTGTCCTATATTTCCTATGAACTGGTACTTACATCTGAGGAATTTATCAGATTTAGGTTCAGTTTATGTTTTGGCAAGAGTTGTCCCAATGCGTCATATTAGGAGGCATATGATTATCTGGTTGGCCTTTTTTTTTTTTTTTTTTTTTTTGAGATGGAGTCTCACTCTGTCGCCCAGGCTGGAGGGCAGTAGCTCTGTCTTGGCTCACTGCAAGCTCCGCCTCCCGGGTTCACGCCATTCTCCTGCCTCAGCCTCCCCAGTAGCTGGGACTACAGGCGCCCGCCACCACTCCCGGGTAATTTTTTGTGTTTTTAAAATAGAGACAGGGTTTCACCGTGTTAGCCAGTATGGTCTCGATCTCCTGACCTTGTGATCCGCCCGCCTCGGCCTCCCAAGTGCTGGAATTACAGAGCCACTGCGCCCGGCCCTGGTTGTCTCGCTTTTGGTGATACTAAGATTGATATATGTATTCAGGGATTGTGAGGCAAATCCATCCTTTACAAAGCGTCTAACTTTTCAGCTAGTGGTTTTAGCAGCTGTTGGTGATGATTGCCTAGAGCCATTATTTTACTAAGGGTTGGCTGTATGATAATGTTTAATAAAACTCCGTTGACTTATTAGAGATGAATACTACTTAAAGTAAAATTTGGTATAAGCTTCTCACTTTGGGTAAGACAAGTACAAGCCAGGAAAAATGAAAAAAATACTCAATGTTTGCAATTCTCATTTTTTAGACGTGTTAAACACACCTCCCTTTCATTGACTGTAGGTATTAACAGCTATATTCTGTTGAGACAGACTTGATCCTAATGAAAAGCCCACGCAGGGCTTCAAGCCTGGGTTGGCCCTTATGCAAGTGACTTCAGCCAAGTTGACTAATCCCTCTATGCCTCAATCTCTCCATTTATAAAACGGACAGTTATCTACTTCAAGGAGTTGTGAGAAATAAGTGAGAAGGCACATAAACGACTTGACATATCGTAAGAGATCAGAATTAGCTCTTATTCCTTACTCATTCATTCAACATGTTTTTTACGCTACTTTGTGATTTTCACCATTACGCGAGAGGAGCACCAATTTCAACCTAGAACACTGGATTCTTTGGAGGGAGGCTTTTCTTTCCTAGACCTTTACACTTATTTAGGAGCCTGCAAGATGAATTACATACTGAGTTCATTTAACCCTTCCAATGGCCCTGCACTGCAGGCAAATGTGTCAACGACCCCAACACAGGAGAGAGAAAATGGAGGTGAACAAAGGTGAAACAACTAGCTGTAAGTTTCGTATCTGGTTAGTGGGAAAAGGACCATAATCTGTTTCTTCTAGTTCTTTCCTTTGGCACGCCACTTTACATATCCTCCACAATGGAAGGTTATTTGTTTATACCTTTATTCTAGGTATTCTTTGTTTAATCAATTAGCTAATATATTTTATGCCAACAGGGCAGATTCTCACACTTAATTCTATTTAAAATATCCTCTACTTTTACGCCCGGCGCGGTTGCTCACGCCTGTAATCCCAGCACTTTGGGAGGCCAAGGTGGCCAGATCACTTGCCGGTCACTTTTAACTGGCTGACAGGTGCCCAGTATTTAGCCCCCGAATTCTAAGGAAAAATAGGACAGAATAGCAAGCAAAAGGGGTCCAATGGTACTCACTGCTTGGCGATAGGCGATGGTCTCACCGCTCAGCGACAGGCAAAAGTCCCTTCGTGGTCGCCAAAACGTGTCCGGAATTGGTGGGTTCTTGGTCTTACCAACTTCAAGCATGAAGCCGTGGACCCTGGCGGTGTTACAGTTCTTAAAGGCGGCGTGTCCGGAGTTTGTTCCTTCTGATGTTCGGATGTGTTCCGAGTTTCTTCCTTCCGGTGTGTTCATGGTCTACGCTGGCTCAGGAGTGAAGCTGCAAACCTTCAGTGAGTGTTACAGCTCTTAAGGTGGCGCAGCTGGAGTTGTTCGTTCCTCCTGGTGGGTTTGTGGTCTCACTGGCTTCAAGAGTGAATCTGCGGACCTTAGCGGTGAGTGTTACAGCTCATAAACGCAGCTGGACCCAGAGTGAGCAACAGCAACACTTATTGCAAAGACGGAAAGAACACACCTCCTCACACTACAGAAGCGGACCACAGCGAGTTGCTACTGCTCATTCGGGCAGCCTGCTTTTATTCTCTTATCTGGCCCCACCCACATCCTGCTAATTGGTCCATTTTACAGAGAGCTGATTGGTCTGTTTTACAGAGAGCTGATTGGTCCATTTTGACAGGGTGCTGATTGGTGCGTTTAGGAACCCTGAGCTAGACACAAAAGTTCTCCAAGTCCCTACTACATTAGCTAGATACAGAGTGTGGATTGGTATATTTACAAATCCTGAGCTAGACACAGAGTGCTGATTGGTGCATTTACAAACCTTGAGCTAGATACAGAGTGCTGATTGGTGTATTTACAATCCCTTAGCTAGACATAAAGATTAGCCAAGTCCCCACCAGACTCAGGAGCCCAGCTGGCTTCACCCAGTGGATCCCGCACCGGCTGCAGGTGGAGCTGCCTGCCAGTCCCACGCCCTGCGCAAGCACTCCTCAGCCCTCGTGCGGTCGATGGGCCTGGGCGCCGTGGAGCAGGGGGCGGCGCTCGTCAGGGAGGCTCGGGCCGCGCAGGAGCCCACAGAGAGAGAGGGGGGAGGCTCAGGCATGGCAGGCTGCAGGTCCCGAGCCCTGCCCCCGGGGAGGCAGCTAAGGCCCGCACGAGAAATCTAGCACAGCAGCTGCTGGCCCAGGTGCTAAGCCCCTCACTGCCTGGGGCGGCAGGCCGCTCTGAGTGCGGGCCCGCGGAGCCCACGCCCACCCGGAACTCGCGCTGGCCCGCAAGCGCCGCGGGCAGCCCGGGTTCCCGCCCGCGCCTCTCCCTCCACGCTTCCCCGCAAGCTGAGGGAGCCGGCTCCGGCCTTGGCCAGCCCAGAAAGGGACTCCCACAGTGCAGCGGCGGGCTGAAGGGCTCCTCAAGCGCGGCGAGAGTGGGCGCCAAGGCCGAGGAGGCTCCGAGAGCGAGTGAGGGCTGCGAGGGCTGCTAGCAGGCTGTTACCTCTCGCCAGCACTTTGGGAGGCCAAGTTGGCCAGATCACTTGAGGTCAGGAGTTCGAGACCAGCCTGGCCAACATGGTGAAACCTCATCTCTATAAAATACAAAAATTAGCCAGATGTGGTAGCTCACACCTGTAATCCCAGCTACATGGAAGACTGAGGCAGGAGAATTGCTTGAACCTGGAAGGTGAAGGTTGCAGTGAGCCGAGATCGTGCCACTGCACTGCAGCCTGGGCAACAGAGTGACTCTGTCTCAAAAACAAACAAAAATCCTCTATTTTTATGATTTGAGAGCTGGAGACAAGAATCCTAGTATGGAGTTCTTAATGCATAGCTTTTTCCTTTAACCATTAAGTCAAATGAACATTCTAGTTCAACTATTCAGTGATGTTTATCAGTGTATTAATATGCAATATGCCCTCTCATTCACAAAGTAAAACCAACATTAGAGATAGGAAGCTTACTTTCTCTATTCGTACTGTGAGTATTAGAGCAAACCTTTTTGCATAGTTTTCTAAGGAAGTGAATTAAAGAGTTGCTCATAGATATGATAAATAACTTTTTCTTCAGTGTTCTATTTCATTCATGTCTAGTTACTGTGGTGTTACCTATAAAAATAGCATAGGTGCTAACTGGGTGTTACTAGTATCATGGAAATAAGATTCCCAAATCAACTATCTTGTTAGCAGACATGAGAAAATGCTTTTCTCACATTACAGCCGGGCATGGTGGCTCATGCCTGTAATCCCAGCACTTTGGGAGGCTCAGGCAGGCAGATCACTTGAGCTCAGGAGTTCAAGACCAGCCTGGCCAACATGGTGAAACCCTGTCTCTACTAAAACTACAAAAATTAGCTGGGCGTGGTGATGCAGGCCTATAATCTCAGGTACTGGGGAGGCTGAGGCAGGAGAATCGCTTAAACTCAGGAAGTGGAGGTTGCAGTGAGCCAAGATCAAGCCACTGCGCTCCAGCCTGGGTAACAGAGTGAGACTCTCAGTCTCAAAAAAAAAAAAAAAAAAGGTTTACAGAGAAATTTTCAAATACCATTAACATTGCCATAATCGTTCAGTTAAAACTGATGCTCATCAGTTGATGAAATGTTGTAGATCAGTGTGGTCAGTCCGTGAACTGTTTGTCATCAGTCCACAGGGAGATAAGAGCAAGCATTAAAACAATTTTGATAATTTGATATAGCAATCTTATGCTTGTGGAATCTAATAATTTTTAAAAAGTGGTTATGTATTTTTGTCTTTTAAATTTCATTTCTCTAGTAATTCAGTTTTTAAGCTTATTGAGGTGAAATTTACATAACCCCATGCACCTATTTTAAGTATACATTTAGATGAGTTTTGACAAATCTGTTCATCCATGTAATCGTCAACAAAGCATAATATAGGCTATGCTCATCATCCTCCCAAATTTCTTTATGCCTAATCCAGGAAATCAACCATTATCCCTAGCCCTAGGCAACCAGTGATCTGCTTTCTATCCTTACAATGAGATTTGCCTTTTCCAGAGTTGTTGATGAGGCAGTTGTTCACTCCCTTTTATTGCTGAGTCGTACTTCTGTTCTATGGGTATTCATAATTTGTTTATTCAGTCACCTGCTGATGGATATTTGTGTTAACAGTTTGGAGACATTATGAATAAAGCTGTTATAAACATTCGTGTACAAGTCTTTCAGTGAACATATTTTATTTCTCTTAAATAAATGTCTAGGATTGGGCCAGCCACGGTGGCTCATACCTGTAATGCCAGCACTTTGGGAGGCCTAGGCGGGCAGATCACCTGAGGTCGGGAGTTCGAGACTAGCCCGGCCAACGTGGCAAAACTCTGTCTCCACTAAAAATACAAAAATTACCCGGACTTGATGGCTGGTGCCTGTAATCCCAGGTACTTGGGAGGCTGAGGCAGGAGAATCACTTGAACCTGGGAGGTGGAGGTTGCAGTGAGCCGAGATCGCACCATTGCACTCTAGCCTGGGTGACAAGAGTGAAGCTCTGTCTCAAAAAAATAAATACATAAAATAAATGCCTAGGATTAGAATTGCTGTGTCGTGACAAAAGTGTTTAACTTTTCCAAAGTAGTGTGCCATTTTACATTTCCACTAGCAATGTGTGTGACTTCATTTGGTCCATGTCATTGAGAACAGTTGGTATTGTGAGTCTTTTAACTTTTAGCAGTTGTAATGTGTTTTTAGTGGTACTGGATTGTGACTTGGTATTTCGTGATAACTAATAATGCCAAATAGCTTTTCATATGCTTACTGGCCATATGTATATCTTTTTTTATGAAGTGTCTGTACAAATCCTTTGACCATAAATTATTTGATTATCTTAGTGAGTTAAAAGAATTTATCATATATTTTGATATTAAATATCTTACCTTTGTAAGATATTAATATTGCCATAATCATTCAGTTACAACTGATGCTCATTGCTTAATGACAAAATATTATAAATCAGTGTGGTCAATACACTTATCTTACCTTTGTAACCTAGGTAAGATAAGTGTATTGCAAATATTTTCTTCCAATCTGTACCTTGTCCTTTATTTAATTTTCTTTTCTTTTTTTTTTTTTTTTTTTTGAGACAGGGTCTTGCTCTCTCACCCAGGCTAGAGTGCACTGGTATGATCATAGCTTATTATAACCTCAAACTCCTGGACTCAAACAGTGTTCCTGCCTCAGGCTTCTGAGTAGCCAGAACTACAGGTCCATGCTACCAAGGTTGGCTAATTAAATTTTTTTTTTTCATAGAGAGGGGGTCTCACGATGTTGCCCAGGCTGGTCTCAAACTCCTGGGTTCAAGCAGTCCTCCCCAGTCAGCCTCCCAAAGCAATGAAATTACAGGCATGTGTCACTACACCCAGCCTTGCCTTTTATTTTAATAGTATCTTTCAAATAACAGGTGTTTTAAAAATTTTTGATGAAGTCCAATTTACTGTCTTTTTTTTTTTTTATTAGATACAGCGTCTCACTCTGTCACCCCCAGACTGGAGTGCTGTTGTAGCGGCAGAATCATACCTCACTGTAACCTCAAACTCAACCTGCACTTGAACCTCGAATTTTAACCTGGGCTCAAGCAATCCTCCCTCCTCAGCCTTCTGAGTAGCTGGAACTACAGCCGTACACAACCATGCCCAGCTAATTTTATTTTAACTTTTATATTTTTGTAGAGATAGGGTCTTGCTATGTTGCCCAGGCTGGTCTCAAAACTCATGGCCTCAAGTAATCTTCCTGCCTCAGCTTTCCAAAGCACTGTATTTACAGGTATGAGCCACCACATCCAGCCTAGTTTTGCTTCTTTAATATCTAGGAAATCTTTATCTACCCCAAGGTTATGAAAATTCCTTAATAAGTTTTAGATTTTATATTTAGGTCTATAATCCATTGTTTTTATGTGTGGTATGAGGCAAGGGTTTTTCTCCATGAATATATGCAGTTGTTCTAACATTTGTTGAAATAACTACCCTTTCCCTATTGAATTACCTTGGCACCTTTGATTTTGGCACCAAAAATCAATGAGCCATATATGTGGGTCCATTTCTGGATTCTATTCTGTTCATTGACCTATATACATTTATCCTTACCTAAATACCACCTCTTGATTGCTGTAGCTTTATATAGCAAAGCTTTATATAGCACAGTGCAAGTTCTCTTTTTCCAAAATATTTTGGCTATTCTGTGTCATTTGTATTTACATATAAATTTTATAACTAGCTTGTCTACAAAAAAAGACTGGCAGAATTTTTGTTGTAATTCAATTTATAGGTCAATTTAGGAATAACTAACATTTACAAGATTTACATTTACACAATTGGGTCTTAGGCCAGGCACGGTGCTCACGCCTGTAATCCCAGCACTTCAGGAGGCCGAGCCAGGCAGATCACTTGAGGTCAGGAGTTCGAGACCAGCCTGGCCAACATAGCGAAGCCCCCAACTCTACTAAAAATACAAAAAATCAGCCAGGTGTCATGGGACATGCCTGTAATCCCAGCTATTTGGGAGGCTGAAGCATGAGAATCGCTTGAACCCAGGAGGCGGAGGTTGTAGTGGGCTGAGATCGCACTACTGTACTCCAGCTTGGGTGACACAGTGAGTGAGACTGTCTCAAAAAAAAACAAGAAAACCCAAAATTGAGTCTTCCAATCCAGAATTATGGTGTTATATCTCCACCTACTTAGACATTCTTTCATTTCTTTGCAAGTTCTATAGTTTTCATTGATAGGTCTTGCACAAATTTTGCTCTATTTGTCCCTATTTCACGTTAATATTATTGTAAATGGTGGTTTTTAAATATTAATTTCCATTTATTAGTTTCTAGCACGCAGAAATAAAATTGAACTTCGCATATTGACCTTGTACCTTACCTTGCTATATTCTCATAACTTTTGATTCTTGAGGCGTTTTAACATGTCTGATGCCTTCTGCAGTTTTATTTTTGCAGTATGTATGCTTTTTATTTTTCTTACCTTATTTCACAGACTAGGATACAATTCTGAATAAAAATTATAAAAGCAGGTACCTCTTTGCGTTTCCCAAATCTTGTGGGGAGGGGGGCGGAGTGGTGAGGGGCAACAAACGTGATGTTAGTTGTAGGTTTTTCCACAGATACCTTTTTATCAGGTTAAAGAAGTTCTCTAGTTTGCTGAGAGTTTTAATCATGAATGGATGTCAAGTTGTACATTTTTCTGCATCTATTGAGTTGAATGTGTTCCTCCCCCATTGTATTGTTAATTTGGTAAATACTGAATTTTTAAAATTCTTATAGTAATTCATTCTTTAAAAAAAAAACTCAACTGTGGTAAAATATACATAATATGAAATTTACCATCTTAACCATCTTTAATACGGTTTGGTATTGTTAAGCATGTTTATAGTTGTGTAACCATCTTGTTTTTCATCTTGCAAAACTGAAACTCTATGCCCATTAAACAGTAACTTCCCATTTCCCCCTCCCTGTACTAATTCAGTTTTTATTTTACAGATGTTTGTCTGTGACAAATTGGAAATAAGAAAGTGGTCCTTCACTACGGAAATTTTTAAAAGCAGTGTTCTAAAGTTGTCAGTTTATCAGTAAAAAGCATTTTAAACACATACTTGGCTTGTAAATTAAACTCTGAAGCTGTACACACAAAAAACTGAAGTCCTGGGAGAACAAACATACCTCACTAGCGTCCTGGCTGATGGTTTTTGATTGCTTCGAACTAGATACAATCACACTGTGTATTTTTAAAGCCATTTATTTCTAACCATAACTTCCTATTTAAGCATGTCAATCAAACTTTCATCATTGCTTCACCATGAAGGCAGGCATGAATCACTTTTTCCTAACCCTTTCCATTCTTCTATATTCTGATTCTGGCTGAAGCAACCTGCTGATAGCCAACATGAACAGGTGATTTTTTGTTTGTTAAAAAAAAAGGCTTTATGAAAGGTTTACAATTTAGCAATCATCAGCTTGCCTTCTGACAGCTTCATCTGTTACTATTCTAAAACAACTTGGCTTTGTAGATGGAATTTCATTAATTTCCTCAAAGAGATGAACCTACTAATTTTAGTTCAGTGAAATATGTTCTTCCCAAATTGACAGCTTTTAAGTTTAAAAATGCATCGGAATCCTATGTACAACGTATCATAAGTGGACTGTCAGATTACTATCCAACAAAATATCCTGGGGATTTAAGATTTTGTTTTCAGGAAAAAAAACTTTTAAGCAACACAGAAACATACTGTATAATAGTTTTATTTTTCTCATTTTACTATTTTTACATTTTATGCACAAATATTTATCTGCGTAAAAATAGAAAATAACTGTTTTATGTAAAATTACAAAAAAAATTAAAACCACAAAGAAATACATAATTGTTATTATGACAGTATAAGTGTCGTTGTCGTTATTTAAAGAGTAAAAATGTATGCAAAAGTCCTCCTCCCATTTACAAAAGATTGAGAATTTTGTTTTTCCTGGCAGCAAGTGAAATATTGAAGTATCAATATTTTTACACCCTTTAGATCTGAAGACATTAAGTTAGTCACAGATTTGTTTTGCAATTATGAATTTTAAAACATTTTTGTGCTATTTCAAGGATACACTAGTTCTTTCTTAAAGGCAGTAGCATAAAATGAATATGGAAAACAGCAGACCTCACAAAAATATTTGGTGGTACAATTCTTTTTGTATCATACTTGAATATCACCATTAATCAGGGGAGAAAACAACTAAACAATTTTTCCTAATAACATAGACTGATACAAAAATAACTGTGATCAGTCAATTTATCTGAAGATCAACCACACATAGCAATTCTGCCTCATTTGTTTTTCTGATGCCAACACAAATATTTAGACTTTAGGCTAGCAAGATATGTATGAAAGTTGGCTCAATAAAAACTTCACATGGAAAACAAATTTTAAAACAAAAATGAACATTTCTTTTACTTAAATTCTTGTACTTCTAAGGTACAAATGATGACCAATAATTTTATCTTTCTTCCTTTGAATATACTGTAAATTCTATGAAAAATTCATTTATAAAAACAAAGCAAAGAATAGCATAAATTTTATTTTCTTTCACAATGTTATATTTTAATAGAAGAAAAAAACTACCTTTCTGATAACTGTAACCTAAGTAAAACAAATATTTTACATATAATTTGAGGCAAAGTAATGAGTTTCTTGAATCAACTGGAGAAATTAGTCACATTACCTATGTCATGCATAAATGATGGTAAGAAGAAAAAAAAAGCATCTGATCATGTATGAGAACTGTCTCTGTTCAAATTATGAGAAATAAAATGAAAATTGCTAAAGGGAGAAAATGAATAAAATATGATTTAAAAAAAAACCATATGGGAATTGCATAGATGAGAAAAAAATTTTCATTCTAGGGATCTAAAAGTAATGTTTTTAGCTTTAAAAACATACACACACATATATAATTGAGACATGTCTATCATCTTGGCTAAAATTTTAATATATGTCTCCCCAAAAGCATTTTAAATATGAAAGCCAAGATTCTTAAGCTCTTGATGATATACCAGAAGGGTATACTTTATTATTTTTTTAAAACTACAAGCAACTTGTCAACTCTCTAGGCCGTAAGAGGATGGTGCAAAACCTTTCTTGCTGTCTATTTGTTACCTGACGTTAGAGCTTCTGTTTATTATTTCATATTGTTATTTTACTCAGATATTCTTAAAACCACAGTGCCCAAATTGTACTAATAATCTGTCCATATATTCTCTTTCAAAAAAGTAAAAATGGAAATACAAATCTTACTCTGCTCAGATATCAACTGCAGGAAGAGCTTAATAATATGAATGAATTGAGAACATGTTTTAGTAAAATTATGCATTAAGATTACCAGAGAAAGAGATCAAAGATCCCTCCCTCTCTCTCTTCTCTTCCTTGTCCTTAAGATCCCTGCCTCTTAGGATTCATTCCAAACCACTACCAGAATTGCTAACAATGCCATCTTGCCTGTATTATCATGCCTTTTTCTCCTAGTTAAGTCAAAAGCATTAACTGAGCTCTTAAGAAGCTTTTTAAGAGGACAGATTTAAAGAAAACAATGAAGGAGAAGGTGCATAAATATTTGAGAATCAACTTTCTCAAATCTGTAAGAGGATTAATAGCTATCTGCCAGTCTCATGTAATAATTCGTGCTTAATACCTTAAACAACAAAGAGAGAAAAGAAAGAAAAAGACATTTCTAGCCATTTTTGTTTAGTGTTCGCTTATGTAAGGAATGTCATATATGCAGGAATTAGTTAATTTGAATCTTAAAATGAGTTGTTTAATAATTTTTCTTCTGTATATCTTTATGCCTTCATATGTTTATAAAATGATCAACTGAATATGTATACAGCTATATGAATACACATATATAATATGGAAAAGGAAAACAAGTGGAAAAGTATTGTCTTAAAGAGAAGACTGCCTATAACAAAGGTCGTATTTTCCTTTTAAAACTATTTGCAAGTAATTTACTAATGCCTTGAAAGGTAAAGTACTACTGACTGATTTAAAGTCTTCATTTTATCAGAAACAAAGGAATATAAGCTGCTTTGCATAATAAACTGGCACTACAGGGTAATTTTTTAAAAAAGGAAGCCATAACAAACCAAAACAAACCTTTATTTTTGGGTTGAGGTATACCTTTTCAGTTTTTTAAATCTCTGACAGGAAAAACAGAGATCATTTTATAATTTTTATAACAGCTGGTTTATTAGAATTAAATGCCTCTCTCAAAATAATTTAAATTCTTGGTCTGACATGAGTAATCTATACAGAAAATCCTTAAAATTGGCTTGAGTTAATAAGCCAGATTTAAACCTGGATCTCCTCCTTCAGCACTGCTCTTTTGCCAGTCAACTTCTTACTGTCCTTTGCTTGCAAATATATAAATAACCTGATACTCTTAGTTTAGTAATTTATTAATATAAATTTATTCGGTATGAACATTTTAGCTCTGCTTGATTAGATGAAACAGGCACACATGCTTTAGCTGAGAAATTCCATTTTCTGGTTCTATGTAAAGCAACATCTAAAGCAGCAGAGAGGGGAAACAGTTATATTTTCAAAAATAGTTAAGCCAGACTGTTTCCTAGAGATACTTCATTTATTTTTCATTTTCAGATACTACTGGCTATTTTTGGTAGGGCTACACATTAATACTGACCAGTTTAGCCTTCCTGACTGTTAAACTATTCCACAATGAACCTGCCTTCACACTGCAGACATTGTGGAGATCCTTTAACATACACATATTCTAAAATATATGCTCAAAGTAAAAAGATCCAAATTCACAAGAGTATGAAATATTTATAAAAAAATCATGCATCAGACTGTACAGCCTAGAAATAAAAGAAGATTCAAATTCAGTAATAAAGGTAAGAGCTATACTTGCTCTAAACATTTTAAGAAAGACTTTGGAGTCTCAGAATGTCCTGGGGCTCAATTATCCTTTTCCGTTTGCAGAGAAGCAGTAGCCAGAGCTACTGCTGTGACTGGCTGGGCAATTCCATGGAGCTGCATCTTTGCAAGTTTCTTCTGTTCACATTCTGTGACCAAACGGTTCAACTCCGCTGCACTGTATCCAATAAGAGTCTTCAAGTCACAGACAAACTTGTACACAAATCTCTTGCCTTGAACTTTACAAATCATGTCCCCATCGTAATAATATCTTCAAAAAGAGAAAAAAAAATTAGAGACTTCAGAAAAAATGAGACTTCTTACAATAATTTACAGACTATTCCATAAGCAGAAGCCTAGTAGAGTACTGCATCCGCCACAATAGCAATTAATATTGAAGCTATGTAGAATATTTAATGCTACTATCAAATGAAACATCCCAACATTATTTACTAAAATTTCAATGCTCACTACTCCAAAACTCTATACATTAAACTTTCAAAACATATTTTCAACAATTAGAATAAAACATTGATTTAAAAATAATTATTAAACAAAACAAAAAACCTTGAGAGCAGTAGAAGAGCCTAAGAACAAGAGCTTTGGAGTCAGAAAGCCAAGATTCAAAACCTAACATTTTTGAGACCACAGGAGTCATATTTTCTCAAAGCTTTTATTCCTCATCTATAAAGTGAGGTTAACAGTGCTTATACCCTCATATCATTGTTGAGGATTAAAGGGATAATCTTTGTAAAGTGCTTAGTATACAATGACTGGCACACAGCCCTCTACAAAATATAAGCTATGTTAATAAAAATCGATAATATAAAAAAAATTAATACATATATTCCACTTCTTTTCTGTCTTGTAAAGAATCCTATATGATGAAGTCATGTCTTCATCTTTATTATTTCACTATGTAAACGCTTTCCAAATTTCAGATAAATTATCCAAGCCCAATAGGGAGCTTTAAGTCTAAGGAAAAGGTCTAAAAGAAACAGAGGATACAGAAAAACAGGTAAAGGACATTGCAAAGAGACAATGTTTCTAAACGTACACAAGCAGAGTTCCGGCAATCATTCTAGAAATCTAGTTTACTGCTGCATTCTATAGAGATGCAAATGGAGCTGGATTTATGTTTCCTTTGGAAAACAGACTTTATTTAAACACACACTATGTATTGCTAATTCCAACAACAGGAAAAAGAGGCAAGTCAAGCTCTTTCCACGACTGGCAGATTGCAAAGCCCTTATTTTAAAATTGCACTGCCCACTGACAAAGGGCTATTATAAAAGAAACAACTATTTGCAAAAGTACCAGATATAAACTATCACATTTAGCAGGATAAAAGTCACTTGGCTTAATCAAGAGTCTATTAATGAAAGGACTGACCTATATACAGGAAATTGTCATCTTTCCCTAATTCCAGAATAGCAAAAGAAAAATAGTTATGTTTGATTTCCCAGTAAGAGATATAACACATTGGGCAGTCTTGTAGTTTCCATTTATGTCAATTACATTAGTACAGAATTTGGATTTCAGCTCATAAACCAACAATTCCTTGCCATCCAGTTAAAAATGCTATAGGCATATCAATTGCTTTAAAAAATTTCTACATTAATATGTAAGACTATACGTGGGGAAAAAAAGGAAAATGGAAAAGGAAAGAGGTTTTATAATTCTAGGAGGAAAATGGAGTTGGCATAATCATATTTCTTGGTAAGAGGTGATAAAAAAGAATATACACACATAAATTTGAATTTTACTGAATACTTCTTTTGATCTAGTAGATGCATCACACAACTGTATATAGTAGCATTTATTCCACTTGTTGCCTCCCTAAAATGAAAGATACACAATACCTGTATTTCATGGATATGATTTCTTTTCTTCCCTCTTTTTTTTTAAACTTGTATTTTTTTAAACTTTTTAATTGCAAATATATCACACAAACAAAAGGACACAGAAGTGAACAGTTCAGTGATTTATTACAAAGTGAACATTCACTCACCTGTTAAGTATCACTCAGGTCAAGAAACAGAACACTGCCAGCATCTAGAATCCCCTTTATGTCCCCTCCCAATCACTCCCCAAATCCTGGCTCTAAAAGGTAAACACAAGCCTGTATCATGATAGTAATTTGACTGCTTTTTCTTTATATTTTTATCACCCAAACATGCATCCCTAAATACTGAAATTTAATTTTCCTGTTTTTTGAACTTTACTAAATAAATGTAATCATACAGAATTTGGTCTTTTGGGTCTGGATTCTGTCACTGAACATTATGTTTGTGAGGTTCACTGGTCATTGTTTGTAGCAGGAGCTTAGTTTTCAAGAATGCAAGGTATTCTTGTATGAATATACCATAAATGATTCATTCACTCTACTGTTGATAGATATCTGGTTGTTTCTGGGGTTTGGATGTTATAAATAATCTGCTATGAACATGTGTATGGGCATAGAAGTACATCTCTGTTTGATGTGTATGAAACAGTTGCTTAGGGGAGCAACTGTTACAATTTACATTCCTATCAAAAGGGTAGAAGCATTCCCATTGCTCCATATCCTCAACAGAGCTTAGTTCTGGCAATCTTTTAAATTGTAGCCACTCTAGGGGGTGAGTTGTACCATTTAATTATGGTTTTCAATTGCATTACTCTGAATACTAATGAGGCCGTACACCTTTGCATATATTCATTGGCCATTTGGATAATCTCTAGCCTGAGGTGTCTATTCAAGTCTCTTGCCCATTAAAAAATTGATTTGTAAGAATTGGTTAGATATTCTAGATACTTCTGTCCGACATGTGTGGCTCTCTTAATAAGGCTTTCAACGAACAGAAATTCCTAATTTAAATATAGTCCAGTTTATTGATCTTTCCCTTTAGAATTAGTCCTTTTGATTCTGTTTAAATGTCTCCCTACCACCAGAAGTTATGAAAGTATTTCTAGATCCTTTTCTATTTTACTTTTTACATGTAGAGCTACAAGCTACATGGAATTGATTTTTGGTACGGCATAAGCAAGAGGTCAACTTTTACTTTTCCCCAGAGATGGAGAGTAAATTATCCCAGCACTGATTATTGAAAAGCAGGTCGTTTCCTCATATGTTTTCTCCCCACTGCCATTTCTTTAAATCAAATGCTTACATATTCCTGGTTCTATTTTGGCTCCCTATTCTACTGTATGGCCTATTTGTCTTGAGAAAATAGCATAACTGTCTTATTACTGTAACTTTAGAGTCAGTCTCAATATCCTGTGGGACAAGTCTTTCCACTTTGCTAATCTTCAGGTGTCCTGACTACCATGGTACTTTATAGTCCCATGTAAATTTTACAATTATCTTCTCAAGTTCTATGAAAAACTTAGTTTGATTTTTCAAATTAAACTAAGTTGCTGCACTGAAACTTAGATCAATCTGGGGGGGAACTGACATCTTAATTATTAACTCTAACAATTTACCTGTAATTTTGAGGGGACTTGTATGTATACAATCTGTATCAACTCTCAAAAATGGCAGCTTTAATTATGATTATAAACGAAGAATCTTTAGACAGTTGGCAATGTGTTTGAGACTGAATGGTAAAGGATAAGCATTTTGAAAACTAAACATTTTAGTTACTCATGAACTCTGAGAAAAAAAGGGTCATTCAGGAAAAGAAAAATAATCACAGCCAACTATGTAATAATAGTTACATGGCCGTAATACTGTAACAATGAATACTCGCTGAACCAAAATTTCCATATAATTATATTGGGATACTGAGATGAAGGGATGGAAAGGGGAAGGGAGAGTGTGTGTGTGTGAGCTAAATTATAATCTTTCAGTGTGAAAATGGCCAAGTGAAACATGAAGAAGCAGTAAAAGCATGCTATTTAGAAAAACTCGTGAATTGCAGAACTATTTTACTATATTCAATCTCCCAAAAAATCAGACATAATTCCGTGATATTCTTATATATCCTTCTTCTCAGATACTTAAATGTACCTGTTGAATTTCCATCACTGTAGTAGGCATAATTTCTGATAGTAATTTCTGTCAAAAAACCTTATACTACTTACGGAGAGTTTGTATCAATGTAAAGATTGGATATCCAGATTTAGGCAGATTGTGTAGAAAATGGGTCAATATTCTGCTTGTAATTGTAAAAACAGAGGACAGTTTCTGCTTACTCATTAAAAACTAACACTCAATTCATCTATGCAAATAATAAAAACCTCAAAAATTAAACATTTTTTTTTGGGACAGAGTATTATAGCTTTCAAATCAGATAAAAACAAACAATCTTAGAGTAATTTTGTAAAAAAAAAACTGTACCTCGAAATTATTAAGATCTTTTTAAAAAGGTTTTTTAATATGTAAAGAAAAAAACATAAACAAGTTTTTAATATCATTACATAACAATGCTTATTACATCTAGAATAAGAAACTATTTTTTAGAAAGTTTCTATTTTTGATAACAGAAAAAAAAGTAATAAAGGCTTACCTTAATGCACGACTGAGTTTCTCATAGTTCATCGTAGGCTTATTTTTACGCTGTCCCCATTTCTGTGCAACCAGTTCAGGCTGATTTAGCTTAAATTCACCTTCATCACCAACCCAAGAAATGCAGTCTCGAGCGTCCTTATCAGTAAGAAGTTCTAGCAAAAACTGCCATAGTTGGATTTGGCCATTGTTTCCTAAATTGGTAAGAGGAACAAAGCATTAGCTATAGTGTTATAGATTAGCCCAAGGCAAAGACAACAAACTGGTCCCGTGGTTTAAATCTCAGCCATGGCAAAAACAATTTTTGTTTTTCTAGAAATGCTGTCTAAAAACTGCCAGAGGGATAGTCCAAATTCACATTTTTCATACAGTAAAATACAACAAAATATACCTAATTAGATAGATATATTTTATAAATACAAGAAAATACAAAAATACCTGTTCTGTTCCCAGGTGAGCTTCTATCTTCTCCTGAAATCCTCGGCGCTCTTTGTACTTTGGCTGCTTTCGCACTACTATTTATAACTTTAATGGTAGTAGGTGTAGCAGATTGCACTGATGCTGGAATAATTTGCACAGCTGCAAAGACAGACAAGGAGAAATTTTTTTTCTTCCAATACAAGCAGGAAAAAAAAAAAATTACTGAAAGACATTATCACTTTAACTAATGCCCTATGAATTACCCCCAAGAAAGTACTTCACTACAGAAAGCCTCAATCCACAATTTCAAACAAAATAACAAAAAAGTTCAGATGGTAAAGTATAACGCTTGCATTATAGTTTGTGCATCTTAGTAAGAGCTAGTATTCTTGTTTGGAAATAACTTAGTGATGCATACACATTAGACAAAGAGTATTTAAACATGTTTGTTCTTAAAACATTTGTTCATAAAAACGGTTTGTCAAATATATTGTACTAAATGTGGACAAATGAGAATTCACACCACCACTTTGAGAATCTGGCAATATCTGGAGTAAGGCTGAAAGGATAGAAACCCTATGACACGAACATCTCACACATGTTCTTACAAATATTCATTCAATGATGTTTTCACAGCATTTAAAAGATACAGCAGTGAAAATGAATGAAACAGCTGCAAGTATCAACATGAGTAATTCTCAAATGATAAAAAAGTTATAAAATAATATGTACAATGTATTATTTTACAAACAATGTTTAAACATGTGGAAAACAATGCTATACAGTGTTTACGATTACATAGTTGGTAAAAATATAAAATATGCAGACAGTAATAAACATAAAATTCAAGATAGTTCTCTGGTAGGAGAGAGGAAAATGAAACCTACAACAGGTATACTTGGTGTAAAAAATTTTATTTCTAATGATGTACACAGGTGTTAGTTATACTTTCTTTGTGTATCTCAAATTCCTCATTAAAAATTTTAGCCGGTTGGGATGATCTTGTGACGTGTGTGTTCGTACCTCAGGTAAAACATAGCTAAAAGCTTATGGCATAAGCGGAAAAGAAAGATGCATGCTGAAAAGGGGGGAAAAATGCCCCAAAAGAGCTCAGCAGGCTTAAAAGTATTCTCAAACTAGACAGTAATGTTTTAATGAAAGATGTTTAAGAGACAGCAACTGTGGTGGTACCCAAACCCAAACATGCCAAGAGAAAATGCAACATGAGGTAAAAGATGGAAAAGATGACATGAAAATGGAGATGGATATTAAGAGAAACAAAAAGACTCTTCTAGACTGTACTTCTAGCAAGTACAGTACCCAATATAGATGAATCAAAGGTAAAGAATAAAGCTGAAGGCAAAGCGAGAGAAAAGAAAGGGGAAAAGCCAAGCAAAAGTAGTGGAGGCGGCGAAGGGTTTGCCCTGGTAGACTCTTCAAGCCTTGGAAAATGCCACATGGGACAGATGATCCATTAGAATGTATACAACTGTATACTTTGATTGCAACTCCCACCAAATGAAAACTATTTGTTTTCCTATTTTAACTTGGCCTTTTTTCTTCATTTCAAACCCATTGTAACTCCTCAAGTTTGTTTTGGACACTTGAATATTTTCTCTGCTGTATCCAACCTATACTGATATTTCAATTGGATGCTACCTAATATCCAGTTATTATCAGGCATGAAAGTTCTGTCAGGTATGAATGTGGTTAGAATTGTTCTTACAACTTGGTAATTAACAGTCAGTAAAGATGAAACAAATGATGTCCTAACAAATTTTGGTGAACTGAGATACAAAGCAAGCTGTTATGTTAATCGTATCATTTAAAAACACATGAGTGGATCTTATAAAGTACTTGTGTCGAGCTTTCATTCCACAGAACAAAAGATATTTTGTGTGTAGAAAAAAAATTTTTTTAAATAATTTTCCTTTTTATTACCTTGCGGTATCAAATAAACATTTCTTATTAATAAAAGGGCAAATATAGGTACAAATACTCACGTTGATCAATTGTAACTATTTCATTCATCTGTTGTTCTTGACTTGCCAATACATCTGAAAAAAACAAAAATTTTTTGTTTTTATTTAAAACCAAAAATATAAAAACCCCAATCCAATAAAACTCAACTTAATAAACATGGTTCTTTTAAAAAGAACTCCACAATTAAAACCAAAACACTGAACTGAAACTTACTGGCATAAAAACCTTAAAAATATTTGATAGTCACTTTAAAAGGAAAAGATACCTTAAGAGAAATAACACAGGGAAAAGCTCCAATGTCTTTTAGTGTTCAGTAAAGTTCTGCAGAGAACTATGGTTTTCTAAATGTAAACATTTGTATTGAAATCCACATAAAGCCATGTAAAAATATGGAAATCTTCAAGATCAGATCAAAGATAAAATATACACCAAAATTAAATTATTTAGGTACGTATCTCCACCAAAAAGGCCTCCTTCCCATTATTTGTTATAACATCCACTTTTGACTAAAGCTGCTTAAGCTTTATAATGCTTCTACTTAAAGACAGCAAATTTTCAACACAATTGTAGCAGTCCTAAATGTCTCAATTAAACTAAATAATTTCACATTTAAAAATATAGTTCCCAAAATAAAAATACTATAAAGGTCCTGAGATAAGGCTTTACAGAACCATTCATTACTTATCTGTTGTTATTCCCTACTTAGATGTTATTCTTTACCTCTCACAAGAATTGCACATCCCAGTCTCTATTACTTCAGCCTACTTTGTGCCCATCACAAATTGCATGCCTCTCTCTTGAAATTGAAACTATACCCTCCAGCAATCATTCTGGGTACTGAGGCCTGGGCTCCCAAGAAGACTCCGCTAAGGGTGCCTTGCCAGGATCCAGTTCCAGACACGCAGAGCTGGAAAAGGTTGGGGAAGTAAAAAGAGGTCAGAATCCTATCAGATGGGAGCTTTGAGGGTCTGAAGACTGAGGACTTAAGAATTATATGGGACTGGCTTCAGACAGATCTGGATTTAGTTCTTAGCTCTTACTGACTATATGACTTTGGTAAAATTACCGACCTCTTTCAACATTAACTTCTTCAAGTTTAAATTAGACACCTATACTTACTGCCTCATGAGGTTATTGTGAGGATTAAAGAAACATGTTTTTAAAAAGCACAGTGCACAAAACAGTTACTTTTTCAGTCAACTGACAACCTCACTGTTTTATCCAGACTCCTAGTTCTGAGCATTCTCCTCCAGAACTGTGGTCTCTCTTGATAAAAAAAATACGCACTTTATGTTTGTAGTAAATTTTCCTCAGAATTTTATAAAAGTTCCTCAAAGAGGAACTATTTGAGACTAAAGGAACCTAGCCTCAAAAGAGGCAAACGAAAGCATCACCATCACACAGCACAGGCATAATCAACTTGTAAAATCACCTTCTAAGTCCTAATTCTCAGATTGGAGTTTGGTCTGTTTCCTGGAAACTCTCAAGACAGAAGGCAGACCACAGGGGGAAAAAAAAAAAGTTTTTGAAAGACTGGTCCAAGACCAATCTCTTCAAAGTACAGGCACTCTGAATATCACATTCCTCCCTGAAACCTCCAAATCCTTGCTACACACAAAGTAAGCAGTCTTGAGAGGCAAAGCCCTGGGGGATATGGAGCCATTTTATGAAGAAACATTAGACACTACAGGAATAAAACAATTATTTTTCCTAAATAAAACCCTTAGCAAACTGAGAACTTCATTTGCCTTTGGTGACAGAAGACAGAGATTCACACCGAGAAGGACATCATGGAACTGGTAGTACTGGGACATTTCCTAATTATCCTCCCATGTATAGTGGGACTTGGATGTAGTTTCAACATAGGGGGGACTGCAGGCAGGTGGTGGCTCAGGTGAATAATCTCATACAAATATCTGAAGAAGGAGCCCTACCTCTTCAGTACTGCTGCTTCTTGAGAGATCACTGAGGATGGATAATAGAGGCTGGGTTATTAACAGTTCTGTCCCAGAATCAGTGCCTTTCGCAGATAGGCTGCAGACTTCTCTCTACAGAAGGGACCAGAGTACTAACTACACTGAGCTCAAAAAACCCTATTCTGAGAAGTAAGACTTGTGAATTCTAGAAAGTCTGTTAGAAATACCCTTACACATCATCCTGCCCATCTCCCAATTCTGAACTGAGCACTAGATTTCCAAAGCAGATGGGATTTCCCTACCCCGGCAGAGTGAAGAACCATGGCTGGATCACCAAGAAATTCCGTGAGACACTCATCTAGGCTGTGGGACTTTGTTGCTTTAAAAGACAAAGCAATGGTTCCAGAGCAGAGCTTTTCTGAGGAAGACTCATTCAACTGCATGGAAATGGAAAGATACACAAGACACCTTTGACTTCTGTTCTGGGAAAAGCCTATGAATAAGCTTTAAAGTTTGAGAAGCAATAAGAGAACCAGAAAGAGACAGCCACAACAAACAGCTGACCTGGGAAAGACTGGAAAAAACGTGGATTTGGGAAAAATGAAACTACCATCTATGCACTATCTTTGTTGTGTTCTTGAGATTTCTTATAAGAAAGTGTTTCAATAAACATGACTCACATGTTTCACAATTCAGAATCTACCTTATTCATTTCAAAACCTCTGCAGGGAAGGAAATCTGTGAAACCAAGGACAAAGCTTCAACCAGGACATTCAACTTACTTATCTAGTAAGAATGGAAATTGGAAATAAATGCTGCAAATACAATGAATGTACTAAGTCTTTTAGTATCATAGATACTTAAAAAAAACATCTGGGAGAATCCTCACAAGAATAAAATTATAAACAATTAAGAAATGCCTCTCTCCAGAGCTCATTTCTTATTCACCAGCAGAGAAAGCACTTTCAACTCCTCATCTCAAGTGATCTGCCCACCCCAGACTCCCAAAGTGCTGGGGTTACAGGAGTGAGCCACTGCACCTGGCCAGAGAAAGCACCTTGAATGAAAACTGCAAGCATTGAATTACGGTGGAAAAATCCCTCCACCAGAGCTCTCTCCTTATTGGGTATATAATAAAACAAAATGCTATCATTAACATTTTCATCCATAACTGATACAAAAGCAAAGTCAGAGTATGTTGTAGTCATGTGTTCTGAAAAATATGTGGGTCTGGCTAGCATTTCTGATATGCAAAACTGTCAAGGAATGGGTTGCTTTCGGTGTCTTAACAGTGACTGAAATATAAGATGGATTAAAATTCAAGCAAAAATAATTTACATTTGTGCCTTGTTTTCTTGGACAGCCAAGTAGTTTCCAAACTTCTCTCTCTCTTTTTTTTCCAATTGAGACTCTTGCTCTGTCACCATGCTGGAGTGTAGTGGCGCAGTCTCAGCTCACTGCAACCTCCGCCTTTCAGGTTCAGGCTATCCTCTCGCCTCAACCTCCCAAGTAGGTAGGACTACAGACACGCACCACCTTGTCCGCCTATTTTTTGTATTTTTAGTGGAGATGGGGTTTCACCACGTTGGCCAGGCTGGTCTCGAACTTCTAACCTCAAGTGATCTGCCTGCCTCATCCAATTTCTTTACATGGTCACTTAATCATAATAATGTCTGAAGCCTTACAAGTTATAAGTGGAAAAACTTATAACCAATGGCTTCCAATGCCAAAAGGTGGCTGCATACACTTCCTTCCCTCTTAAGACTCTATTCAATTAATAGTAAAGACTTCAAAAAAGATTTAATCTCATCAATAATGAAGAGAATGGGTAGGAAGCCACCTGTAAACAAATGATCTCTTCCGTTTCTAGATGAGCAGTAAATGTAAGAGCTGATCAAACAGAAGGCAACAAATGGAATATATGAAGAGGGCTAAGTGTAGGGCACAGCATCTGATTTAAGAACTTGGATTCTAATGTTAGCCTGGGCTTGAATCCTGGCTCTGCCACTTCCTAGCTGTGACTTTATGGGGCTCTCAAAGCCTCACTTTCCTATCTAAAAAATAAGCAAAGTAATGACTTATGGTGTTACTATAGGAATTAAAGAACATATAGAGCTTTCAGCATAGCATTATACAGTAAATAAATGTTAATTATTATTGCTTATTACTTATCATTATCAATAAACAACTAAGATGAAAACAAAGTTACAAGGAAATAAAATTAAGCTTAAATTACAATGTAAAGAAATAACTGTAATTTCATACATTTTCGGAGAAGTTCCAGATGACTCCAGAGAATTTCTCCCCGAGGAACCCGCTGAAAAAAATCTTCTTGGTTGAGACTACATAATTCTCTCCCCGAAATGTTGAGTGTGGTGAGGTCTATATCGGTCATGCTGAATTCCTTCATTACCCAAACCACCCAATGCAGGACTTGGTCTGTGGACCACTGTATGGGATCTAGAAAGAAAAATATTCACTTTAGCCTAGTTCCATTTTAGATACTGTGTAAATTTACAGTTAACTTCTCAATACACACACATACACACAGATGTTTTCTTTCCCCAAGTATATGAGGTAAACTTACTATATGAAGCAAAAAAAAAAAAAAAAAAAAAAATTATGCTGTAATTTTTTCCTCAGCTCCTTTCCAATTTCTTAATCTAAATTTCTGATGCAGTCACTTGGTTCAACCTCAGCTGGAACTGTATCAAGAAAAACAAAATGCAAAACTGCTCTCCAGTGGGCCAAATGAAAGAATAAAATATGAGATTATTCTGGAGAGAATAAAGTAAATTATCCAAGTTTAAAAAAATTTGCAGTTGCATTGAAAAAAAATCAAAAGGGGATTCTAAGAAGCTAGCTTTATTCTCCAAACTATGAACCATATCCTTTTTCCTCCCTTTTCCTTCCTGTAAAAAGCTGGCTGCTCCTGCATTTACCCTTATGATGCATTTCCAATAAATAAATAAACATGGTAATTGCCTGTTTTACTCAGCTGTCCCCTCACAACACACTAAGAAATACAAGAAATGTGTCTTGTAAACCATTCTATCTTTAGAACCTAACAGTGCCTTGCTCATACACTTGTTTAATCTTAAAGAGTATATCCAAATAATTTTCCTTTTCCCTATCATTTACTACCTAATTGAATTCATAAATAAAAAAATATGGCCAATATCTATAAATATTACATTGCTGTATCACCCGCACCTAATAGAGCATTCTATCTGTGTAAGTTTAATACATATTAGCTAAATTAGTTTTGGTTCTGGTACTCCCACTTTAAGAAGATGATCTATTCAAATAATATTGGTTATATACCCAATAAATAAATGCTATTCAATAAGAAAAGTAGAAAAAAAATAACATTTAGGTATCGAGGGCAAATTATAGTGAAAATAAATCAAACATAAGAATTTTATAAAAGTTCTTCAAAGAGGCAAAGTGCTATTGAAACTGAAACTATTCCATTTGAGACTAAAGGAACAGAGGTGCCCTAGCCTCAAAAGGCAAAAGCAAGCATTCTAAGAATACAGGATTAATAGCCACAGAATATATATTTTAAAATTTTTCCATAAAGTTGTTAAGTGAGGATTCTAGGAAGATGGTGGCAAAGTTTTTTAATTTTTCTGAATTGTACACATAAACATAAAAAAGTGACTGGAGAACAAAACCAAAAACCCACGAACATTTACATAAAACCAGGTGACAAGATATCTTCATGGACCTCAAGATACAAGAGGGTAAAGACAAAGCAATAACAGCTATAAGACCTCCATGGTCTTAGCTTGTGTGCAGGAGAAAGCAAAGGGAAGCAAGGGAAGTGTGACCCACTCTGATCATAGGAAAACCTGAGCGCAGCCAAGAAGCATGCATTCAAAGTACAACAGGACAAGATGAAAGCAACGCTAAAAAGCAGTTTCGCCCAATCCAATAGCTGCAGTGTGTGTTAAGATTTAAAGGGCTGAAGCAATGTAGCACCTGGGTGTTTGTCAAACTGAGCCAAGAACCACTTTCAGGAGAATGGCCCACAGTAAGGAGAAACTGGCAGAGTGGAACTAGAAGTGAGCAGCAGAGGGACGCCAAGGAAAAGGAAAGAGGAGAAGGCCCAGGTAAAAGTCGACAAGAACTGAAAAAGAAAGTTGCCTTATCTGTGAGTACTATACTACTTGAAAACAACAGAAGCAGAGTTAAATAGAAAAGCTATCCTGAAACACACCTCTTTTAAAAGAAAAACAAAGTTAATTTCACATAAAAATTTAAAAATAAAAAAAACTCAGGGAAAAATATAATTTGTCTGATTTGTTTTCTCAAATATCAGGACTTCTGGTTTAACATAACTAATTGTCCACCCATGTTCTGCCTCCTTTCTCTAAGACTCTAGTAAAACAACAGTAAAGGAATTTTTAAAAGATGCAAAATCATAGGAACATGAGTACAAAGTGACAGGCATGGATGAAAGATTTAATCTAATGTTTTGAAGACAATAAGCAGAGTGGTAATCGATTTGGCATAGGAGGGGAAAACTATGACCTAAAATGTTTGCCAAGGAGGATGCCAGTAAGAAGTGAGAGAATTCCTGCCTGCAGAACCCCCTTCACTGGTTCAAGTCATGGTGGTTCTGAGTAGCAAGAGGCTTAAAGCTGAAAATAAGGAGACAGATTTAAAGTAGATGGTGTGGTTAGAACCTCCAGGGTCTCTCTTTCATTTGGGGGGCCAGTTAAATGAGTGCACCCCACACATGTGGACACCGGGAAAACATTTATTAATAGATGGGGAGAGACACGAACAGACACTGAGAGAACAATTCCCAGTAATAAAAGCCTATAAACTGAAGAGTGAGACCGTCTCCACCTTCTCTACCTCCTCCCTGCTCTACTTCCTTTTCCAGTTCCACAACACAGTATTCACATACACACCTACCCCAAATGCTCACCCCTATCTTCTACTGCTGACAGGTATCTGCAAAAAGATCTATAAATATTGACACGTTTGAAACTCTTTTCTTTGCCCTTTTTTTTTTTTTTTTTTTTTAGACAGTCTTGCTTTGCCACCCAGGCTGGAGTATAGTGGTGCCATCAAAGCTCTCTATAGCCTCAAGCTCCAGAGCTCAAGCAATTTTCCCAGCTTAGCCTCCTAGGATATTGGTGTATGCCACCATGCCCAGCTCTTTTTTCTATTTTTTGGAGACAGTCTGGCTATATAGCCCAGGCTGGTCTCAAACTCCTGGCCTCAAGAAACCCTCTCACCTCAGCCTCCCAACGTGCTGGGATTATAGGCATGAGCCAACACACCTGGCCTGAAATTCTTTTAATGAAATAGTCAATGCCTCGTTTTATCAGCATATAGTTATCAAATCCTTCAGAACTTCGCATTAATTAGCTTTAAAGTTATTTACTCTTATTTTTTTTCTTTCGAGATGGAGTCTCACTTTGTTGCCCAGGCTGGAGTGCACTGGTGCAATTTCGGCTCACTGCAACGTCCGCCTCCCAGGTTCAAGAGATTCTTGTGCCTCAGCCTCCCAAGTAGCTGGGATTACAGGCATGTACCACCACGCCCAGCTAATTTTTGTGTTTTTAGTAGAAACAGGTTTTACCATGTTAGCCAGGCTGGTCTCAAACTCCTGGCCTCAAGTGACCCACCTGCCTCAGCCTCCCAAAGTGCTGGGATTACAGGCATGAGCCACTGTGCCTGGCCTAAAGTGATTAATTCTTAAATATGAAAAGATGGGCAAAAATAATTAGATACTTGGGAAAGGTTAAAAACAACACAAACAAAAACCACAAGAAAAACAGAATCCACAAGAAACAGATATACCACGGTAAAGCTTTTTAAAAGTTAAAAAAAAATATATAATCAATATACTCAGAGAAGTAGGAGAAAACACGATATTGGCAATATAAGATCAGAATGCTACAGAAAGGAACAAACAAAAATGAAGAGCCCTTGTAAATTAAAAATCAGATAGGTTATATTAAAAACACAAGAAAATCTGGCAGAAAGTAGTGCAGATAGGTAAGATGAAAAATAAACAAGAAAAAAGATGCAGCAGATCAACTCAAGAGATTCAACAGGAGTTCCAGCAAAAAGAACACAGGTATTTATCAAAATAATGCAGTAAGAACATCCAGAACTGAAGGCTACAATTATCAAGATCAGGGCTGTCCAACAGAAATACAATGCAGACCATTATGTAATTTTAAATTTTCTAATAGTTACATTTAAAAAGTTGGTCAAATACATCTTAATAATGAATTTATTTTAACTTAATGTTCCAAATGTTATTTCAACTGGTAATTAATATAAAAAATTAGAAAAGATTTTATACTTTTTCTTTTAATGGGTATTTTTACATTTACAACCCATCTTAATTTTGACCAGAGACACTTCAAGTGCTGACGTGTGATTAGTGGCTACAGTACTGGGCAGCGGAGGGACAGACTGAAATTCTACATTAGCTGTCTGGTTCCATAGCTCTCTTTCAGTTCCATGGGTAAGCTCTCTCATTTACTGTGTATCTTTTAGGTTTGGTTTAAAGAAAGAAAAAAAATGTCCTAGGGAAAACAGTGGTTCTACAATACAGCCTTTCTGTCATCAGCCCTGCTCCCCAGGTACAACCTTGTCTCTAAAAATAAAAAATAAAAAAAGGACAAAAACCCGACAATACTGTTTCATTTACAAATACACTCAGGTCCCCGCCAACTCTTGGAAGATCAGTATTATTTATTTGTTACCCCAGCATTCTTCCTCATCTGCCCCCATTTCTAAGATATCTATTTCTTATAATTCTGTTTTGTCTCGCCAACTCTAGTTACTTCTGTCTAAATTTAAGAATAATCCTCTGATCATCAAATTTAATAGATATCAGTCAGCATTCTTTGACTTTCTCAGCAGCATCTGAGAGTCTTGACCATCCAAACTCTCCCCTCAATTTCAGTGACACTATACATATAAGTTATTACTTTCTTTCTGTCTCTTCAGTTATTTCTTGTCTCCCTTTTCTCCAACCCTAAATGTTTACAGGGTCAAGTGTATATGCCTTTAGTTGTGTGTTCTTTTCCATTTCTCGCTTTCCATCAGGGACTACGTAGACTTTTATAGCTTCAAATATAAATTCAGTGGGAATGAGTCTCATATAACATCTTTGTCTCCAGCCCAAATCTTATATAACTGAAACCATTTTCTGGCTAACCTCCAGCTGAATATAAACTTCCACATCAAAATCAAGTGCTATCCACCTTCTCTTGAAAAAAACATTTCCTATACCAGACTTCTCTACTTCCCCAACTGGGCTTTTGAAAGCATGCTCTTCATAGTGCACCATCTTAATTAAGCCCAGCATTTAACATGGTGCCTGGTGTACGGTAGTGTTCACTAAATATGTAATGATGATGGAACCAATTTTTATCAAGATTATTACTGTTTTAGTCACCAAGATGAAGCTTGAGAAGTTAGATCAATACTTGTATCTTCCCTCTCTACCCTCATAAAATCTGTCAATCTGCTCAGTCCTATCACTGTTTTCATCCACTTTTTCCTTGCTACTCCCAAAGAAATCATCTGGAGTCTGGGCTAATGTAGACATTATCATCCAGTCACAACTATAATAATATGCTCCTGTTTTCCCTTCACTTAGTCTCTACCTGTTCCAACTTATGCCATATATTGCCACCATATTCATTTTTCAATTATCATTTTCATCAATCAAAAACAGTTCTGTAATGCTACAGAGTAACTCCTTAACCACTCCATTTTCTCACTACTCATGCATACCCCCAGGTCTAAGCTTTGCACATAACATTTCCTGTCTTAAATGTCTTTCTCTGCCCAATGGTATCTTATTTATAATAAACTCTTTTCAGCTTTCCCTCAGGGCAACTATGATCTCTTTGAGATTCCAATAGCATACTTCTACAAGAGTTACTGGCAGTTTAAAAACATGTTACCTTTTATGGCAATCATCTCTTTTCATCTATCTTCTCTCTCTTCAACTACACTCTCAACACCCTAAGAGCAGAAATTTTTTAGACTTCTTTGTATTTCCTGCACGCAGGACAGAATTTGTCCACCACATGAGCTTAAATGTGCGTTACAATTAAAAGAGAGATACAGAAAATCAACATTCATCCTAATAACTCTACATGTAAAATAGATTATAACTTACCCTAGTGTCTTCTATGTCAAGCTTAATTCCTATTATTCTACCCAATATAGAATTATGCATTTTATTACCATAGGGTATCCCAAGGCGTTCTTGTTCTTTCCTATAGCCTTCCAGTGCAGCAGCCCATCTTGTCACTTGTTCTGAAGTTTCATCTGAAATGGTTGTGATGTGTTTTGTGCCATCAAGAGTTATCACTTGAGCTTCTTCAACAAGATGTGCTTCTGATTCAGCATGGTGGGCATCTGGATCAATAACAACCTCAACAGTGTCCGCAGGTTTAACAATTTCAAGGATGTTTAACTTTGGTTCAATTCCTGAACAGTGGATAAAAAAAAATTGTAAATCTAAATGAAAACGCAGAAGTCACCAAAAAATAATTTAGTTTATATGTTCCCAAATGGTAGAGAAAAACTACATCGAATAAAGCAAATGTAGTAAAAGTTAACATTTGGGGAATCTGGGTGAAGGATATTCAAGAATTCTTTTACTAGTCTTGCAACTTTTCTACAAGTTTAAAATAATTTTATAAAAAATAAGACACACACACAAACCCTACCTATAAACATCATTAGAAAAAAAGAAGTACCAGTTCTTACCACAATAAAATAAATAGATAAATAAAAATAAAAATTACCAATACGAAACAATAAAAATTAGACTAGGCAGAGTATAAATGAGCAGCTACCTATCCTTGGAATTTTAAAAAATCCTTCTAAGCAAATTAAAATTATTATTTACTGACTCAGTTTTTCTTTTTAAAGGACAAAGTAGATGTGTTAAAAATTATGCCAAATTTACTAAATTAAATTAACCATTAAATTCTAAATTTCATTTTAAATGAGATGAAGAAAAACCCAAATCCTGAATATTTTAAGCTCCTAGTATAAAGGTGTTAAGAACTGTAATTCCTATGGAAAAAATAAAAAATAAAAATAAATAATTTATTAATACAAAGGCTCCTCAACTATCCAGAATTAAATCAAAATTCTGATTTTGATTTAATTCTGGATAGTTTAAAACACATTTAAACTATTAAATTATAATTTGATTATACCTAATTAAATTATAATTAAGCCAAGAAATTATGCCATAAAAACAGTTATTTCATTATGTGTGCAGTACTCTCTATAAGATATACTTTTATTTATCTATTCAAAATGGAATTAGCCCTTTACGAAATAACCTCAGACTAAAATGACAGCTCTAAGACACTGTCATATTACATAACTGCTTCTGTTTCTTACTGAATCTATTACAATCTATATCAAAATTCAATCAAAGTACAGCTTAAAGAAAAAGCACAACTCAACTTCGATCTTCTGTGAAAACCAGTATTGCAAGAAACTACTACTATCATTCTCAGGTAGTTTAAAGAGAATCATTTTTCAAATATACATGATAAAAACAATCAGAATCAAAAATATTTTTTGTTAAAATCTATTTCCTAATCCTTCATCTAGATTTCATACTTTAATGGCTTTAAGCGAACTCTTCTTAAACATACTTGCATCAAGAGGTCACTAGGCTTTTAAAGATAAAAACTACTAATTTATTTCCTATTCCCAATAATCAGTCCTGAGGGAATTAAGGATCAGAAGTACGTAACTACCATTGTCAGAGTCTGAAGAAAAATGTGGTTTGTGAAACATAATTGTGAACAATATATGTTCAGAGATGAAATTATTCTAAATTTTAAAAAGCTAAAATTCAACCTACCAAAAACAGTTTCCTAATTTTCTTTTCTAACTTGGGTACTTATACAAGTTTAGTAAAATACTGTAATGAATAAGGTTGACTGGATGACTCTATGTCTATTACAAATTCTTCTCTCTGTGCTAAACTGTACTGGTTGGATTTCTTTGCAGCTAGGGTTCCAGGCGTGACCAATGCTTTAGAATCACTGGTATAAGCCTTCTATTTGGAAAAGGGTTAAGAGAGGACAAGCAGGCAGATCAGAGGTCCCCAAACCCCAGGCCACAGACCACACAACAGGAGGTGACTGGCAGGCGAGTGGATAAAGTTTCATCTGTATTTACAGTCGCTCCCTTTCACTCACATTACCGCCTGAGCTTCACTTCCTGTCAGATCAGTGGTAGCATTAAATTCTCATAGGAGCACAAACCCTACTGTGAGCTGCACATGCGAGGTATCTAGGTTGCGTGTTCCTTATGAGAATTTAATGCCTGATACTCTGTCACTGTCTCCCATCACCTCCAGATGAAACTGTCTAGTTGCAGGGAAACAAACTCAAGGCTTCCACTGATTCTACATTATGGTGAGTTGTATAATTATTTCACTATACACTACAATGTAGTAATAATAGATACAAAGCACACCATAATGTAATGCGCTTGAATTCCCCTGCCCCAATCCACGGAAAAACTGTCTTCTGTGAAACTGGTCCCTGGTGCCAAAAAAGGTTGGGGACCATTGAGGCAGATAACATCTATTTTTTTATTGATTGACTGATTGAGACAGAGTTTTCCTCTTGTTGCCCAAGATGCAGTGTAGTGACACAATCTCTGCTCACTGCAACCTCCACTTCCTGGGTTCAAGTGATTTTCCTGTCTTAGCCTCCCAAGTAGCTGGGATTACAGGCATGTGCCACCACACCCAGCTTATTCTGTATTTTTAGTAGAGATGGGGTTGCACCATGTTGGCCAGGCTGTTCTCAAACTCTTGACCTCAAATGATCTGCCCACCTCAGCCTCCCAAAGTGGTAGGATTACAGGCGTGAGCCCCCGCAGCCAGCAGACATCTATTTTTTTGACTAGTGTGGATCACTGTAAAGGCAACATGGTTAAAGTGACAGCTACCATGGTAGCTTCCAGGTGTTGTATTTTCCAGATCATGGCAGGGCAGCAGCTTCCTTAGCAGTCCAGTTCTGCAGTGTGGCTGAGGTACTCTTAGGAAGTCAGCTGCAACCTGCTGACTTCCAGTACTCTCTCTGATTCTGCTATTTACTACCATATAATATATCCTTTTATGATTGAACTAAGTAGAATGTGTTGTACTATCTGTTTCACCCTGTCAAATAAAACTACTAAACCCAAAGCATGAATTTTGGCTATTATATCATATCAAGTAATGTAGACAACCATCGAAAACACCTAAAAACTTATAAATTGTATCAGAAAAACATGAGCTAAAATTTTAAATAACTATCATGAAAAGTAACTTACCTTGGTAAGAAATTACCTGTACACTAAGCTGTACAGTTCCATCTGTTTTTACTCCTTGGTCAAATAAACTTCGTTCTGGATCCAGCTAACCATGGATAAAATGAGTAAGATTATTTCAGTGCAATCATTAGATTAAGTCCCTTGCCTTTGGTTTAGAATAAATGGATGTACCAAACAGAACTTAATTACTGAACATACTAATTAAATTATAAGAACACATTATTTAGCTTGTCATATTTAATTCTTTGCCAAAATCTAAAATATTTTCACCACTGAGGAAGTAATTGAGGACAGCATACCACCAAATTTGTCATGTCAGTTTTCTCTACCTCTGGAGTCTAGTTTGGGATTTTAAATAATTCCAAAAGGCAATTATTCATTCTGAAATGTATTTAAAGTAGAAGGTAATGCTATATCTGTCATGAATAAGTAAAAGTGTTTAATTAGTCATGATAATTTATCTAAATATATTAACATATTCTTGTCATATCTGCCTTGTAATCAATGCTACATATTGAAGATAAGGGTTTACTCTAAATCTCTCATCATAAAGTTAATAAAATTAAAGCACTTATGACCTTACTACCTAACCTAGCTATGAATATCTTGAATCCTAATTCTATATCATTTCAGTATTAGTGTTTTTTCCTTCATATATCCTTATAGAATGCATTTCACACTATGGCAAATTGATGATAAAACATTAATTCTGACTTTCAGACACTTTCTGTCATCAGCTTAAAGACAGGCTTCCATTATAATCATCTTGCATAATTTATAACTGTGTCTGCATGTCATAAAGCTGCATGTCCTACTCGCATTCCCAAGAATTCAACTGATGGTGTCGTCATGGCACAAACACATGACAAATGACTATGAATCTAACTTGAACAGGGGAGAAGACAAACTGTGTACGGCTGGGCATGGTGGCTCACACTTGTAATCCCAGCACTTTGGGAGTCCAAGGCAGGTGGATCACCTGAGGTCTGAAGTTCGAGACCAGCCTGGGCAACATGGAGAAACCCTGTCTATACACAAATACAAAAATTAGCTAGGAGTGGTGGCGCATGCCTGTAATCCCAGCTACTTGGGAGGCTGAGGCATGAAAATTGCTTAGACCCGGTAGGCGGACGTTGCAGTGAGCGCCACTGCACTCAGTCTGGGCAATACAGCAAGACTCCATCTCCAAAAAAACAAAACAAAACAAAAAAAAACCTTGTAACCTTGTAGACAGATAGATTAAATATGACAGTTTCATCCATTAATATACATTTCATTAAAAATTGTCTTAATGTCAAGTTTTTTTCTCCTTGTCTGGTGGACACTGGTATTATCCATTAGAAGCTATGGCAAATGTAACTCTGAAAGTATAAGCTCTCAGGTACTGAACATATTAGCAAGTTCACTAAAAGCCAGAACAAGGACAAAACTCAAGCCTGGTATTTGATCTTGTGTTAACACTCTTCAAAAAAGTGCAACTTAGCTGTTGTTCCCTCAGCTTTCAAGTCAGCCCACAGCATTACCATAAGCAGCAAGACTTCTGACTGAAATGTATGTTTGCATTGACATGAAGAACATGTCAGTGTGGTCCTCATATCCTTTTTAAGGAGGAAAGGGGGACAAGGAGTAATGCAAAATGCCCTTAGATCCAAAGCTAGCCCTGAATTCTATGACAATATGAATTATAAATATTACCATTTATCCAACTATTATTTTCTGAGAACTTGGAAGAGCCTGGGTAATCTGCAGGCCATACTTTCATTTTGGATAGGTCAAGTGTTATAAAGAAAGCAATAAATGTTACAGCTGAAAGACAACTAAGAGATCAAGTCCAGATTCTCCTTTATTTTACATATGAGCAAAACCAGGCAAAGTCCAGTGACACTGAGTTATATTCACTATAAACCTTTAAAAAAGTTTTTTGTTTTTTCGTCTCAAACAAGTGAAGAGAGTTCTGGAGCCACAGAGGTCTGGGTTCAAATTCCAGTATACCCTTTTGTAGCCACACATTGGGCAAATTATTTAACCTCTTTAAATCTGTTTCTACATCTGCAGAATGTGACTAAAAATATGCTGATTTCAAAGACTGATGTGAAGATTACGTGAGAGAATTAGAGTGTTTTGTAAGTATTTTTTTCACTCAACGTACCTTGCCCATATAGCTCAAGTTCACCAGTTTTTAATGGCTACCTCGAATTCTATTCTATCAAATCTCATTTTTGGAACATTTGAGGTGTTTTCAGTTTTTGCAAAGCCATGAACATCTTCATGCATATATCTTTACCTACCCAAGTGAGCATTTCTGTAGGAATAATTTGCTGAAGTGGAACTGTTAGGAATTTCACATTTAACATTAACAGATATTAAATGGGAGGTGGTCTTCCAAAAAGACTAAGCTAACTCATCCTCTCATTGTTAAGAGAAAAAAACTTTAAATCCTAAAATTTGTAACACTACTAGACTTTCCCACATGCCCTAGTTTTAGAGGCACTCTATCTTCCCTACCCACCACCAATTACTAGATTTATATTGAAATGAAAAGATTAAAGTATGGTTAAAAGGCAAATAAAATGCACAAATTTTGTTAAAACACTTCAACTTATTGTACAACAATATCTTATTAAAAATAGTAGCAGCATATGATGATTTGAATTTTTAAAAAACTAATAAAAAAGTTCTGTAATATACAGAATACCCATATCACAAGGCAGGCAGGGGAAGGAGTAAAGAATAAAATAAATCAAACGATCCAGAAGATGAAACAATATACATTAATCTAAGTTAATATAAAAATAGTATAAAACTCAGCCAGGCACGCTGGCTCACACCTGTAATCCTAGCACTTTGGGAGGCCAAGGCAGGCGGATCACTTGAGATCAGGAGTTCAAGAGCAGCCTGGCCAACACAGCAAAACCCCGTGTCTACTAAAAATACGAAAATTAGCCAGGTGTGGAAGCATCGGCCTGTAGTAGTCCCAGCTACTCAGGAGGCTGAGGCAGGAGGATCGTTTGAACCTGGGAGGTGGAGGTTGCAGTGACCCGAAACTACACGACTGCACTAAAGCCTGGGTGACAGAACGAGACTCCATTTCAAAAAAAAGAAAAAAAAAAAGTATAAAACTCTAGTATTTAATCATATGTTTAAGGAAGGTCATGGAAAACTGTATGGGCAATCCTATTTAGGCTGCTACCTTTCATACATAAAAGTACTACCTATCTTTAAAACATACTGTAAAATATGACTCGGGATATGTTTCAGACATAACATATTATACTACTACCATGGGTAAAATCCTTTTACAATAAATTCCAGGACCTATCAGTTGATATTTAAATTCTTATCCAAAACTTACTGTTAGAGAAAATAAAGGTAAAACAGAAATGTAGAAATCATTTAGTTAAATGATACGTTTGAGAAGTTAAAAGCTGGCTAGAAATACACTTCAGCTTCAAAAGTCAATGGGCTTCCTACTGTTACTACTTATATTTAAGCTTTGATTCTAATTTATTTAAACTTCTCGTTTTATATTTGTGAAAGTAAAAAACAAATGTTTCATTTGTTTTAGTACTAAATATTTAAAATATAACTTTAAATGGAGAAAACTTTGCTTAAAAACCTTTTTATTTCTAAACACTTAAATTTTACAGTAATACAGGTCAAATCTTCTTACAGAGATAAAGTCTATAGCTATAAAGAAAAGGCTAACAAAAAATATTCCTATGCAGACTAAAATGTTGCAATAGAAATTTACAAAAATAAAAATTACCTGGATATCTTGCAGACAAATTTCATGAGCATCCAAAGAACACTGTAGTCTTGGTTCTAGCAGTTTCTTTAAATTGCCTATTGGTTCATTGATGTCTATGGCCTGGCTTACACATTCAGCTGGCGCGTAGGTTTGTTCTACAATGCTAAATGTTAAAGATGTAAGTGCTAACAGTTACATTTTTTACCCTGGATTTCAAAGCAACAATATGCTAAAAACACAATCCCAAACCAAAACACATTTCTGGTCTTTGAAAAGTCATTTCTACATAGATACTGTGGCAGGCTCATCACCAACTAGTGTTGCCAAAATGAACACTGAATTTCATAGAGAAATGCTAAGCTTGAAATTTAAAGCATCCTTGTAAATATGCCTCATTATGTATGTACATACATATGTGTGTATGTGTACACATATAAACATTGCACATACATTATGTTTGCATTTGCATTACATTTTCAAGTTATTTTGAAGAATTTTAGACCCAGAAAGGAAGACACATTGTCTCCTCAAAATCTGTATGCCATCTCTACTAGTCAATTTCCCTTCCCCACATAAAAAAAAAGAAAGATATAAAAATAGAATAAGTTAAATAAAAGACTTTCCCTTTAATTTAATATGAACACAACTGGTTATAATCAGGACAGCTCAACGTTTAAAAAAAAAATGTATATTCTTCCTAAAAACTGTCTTAGTGCTCTTTCATATTATTTCACACTTTGAATTCAAAAGGGTTAAAATCTTTGGTAAGTAATCCTACATAACTCTTACAAATCCTTATATAGGGCCAAATAGACAAATACTAAGTAATATTTGCTGAATTGGTGAATGTGGAATTCAATTAAGTATTCCAACATGTTTAATTTAAATATGATTTAAATCTTATTTGTGATTGTCAAAAACAGTATGCATTAAAAATCTGTCAAGTTTTCACATAAATTACAAGTAAAATGAGATACATACATGATATTCAATGAATGTATATAGCTTAAACTTTTTTCTAAAATATTTATTTATATTTTAATTTTAGAGAGAGTCTCCCTATGTTCACACCAGGCCGGCCTCAAACTCCTGAGCTCAACTGATCTTCCCACCTCAGCCTCCCAAGTAGCTGGGACTACAGGTGTGTGCCATTGCACTTGACTTAAAACATTTAAAATTTATAAAATAGAACCCTCATGATTAAAAACAAGCTTATTTAAAAATACTAGTCTACTATTGTTATTTGTTAAGGTAAAAAAAAACTTTAAGTAAGCCTTTTTACCAAACTCTTCAGCTATAGCCTGGTAGGTTTTTTTTTTTTTTTTTTTTTGAGACAGAGTCTCGCTCTGTTCCTAGGCTGGGGTGCAGTGGCGCGATCTTGGCTCACTACAACCTCCGCCTCCCGAGTTCAAGCGATTCTCCTGCCTCAGCCTCCCGAGTATCTGGGACTACAGGCATGCGCCACCATGCCTAGCTAATTTTTGTATTTTTTGTAGAGACTGGCATGTTGGCCAGGATGGTCTCGATCTCTTGACCTCGTGATTCACCTGCCTTGGCCTCCCAAAGTGCTGGGATTACAAGCATGAGCCACTGTGTCAGGCCAGTTTTTTCTTTTTTTGTAACAATTACTCTTAAGATTCAAATGTCACTTTTAAAACAAATTTTTAAAGAACTACTTTATACTAGCTGAACATTAAACATTTTTAAAAAGTTTTTATTGCTATCATTTAAACCTTGGAAGACCTCAAATATCTAAAGTACCAATTTCTCTTAAAAAAAAAAAAAAAAGATGATCTCATACTACTAGACCTAAATTCTTGCACAGCAAAAATCTACGTTAGGTGAACGACAATTACTGCCTCCTTCACATAGGTCATACATATTAATTACCAATCTGTCGCCTAACCTAGACTATCCACAAAAGGTCAGATAGTACATACTTTAGACTTTGTGGACCATCTGTGTGCATGCATGTATAAATATATGCATGCTAGACTCCAAGAGGGCTGCCAATGATTCTTAAATTCATGCCCTTTTAAAGTTCCCTCCAGCACTGTACTAGGGTTGGACTGTGTGACCAGAAGACTAAGACAAAGTGATATGTCACTTCTTAGATTACTTAAAAAAGACACTGGGGCTTTCTACTTTGCCATTCTGTCTCTCAGACCATTTGCTTTAAGGGAAGCCAGCTGCCATCCCATGAGCAGCCCTAGAGAGAGTCATGTGATGAGGAACTGAGGCATCTTGCTGAGAGTCTCAAGCATGACTTTGGACGCAGACACCCTAGCCCTAGTCAAGTCTTTACAAGACTGCAGCCTGGGCTGACAGCTTCATTGCAAACTCATGAAATACCCGAGACAGATCCACCCAGGTAAGTTGCTCCCAGGTTTCTCTGAGAAACAATGAGCAATAAAAAATGTTGGGCTTTTTTTTTTTTTTTGAGACCGCACCTTGTCCTGTCACTAAAGCTGGAATGCAATGGCACAACGATGGCACAATCATGGCTCACTGCAGCCTTGAACTCCTGGGCTCAAGCAATCCTCTCACCTCAGCCTCCAGAGTAGCTGGGACTTAGGCACATGTCACCAGGCCAGGCTATTTTTTTTTTTTTTTGTATGTTTTGTAGAGACAGGGTTTTGCCATGCTGCCCAGGCTGGTCTTGAACTCCTGGGCTCAAGTGATCTGCCCACCTCAGCCTCCCAAACTGTTGGGACTACAGGCATGAGCCACTGCATCTGGCTGAATGTTACGCATTTTTAGTTTCTGAATTTTGGGGTAATTTCTAACACAAATATCTATACATGAAATTCCACAGAAGCATGCATTCCCTCTTTCTTATGCTGGAAAAACTGGGATAAACAAGTTGAAAAGCTCTATTAAAAATTTAAGATTTTAAATCTCAACTGTACTCTCAATACTCAGTATCCTCCTTAACCTTAATTATCTTGTCCAGTTCCACTGCAGAAACTTCTAAACCTTTGTTACTCCACAGAGATCTCTAGTACTTTTCAATCCCTTTTACTTTCAGCTTATTATCTCACCTCCTACTTCACGGAGTACAATAGGGACCATTAACTACTACTTTCCTCAGTCTTCTTGTTGACTCCCAAAGTCTATTTCTACCCATGTTCTCTCCTGGATTCTGAACTCATTACTACTGTCCTCCTTTCAAATAAGTATGATTCCACTATTATTCCAAGAATTAACACTTTTCACTACATTTTATGCTTAGTACTGGTCCCGTAAGTACTCATATACCTGTATGTCTCCTCAAATACAACGTGGCCTTTATAAGGGCAGATTAGTATCTTATTTATTCACATATTCTTGTCAATTAGTTGTTTACAACAGTTACTCATAAATATTTGTTAAATGAGTTCAGGTTGAATTAAACTATTTCTGAAATTAAAGCAACCAGTGCTGAGGAAAAGAATAAAGAATCAAATGCCCCAAAGGAGAAAACTATTGAAAGCAATTGCTTTTGATTTCATTTACCCTTTTACTACCATTAGTTTAAAACTGTCTTTCCCTCTCAGCTACAACCACATTAAGTCAGAGGAAATAAAACAATACATTATTCCCTAAAATACTGAGAACAGTTAAAAAAAGACAGTCCAAAAGAACTATGACTTGTTTCCTGGTTTTAATTAGGTATATTGATATTTTGAAAAAAAATGATAAATTCAGAAACACCAACCTTTCTTCTGTGCACTCTGCTTTCTCTGTTCCATCAATCTCAATTTCTATCAGCTCCTCTGCTTCTCTTTTAGTCATGGCTGGAGTATTTCAAAGGATCAGTCCTGCAAGAGTGACTTTTTAAGATATTTTAAAACTATCCACATAAACGAAATGACACACAAGAAGTAGAGACCCAATCCAAATAAAAAGCAAACGCCAAGCAGAAGAGGGGGAAGTAGTCTTTACATATAGAAGAAAATCAGCTGGGTGTGGTGGCTCATGTCTCTAATCCCAGGACTTTGGGAGGCCAAGGCAGGCAGATTGCTTGAGCCCAGGAGTTTGAAATCAGCCTGGGTAACTTGGCGAAATCCTGTCTCTACTAAAAATACAAAAATGAGCAGGGCGTGGTGGCACGCGCCTGTAGTCCCAGCTATTAATACTTCGGAGGCTGAGGTGGGAGGATCACCTGAGCCCAGGAGGCTGAGGCTGCAGTGAGCCATGATCGCACCACTGCACTCCAGTATGGGCGACAAGAGACCCTGTTTGAAAAATAAAATAAAGAAAATCCACAAATGACATTTATAAACTAATTTTTTAAAAAACTGGTGTTTATTAACCTGACATGACAACTTCATTAATCTACTGGATTTACTGAGATGTTTTCGGGACCAATTGCAATCAACAAGTTACCTCAAAATTAAGTTAAGGGTCTGTTAACTATATTAAAGCAACTCAGTCTCAATAACAGATTCAAACCTGAAGCTTAACATGGAGATGAACTATGTTTATTCAGCTGAAAGTTGTACCTTAGTAGCAGAATTTACTGCAAAGTATCACACTGATACAATGATATGCAAATTAATCAGCTAGGATTTGGTACAAATGATGTCTCTTATAAATGCAAGAATATTATAAAACAGCAAAACAAAGTAACAAATTACAGATATGCACATTATTTCCCTGATTACACACAGTAGAAAATTTTTAATGATTTTTTCAGAGGTGGTTTTATTTTAAACAGACCACTACTTCAGTTTTTAATTATCCCATGTAAAATTTTTATCTATTGCTTAAAACCACTGATACAAAAACATTAGAATTTTAAAAATGCTAAAGAATACACAAATAGCTAATATACATAGATATTTCTTTGTGGACATGTCTGAGGTGTTAATACTGTTAAGTACCAGGTTCTGTTATTAACTACCTCGCAGTAGGTCAATGAATGTCTTTGAATTCCATACGCACTTTCAGTCCACAGCACCTTCTGAGTAGTTATTCTAAGCGTACTACCACATCTAAAAAGAGGCGTACCTTTAAAAGGAACGCTCCACTAAATTTGGTATTTCGACATTTACAAAAGAGTTGTGCTCCCACTTACAAGATTTCACTAAATGAAGAATTTAAATGTTCATTTGTATTAACCATTACTCGCCGAGCATCAGGCACTGCATTCAAATGCTTTGCATAGAGCAATCTTATTTTGAGCTCCATCTCATACGAACGCTATTCAGAGGTGAGGCTAAACCACTTGTGGCTCCATGTCACAGTTTTGGTGTATCAACCTAAGTAGGTATCATTCCAGATGGGGATGAACCATGGTTGTCCAAATATAGGCTCTGTATTGCGTATATCAGTACAACAGCCACCACCACCCCTTACCTGGAGTACTGCAACAATCTCCTAAAGGGGGTCCCTGTGTCCACTCTTGTCCCCTCACAGTCTATTCTCAGTCAATACAACGGCCAGAGTGTGATCGTTTTTAAAACGCAGCTAGGGCCAGATACGGTGCCTCATGCCTGTAATCCTAATACTCTGGGAGATCGAGGAGAGAGGACTGTTTGAACCCATGAGTTCAAGACCAGCCTGGGCAACATAAAAAGAACCTGTCTCCTATAAAAACATTTTTAAAATTAGCCAGGCATGGTGGTGTGCAACTGTTGTCCTAGCTACTTGGGAGGCTGAAGTGAGAAGATCGCTTGAGACCAGGAGTCGAGGCTGCAGTCAATGATGATCGTGCCACTGCACTCCCTCCTGGGCAACAGCGAGACCCTATCTCTTGAAACAAATAAATAAAAGTAGAAGGTCCTTAAAAGTAGAAGAGGAAATTGGAAGAGAGAGCCAGAGTGATTCAATGTGAAGATCTGCCGGTTAGCTGTGACTGGCTTTGAAGATGGAGGAAAGGAGCTTTGAGCCAAGGAATGCAGGTAGCTTCTGAAAGCTAGACAAGGAACGGATTCTCCCTCGAAGGCTCTAGAAAAACAGCACTGGCAACACCTCATTTTAGCCCAGAGACCTACTTCATATTTCTGACTCCAAAACTGTAAGATAATAAACAGGTGGTGTTTTTAAGCCACTAAATTTGCATAATTTGTTACACTAGCATTAAGAAACTGAGTCTCCCTTCCCACTTTAGAAAGGGCTATAACTCTCCTAAGTTCTCAATATCTCCAACTATGGGGTAGCTGGTTTTCTGACAAATAGCTGGCACCCAAATCTAGACTGCCTGATACAAAATGATCTAATTTTTCCCACGTAATTAAGGTTGCTCTCAGGCTTGCCCTTTAAGGACGAACAATAAAAGGGTAAGGTTCTCCACTGGGATGGACGCATGCATATGGAGCAGACTGCGCAGGCTCCGTTCACAAGCACATCTAGCCGACTGCGCAGATTCTGTTCACGTGCATATCTAGCAGAATGCGCAGGCTCCAGCAGGCTTTTTTGGGGATGATGAAGAAATGAAGACCCTCTGTTTTTGGTTTTTTTTTTTCTTGCTGATGCTGGTCTAATAAGCCTTCCTTTTCTCCAATAAAGCCTATTCCTTAACTGGTGCTATGTGTAAAATTGTGGAATTCATCCTGAGGGCTGAAGAAAACAGGTGGAAACCGAGTAGGGATCTACCTTGAAGGACAACATAAGCTTCCAGGGCAAGAATATGTGTTCACAAATATATACAAAGTACTCTGAAGAGTACTACCTTCAGCAGGCACTCCACCAATATGTGTTGAATAAATGAATAAGAACTATTTCACACCATATAAAATGAACTACACATGCCTTAAAGGATTAAACATACAAGGCAAAACTATGAAACAGAAGAAAATGGTGGGGACATTTTTGTGGTCTCAGGATAGAAAAAGATTTCTTAAATAAAATTCCAAGAACATAACCGTAAGGAGAAAAATCTGATTACATAAAAATCAAGATTTATGTTCAACAGACAGGCTACAGAATGGAAAGATGTTTCCAATACCCAAAAGTGACGATGGAATAGACAATGGCCTGGAATTTGATAACCAAAAAAAGGGACAAATTAGAAAAGTAGTTAAAGCATAGGAAAAGGATATTCACATAACGGGAAACCAAAATAACTCAGGATACAAAGAAATGCCCAAATTCAAATCATTCAAAAGTTCAATTTAAAACAAGAAACTACCACTTTATACCATGTGTGTGTTGGGGGCAGGGGGCGGCGGCGGCGGCAAATGTCAGAAAATTAAATAACGAGAGCAGTTAGCAGGGACATAAGATTCCCCTATCTCTGGAGATGTGGTGTACACACAGGTGTAGACATTCTGGAGAAAAGTATATCAAGCATACTCATACCTATAACCCAGCAATTTCATCCCTAACTAAGCATTCCAGAAAAATTCTCAAATTGGTTAACAGGATTGATTGACAATGTTCAGGGCAGCTTTATTGGTGACAGCTGGTGCCAATCCAAGTGTCTATTTTAAGAAAGTATTAATCAAAGAAAATGTGGAGAAAGTATACACTATGGAATTTCAGTATTGGTTAAAAGGAAATAATGTCCACACAAAATAGATATATTATAAAAAACTGTTGTCTACAGAAAAAAGTGAGAATCAGGTTTATAGCAGAATAGCACTTAAAAAAAATCACTTATTTTCAGGGCTTATAAAGAGGTCCACTCCCATCTCCACAACCAATTTTTTTAAAATTAGAAAACATAAATTTTCTGGAAACTTTGGCAAGATAGAAAAAAAAGCATTATGATGTAGCCAGAGGCTGAGAAGTGGCCCTAATGGCGTATCAGCAGGGACACCTGGGGCTCCCCTAACATAAACACTAAAATAGGAAGTTGCTACAAAGAAATTTATCCTATGATCTTTCAAAAAATTTATAGACCAATCCCTAGAAAGTGCCAAATAGAGAAAAAACAAAACAAAACAAAAACCCATGCCCTTTTGGAGAAAAAAAAAATTACTCAGTTTCTTAAATGATCTGTCAAAAAATATTACTCAGTCTCTTAAATCTTTCTTTCTCTCCTGGTTCTCTATGCTTAGTCCAGAGAAGCAAAACAGAGATTTGAGAAATAGTCCAAATCTTTCATATCAGTTTTTGAGTGAGTCTTATCTCTTTTTCTGAAACCAATTCCTCAGGCTTCTATGTCAATACTTAGGAAAACTGAGAGAAAATTACTTGCAGTTTCTCCGTCTAAGGGCTGCCCCCGCCAGAACTGCACAGAACAATTTCATATACTTTGACACTCTGGTTCTGCTGGATTAAATCCAACCTGGGGTTCGGAATGTTTCACAAGATGGGATACAAACTAAACTTGAATTTAACGAAAAATTCTGGGAACGGCTAGTGTCTTTTAAAATACAGATAGGTGTAACATTCCCTTTTGAAACTACAGATAAATTTGAGAATTGTCCTTCATTGGAGAGCATTATTACAGAGCTTAGAACATTTTGTTCCCAATATATTATAAGTGGAGTGTGGGGGTACCTGCGAGATTAACTGCACATTTTCCTAAGTTATCAAATGCTTTTCTGTGTCTGAGGAAATTAAAAGACATTTTTATTTTCAAAAATAAAGGTAGCAGTTAAGAAAAAGCAAAGCATACATATCTATGTAATATAAAAAGAGAAAGCACATACAGTGAAAGATTAACAGTTGGGACCCTCAGGTGAAGGGTATCTGCGTGTTCACTGCATGATTTTTTCCCCAATTCTTCTGTAGGTTTGGAGTTTTATATATAAAGAGTTGAGGGAAGGCTAAAGTCAACAGTTTTAATTTAGTACTCGGTCTGATGATTTGCTTCAACCTAACATCTAGCTCATGATTTAATTACTTCATTACTATACATGCCTCATGACAGATGCTCTTGTATACACAATTCAGGTAAAATTGACTTGAAGTCCACTCAGCGTCACTGTATGTCTAAAAATAAAGAAGCTTGGAAAGCCTGGATGGAACCCTGAGAGACAGGCTAGTCCCTCAAGCAGTTGCTAAAGAGTTGAGCGGTTTCTTCTGAAGTTCAAGATAACACTACCGAAGAATGTTATCACCGCCTCGTTCTACAATTCGCTCAAGTGAATCCTGCTAAATCTTTGCTCTTCTCACGAGTCAGACCTACTGCTATTAGTGGAAACTACTTATGAAATGAATTTTATTTCTAAATTTCTAATCATCTTGCAATGCAATATTAGGCATTGTCCTCTCGGTCCGCTAACCTGATCAAACTGGGGTCCCTAAATCCAAACACGCACATACAGCGTGTCTTCTAGTACACAAAAAAATTTCCAAGTAGACAACCCATTGTTATCTCCTTGGTTTACTTCCTTGCTTAAAAACAAAAAAACAAACCCAGATGGCTACCATATACGCTGATAAATGATTCTGGTGTGTGTTGTTCTATAAAGAGAGCGGATTTGAAATGAGTGAATCGCTGAGTCCCGCGATGAGACAGGGTCTGCATTTTGCTCTTAAAATCTCGGGGGCGTCAGGACCACATCCCAGCTGAGCAGGCTGAGACTGCTGAGGAGTGCGGACGGGCGAGGAGGGGACGCGGAAAGGAGGGAGCGGCGACAGGCGACCCGTCCGGCACGGGTCCCGGCGGTGCCCGGTCCCCCCGGGCTCCAGGCCGCTCGCCCCCCGCCCCTCCCCTTCGCTCCCCGCACAGCTCTCCCGCCCCTCCCCACCCGGCTCCCTCAAGTCTCCACGAACGGAAATGGGAGTCACAGCGCCGGGGACCAGCGGAAACAAAACACAGAGGCGGCCGCGGGGGGGCCCTTGTGGGGGAAAAGGCCCCGGAACGAGGCCGGCCCGCGAGGGCCCGCGCTCCCCTCCTCCCCGGCGGCCGCACTCACCCACTCCGGAATCGGCCCTGTCGCCCCCGCCCGCACTCCAGAGCCGGCTGAGAACGGCAGCGGCGAGGGCTCCACGTGCAGCGTCTCTCCGGGTAAGACCTGCAGCTCCCGCGACTAGAAGTGTGAGGTCCCAGGGCCCTTCCCGCGGAATCGGCGCTGAGAAGCCCCAACCCCCCTCCCGCCTCCCAGGCACCTTCGGGTCCAGGACTACAACTCCCGGCAGGGTGCGCAAAACGACCGCCCAAGGCAACGGAGGCTCACGAGGTACAAGGAAGCACAACGCCCCAATCCGCTTTGTTTTACACAGTCTCACTTTCCCTGCACCTTTATACACTTCGATAACCCTAACGAACAGGACGCTGACTCGGAGGGGAGCTTGAACTAGGGGAAAGGCCACTCAAAGAGCGCATGCGTACAGAGCAAGGTTTCAAGGAGGGGAAAAAGAACGGGTCAAATTAGGCGAAGAAAAGATGGCGGAGGCTGTGCCAGGGGACCCGGAAGCACTTACCCTCCACTTCCTCCTCCTGTTTGGCTTCTGTCTCACCTAGACCCGTCCGGTCGCAGACTGTCTCCGAGACGCTTCCTGTCCGGTGAGCGTCGACCGACTGAAACGGCGGCCCATAATGCATTGCGATGGCGGGTAGGCGTGTGGGGGCGGAGCCAGGGCCGGAAGTAGAGCGGAGGTGGTGGCGGCGGAGGCTTTGGCAGCTCGGGACTGAGTGCAAGGTGACTGGGAGGGTAGCTAGATCAGCGTGGCCTTTTGGGACTCCAGTTCTGGGTTTTTTCACGAGGCCTGGGCTGCCTCTCACCTTTACTAGGAGGAGAGAGCAGCTCTGTGTCCTGGGGACCTTCACGGCCTGGCCCGGGGTCACAGCTGACCTCTACGTTTGTAGACCTTGGAGTTTGCCGTAGACCCAGAAATAAGATCGATACCCTCTCTGAGGGCAAATCGGGGCGGCGCGGGGGGCAGGGAGGCCCGGGGGTCTCGGGCCCGCAGCCTGGCTGGGGCAACCCAAGGTCAGGCGCGCGGGAGAGATTTTCGGCCAGGCCTACCCGCCCCGGGCGCACGGGAGCGTCTAGGCTACTTAGGCAGAACGTGTACCATTAAGAGGGAAAAAATTAGTCATAATATTGAAAGTTTGCATCCCACCTAAAAACGATGGTGCTAACACTTCATTAGGCGACTTTATGGATTGTTCATAGGAATATGCACTGAAGAGGCAGCGAACCTACTAACCTTTGGCCGGTCAGTCATCACTATAAATAGAACCATGCTCCCACCCAGAACAAGGCCTCTGCTCAGACTAGTGTTTTCTTACTGTTGCCTTCCCCAGTCTTTCTGATCATGTCAGACGCTATCATATGCTCTCGTGGCACCCGATGGTACTGGAATAGAGAATTTATGTCAGGTGGTATTTCACAGCTATTTGTGTAATGACTATCTTCTGCGTTTTAGTGGACAATATGCATTCACTAATCAGTGAAAAAAAATGAAAGGGATTAAAGGAGAAGGAACAAGTTTTGATATGGGATTATGTGTTCGTTTTTTGGATGAGTTCGTAGGACTTATAAGGGAGATGAGAACTGTTGAATGCTGTGGATAGATTTGGGGCTCAGGATGAATACTAAAATTAGAAATGCGATTGGGGAATCATAGGCACTTACATGGTGGATAATTGAAACAATGAAAGTGGATTTTACCCGTGTTGCAGAAGGAGTAACATCTATGCAGTCAGACTTAGAGCAAATTAACTGTGAGAATACGTGCAGCTTAATCTTTCTTAGATACAGTTTTATCATCTGTAAAGCAGGGATAAGAACACTTTAACTCTTTGAGAGTATTGCTGTAAGGGTACAAGGAAAGGATATATATGGAAGTACTTTGCACAGTATCTAGGGCTAAGCAAATGTCGGGTGAACCTATTGCTGAATGTTAAGCATGTCCTTAGTTTGCCAGAAGGGAAAGTGGCATTGAATTGCACAATTTTTTTTTTTGCATATATGTGTTAAGTTAGATTTTGCTGTGTAACTTTGACCAGATACTTTTTTTTTGAGACAGAGTCTCGCTCTGTCGCCCAGGCTGGATTGCAGTGGCACGATCTCTGCTCACTCCAAGCTCCACTTTCCAGGTTTACGCCCTTCTGCCTCAGCCTCCGGAGTAGCTGGGACTACAGGTGCCCGCCACCACGCCTGGCTAATTTTTTGTATTTTTCAGTAGAGACCGGGTTTCACCGTGTTAGCCAGGATGGTCTCGATCTCCTGACCTCGTGATCTGCCCGCCTCGGCCTCCCAAAGTGCTGGGATTACAAGCGTGAGCCACCGCGCCCGACCACTTTGACCAGATACTTCTAATCCTCAGTTTCTGTGTGTTTAAACATAGGAATGATAATAAGTGGCACATGACCTTGTGAGGTCATTTGTTGTTTGCTTGTAGCCTTTTCTCAAGTATTTTTCCCTGATGGGGTATAAAAGTGATATGTTATGAATTCTTTAATTTCTTCAAACAGTTTGCTTTCATTCTGTCAGGTGAAGCATATTTTGTTGATTGCATTGATAGTAGGATTTCTTTTTTTTTTTTTTTTTTTTTTTTTTTGAGACAGAGTTTCACTCTTGTTGCCCAGGGTGGAGGAGTGCAGTGGCGCGATCTCGGCTCACCGCAACCTCCGCCTCCTGGGTTCAAGGAATCTCCTGCCTCAGCCTCCTGAGTAGCTGGGATTACAGGCATGTGCCACCACTCCCGGCTAATTTTGTATTTTTGGTAGAGACGGGGTTTCTCCATGTTGGTCAGGCTGATCTTGAATCCCTACCTCAGGTGATCCACCCACCTTGGCCTCCCAAAGTGCTGGGATTACAACAAAGTGCTGGGATTACAGGCGTGAGCCATCACGCCCGGCCTGATTGTAGGATTTCTTTCTTTCTTTTTTTTTTTTTTTGAGACAGGGTTTCACTCTGTAACACAGGCTGGAATGCAGTGGTGCAATCACAGCTCACTGCAGCTTCTACCTCCCAAGCTCAAGTGATCCTCCAGCCTCAGCCTCCCAAGTACCTGGGACTACAGGCACCCACCACCGCACTTGGCTATTTTTTTTTTTTCTGTAGAGATGGGGTCATACTGTGTTGCCCAGGCTGGTCTTGAATTCCTGGGCTTAAGTGATCCTCCTGCCTTGTTCTTCCAAAGTGCTGGGATTACAGGCATGATCCGCTGCACCTGGCTCATTGTAGATTTCTTTTGATAATTTTTACATGCCATTCCAGAGTTTGTCAACCTTGGCATTATTGACATTTTGACCAGATAATTCTTAGGGGTGGGAGGGCTGTTATTGTCGTTATAGTGTTTGGCAGCATTCCTGGCTTTGTACTCATTATAAGCCAGTAGCACTCAGCTTGGTGAGAACAACCAAAAATGTCTAAAGACATTGCCAGATGTCTCCTTGGAGAGAAAAAAACTCACTTCTTCCCCCACCCCCAACCCTATTTTGAGAACTATTGTGCGACTCTACAGTTTTCTAGCTAGTGCTGCTCAAACTCTGAGTGGTAAAGGGCCATTCTCACACCCACTCCTGTGGACACTTTTGAATACAGTGAAAATGAATTACAAAAGAAATGAAATTTAAAAAACAAAACAATGAAGTCACTTAAAATACAAGCTCTAATTTTTTAGAGACAGGTTCTCTCCATGTTTCCCAGGCTGGTCTTGAACTCCTGAGTTCAAACAATCCTCCCTCCTCGGCCTCCCAAAGTGCTGGGATTACAGGCATGAGCCACCTCGCCTGGCCTCTAAATACTTATATCTAATTTCTATATTACTTTAGACCAATAACATAGTTTGTATACTTCCACTAGTCCTATTATAACTTAGTAGAAGTCCGGTGTCAATGTGATGATGACAGTATTGCTATTAGGAAATTTGGGGAGGGCATGGGAAACATGTTAGCATATCAGATTTTCACTTGAAGATTCAGAAATTTTACCAGCCAGGGCAATATGGCAAGACCTCGTCTCTACAAAAAAAAAAAAAAAGTAAAAATTAGCCTGGTGTGATGGCACACAACTGTGCTCCCATCTACTTGGGAGGCTAAGGTGGGAGGATTGCATGAGTCCAGGAGGCTGAGGCTGTAGTGAGCCGTGTTCATTCTGGGCAACAGAGTGAGACCCTGTCTGAAAAAAAAAAAGATTGAGAAATTGTACCAGGCTGTGGTGCATTGTGAGCCTTTTGTCACCGTTCCAATATGGGGTTTGGCAAGCCCTGTCAGTTTATAGACTCGGCCTTAATCTGAGAAAAATGTATTCTACTAATTATTTATGGTCTCTTTTAATCATTTCCTTTTTTTTCTTTTTGAGACAGAGTCTTGCCCTGCATCCAGGCTGGAGTGCAGTGGTGTGATCTGGGCTCACTGCAGCCTCCGCCTCCTGAGTTCAAGTGATTCTCCTGCCTCAGCCTCCCAAATAACTGGGATTACAGGCACGCGCTAGCACGCCTGACTTATTTTTGTATGTTTAGTGGAGACAGGGTTTCACCATTTTGGGCAGGCTGGTCTCGAACCTCTGACCTCAAGTGATCCACCTGCCTCGGGCTGAAGTGCTGGGATTACACACATGAGCCACCGTGCCTGGCCCTCTTTATTCCTTTTCTTCTAGAATTCCTGTTTGTACCTATTTGTTGTAATTTGGATTATTTTTTGCATTTGATCTTTAAATCACTAAAGTAAATCTCAACAGGAATTGTCCTCTACTGAAATGTTTTAGTTAGAAAGTAATATATTTTAGCTTAAGGAAGTCTAGGGATTTGAAAGTCTTTAAGTCTTTTTTTTTTTTTTTTTTTTTTTTTTTTTTTTTTTTTTTGTGAGACGGAGTCTTGCTCTTGTTGCCCAGGCTGGAGTGCAATGGCACAATCTCGGCTCACTGCATCCTCTGCCTCCTGGGTTCAAGCAATTCTCCTGCCTCAGCCTCCTGAGTAGCTGGGATTACAGGCATGCGCCACCACGCCCAGCTAATTTTTGTATTTTTAATAGAGACAGGGTTTCTTTTTGTTGGTCAGGCTGGTCTCAAATTCCCAACCTCAGGTGATCCACCAGCCTCAGCCTCCCAAAGTGCTGGGATTACAGGCGTGAACCACTGCACCTGGCCATAAGTCCTTATTTTTAAAATTCAGACTTCCATCTCCTTCACCAATTTATTTCACTGATAAAGTTGGACTGCCGGATCCTCCCCACTGTCATGCACAGCTCATTTGGACTGGCTGCTGTTTTTCTTTGCTGGTTCTTCTGGACTTTGATTTAGTTGTTACAGTATTCTTAAATGGCTGGAATCCATTTGTAACAGGCAGAGCAGTTTCTCCCTCTGTGGGCCTGTGAAGTACACATTTTCAGGTTGTCATGCCCGGCTGAGGTATGGGAAACCTTGTACATTAGTTTGGGGGCCAGTGTACTTTTCCTGTTAGGAGCGGACAGTGTTGCAACAGTCTACCTCTACTGTTTTCTCTGATCCATGACTAAGTTCAAGGGGGAAGAAATACCTCACCTCACATTTTGTGCTCTAACCCTGATGAAGCTTCAGGCCTGAGTTTCTAACTGTTCCATTATCCCAGAGCCTTTTGGTTAAGACCTAAAAAACTTGCAATGGGGAATAAGGAGGAGAAGGGAACTGTGGTCAGGTATAGACTGAGATCTGATATGATGTAATTCTGTAGCAATTAGTAGAATTTGATTCTCATGATATATTTAGAGGTGATTTATAATAAGTATATTAACGTTTCTGCTGCTTGTTTTCTGTAACAGAATCAGCATGATTCTTCAGAGGCTCTTCAGGTTCTCCTCTGTCATTCGGTCAGCCGTCTCAGTCCATTTGCGGAGGAACATTGGTGTTACAGCAGTGGCATTTAATAAGGAACTTGATCCTATACAGAAACTCTTTGTGGACAAGATTAGAGAATACAAATCTAAGCGACAGTAAGTGAATAAATAACTACAGTGTAAATATAAATATTCAAAGTATGTAAGTTTCAAGGTGGTAATAAAAATGACTTGGTATTTGAAAGTATTAGACCTTCACTGAGCTCATCTCTGACATAGAGGTTCATTAGGTGCCCTCAAAAAAGAAGATAAGGATCTTGATTTTTTTAAGTCAGAAACTGTATCTTTATATGAGTTACAAGGGAAAATCCTACTAAATTTATTGCTGTTTAAAATACATTCTTACTGTCATGTCATGTATTATAAACCACATCAATTTATAGAAATACATAGGGTCTTGGAAATCATTTAGCAGCTAAGTTTGAAAAAAGTAACTCCCTTAGACATTGATTAGCCGAAGATCATAAAACTAATTGGGGAAAAATATATTATCAAAGTATATTTTAGCCTCAATTTAGTGGCCTTTCTGTGACATTGTAATTTGGGGGAAATGTATAAACACAGCTCTTTTTTTTAAAAGGCTATTTCCATAGTTACAGATCTCTGAGAATGTATATTAAAGGACAAAAGACTCTGAAATGACATAATGTAAGTCCAAGAAAAACAATTGTAGAACCATAGTTTTGGAAAGGAATGACCACCTTAGCTGTCATCAGGTCCAAACCCAAATCTTAGGAACAGTGAGGCGCACCAATTCATAGTTCCATTTTCTTTCATATAGTTGTCTACTGTGTGTAAAGCACTTGGCTATTAACCGTGATGGGCCACAGGGCATTTTTACAATATTCTTAAAGTCCGATAGGAGTAGAAAGCTTCTAAGCAAATAAATACAATATAAGGTAAAATGAGTTAGGTGCTAAGGTAGGGAAACGCTGGGTGCTTGGGGAGTTCATAGGAAAGAATACTCCTTTCCAGCTAGAGGCATTTTAGAGGCTTCTTGGAAGGCAGTGTTTGGGTACTCATCCCTCTTGAGAATCTCATGGACAACTGTGGATCATCTTCCCAGTTTAAAGAAAAAAACGTGAAGAATTTACTCACATCATTTTCCTTATAGCATGAAACAGTTCTCAAACCCACAGGAGGCCTTCAGTAGACCTGTACACCCAGGGGTTTACTCTAGGTTTTAAAGATCAGTGTATGAAGGTTGGACAGATAAATGAGGGTAAGAGGAGAGTATCTTTTAGGAGGAAAGAATGGTGTGAACTAAGGCATGAAAATGCCTTAGTTTGTGCTAGAAAGCACAAAATATATTTGGTGAATGGTATAATTCTATTTCCCTGGAGTATAGGGTATATGAAGAGTATAAGGATGGTATGGGGTTAGAATGAGGGATTATGGAAGGCCTTGATTGTAGACTGAGCAAGTAAGATATGTGGTAGGCATTTGTGAGAAATTACAGCTTTTTGAACATGACTGTGGGGATGGAAGATTACTCTGAATTAGGAGGATAATTTTAACCAGGGTATTGGAAGGATTGAAATGAGAAGAGAGCAAAGACAGACATGTTAGCAAAATGTAACCTAAGCATTAGTTGATGAGAACCTTGACTTTATAGCAGTGGTAATGTAAAAGTGACAGAGTCAAGACATTGAAACACTGATGCCTGGTTTTGGTGAGCTGCTGGAGAGGAAGAAGAGGGAACAATAAAAGAAAACTGACTTTTGAGGCGAGGTAACTAACAAAGGTGTTACCATTGCCAAAACTGAGGAGGAGAAATAGTGAAGGGATTAAAATGTAGTAAGTTACTCTGTGCTTTGTAGACATGGTAATGAAACTCTGACAACAACCCTATAGATGTTACCCCAATTTTATATATGAGAAAACCAAGGCTGAAAGTTAGAATTTGCCAAAAATCATACTGTTAAGTAACCAGATGTGCAGGACTCGTCAGGGAATTTTGAGTGTCTTCTGTCCAAATGTGGTGTTATATTAGAGTATTGATGCTGTTTGCATCATTTTAACTGTCTTTAAAAGCCTATCTAGTAAGAAGTGAATTCTTAGGTGTACCCTATATCTAAGGAGTCTTGTTTGTGGGTCATTCATTCGTTTGTGCAAACAAACACATGGAGAGTTCTGAGGGTAGACCCTGGGCTGGCATCCAGCACTGCCACTAATTAGCTCTATGACCTTGGGCAGGTTTAACTTCTGTAGGACAGTTTTCTCATATGTAAAAGGAGGATGATGGTAGTACTTACCCATTTCATAGGATATTATAAAAATTAAATTATTCAATACATTAGCATGCCTAGTATTTGCTAGTGAAATGAACAAGTATCTTCTGAGTGACTGCTTTGTCCTAGGCATCATGTGAGAGCCTAGGAATATAGTAATAAGCAAGATAAGCAGCAAGACTTACATTCAGTTGAGGAGGTAGATGATTTCTGGCCTCTTTTTATCACAAGAGTGCATATTAAAGTTAAAATAGCCATCATCCATCTGTAACCAGTATTAGAGTATCTAGTTGAAGGATCTATTTAGAACCGCAGTGTCCATTTTGGTTGCCGTTATCCATGAGACTATTCAAATTCTAATTACAATTAAGTGTATTTATAAATTCAGTTTCTCATTTTCTCATTCATGTTAGCTATATTTCTAGTGCTCAATAGCCAGATATGGCTAGTGGCTGCCACACTGGACAGCACAGACAGAGAGCGTTTCTAACATCACAAAAAGGTCTATTGGACAGTGCTAATCTAAAAGAAAATTGGGTCTCTAACAAGAAATATTGATAACAAGTTCTTAAATTGGAGCCACCTATGTATTTTTTGTGCATGTTCTTTAACTTAAATAAGACTGTATACTTTGATCATAGGCATGTGTAAAAATGTTATTACCCTTGAAGGAATTTTCATGTGTACATTTTTTTACATTTAGAATATTGTTCATTGCTAGGTAGGCAGTAGTATTTATGACAAAAACAGAAGAATTTCTTCAAAGAATTAATGAGACCCAGTTGGCCCTGCTGCTGGTCCATAATGCTATATTTATTTTCCCAAAATGCACAAGTCTAATTTTGTCATTTTATTGCTTGGCAAATAAAATACAAACTCCCAGGCTTAACATTCCGGGCCTCCCATGATCTGGGGTCTGCTGGTTTTTCCATCTAGACTCCTTAGCATTCCCCACATACAGCCAATCCCTTACCACCTCTATGTCTTTGCTTTTTCCATCTTAGAAGGTCTCAAAATAAACCCTGGCCCCAGATGCCTGATGTTTCTCAAATGCCACCTTTTTAAAATGAAATTTTCCCTGATTAGCTTAGCAAAAGTAATCTCTTCCTCAACTTGAATAGCTTTTTGTTAAATCATGTCTTTGAAGCTCATCACATCACTCCTTTACAGCATAAATGTTTGTAAACATGTAATTTTTTTCTTCGAAATTGCAAAATCTCTGAGGGTAGGAAATAATTTGCTTCTTTAATAGGACCCCTATGGTAGAAACTTAAAAGTCTAAGGTCTTTAAAAGCCATTTAGTGATGGCTGACTTAAAGCAGATGATATTAGTAGATAATAATTGAGTACTCACTGTGTGCCAGGCACTGTGCTTAGAGGTACGTGTGCATTTACACCCTCGTTTGGTAGAACCTTCATATTTAGTTGTGGAAACTAAAATTTAGAGTGCTCTGTGCCTTACTCAGGTTTACGCAGTTGCTGAATAGTTGAACTTACACTCAAACAGGACCAGTCTTTGACTCCAGAGCCTGTAGACTTAACGATACACCTTTTGCAACTTAGACCCTGAGAAATTCTGACTTAGTGAGTGTCCGTGATTCTGAGAAACCTTGAATGTTAGAGATTGGTTTGAGGATACCTCATTTATGTGAAACCTCATCGTAATAAAATAGTTTGAATTGAAATTGAAGTAGAAATACTTATTTTCTTTCTGAAGTCTTTTCTTTGACTACATGAATGCTTTAAAAAGGTCTATTGGCCGGGTGTGGTGGCTCACGCCTGTAATCCGAGCACTTATGGGAGGCCGAGGCGGGCGGATCATGAGGTCAGGAGATCGAGACCATCCTGGTTAACATGGTGAAACCCCCTCTCTACTAAAAATACAAAAATTAGCTGGGCATGGTGGCGTGTGCCTGTAATCCCAGTTACTTGGGAGGCTGAGACAGGAGAATCGCTTGAACCAGGGAGTCGGAGGTTGCAGAGAGCCAAGATCATGCTACCGCACTCCAGCCTGGCGACCAAGCAAGACTCCGTCTCAAAAAAGAAAAAAAAAAAAAGATCTGTTGGAATGTGGTGGTGAAAAGTAATTTTGTTTTTGTAAGCTAGTACACAAAATTAATTTTTGTTTGCTCATTTACTTAACAGGACATCTGGAGGACCTGTTGATGCTAGTTCAGAGTATCAGCAAGAGCTGGAGAGGGAGCTTTTTAAGCTCAAGCAAATGTTTGGTAATGCAGACATGAATACATTTCCCACCTTCAAATTTGAAGGTACGTCTTATAAATCACAGATTCATTCTTGTGGGGGATAAGTGAAGAATATTTACACTTACCTGGATTTTTAGAGAACTGAATGACAGTGTTGACATGTGAATTTATTAGGACCATGACGTGTGCCTGAGAAGCTGCCGGCTAAATGTTTGCTGTTAGAATAAGAGCAGTATAGGAGATCACATAACATAGTGATTAAATGGTGGGGATCTGAAATCGAACTGCCCAATCTTGAATCCTTATAATCACTTTCAGCTGTGTAATCTTGAGTAATTAACTGGTGCATGTCTCCTCATCTGACATTTGGGGAGAATTATAGTATCTTCTGCATATGTAGTTAAATGACATAATATATGCAAAGTCAATTAATGGAATGCATGGCTCATAGAAAGTGTTGCATAAATGTTTAGCTATATTTCTATGTAAATGTTTACAAACAGTGTTTACTAAAAAAATCAGAAAATTGATGAGTTAAATCTTGAGCATTCTACATAATCCATTTTATTGCAATTTGGCTAAGCTTGACCCTTTTTTCCCCCTCTTCTTAGATCCCAAATTTGAAGTCATCGAAAAACCCCAGGCCTGAAGAAATAAAGTAAAATTAATCTGGTAATTTGTCACGGATTAGTTGTACAACTAGTTAGAAGTTTCAGAATAAACATGCATTTCATAACTGTCAAATGTTCTTTTAATTCTGAGTCCAAATAAATTATTTGGTGATGTTGAGTGTGTTCTTGATGAATTGAGTTCTGTGTGTTAGAGTTGTTTTTAGATCCTTTCATTTGGTTATAATAAAGCAGATGGAGACCTTGGATGAACTGGACACAACTTGCACATAACCCTGCTTGTTGTGGAGGGATGTTACCCTTCCTTTAGAACATGAAGAAATGGTTTATAAATTCTTGGTCATAGCTTTCTCAGAAATCTGAGTGTAATTTTTTATATGTCTTGGAACATCTATTGTGTTTAACTTTGATCTCCTCAAATGTTAAATAATTTTCTCCCAGTAACCCAGGTCCCTCATCTTTGCTTGCAGATCACAGAGTCTGTTACAGTTCTGTTCAGATTGATGAGGGAAAGGTAGGGATGACGGGGGTTCTATAAAGGAACTTACTTTAAAAGAGTAAACTTTATGGTGTTGTTTTGTCCTAATAAGAAGAGTTCCAGCAGATACATTCTAGATAAGTGGCATATCAGACATGGTCAAAATTTTAGTGACTATAACTGTCTCTCAAGGAAGTTATTTTAAAAAATATTTTAATGGTCAAAATCAGGCTTAAAAAAAGTAAATTTTAAAGGAAAAGCAGCCATGTCTTTTTAGTATTTGACAATATCTCTGATATGTGTTAATAAATATAGGTCTTTAATAGATTTTTAAGATTTTCTTTAAAAGTGTAAAAGTGTGAAGCCAACAGTGTTCTTTTTTTTTTTTTGGAGATGGAGTCTCGCTCTGTTGCCCAGGTTCAAGCAATTCTCCTGCCTCAGCCTCCTGGGTAGCTGGGATTACAGGTGTGCGCCACCATGCCCGGCTAATTTTTGTATTTTTAGTAGAGACAGGGTTTCACCATGTTGGCCAGGCTAGTCTCAAACTCCTGACCTCAGGTGATCCACCCACCTCGGCCTCCCAAAGTGTTGGGATTACGGGCTTGAGCCACTGCGCCTGGGCCAAAGGGAATAGATTTTTATTATGGCATACTGTAGCTGAAGGCAAAACCTGCTAGGGAATACCTTTTTGAAAGATCTACAAATATTTCCTAATGACATAGATATGATTAATACGATGTGTAGAGACGGAATTGGGGAGGGCAGTACAGTAGGAAGAAACAGCCCACTTTTCTTCAAATGTGGCTAAGCAGTGACAGAACAGTTGAACTACTTTTATTTAAATAATTGCAGGCTTTGGAACAGAGAATCGGGTGTCTAATTATGGCACTATCTAAAGGTAATCGAGGAAGTCTAGTTGTCCCAGGGTCTTCCTTTAACCTCCCCTGAAACAGCTCTCCTCCACCTACCTGTGGCTGCAAAGCCATCTTGTGTCAGCTGGAACTGCCAGTCAGTAGAGAACAAACTGACCTTTTCTGCATATGCTTCCTCTCCCTGTCTCTTTACCTCCTTCTTCATTCAAAGTTTAGTTGAATTTTACCTTTTATCAGCTAACACAGTTATCTCATAACACATTTTTTACTTGTCTCACAACTGTGGAATTGCTTGCATGTCCCAGTCTCTTTGTTCATTATTGAAACAGGGTTCTGTTTGACTGTAAGAAGCATCCTATTCTCGTGCCCTATATTACAGGGCTGTGCATTTACATTTAAATTTTGGTCAGGCAAGCACTCCCTGTTTTCCAACTGAACCTCTCGTGGTGCTGTGAGTCACAGATCTTAACCAAGGCTTCGTCTTCCTCAGAGCCCCTTCCTCTTTTTGGCTAGGCTGCTCCAACCCTGCAAATGCTGGCCTTTGTGCAGCACTTCAGCCTGCCAGGTCACTCCTTGTCCTGCACTTAACCATTCAGAACCACCTTATGTGATTATGACAAATGATCTCAGCCTTGTGGTTATTTAAAATGGCTATTTTACCCCTTGCCTGGTGTTATGAAGAATTGTGTTTCCCCAAAATTCATACTTTGATTGAATTGAAGCCCAACCTCCAATACCTCATAATGTGACTTTGGAGACAGGGACTTTAAGTTAAAATGAGACCTTTAGGGTAGGTCTTAATCCTATCTGACTGGTGTCCTTATACGAAGAGGAAATTTGAGTTGAGGAGAGGTAAGGGGAACTAGAAAGGGACATGTGTCTGTTACTTACATAGCACTACCTTTAATAGTAACCCAGGAAGGCTAGGCAATTTTTACTTATTTAACATTTAGTGTAGGCTTTTTTGTTTGTTTTTTACTATTTCTCTGATTGTTGCTGCTCCTGGTGTAGCAGCCTTCCAAATGCTAGCTCTCTAGTAAGGTGCATGTATGAGTTCTTGCGGGGCCCTGTGGCTGAGGTCTTCCCAGTTGTACAGATTCCATTCCCTTAAATGGCAGGTTCATGCCAACTCCCTTCCAAACACCCCTTAGCTCCCACTGGAATGGTAAGTACACACTGTTTCCAATGTTTGGTCTGGTGAGACACTGGCAAGAAGGCTGAACGCCAACTACTTCCAATGGTGCCTACTGGATCCACGGGACACTCATGTCCTTGACCTAAGAAATCTTGGGAAAACAGGTATATTTCACCATCCTCCCCTACTTTGCTCTTTTTTTTTTTTTTTGAGATGGAGTCTTGCTCTGTTGCCCAGGCTGGAGTGCAGTGGCGCGATCTCGGCTCACTGCAAGCTCCACCACCCGGGTTCACGCCATTCTCCTGCCTCAGCCTCCCGAGTAGCTGGGACTACAGGCACCCGCCACCATGCCTGGCAAATTTTTTTCGCTCTCCTTTTTTTTAAGAGATGGGCTTTTGTTCTGTTGCCCAGGCAGTGGCTTGATCATAGCTCACTGCAGCCTTGAACTCCTGGGCTTAAGCAATCCCCCCAGTTCAGCCTCCAGAGTGGCTACAGGCTACAGGCATGCACTACCACGCCTGGCCCTCCCCCTCTTCTTGATATTTTTTTCCAGCTCCCTTTCCACTGGCTCAAATAGCTCCTATTTCCTTGGCAGGTGCCTTCAGTTTTTGCAAGTGATGTCTTAAATATTCTCTTTACTTCCTTTGGGGGTGACCTGGGGGAATAGTACTCCTTATGACTTTGGCAAACTCATTCTCTGTCTCTTTCCATCCCCTCGTTCCTTCCCATCCCAAATCCATCCATACACACTTCAGCTTATATGGACTGTGTGATGAGGTGAAGGGTAAAGAGTAGTGGTGGACTGGAGTAATTATTTCAGGGTGGCTGTCTCTTCATCAACAGTGAAGGGGTATTTATACCCAATGTATTTTTTCTTTTCTTTTTTTTTTTCTTTTCTTTTCTTGAAACAAGGTGTCACTCTTTTGCCCAGGCTAGAGTTGCAGTGGTGTGATCACAGCTCACTGCAGCCTCAACCTTCTGGGCTCAAGTGATCCTCCTGTCTCAGCCTCCCGAGTAGCTGGGACTACAGGTGCATGTCACCACACCCAGCTAGTTTTTCAGTTTTTTGAGACAGTCTCACTACGTCACCCATGCTGTTCTCGAACTTCTAGATTCCAATGATCCTCCCACCTCAGCCTCCCAAAGTGCTGGGATTACAGGTGTGAGCCACTGCGTCCAGCCTTCATTTTCCCTAGAAAGTGAGATACTTGTTTCTAGTCTTTAGGCAACAGAGAAAGTCCCAATTAACATCCTGTTATATGAACATAGCGTCTTTGTAAAACTTTTATTCATTCTCTTTGGTATATATTATCCTAAAATTTAGAAAGAAAATGTTTCTTAACCTACAGTAACTTCAATTCAGCAGTAGTTAAATTCCATAGTAAATATTTGGAAAGAAAGTTTGAGAATGAGAAATTAAGAAGTTGGCTGGGCGCAGTGGCTCACACCTGTAATCCCAGCACTTTGGGAGGCCGAGGTAGGCAGATCACTGAGGTCAGGAGTTCAAGATCAGCCTGGCCAACATGGTGAAACCCTGTCTCTACTAAAAATACAAAAATTAGCCAGGCATGTTGGCCGGTGCCGGTAATCCTAGCTACTCAGGAGGCTGAGGCACGAGACTTACGTGAACCCAGGAGGCTGCAGTGAACCAAGTTTGCGCCACGGCACTCCAGCCTGGGTGACAGAGCGAGACTGCATTTCAAAAAAAAAAAAAAAAACCATAAGCAACTTTAGGACTCCAACTATAGCTCTTGGTAAATCTCTATTTTTATACCATCTTTAAGAAACTTTATAAATAGCACACTTGAAGTTGAAAATAAAGGATCATGAAATGGAGCTTTGAAACAGCCTGCTTTCAATCTCAAAGAAGGTAAACAGGTCCTTTGTTGACACACACTTAACTTGTTTTGAGAGCATTTTCTTGGTGGAAAGTAAAAAGACATTTTACACTCCAGTTTGTCTTAATTAGTACATTTTTTCAAACCTGGTCAAGTAAAAACTTAGCATATATTGAAAAGTAAACAAATATTGAAAGTATCACAAATGAAAGCTTTTAGTTTACCTTGAATTTCTTAACCAACTGTTAACACTAAAAGTGTTCCAAAAAGAGAAAACAAAAGATGAAAAATTAAATTTTAAAATTTGAAAGTTGGAAAAATATTTGAAGAGCTTCTTAAGAACTGTGTGGAAATTCATGTCTAATTGCTAAAAGACTGGTATGAGAAAAATAGTTTCCATCCAGCCTTCATTCATGGAACAACTTTGTAACTTCACATATTAGATAACTATTATAATTACATATTTCAGAATACAATCATTTATTAATATTTGAACTAAATTTATGGGGAAATTTTATAGTTAAATACTAAATTTGCTCTTTGACAAGTGTTCCTTTGATTTTTAAAAATTCATTTATCACATTAAATACCAACCACGTTAGATGCTGTTAAATTCTTTGGGTCTTATAAAGTTGTGTAAAACATGGTTCTTTTCTCAAAATGCTTCCAGATTGGTAGGGGTGTCAAACATGTTCATTCCTATTATGGGGTAGAAACCAGTAAGTGAATCAAGGGTTACGGAAATTCAGAGAAGAAAGAGTTTCCAGCAGGGGAAATGAGAGAAGGCTGTCCTAGAGGGGGTGGAATTTGACCTGTCTCTTAATAAGTAGATAGAATATACAAGTCTTGTGGTTAGGAGAATTAACATTCCAGGTGGATAGGGTGTTATAGGTAAGTGTATAGAGGAGGGGGAAATGGGTTAAGATAAAATGACCATAGCTCAGTTTAATGGGTACATGAGGCAACCGAAGAAGTTAGTAGAACATATAGCTGAATACGTAGGCTGTGGCAATATGATGGGATATGTCTGTGATGGGTGGGAAACCTTGAATTCCAGGCTGAGGAGTTTAGATTTTGTGATAGACTAGGTAAAGGAAGAGTGAAAGGGTTTAGCCAGGGGAAAGGAGAAGGGAGTTGACATGGTTCGAGAGAAATGGGGCAAATTGATGGATGGGGTGGGGGGAAGAAGAGATTAGAGGGAAAAGGAGCCTTTGGAACTGGAGAGATTGACGTTGTGACTGAGAGGGTACTGGAGGGTGGAAGTTCCCGGAGATAAACGTTGAGATGCTATTGAAAGCCTGAGATAAAAGGATGAAAGTAGTGACTGAAGAATCAAATAAGACAATGAATGATGTAGTCAGTGAATAAATGGGAGGCTAAAGATGGAGAGATTTAGAGATAGGAGGGGGCAGTGGTGGTGATAGGATTTAAATGCATTCATCCTGGTTAGCCTCAATATTTTTCAAAATAATATTAGAGATTTGGGCATCTTCGGAGAATGAGAGGAGAGTGGAAGAGAATGAAATGGCCCACTGTGATATTTAGACTGGGTTAGGGGAAAGGCATGACAAAAAGGTATTTTGTCTGGCAGTGAGACCAGGAAGGCGATGAGGGGCCAGAGATAACTGGGGGTGAAAGGAAAGTGTGACAGAGAAGCGCACAAGAATTTAAAAGGACTGGGCTCGGCTGGGCACAGTGGCTCACGCCTGTAATCCCAGCACTTTGGGAGGCCGAGGTGGGCAGATCACAAGGTCAAGAGATCGAGACCATCCTAGCCAACTTGGTGAAACCCCATCTCTACTAAAACCACAAAAATTAGCTAAGCATGGTGGAGCGCGCCTATAGTCCCAGCTACTCGGGAGGCTGAGGCAGGAGAATTGCTTGAACCCTTGAGGTTGCAATGAGCTGAGATCGCGCCACTGCACTCCAGCCTGACGACAGAGCGAGACTCCGTCTCAAAAAATAAATAAATACATAAAATTTAAAAATAAATAGATAAATAAAAGGACCGGGCTTAGGCCTATAGTAATGCCAGCAGTTTCGGAGGCCGAAGAGGGAGGAGCGCTTGAGTCAAGGAGTTTGAGACCAGCCTGGCGACGTGGCAAGACCCCCCTTCTACAAAAATATAATAAATAATTAACTGGGCATGGCACACACCTGTGGTGTCACCTATTTGGGAGGCTGAGCTGGGGGAATCACTTGAGCCTGGAAAGTCAAAGCTGCAGTAAGCCGTGATCGCGGCACTGAACTCCAGCCTGGGTGACAGAGCAAAACCCCATCTCAACAATAACAGCAAAGAATTTAAAAGGAAGTCAGCCTGGGGGTAGAGAAAAACATGGTGTGTGAAACATCCTGGATCAGACTGATCTGGGTCCCCACAGACCCTGATTCCTCACTCCTCAGCTCCATGAACTTGACAAGTCAGTAACTCTTGTTTCCTCATCTGCAAAATGATGACATTACCCACTTTATAGTATCGCTGAGATGAATGAGATTTTCTACATCCTCACCCCCATCCATCCCCACCTCTGACATATATAAAGTGTTCAATAAATAGTTGTTGCTTTTTATTTTCAGAGCATTTTTCTCAGCATTTGAGAAGTTGGCAGCCATCCAGAGATGATGACATTCTAATCTTAAGCAGCTAACCAGCAGCTAGCCTTGTAGCTACAGAAGGTAAGAGGGTGTAGTTTCCTGGGTTTTATGAATAACAATAGGTGGATGACTCTTTCCCTGCACTGTTATATGGGGCTAAAAAGTTTAACAAGTTCAGCTATTTTTATTAGTGTAGACTTTAATCGAACAAAGCCACCTGTGGAAAAAGGAAGTTCTTTGCAAAGTTGTATTGAAAAGCAATCAATTGGTCCAGACTTAGGTCAAACCTCCAACTAAAAATAAATTAAATCTAGTTACAACAGCAACAATAATTAAAACAAAACAAAGCTTGCTAATAAGATTTTAAAGCCCTAATCTTTACACAACACAATTCACTGCAGGAAAATAAAGTCAAAATGCTGTAAGAATTACAATGGGATTTTACCAGTTGTTAGTGTTCAAGTTCCTCAAGTAAACACAAATGCAAATACAAGTCTGGACACCAGTGACCCACAGATACATATATATACTTTTAATAGGAAATTAGTGCTCAATACTCTGCCCTTTGTGTGGGGGAAAACATTCTTTTATACAAGGATTTTTACCTAGCTATTACAATAGTTTAAGGTAATGTACAATATATATTTGACACAGAGAGTGTTATTAGATGTTCGCACTGCATAAAATGAATCCTCTAGCCTTTGATGTCTTAAAAAGAAGTTTTACAACTATTAGTGAAGCTAAGGCACTACATATTTTCCTTCCACAATATGGATTTGTGTCATTTAAACTGAAGAAGTTGATCTTGTGTGATGACAGGTATGTCTGAAGAGGCGTCTTTCAGAGTCATCTATCCTCTTGGCATGCCAATGCAAGAGGAAAGCATTCCTCAAACCAAAGAAATCTTCCAACCAAAACATAGGTAACATTTAGCCTGATTTCTTACAAAAGCTTGTAGACAGGTGTTTTTTTCTGTACTTCACCACCATGAGTTGGGAATCTATGCCTGTGGGCCAAATCTTGTCTGTGCCTGCTGTTTTTGTAAATAAAGTCTTATTGGAACACAGACATGACTACTTGCTTGTTTTGTCTGTGGCTGCCTTTGTGCTACAATGGCAGAGTCAAGTAGTTGTTAACAGGGACCTTATGACTTAAAATATCTACTTTCTGGCTCTTTACAGAAAATGTTTGCCGATCCCTGACTCGTGGTGAAAATTTTATTTTGGGGGCAGAGCCATGTTACAGAAGCCCGACCTCCAGGAAGGGATCTGGTGAGAGACATAGCATGTCATAGACAAGTCAAAGGGGGAGCATCTTCCCGGTGGCCTGGTGTCCAGGCACATGCTAGGCACTCAGTGGGTGCTTAATCCATTTGTTCGGTGAATCCTGGGGATTTGCTTCGCCAATTGGGTAGAAAGAGCAGACTCTTTTGAAAGAAGATTAACCTGCCCAGTGCAGTGGCTCATGCCTATAATCCCAGCACTTTGGGAGGCTGATGGGGGTGGATCATTTGAGGTCAGAGGTTTGAGACCAGCCTGGCCAACATGGTGAAACCCTTCTCTACTAAAATACAAAAATTAGCCAGGTGTGGTGGTACACGCCTATAATCTCAGCTACTTGGGAGGCTGAGGCAGGAGAAGTGCTTGAATCTGGGAGGCGGAGGGGAGGCGGAGGTTGCAGTGAGCCAAGATTGTGCCACTGTACTCCAGCCTGGGCGACAGAGTGAGACTCCGTCTCAAAAAAAAAAAAAAAAAAAGAAAGAAGATTAACCATCATGTTCATAGTTGTCAAAGGTAGCAAGTGACCTTTTCATCCACATTTGCCCAGAAGAATAGGACATGCCCTAGCCATATTTTGTTTTTAATATCAATTCAGTAATTAAAAGAAGTTACAAATGATATGAATTTTTAACATAGTCTAATTGCTCTGGTAAACGGATCATTGGAATTTTCACATTGTAATAGTAGCTGGAAGCTTTTGTGGTTCATCGGTTGAGAAACCCACATTAGATCCACTTTTCGTTTGAGCCATTGCTCATGTGCCCACTGTGTTTCAAGAGGGGTACCAGATGCAGGGAGTCATACTGAGCTTTTTCGTCTCATTTTCCTGGTAGACTATTACTTCTTCCCTCCACATCCCTCCTTGTCCAAAAGCAGAATTGTCAACCCCTGACTAAGGGACTTGGCCCGGAATGTCACTGCACAATTTTTAGAGACAGAAAGATGTGAAGTCACCACTCCTGCAGGGAAAGGTATCTGCAAACTTGTGTAGGCTCCAGTGGTGAGTTCTGATGTCAAAGTCACTGATCCTCTTCAAAGAAATCTTACAAGAAGGAAGCAGTGGCAAGCAGCAGTAGGGGTGAAATAAGCCACTTGGGTTTGTGTTTGACCATCTAAATTACGTTTAATGAAGAAATCAGTGACACACACCAGGCAAATCCTGTGGTGCACACCTGTGGGCTCCAGCCATTAGGCATTTCTTTTGATGTTGCTTTTAGTTCCCAGGAATGGAAGTAAACACAAAGTGCAAATCCTTGGGCATAAGACCCATCCCGCTTCCTCCTTTCTGTGGGTGTGTTAGTGATGAACGAGCATCAGAATAAGGATGATATTAGGGGAGAAAAGAGGATTCTGGCAGAAATGAGACCAGAGGTTCCTTTTGCATCTGTCAGAGTATTTGTTGGACCCCCTAAATCAGACTCTCGTGCAGAGTCTGATTTATATTTTCATGACCTGTGGATTGACTTCACAATCAGTATGTTATATTTTAGTAACGTTCTCTAGAAGTTAGGACGTGGTTAACATTTCCCAAAGCCCAGGACATTACAAAGTATTTTAATTCTTTTAACTTAGTCCAGACACAAGAAGCCAGATTATATTTTAGGTGTCGACAGAACTATTTGTTTAAAATAGCAAGTTCAGGTGAGTTAGTAGTCATGAAAATTAAAATGAAATACCAATTCCATTTCCTCGTGTACCTCTTTGCAAATGTCGGACAAAGCAGAGTTTTATAATAGTTTAATAACTTGTGTAACAACGGTGGCTTTGGTGTATCTCTAAAGTGGAGTCTTTAAATTATAAAGGATTTTGTGTGCTTGAAATCCTAGGAAAAGAAAGAAAAAACAGGTTTAAATATATGAATTCATATTTAAAGAAACATAAATCTTATGAATATCAAGCTATATTTATTGTAAGAATTCTACAGGTAAAAACCAGTATTTATTTATTTATTTATTTTATTTTTTGAGATGGAATCTTGCTCTGTTACCCAGGCTGGACTGCAGTGGCGTGATCTCAGCTCACTGCAACCTCCGCCTCCCGGGTTCAAGTGATTCTCCTGTCTCCCAAGCAGCTGGAACTGCAGGCACATGCCACCATGCCCAGCTAATTTTTGTATTTTAGTAGAGATGGGGTTTCACCATATTGGCCAGACTGGTCTAGAACTCCTGACCTCGTGATCCGCCCGCCGCGGCCTTCCAAAGTGCTGGGATTACAGGCGTGAGCCACTGCACCTGGCCAAAACCAGTATATATTTAATTAAACTTGTTTTATGGGGAATTAACTAACTAACTCCTAGCAGACAAGGTACTCTGAAGCTTTGCCTAGAGAGTAAAGAGGTAGGACTGGAAGGCAGAGGCAGACAAATCCTGTTAGGAGGATGCCCCGGCATCTGGTGTTGGAGGCCAGGCCTGTGGCTACACATCCTATGATGTACAGGACAGCACCTTACACCAAAGAATGATGTGGCCCAAAATATCAGTAGTGCTGAGGTTGAGAAACCCTGTGGTAGGGCACAAGAGAACTGAAGGGGACTCTAGCTGTTAGTTGATAAGGGCAACTGAGAGGAAGGCAAAGAAAAAATAAATGGCTTTTGTTCATTCAGTTTAGCCACAATGTGCTTCATACTGTTTGGAGGGATGGGAGTATTCGATTCCACACTCCAAGAGTACTTTCTGTAAATTGCAGAAACAAAGACTTTCCATAAATTGTAGGCACAAAAATGGTGGGAACAAAGTTTCTTGTCCCCTAATTAAACATCAGTAAGCTTTCAGTGTAGTAAACCACAAAATAAGGTGAATTCTGTAATAGTTTCTGGAACAGTTTTTGAAAATCAAATTTTTACAGAAAAGTGGGTAAGCATTTAAAATACTGATGTCCAGGCTCCCCCGCCCCACCCCACCCCCCAGACTCTACTGAGAAGAAATCTGACAGAATTCCTGCCATAGATGAGTAAAGCATTTCTGAGAACCCATGCTTTGTTTCTCAAGAAACGACTTAGGCCTCTAAAACCATAGGAACTCCCCCTGCCCCAACCCACTATATTCCTGAGAAAATCATCCAGAAGGCTGAATATCCATCCAAAGAGCTACAAAATCTGAGTAACAATGGTATTTGCTGCATCAATGTAGTGTTTACAAAGGGTCCAAGTGTCTAAATTATGTTCCTTAAAACCTCTGAGTTAGGTAATTACTGCGTCTTTTCAAACATTTCTGAAATGTTCCTTTCAATTATAACAGGATATTCTGTGCTCTGGTCTGAATGTTTGTGTCACCCAAAATTCATATGTTGAAACCTAATCCCTAATGCAATACTATTAAGAGGTGGGGCCTTTAGGAGGTGATTAGGTGATGAGGGCAGGACCTTCATGAATGGAGCTAGTGCCCGTACCAAAGAGGCCAGAGGGTGCTTGTTTTGCCCCTGCTACTATGTGAGGACACAGCAGGAAGTCTCCATCTATGAGGAACAGGCTCTCACTAGACATTGAGTCTACTGGTGCCTTGATTGTGGACTTCCTGGCCTCCAAAACTGAAAATAAATTTGTTGTTTGTAAATTACCCAGTGTATGGTATTTTTGTTATAGCAGCCCAAATGACTAAGACATTGCATAGCCCTAAAATGTTCCAAGTGCTTCACATAACCAAAGGTGAGTCCTAGAACCACAGCTCTGCTGGAACCACTCTGCTTGGTCAAGCTACAGGGAAGAAAAGAGCCTGGGTCCCAGCTCCACCACTGTTACCCTGTAAGAACCTGTGTTTTAATTTACTCATCTGTCAAAGGGAGCTGATAATGCCAGACCTAGTGATACTAAGAAGGCAGACTAATTATAGAAAATACCATGAAACAAATAATGATATGATTAAAGATCACTTCTGCTATTGGAAATGCCAGGTATCTTTATCATGCCATCCTAGACAGGGTACAGAAGCTAACATCTACTTAGCTCCTTTTAAACACCAGTGATAGACACTGGTGCAAAGTGTATTAAAAGTGAAAATTCACAAAGTCCATATAATTACTTCATTTCCCTGCCCTATTCCCCAAACATATTCATTCTATAAATATGCTTTAAAGATACTCACATTTTCACTCATTGTCGTGGCTTTAGATGAAGAATTACTCTTCCTGTTTGTGGAATATAAAAGACAATATTTACTACATTATCACTTCCAATCTGGAACATATATGCTCTTTTAGTTAATTTTACTTCCATACATTTTCTCAGCAAGAACATGAACATATATCTTAGGTAGAAAAAAAGACAATTCTTACTGAATTTCTTATATTTACAGACAATATTCACAGAGAAAGTCATGCAACAAAACATCAGTGTGAAGCCTTGTGCACGTAAATGTAGCTTGTGGCTAGTATACTAAAGATTTTTGTGGAATACACAAACCAGAGACTTACTAACTTTTAATTTAATATATTAACATTTAATATTTTGAAAGCTTGACTATTATAATCTCAAAATTTATTTATTTTTCCGTGGAAAAAGTTTTACATGGTGACTAGTGTTCCAGTCATCCATTTCGTTATTGAACATATTTTGAAGGCCACAGATTTAATGAATGTGAGGGCATATGTCTAGGAATGAAGTTATTCCCCACCAGATTACTACTTGATTTGCTAGAGATACTGATAGAAGAATAACCTCCCTCACTGCAGCTATGTCACCCTTCCCACTTACGTAAGATGATGTCTCCCCTCTGCTCAAAACCTTCCAATTACTTTTCGTGTCACTCAATAAAAGCAGAAGTCCTCACAATCACCTGGAGGTTAGGGGTGGGAAGTAGCAACACTTTCCAGCTACCCTGCCCTTCTGAACTCACTGGCTTTATTACTGCTAATTCTTGATAATCTGAACTTCAACCTAGACTTGTATTAGGATCTTACGAGACTGAGAGACCAGGATTGAGCCAGAAATCTGGGAACAGGAAGTCAATGGCAGATGATTCTTCAAAGGAATTAGGAGATGACAAACTGTCTGAAGCCATGGCTTCAGTATATCTTCTCCACTCCCAGCTGCCATAGCCTCAGATAGTTTGTCATCCATCTTCTCTCTACGCCCATAGAGCCAAAGTTAGGTCTGCCAGATCTGTACATACAAGAAGGACAGTCATAAAACAAGTACACACAAACTACAGGGCGTTGGGGAGCTCACCCATATTTCATGTACCAATGACTCCTACAATTCCATTTCCAGTTATTTCCCCAAACTCTAGATTTTGAATATTCAGTTACTGATAACCTCTACTTGGAATCAAATAAGCATATCAAATATTAAAATTCCAAACACTCCAACCTCTCCACTTATTCCCATCACCACTCCCAAACTCTCTCCTCTTAAAATCTTCCACACTTCCGTAAATGGTAATTCCATCCTTCTCATAACCTTGAAGCCATCTTCGATTTCTCTGCTTCTCTCACAGCCCACATCCAACAGATCAGCAAGTTATTAAAACATTATATCCAAAACACTGTCACTTCTCAGCATCTCCAACACTGCTTTGGCACCAGCCACCATTTTCTCTTGCCTCACTTAGTGTGGTAGTTTGCTAACTGATCTCCCTGCTTCCACCTTTTGTCATCTCATAGTTTATTCTTAACAGAGAAGCCAGTGTGAGTTTTGAAAAATTAAAATGACACCACTCCTCTGCTTAAAGCCCTCCAGTGACTTTCTATCTTACTCAGACCAAAGCCAGACTCCTCACGACTGCCTAAAAGGGACTCCTTACAATCTGCCCCCACCGCTACTTTTGTACGCTCATCTCCTCTGTTTCTCTCATTCTGTTCCAGCCACCCTGGTCCCGCTGACATCCCTCAGATATTCTAGGCTTGCCTGGCCTCAGGATCTTTCAATTTGCTCTCTCCCCTCTGCCTGAACGCTCTTCTCATGGTTATTTGCACAACTTGCTTCCTCACCCTCTTCAGGCCTTTCTCAAAAATCACTTAGTGAGATCCTTTCTGACCACCCTATTTGAAATTAGAATCTCTACTCCTACCCTTTGTATTGTATATTCTCTTATTTGTTTTATTTTTCTCCATAATGGCCCTATCTGATATACTATATAGTATTACCTGTTTATTTTCTGCCTTTCTCTACTAGAATGTAAGCTCCATAAGGCAGAGTTTTGTGGGGTTTTTGGCCTGTTTTGTTCACTGCTGTATCCCCATTCCTTAGAACAGTGTTAGGCACAAAATTGGTATTCAATTAATATAAAAAAATGACTGTTAACTAAAATTTTATTTGAAAATTTTCAATTTAGCAAAATACAGTAAATTTTTTTTAAGTTAGTTTATACAAATGCCTATGAAATCAAATTAGTGACCATATTTCTTGTCTGGGTAATCATCATTCTCTCTGTACTACCATTTACAAGTAGGCTGGGTAATCATCATTCTCTCTGTACTACCATTTACAAGTAGGTATGAAGTGTGAAGTGGGATGTTGATAGAGTCTGGATATTTGCCTTGCCCAAATCTTATGTTGAATTGTAATCCCCAATGTTGGAGGTGGGGTTTGTTGGAGCCGATTAAATCATGGGGGCGGATTTCTCATGAATGGTTTAGTACCGCCCCCTTGATGCTGTCCTCAGAATAGTGACTGAGTTTTCTTGAAATCTGGTTGTTTAAAAGTATGTGGCACCTCCCCAACCTTGCTCCTGCTTTTGCCATGTGACGTGCCTGCTCCCGCTTTGCCTTCAGCCATGAGTAAAAAGCTTCCTGAGGCCTCCCCAAAAGCCAAGCAGTGTTGGTGCCAGGATTGTACAGCTTGCAGAACCGTGAGCCAATTAAACCTCTTTTTACAATAAACTACCCAGTCTCGGGTATTTTCTTACAGCAATGCAAGAACAGCCTAATACAGATGTATTTCTTGATAAACTTGAGTAACTTCTTGTGAGAGTAAACCTACACAAATAACCCAACTTCTCTCTTTTGACTTTAAACAGATGATTAATAGAAAATTAGTTGACATAGGAGAAAGACATGCATTGTAGGAAAGTATACTTACTGGAAGGAGGTTTCTTCTACAAAAGAAAAAGTATATATCATTAATGCAAGGGTTATTATGGTATGATACAGATTCATATAAAAATGAGTTTGGGTTTAATTTATTTTTATTAATTTTAATCTTCACTTGCTGACGTTTATACCTTCTAAATTAAGAGTTGGCAAACTTTTTTGGTAAAGAGCCATACAGCAACCATTTTAGGCTTTGGGGCCAAGAGGATACTATATAGGTACTTAAGTAACAAGAGAGCAAACAAATTTCCAAACATTTTTATGGATAAAATAAAAATATAATAATAATAATAACAATAATAATAAAAGTCTTGAAAAACAGGCCTACTAGTTAGAGAAATGGAATGCTTTTGGGGAAGATAACATTTCTCTTAATTGGGGTTCAAAGTCAGCGGGCCCTATCATCAAATAGATTGTAAATGTTCATCTGTAAAGCCATTTTTGTTCATAGGCCATAGAAAAATAGGCGGGGAGGGCAGATTTGGTCCACAGATAGTAGTCTGCCAACCTCTGTCCTAAACATATATTCAAGAATATGCTTCTCTTGGATAGATTTTTCTGCTAGATGAAAAATCAGAGTAACATTCTTAGGTAACGAACTCCTAATATTCAAGTCAACTTTTAATTAATTCAATATTTTAGGAAAATTTTTTTACTAACTCCTCATTAAAAAAACTCAGACCAGTATTATTTTAGGCTATAGATAAAGATGACAAGAGTTTTGGAAGAGTTATCTTATTTGTCTGTACTTTCACTGATGACCAGCAGGGGGCCACAGCTGGATTCAATTCATAAAGTTACATTAAAGTGGGCTAAATTGAAGCACTGAACAAGTATTAATTGACAGAGCCGCTCTTTTTGTTTGTTTGTTTGGTCAGTGTCTTGCTCTGTTATCCAGCTTGGAGTGCAGTGGTGAGATTACAACTCACTGCAGCCTCGACCTTCTGCGCTCAAGCGATCCTCCTACTTTAGCCTCCTGAGTAGCTGGAACTAAAGGTGTGTGCAACGATGCCTGGCTTATTTTTTATTTTTTGTAAAGAAAGGGTCTCCCTATGTTTCCCAGGCTGGTCGTGAAGTCCTGGACTCAAGTGATCCTCCTGCCTCGGCCTCCCAAAGTGTTGGGAATGCAAGTGTGAGCCACCACACCCAGCCCAGTTATTCTTAATTATAGGGCATCTCTTTGAATCCATGTCCACGGAAACATTTTATGAGACATAATACCTAGTTGTAGGTATTATTAGGAACACATTTTATATTTAAGTTTATTTTTGGCATAAAATATATTTTTAAAGGCCAAGAGTGGTGGCTCACACCTGTAATCCTAGCATTTTGGGAGGTTGGGATGGGAAGATTCCTTGATCCCAGGAGTTCAATACCAGCCTGAACAACAGAGCAAGAACCTGTCTCCACAAAAAATAAAAGAAAATTAGCCAGGTGTGGTGGTATGTGCCTGTAGTCCCAGCTACTTGAGAAGGCTGAGGTGGGAGGACTGCTTGAGCCCGGAAAGTCAAGGCTGCAGTGAGCCTTGATCACACCACTGCACCAGGCATGGGTGACAGAGTGAGACCCTGTCTCAAAAAAAAAAAATTGTTTTAAAAATCTAAATTCCGAAATTAATGTTCGCTGTAAAACAATGGGTCTAGAACTTGTATATGCTATAAATTTATAATTCAATTAAGAATTTTATTTTACACACTATTGCCAGTGGCCCTGATAGAATGCTGCAGCTTCTGAGCTCTCCAATAATATTAAAGAGGGAGTGAAGAAATGCATTAAGAGAATAAAACATTTTTAAATCCCACCCATTTACATCAAACCTATTGCATTATCAAATGGAGGTGTGAAGTTACAAGAGGTCTAAATTTGAAGAATTCAAAACTGTGTACAGAAGTAGCTCTCATAAATACAATAGGTTTCTATTTTTGACTGAACAATTCTCTTTTTTTGTTGTTTTTTTGAGATGGAGTCTTGCTCTGTCACCCAGGCTGGAGTGGAGTGGCATGATCTTGGCTCACTGCAACCTCCACCTCCCAGGTTCAAGTGATCCTTCTGCTTCAGCCTCCTCAGTAGCTGGGACTACAGGTGCATGTCACCACTCCTGGCTAATTTTTGTATTTTTAGTAGAGACGGGGTTTCACCATGTTGGCCAGGCTGGTCTCGAACTCCTGACCTCAAGTAATCCTCCCGCCTCAGACTCCCAAAGTGGTAGGATGACAGGCATGAGCCACCACACCCAGCTGAACAATTCTCTTCTAAATACAGTTGTCCTAAATTTAACATTCAACATTTCACTGTTCTACACTGATGAAATATTTCACTTATTTATTTCAATGAAATTTCTTAAAGAATTTGAAATCAACTTATATCTTGAGATATACAATTCCTAACTTAAAAATATCTTGTCTGGGCGCGGTGGCTCACACCTGTTATCCCAGCACTTTGGGAGGCCAAGGTGGGTGGATCAGGAGGTCAGGAGATTGAGACCATCCCGGCTAACACGATGAAACCCCGTCTCTACTAAAAATACAAAAATTAGCCGGGCGTGGTGGCGGGAGCCTGTAGTCCCAGCTACTCGGGAGGCTGAGGCAGGAGAATGGTGTGAACCTGGGAGGTGGAGCTTGCAGTGAGCCGAAATTGCGCTACTGCACTCCAGCCTGGGCGACACAGTGAGACTCCGTCTCAAAAAAACAAACAAAAAAAAATCTTAAAAACATGCAAAGATACTATAAATATCCGTTCACATTGAATATCTCTGTCTCGCTGCACTGCACCACTCCAAGGATGCCTCTTGCATATTCTGTGGTGCTCCCTGGAATGTGCAACTAGGCAGTTCTGCCTTTTCTCCCTAGGTTTGCCAAGGTGTTTCATAAGCCACCTGCATGTCATCCTGAACATTTTCTATAGCAGAAAATAAATGAACAATATTCTCCAGAGTTTGTTAAAACTTGCTAGGAGAGGGCCGGGCACAATAGCTCACACCTGTAATCCCAGCACTTTGGAAGGCCAAGGCAGGCAGATCACTTGAGGCCAGGAGTTCGAGACCAGCCTGGCCAACATAGCGAAACCCCATCTGTACTAAAAATACAAAGATGAGCTGGGTGTGTTGGTGCACACTTGCAATCCCAGCTATTTGGGAGGCTGAGACATGAGAATCACTTGAACCTGGGAGGTGGAGGTTGTATTGAGTGGAGATTTTGCCACCACTGCACTCCAGCCTGGGCAACAGAGCAAGACTCTGTCTGAAAAACAAACAAACAAACAAAAAAACAACTTCCTAGGAGAAACAGTATCTCATAAATAAACTCCATAGCCATAGAAAGTTATCTGCCAAAGAAGGGTGAAATTCACTTACTTGAAAAGTAGCCTTTCCTCTGAGCATAGCATACACCAAGGCCACAAACGGAAATCACTAAGGCCACAACTACTACGGCTGCTATGATGCCACTTATGTTGAGATCATCTGGAATGTAAAATAAATTACGCATAAATATATGTGGATTACACGGACAGATGCAGTCATTAAATTGAAAAGGTTCAAAAAAAGATCCCCTTTGCAGCTATATCATAAAGCATACTTTAACGATTGTGAAGCCTGTTCAACTAACTCACTTCTAAGACATGGTTCAAAATTGATTAAAAATATTAACAGAACTTAAGCTTTGGAAAAATACTAAATTTTAAAAACTTCTCAGATTAAAAAATAAAATGTATTCTTTTGCATTCATTTGGAGATGTGTAATAATTCACAGGATTAAAAGACTGGAAGCAATCTTTGAAGTTCAATGAGTTCAAGTATTCTACTGCCACTCCCTACCCCACGTCTTACTTAAAATTCTCCTACATCATCAACTGTGTCAATTTCACAAATAAAGAAAAACTCAACGTCAAAGAAAACACATGGTGCCAGGCATGTTGACTCATGCCTGTAATCCCAGCTACTCAGGAGGCTGAGGTGGGAGGACTGCTTGAGGCTAGGAATTTGAGACCAGCCTAGGCAACATAGCAAGAATCCATCTCTAAAAAATAAAAAAATTAAAAAAATTATCCGGGTATGGTGGTGCATTCCTGGAGTCCCAGCTACTCAGGAGGCTGAGGTTGGAGGATCACTTGAGCCTAGGAGTTTCAGATTATAGTGAACTATGATTGCACTACTTCTCTCCAGTCTGGGTGACAGAGCAAGACTGTCTCTTAAAAAAAAGCACATGTCATTGTTATTCTGTAAAACTAAGTGTAAGAAATACGTTCCTTCTTGAATTATATGGGTGTAGATATACAATTATATGTATATGGGTGTATACACACATACACAGTCATATACATATATGCAACTAAACTGTCATCCCATTTATGAAAAATGAATTAAATTCTCTGAGGCTTTTCCTATGACTGTTAAGGCATCCGTCCTCTAATGTAATGCAACTGGATTTTTTGAACCCAAGTTTGGAAATAACTACTGTGAAGTTTTTTTCTTCTTCTCAGATTGATTCTGTTGCCTAATAATTACATTATTAACCTTCCAAGCTTAACATTTCTGCAAATTGAGAATTTTATTAAAAATACTCTCATTCAAGTCATTAATAACATGATGAACATGGATTTGTTTAGGAAACAACTATGTAACAGGCTAGCAGACACCTCCTGTCATACAACACAATTTATTAACATTCTCTGAGCATGGGATTCAACTGTGTGTGGATCCACCAAAATATTGTTTGGACCATATTTCTCCATCTTGTCCATGAGGATTTTATGAGCCACACTCTTCTGCCATTTAGATACTTCCCATGTATTTATTAAAGGAGCAATTCTTCAAAGAGTTCCCATTTTACAAAGCAAGTTTTAATTAGCCTATGATTAAATAACCTAGAGAAAATATTACATAGCATTTTCTCAAAAATAATTTAAATATTTTAAAGCAATGTACATTTTGGAAATGATCTTTTTAGAGATACTGTTTAAGTGAATCTGCTTATCATAAAAACTTCTGGTCTCGAAATTCTTTCCTAATGCCAAGTGTGTTATTAATTTTCTTAAATACCTCCAAAATATTAATTGATTTTTTTAAAAAAGAAAACTTGATAAGTCTTTTGAAAGGTTAAGTAATTTGACCAGAGTAGAAAACATTAATTATTGCTTGGTATAAACTCAGTTTGCTTGGGTATTGAGAGGTCAATAAGATTCAGCTTTTTATTTACTTGGATTAAAAAGAGCAGAGAGAGAAAAAAATCTACAGTAATCATAATCTTAGGCAAAGTCAAATCAGTAAGTGAAATTCCTGAGAACCAAAGTGTACCTTCTATTTACTTTGTAGTAGTCATTAAATCTGACATCTATGAAGCATTCAAAGTAAGGGCTATTATCTGACAAAAAAAAAAAACTGTCTTGTAGTTTGTCAATGAATTTGACATCTATGAAGGAAGGATTCACCCTAAAAGAAACTACTGACAAAAAATTGTCTTGTTCTGTAAGTGCTAAGTTGTAGTATGAATTTTATGTTATTTTTCTTCAGTGAAATGGGAGACAGAAGAGTAATAGATAAGGAGTAAGTTAACTTCTTACATCCTGTTCACCATTTTCTGTGATGTTGAGCAAGTCATACAGCCATATTATGCCTCAGTGAAGAGAAAATGTAACATTAAGTATGAAAATATTTTGTGTTTTTTTTTTTTTGAAAAAAAAGTCTTTATAAAAGGAAGGTACCATTTTTTTTACTGAAAGAAAAGGAACTAAACTGCTGAAAGGCCCAGTGTGGGTGGAGTCTGCTGGAGTTTTATAGTGAGGCAGCCATAAACAACCAACAAATCCATGCTTTACTTGCTGCACTTTGAAAAAATTTCTTTAGGACAGTTAACATATTCTAATTTTGGTTACATGTGAATATAGTTATAATTCACAAAGAAAACCAAAAAAATGAATTTATGAATTTGTATGTATTTCAAAAGATGTAAGTCCCAACCAAGGACACAAAACACCTCGGATCAATGGATGACCGTTAAACAAACTAATTTTAACTTTTAAGCTAACTTGTACTTAGAGTAGATATGTGAGAATCATGTTCAAATTAAAGTGGTCCTAGTGGAGAAACAAACATTTAAATTTTATTCGTTATGTATTTATTGTGTGCTAAGAAAAAGTAACTAATACATCAAAACCATGACTTCCTGGATATGATTCCTTAAGAGAAGGCAAAGGTAGATGTTTAAATTAAACAGGACCATTTAAATGGAAGGAAAAATAAACAGAAATAGTGCTGGTAGGACAAGGTAATGGTAAAAACCATGAGGACAGGCCGGGTACGGTGGCTCACACCTGTAATCCCAGCACTTTGGGAGGCCAAGGTGGGCGGATCACCTGAGGTCAGGAGTTCGAGAGCAGCCTGACCAACACGGTGAAACCCTGTCTCTACTAAAAATACCAAAATTAGCTGGGTGCGGTGGGCATGCCTGTAATCCCAGCTACTTGGGAGGCTGAGGCAGGAGAATTGCATGAACCTGGGAGGCAGAGGTTGCAGTGAGCCGAGATCACGACACTGCACTCCAGCCTGGGCAACAGACAAAGACCCTGTCTCAAAAAAGCAAAAACAAAAACAAAACAACAACAAAAAAAACCCATGGGGACGTATGTGAATAAAGGAAACAAAGAAAACAATGCCTTAATTTTTAAACATGTTGTGATGAATTTTTTTAAATGATAATTTCAAAGCAGCATTGAAAGGGATACTTTCTGATTACTTAAATAAGTGCTACGTTGACTATAAATGTCAACACCTGAATTAATTTGGTGAATAATATCAATGATATACATTCCTGAATTTTAAAAATATCAGAAATTCAAACTTCTGGACCTTCAACAATTTAGACTACAAGATACTTAGCTTTTATTTGAGAGAAAGACTACTTAGAAGAATGTATTTTAAAAACGATTATTTAAAAAACTAAAAAAAGTTGTTAAATACAATACTAAGTATTTTTGGCTTATTTGGGAGATGGCTTAAAAACAGCATCTTTGCTTCTTTGCAACACATCATATCAAGTTAATTTTAGTCATTCTCTCCTGTTTATTCTTCAAGTCACTCAGACATTTCCTGCTCCTTGCTCCTTGTACCCCCAACTGCTGTACTTCACAGTCGAATTGCAAACCATTTGTTCCTCCCAATATTTCATGCTTACCTACTTGCATTCGTTTCCCAGGACACCTGCGATATCCAACAGAATTGCGGGCTTCACAGGAATATTCTCCAGTGTCCAGTTTGGAAACAGTATTAAATTGCTATTTGTGGATGCAAAAATATATTTTTTTAAGCCATAGATCTATAAGTAGACTTTTTAAATAACCCTGTCCCTCAAATTTTAGCATTAAGTTTGTCTTTCCTTTTTAAAAATTTGGGACTTTCTGTCTTTACTATGAATTTAAAAATCTGCCATGACTTCAAGGAGTTTAAGCTAGACTTTTGCTTAATTTGACGAGAAGAACAAAGATAAAATACATACAGAGAAGTTCCTTTTTTTTTTTTTAACCATGAAAGCAGTACTGTTAGGAAGGCAATGAGTGTTTTTTAAAGTTCATAACACATGGTAGTATTAAGTAGTGTAGGTATTTCTAATTCCTAGGAAACATCATTTATAAATGAAGGGCAGGCCTCCCTGGTAAAAGGGTTAATGCACTTTCCTAAGTCACAAGCGAGTTCACTGCAGCAGCCAACAATAAACACTTCCTTTAAAGAGCCAGTTACTACCAGGAAGTAGCTTAGGGCCTAGGAAAATCTTAATTGGTATCGGTTTATAGGATTGTCGATTCTATCAACTCTAGAATTTTTTTAAATTTGAAAAGAAAAGCCAGCCCTTGCTCCTTCCCATCCCTGTCAAAGCAACCAAAAGCTAAGATTGATATAATAGACTTCGTTATTTTTATCAGTAGTTTTTATCCCCTTGGAGGATATTTGGAAGGAATGAAGGCAGACAAAAAGGAAGAAGAGGAGAAAAGAAAGAAGAGAGGGAGGGAGGGAGGGAGAAAGGAAGGAAGAGAGGGAGGGAGAGAGGGAGAAAGGAAGGAAGGAAAGAAGAAAGGGCTGGAGGGAGGGAAGAAAGGGAGTGTAATCCTGGTCACCTTGAAGGGTCATTGTCTTAGATCCTCCTAGATGGAGGGAGAGAAAGTTTTCCTGTTTTTCTTTTTTTCCACTCTATGGAATCATCTGTCACTCTCCTCAAAGCCAGAATGCTTTTAGAATATTCACCATGAACTCATGGCCAAGGTTACATATAAATAATATGTTAGACTAAAACCCAAAATGATCTTCCAGCATATTATAGCTGGTAATTAAAAGGAAGTCATTGGCTTCCATACACTGGAGTCTTTGTTGTTCATTTCTCACATAAGAACCTATCTTAGTTCAATCCAGGTGCATTCCTTTGACATCACAAGCTATTTCAAGGGTTGAGGTTAGCTGAGGAAAGTGAATCTGTATCCTTTCAGACTTGCCTTGGGGCTTTTACCAACTGCCCTGAGAAAAAATAAATTTGAAAAGTAAATATAGCAAAGTGTGACAGCAGGTTTTTCTGCCCAGTTGCTCAGTGTAAAATCACTCAGACCTGCTGACTGCGCCTGCTGACTGCTGAGAGGCCAGAGCTTAAGAAGTAACTGCATCCAATAGGCTTTATTATTCAGCCACTTTAGCAATTTGCTTTCTTGTTTATCAGAAGATCTGTTTGTAAATGTTACTGTGCACTTGTAGATGAAAGGAATGAAGCATTATATCCTCCTTTCAAAATTCATTAAAATTGGCTGGGTACGGTGGCTCACAGCTGTAATCCCAGCACTTTTGGAGGCCCAGGCGAGCGATCACTTGAGGTCAGGAGTTCAAGACCAGCCTGGCCAACATGGAGAAACCCCGTCTCTACTAAAAATACAAAAATTTGCTAGGCATGGTGGCAGGTGCCTGTAGTCCCAGCTACTCTGGAGGCTGAGGCAGGAGAATTACTTGAACCTAGGAGGCAGAGGTTGCAGTGAGCCAAGACTGCGTCAATGCACTCCAGCCGGGGCAATAGAGCAAGACTCTGTCTCAAAAACATTTTTAAAAATTATTAAAATTGTTATTATCACCACGCCTTTAAGTTTTTTTTTTTGATAATCGCTGTCATAGTGATTCTGCGTTGCTGGAAGGCAGACAATTTTAAACTGACATAGAATATTACATTGACTGAATTTTTTTTAAAAAGCTTCAAGCTTAATGACCCTTTTTTAAACTTCCACTTCTATTCCTATAATCAAAGATGAAAAAGTAAAATACTTTTTATTTTTAAATGTAATTAGCTTCACAGAGCTTGCTTATAGATTGTCATCAGTATTCCTAGAAAGTCTTTCAATAAGAATATTTTACTGGAGGAAACAGAATATCTGGACTCTAAAGTAATAGATACTAAAGTCACAGAGTCAACTGTTGTTGATCTACAGTCATGGAAATATTTAATGATATAGGAATCCTACCATGATTGACTACAGTTACTATTTTCACATGGTCAGGGTATCCCCAAGCAAGTTTTCATGCATTTTCCTGATGTTGTAAATTGAGACTGCACTTAGTAATTTTCCAGGCCAGAAGACAGCTGTAGATAACTGCCTGATTCATCATCATGAATCAGGCTTAGTGGGCTTTGGGGCACTGTTACTTAAGAAGGCAGCATGCATTTTTTTTTTTTTTTTTTTTTTTTTTTTTTTTTGAGACGGAGCCTGGCTCTGTCACCCAGGCTGGAGCGCAGTGGCGCGATCTCTGCTCACTGCAAGCTCCGCCTCCCGGGTTCACGCCATTCTCCTGCCTCAGCCTCCCGAGTAGCTGGGACTACAGGCGCCCGCCACCACGCCCGGCTAAGTCTTTTGTATTTTTAGTAGAGACGGGGTTTCACCGTGTTAGCCAGGATGGTCTTGATCTCCTGACCTCGTGATCCGCCCACCTCGGCCTCCCAAAGTGCTGGGATTACAGGCGTGAGCCACTGCGCCCGGCCGCGCAATTTTTAAAGTTTATAGCACATGGTAGTACTCAGTAGTCTAGGTATTTCTAATTCCTAGGAAACACCACCTATATAAATGAAGGCCTCCCTGGTAAAAGGGTTAATGCACTTTCCTAAGTCACAAGTGAGTTCACTGCAGCAGCAAATAATAAACATTTCCTTTAAAGAGCCAGAGTTACTACCAGGAAGTAGCTTAGGGTCTACGAAAATCTTAATTGGTATCATTTATAGGATTATCAATTCTAGAATCTTTTTAAATTCTGAAAAGATAAACACACAGCCTTTGCTCCTTTGTTTCAGGAGCCTTTGCCCCTTTGCTCTTTTACTGGTCCTTGCACAGTCAGCTCCCTCAGTCTCTGTTTTCTGTTCCCATGTCCTGTAGTAGCTCTTTCCATCACTTCGTGGTACAAGTGCTGCCATCTTTCCTGGTGCCCCTGCCTCTCTCCACTTAGCAAGCAATGGTATCAGCTCTCTATTAAACGTCATCTTAAGTTCTAATAATTTTTTTATCCAAATGCAAGACAGTTATCAAGTCAAATCTTGAAATGACCTTACCAGAGTTCCAGTTTTTGTATTCATTGTGTATGAGCTGTTGGTGCTTTGGGAGCCAAGTCTGGGATTTTCTAGCAAACGGATGCCATCCTTAAACCATGTGTATTCAGGAGCTGGATTCCCTTCTTTGTCTTGACATCGTAGCTCTACCACAGTTCCACTCAGAGCAGAAGAGGGTACTTCACATGATGGAACTGCTGGAGCCACTGAACAATGGAAGTCAAATGATATTGATTATTTATAAGCTAATCAAGGTTGTTTATTTTCTTCAAAGCTGTTGACTTTGTCTCTACAATCAATGGTTTTAATAGCCAGGTAAAGAGGTGTGATTACTGGACCCTGTGATAGAGACTGCTTACTTGTCCAACAAACCCATCTTCTTTCTTCATGGGCACACAGTCGACCATGTTTCCCAGCACTCTTGTTGCCAGATGGGGTCATATACATGAGTTCTGGCCAATGGAATGTGGGAAAAAGTGATATATCCCATTTCTGGGCCAGACTAATTAAAAACCTCCCACATGTTCATTCGTATCCTCCACCCCCTGCAACTACCAAGTAGGTGTCAACAACAATGGTGACCTTGGAACGTCATATATTGAAGATGTCAGAAGATTAGGTTGAGTCTCTAATGATTTCATGAAATAAAGTAATATGGCTCCTCCACCACTGTCCCAACTATTTAGGCTTTACTTAAGTGAGAAAGGAACTTACTATTAAGCAACTCACTGAGAGTTAAGGGCTTATCTGTTATAATAATAAGCATTACTTTAGCTTATACAACAGCTATTCTTTATTAGATAAACGATCTCTACTGTTTTCTTCAATTGGTTTATTACCACTTATATTTAAAAGAAGCCTAATGAGAGAGAGGGAGAGAGAGGGAGAGAGAGAGAGAATGTGTGTGTGTGAGAGAGAGCGAGAGAGAGAGTGTGTGTGTGTGTGTGTGTGTGTGCAGATAGATTTTTTTTTTTTGAGACAGAATCTCACTCTATAACCCAGGCTGGAGTACAGTGGCGTGATCATGGTTTACTGTAGCCTCAACCTCCCGAGCTCAACCCATTGATCCTTCCACCTCAACCTCCCCAGTAGCTGGAATATAGGCTCGAGCCACCACGACCAGCTAATTTTTAAAACTGTTTTTGTATAGACAGGGTCTCACTATGTTGCCCAGGCTAGTCTTGAACTCCTAGGCTTAAGCAATCCTCCTGCTTTGGCCTCCCACAGTGCTGGGATTATAGGCATGAGCCACCACGCCCAGCCAAACCTGAGTATTTTTTTCAGGCCCAGTACTCAACTATAAATCCCATTCTGTCTAGAACTGGCCAAGTTAGAAAATACCTGGTCCAGGTATTAGTGTTATTCTGGTCTCAGGGACTGGAAAGTAAACCAAACTTCATTAGGTGACCTATTTATTATCCAGCAAAACCCAGAACTGGCTGTATTCTAAGGTAGTCTCCCAAGATTGCAGTATTTCTACTGCAGAATTCTAAGGTGGTCTCCCAAGATTGCAGTCCTTGGTATAAATACACTTTTTTTCCAGTTATTCAATCAAACACTAATCTAGGTACTGTAGTAGAAAGATTTTGGAAATGTAACTAAGGCCCCAAAACCATTGTCTCTAAGATAGGATGATTTCATGAATGGGTTTGACCTAATCACATGAACCTTTAAAAGCAGAGAGTTTTCTCTGGCTGATTACAGAAGGAAAAGTCAGATATTCAAGGCACAAGGAGAAGGCTAGGTGTAGTGGCTTATGCCTGTAATCCCAGCATTTTTGGAGGCCAAGGCAGGAGGATCTCTTGAGGACGGGAGTTTGAGACCAGCCTGGGAAACATAGTGAGATCATGTCTCTACAAAAAAAAAAAAAAAAAATAGGTGTGTGCCTGTTGTCTCAGCTGAGATGGGAGGCTGAGATGGGAGAATCACTTAAGCCAAGGAGTTTGAGGTTGTAGTAAGCCGTGATCTGGAAGACAGAGCAAAATTTTGTCTCAAAACAACAACAAAAATGAAGTACAAGAATTTGATATGCTTTTCTTTCATTGAAGATGGAAGGGACCATGTAACAGGGAATGTGGTGGCCTCTAGGAGTTGAGTGTGGCCCACGAACTGATAGCCAGCATGGAACAGAGACCTCTCGGTCCTACAACCACAAGGAACCAAAATCTGGCAACACCAAGAATGAGCCTGGAAACAGATTTTCCTCGTAGCCTGTGGATGAGAACTCAGCCTTGTCAACACCTTTATTTCAGCCTTGTGATACTTTGGGCAGATACCCAGTCTTCTTGTTGGACTTCCGCTCTACAGAACTATTTAGTTGTTATGTAACACTAGAAAATGAATAAACTGGCCGGATCTGCTGCAAGGTTTTCTGATTTAAATTTCTCCTATACTAGTGCATCACTAGTATTTCAGAAGGAGCATGAACAACATGAAAAAGGAAGGGGGCTCCCTCTCCCTCTCCCCCTCCTCCTCCCTCTCCCTCCCTCTCTGTCTCCGTCTCCCCACGGTCTCCCTCTGATGCCGAGCGGAAGCTGGACTGTACTGCTGCCATCTCGGCTCACTGCAACCTCCCTGCCTGATTCTCCTGCCTCAGCCTGCCGAGCGCCTGGGATTGCAGGCGCGCGCCGCCACGCCTGACTGGTTTTCGTATTTTTTTGGTGGAGACGGGGTTTCGCTATGTTGGCCAGGCTGGTCTCCAGCTCCTAACCGCGAGTGATCTGCCAGCCTCGGCCTCCCGAGGTGCCGGGATTGCAGACGGAGTCTCGTTCACTCAGTGCTCAGTGTTGCCCAGGCTGGAGTGCAGTGGCGTGATCTCGGCTCGCTACAACCTCCACCTCCCAGCCGCCTGCCTTGGCCTCCCAAAGTGCCGAGATTGCAGCCTCTGCCTGGCCGCCACCCCGTCTGGGAAGTGAGGAGCGTCTCTGCCTGGCCACCCATCGTCTGGGATGTGAGGAGCCCCTCTGCCTGGCTGCCCAGTCTGGGAAGTGAGGAGCGCCTCTTCCCGGCCGCCCATCTTCTGAGATGTGGGAAGCGCCTCTGCCCCGCCGCCCGGTCTGGGATGTGAGGAGCGCCTCTGCCCGGCCGCGACCCCGTCTGGGAGGTGAGGAGCGTCTCTGCCCGGCCACCCCGTCTGAGAAGTGAGGAGCCCCTCCGCCTGGCAGCCGCCCCATCTGGAAAGTGAGGAGCCCCTCCGCCCGGCAGCCGCCCCGCCCCGTCTGGGAAGTGAGGAGCATCTCCGCCCTGCCGCCGCCCCATCCGGGAGGGAGGTGGGGGGGCGCCTCTGCCCGGCCGCCGCCCCGTCCGGGAGGTGGGGGGCCCCTCTGCCCGGCCGCCCTGTCTGGGAAGTGAGGAGCCCCTCTGCCCCGCGGCCGCCCCGTCTGGGAGGTGTACCCAACAGCTCATTGAGAACGGGCCATGATGACGATGGCGGTTTTGTCGAATAGAAAAGGGGGAAATGTGGGGAAAAGATAGAGAAATCAGATTGTTGCTGTGTCTGTGTAGAAAGTAGACATAGGAGACTCCATTTTGTTCTGTACTAAGAAAAATTCTTCTGCCTTGGGATGCTGTTAATCTATAACATTACCCCCAACCCCGTGCTCTCTGAAACGTGTGCTGTGTCCACTCAGGGTTAAATGGATTAAGGGCGGTGCAAGATGTGCTTTGTTAAACAGATGCTTGAAGGCAGCATGCTCCTTAAGAGTCATCACCACTCCCTAATCTCAAGTACCCAGGGACACAAACACTGCGGAAGGCCGCAGGGTCCTCTGCCTAGGAAAACCAAAGACCCTTGTTCACTTGTTTATCTGCTGACCTTCCCTCCACTATTGTCCTATGACCCTGCCAAATCCCCCTCTGCGAGAAACACCCAAGAATGATCAATAAATACTAAAAAAAAAAAAAAGAAAGAAAAAGGAAGGGGAGCTGTTTTAGTCTTGTAACTTGGTAGATTATACACCACCAATGAAAGAGAAGAGATCGTGTTCCTCCACAAACTACCATCTTGAGCTGTTACTATCAGTGATTCTTTTTATTTTTTTTTTTTTTGAGAAAGTCCTGCTGTCTCCCAGGTTAAAATGCAGTGGCACAATCATAGCTCATTGCAGCCTTGAACTCCTGGGCTCAAGTAATCCTCCAGCCTCAGCCTCCCAAGTAGCTGAGACTACAGGTGCATAACAACACAAATGGCTTTTTATTTATTTTTTTTTAGAGAGAGCGATATAGGGGACTCACTATGCTGCCCAGGCTGGTCTCAATCTCCCTGACCTCAAGGGATCCTCTCACTTCAACCTCCCAAAGTGGTGGGATTAGAGGCATAAGCCCCTGTGCCTAATCTATCCATGATTCTTATAGAAACTAAACATACTGGTTTTGGAGTTAACCCCATCTGGATTCAAATCTTAGTCCAGACACTTTCTAGCTGTATGGCCTTGTTAAATCATTTAACTTCCATTTGGTCATCTATAAAAATCATATTAATGAAGATGAAGTAAAATTACTTATGTGAAAAGGGCTAACATATCAGGTATATAATCAATGTCAATTTCCTTTATTTACCAAATGACTTCTAATCCTACCTTCAGTCTACTTTTTTGTGTGTTATTGCTTCTCCACCATCTCATGTGATACTACTTTAAATGGTTGGAGAAACTGTGTATATGCTGAAAACTATTGAAAAATAAACTCTCAGGAAAGATACTCCTATGTATATTGTAGGATCATTAGGAATTGCCTCCACCTTTAACAAAGAGATACTTTGTGATAACGCATTACTAAAATTTCAGCAGCCAATGAGGAGAGGGGGAGAAATGGCCAGGAGATTGCCAGGAAGGTGATGCTTATGGTCTCTGTAACTTGACTGGTTGAGGCTCCCAGTTGATGCTGGCATGTTTATGGACCAGTGCTTGCTTGCCCCCAGGGCTGGGTGGTGGAGAAGGAGTGGGAGACGTAGTCACACACATACATGCACATCACCTAATACTTCCAGAGTGACTGTATCCTCTTCCAGGTTTTGGCCTTGCTCAGATGGGGCACTAACTTCACAACGATATTTCCCCGCATCACTTCTTGTCACATTTTTGATCCGGATATTGAAATCTATCATCTCAGCTCGATTTTTAAAATCACCTTTTAGAAAAAGAAGACATTGATGTTAGTAATAATCCAAGTAGCTTTCTGTGTAATACCTTCCTCTAATCAGTTCATTTAGTAACCAAAGCATTTATTTCCCTTTTAATAAACTCAAGTTTAAAGCCTAAAAGTTGTATATAGATGCTGTTATTTAAAATTTTTCTTTTGGAAAGGACAGTTTTTAAAATGTTCAAAAGGCCAGGCATGATGGCTCACGCCTGTAATCCCAGCACTTTGGGAGGCCGAGGCCGGTAGATCACTAAGTCAGGAGTTCAAGACCAGCCTGGCCAACATGGTGAAACCCTGTCTCTACTAAAAATACAAAAAATTAGCTGGGTGTGGTGGCGGGCGCCTGTAATCCCAGCTACTGGGGAGTCTGAGGCAGGAGAATTGCTTGAACCCAGGAGGCGGAGGCTGCAGTGAGCCGAGATTGTGTCACTGCACTCCAACCTGGGCGACAGAGAGAAACTCAGTCTCAAAAAAAAAAAAAAATTCAAAAAAGCATAGTTTTATATTCTCATATTTTATTTCATTTTGATATCTAATTTTAGTTTACTGGCTAACTTTTTTGGCAGTGTTGTAATGCCTATGTTCAACCTTATACTTCTCACTGAATCAAAATTTTGAAATCTTTATGTGTAAGGTTAATAACTGTCAGTTAAGCAGTTCACTGAGCAATTAATGTTTTTGTCCATATGCAGTCAGATCTAATTGCTGCTGTAAGATAGTCATAATTTCTCCAGTTTCAGTCTAACATATACCTTATAGTAACAAGATGCAGGTGTGTACATATTTTCTAATTAGTTGGATGGCCCTTAACAAGCCATTTTAGGTCTTTGCCTTCACTCACATAAAACAGGGATAATAATATCTTTTTTAAAAAATTTACTTTCTAGGTAAGCAGACATAAGGCCATGTGAAAACATTTTGCTAAAAGTTGCTAAACAAACGTAAGGCAAAATTTGTAAGGTATTGTCATATTAATTATTTTCTAATATTTAACTGACCTTTTTCTAATGTAACAAATATAAAAATTGCGTATTTTCAGAACTATAAAATTCAGTAGTTATACAAGGTGAATTAAAACAGTAAAGTTGGTCATAATAATAAGTTCATTCATGTATGTTTTTATTTAATTATATTAAGAAATAATTATAAAATAGGTAAAATTTAGTGAAAGCATTGCTATTTATTCTGCTTAGGTGGTCTTGCCCATATCAGTGGATTGTCTGGCACTGGCCACTCCATCAGGTACTCAGACAGTCATATGGCCCATAGATTTTGTCAAACAGATTTGGCAATACAACTCTGACCTGTCTGTCAGTCCATATGCCAGATCAAGCATGTCAATCTCCTTGTCAGTGATTGTGTCTAACTTCTCAAATATGTGCTTTTCAAAAATGAGGTGACAGAGCAAGCCAAGGTTCCCTGCCATGCAACAAACCCATCAATATCTACATTATTTTCAACCACAACATCTAGCAAAGAGTCATCAACTTTTCCTTTGTTTGTTAATGTTTCACTGTTGGTTTATAAAGTGGACTGTTATTTTATCTTCCGAGCTGCTCTGGGCCTTCACTGACGTGTTTGATCTCTGGCTGACCCCAGTGCTCCCACCCCATCTCCGAGTGCCCAGCTCCCTGGCAGGCTGTCAGCTCTAGCATGGGCCCTGTGAGGAGCAGCTGCCAGCAGGCCTGGCCACTGAGGCCCTTCCACATTATGTATGTAAATTTTTTTTTTTTTTTTGAGACAGTCTTGCTCTGTTGCCCAGGCTGGAGTGCAGTGGCGTGATCTTGGCTTACTGCAAGCCATTCTCATGCCTCAGCCTCCCAAGCATCTGGGATTACAGATATGCACCACCACACTGGCTAATTTTCGTATTTTTAGTAGAGACGGGATTTCACCATGTTGGCCAGGCTGGTCTCGAACTCCTGGCCTCAAGTGATCCGCATGCCTTGGCTTCCCAAAGTGCTGGGATTACAGACATGAGCCACTGTGCCCAGCCCCATGTTATATTTTAAAGAATTGAGCTCAAATGCTTGCCTCATTCCCTTTCTAGTTCCCTTGTAAAAATATTCATGTCTTCAGAAAACCAGGGAGTCTGGTTTAATTGACTGGAACAGTAACTTTATGTGTGGTGGCTCACGTAACACTGCGGCACAAGAAAAGATGGTTAAAAACATTATTTTATTTTTTGATAGTAACATATTCAGAATTAAAATAGTGTTTTGCACCCGGTGTGGTGGCTTGCACCTGTAGTCCCAGCCAATTGGAAGGCTGAGTGGGAAGATTGCTTGAGGACAGAAGATTGAGGCCAGCCTTGGAACATGGCCAGATCTCATCTCTTTAAAAAAATGTAAAAATTAGGCAGGTACAATGGCTCAAATAAATAGTGTTGCATAAAATAATAGTTTTGCATTTCTGCATATGCCAGAAATGGCAACTACAAAAAATTCAAGTGAAGACAGCTGTGCTATTAACACCTTACAGCTAGTAGTCTTATCTTGACAGATAAGAACTTGAGCAGATATTTTAAATTTTCTATAAACTTCAAACATTTTCACTTAATTCTTTAACATTAAAGAAATACATAGTATTTTAAAATCATAACATGTTTATTTTAACTTGTAAAATTGTATTTCCAGCTTTAGAAATATTTATAATGGAAAGATTCAAGCATACACAACATTAGAAAGTGAAGTGAATTGTACCTCAATGTATCATTGACCAGCTATAATAGTAATCAATGCATGGTTTATCTTGTTTCATCTGTATCATTAACCACTGGTTTATTTTGAAGCAAATGGACATTATAACAGTTCATCCATCATTATCAATATTTTAAATTATAAGTTCATCACATATTCAATGGCAAGAGTAGGTAGTAGAAAGAAATGTATAACAAAAGAAAAAAAAGAAAAGAAAGCACTTGATAATGGTTGCTGTCATAACCCACCCATAAGTCTTAACTCCCTGAGCTTCTCAGTGGTGGCCTACCTTTCAAATGGAGTTAAGGAAATAGGGTGACAGCATTATGACTGAGAAGCAACCTTCCATTTCCAAACCACACCATTTTTTAATTCCTTTCCCTCAGGAGTTTATCTATAGCCAGGCAAGTGGCTCACACCTGTAATTCCAGTACTTTTGGAGACCGAGGCAGGAGGATGGGTTGAGCCCAGGAGTTCAAGACCAGCCTGGGCAACATAGGGAGACCTCACCTCATCTCTACAAAAAAATAAATAAATAAATAAAATTAAATTAGCTGAGCATACTGGTGTGCACCTGTAGTCCCACCTACTTGGGGACTGAGATGGGAGGATAACTTGAGCCCTGGAGGTGGAGGCTGCAGTGAGCCATGATCATACCACTGTGCTCCAGACTGGGCAAGAGAACAAAATCTTGAAAAAAGAAAGAAAGGCAAGAAAGGGAAGGAAGGAAGGAAGGAAGAGAAAGAAAGAAATAAAGAGAAAGAAAGAAAGAAGAGAAAGGAAGGAAGGAACGGAGTTTAATCTACTGAGCCAATAAGAGCAATTGCATTTTGCATACTTTATGCCTGAGTTGAGAGAGAAGAGTCCAGGGATTCAGTGGGCTTCACCTCCCTCTGTTCTCTGCTTTTGTGGCTATTGTGTTTTATGTCTCAGACATGGTTGCTTTCATCTCACACTTACAAAAACACATTTTCAGTAATCAGTCATGTCCGATCTCATTTGCCAATTAAAGGATCCTGGTTGTACTTGGCATTCTCTTGCTCACACCTCTTCAAGCCTACAGCTGCTTACCTTGAAGAGTCTGTTGATAGTAGACAAAGGAGACACTCCGACCCAGTTTCTTCCACTCTAATCTGGAGGAAACAGTCTTCTTTGGGGTTTTGCAGGCTAAAATAGCCTCTAGGAACAACAATAAAAATACTTGTTTTCTAATTGTCCCCATGAATTTATATTTTACTTAACTAGGTAACAAAATTGTAAACAACTTTAAATTACTCCTTTATAGTTTTATTCATTCATTCATTCATAAATTACATCAACAGGTCCCATGAATTGGAAGCCTTCTAGCTCTTCCACATAGTAACTGTATGACACTGTGCTTATTTCCCTGGTTATCAAGTTTGAGTTTTCATCTGTAAATGGGCTAGTATTTCACAGAGTTGTTGTGAGTCTTCAAATGCAATAAGATATGCAAAGCACACAGGCTTGGACATAGTAAGGACTTAACAAATGGCAGCTATGATTAACTATGTGTCTTATTATTCCCAGTGTCAGTCTTGAAGGAGTCTACCATCTGGTAGAAGAGGCAACTAAGATAATGGCGTTTCAGCCCAGTGTTGCTGAATACCAGCTATGCAGATGGTGATTCATGCTTAGTACCCAAGAAAGGCACTGAATCCAGCCAGGGACATGCTGGGAAACTCAGAAAAGTTTCCACAACATGCTATATTCTCACTCAGATCCCTTCTTTGTCAACCTTCTCTACAAATACATTAATACCTATCCAATATGGTCTCCTAATAAATCATTGATTTTTACCCCCAAACAACTGCCTATATAACCTTGCCTCAGTCCAGATAATTATTAAAGTATTAAATCTTAGCATCAAGTGTAACTGCCTCAATGTAGCTAAGTTCTTTTATTACAAGAAATTTACTGCAATTGTGTCATTAATACTTGGAGCCTCCAAAGGAACCCCCTTCTTTTCACTGTCCAAACGAGATGTCTGAGAGAAAAAAAAAAAAACAAAAAACCCAGTGCCAGTCTGGGAACTGCCTCAAGTTGCCAAATGGAAACCTCCAGTTATAAATATTTTTAAAAGTATTTTTTTAACCAGGCTCTCTAGAATGTCAATTCCATGTTTCTGAAATACTTTTTTCCCCACAAGGCATATGGTTTGACCTAAAAAAGCACAGTATCTTTGACCAGAAATTATTTTAAAATCCTTTTCATACCTTTGATTTTAATGTTAAGCAAATGAATGTTAAAAAAGAATGCAGAATATTTAGTTTCTAATTTTTTTCATTCCACACATATTGCTGGACATACAAAAATGGAATAAAAGGTAATGGAAAATAGAAAGTAGGGCAGAGAAAAGAAAGGCAAGGAAGAAAAGAACCAAAAGTTGTTTTCAAGAATGTCTAAAGTTTTTAAAGCAGGTTTTACATTACAAAGAGACATCATTTTACAGACATGTTTACAATTATGCTACAAAGACAAACGTGTGCTAAGGGACCTGTCTGAGGAAACACAGTTCTTTTCTGTTGATTAAGGAGAATGGGTGGTGACCTTCCGGAGTCTTGAGTTGTAGATAGGTTTCCTTCCGGTATTTTGTGAGTTTCCAACAATTAAACACACACCCACACTCATTTTTAGCCTATTCCTCATGTCTTCTGTGTCTTAAGAGTAATTTTACACTTAAATAATTGCATTGTTTTACATATTTAGATACGCATGTGTGTGTGCGTGCGTGTGGGCGCGTGTACACACACATACACACACACACACACACACACACACACCCCTCCTGGTGAATTCTTCCTAATTTCTGTCCTTATTGCGCTGTGGAAAAACCTCTATGAAACTTATACTAGAAAATATAGCAATAATTTTCCTAAGTCCAGTGACTTCACTCCAGCCTCTCTCTCGCTGGCCATGTAAAATGTCGAGAAATGGTTTATCCAATTCATCCAAAATAGGTTGAGTACTTACTGTCTGCCATGCATTGTTCTTGAGCTGTATCAGTGAACGAAACAAAGATCCTTGCCCTTTGGGATCTTACAATTTAACAGGGGAAGTCAGATAAACAAGAAACATAATAAAGTGAATTACTTAGTACGTTAGCAGTTGATGAGGGTTATGAAGACAAAAGAGAGCAGAGCAGAGTACAGGGGGTTTGCAAGTGCTAGGGACAGGGCTACAATTTTTGAAAAACAGTAGCCAGAGTTCACCTTATTTAGAAGGTGATATTTGACCAAAGGTTTAAAAGAGGGAGAGAATTCATTATATGGTTCTTTGAGAAAGAAGATCCCAAGCAAGGAAAGAGCCAGTGCCTAGGCCCTTGGGTACTAATGCCTTGATTTTGAACTTCTAGCCTCCAGAACCATGAGAGAATAAATTTCTATTGTTTTAAGTCACCTGGTTTGTAGTATTTTGTAATGGCAGCCATAAGAAACAAATGCAGAGAATAAAAATACTGGAATCATGGGGTCAATATCTGAGGATAAGGAAGTAAATGAACTTACAACCTAACTCTCATGAATTCTCTTCTCTCTCTTCAGCCAAAATTCAGTACTTATGCCAGCATAATTTTCTGTATCAGGCTTTAGGGTTATTGCGCTATAACATGGTAGCTTATAGCAGAGGCTTCAGAGTTAGACCTCTACCATATACTCCGTATGTGATATTGGGAGAATTACTTTTTTTGAACATTATATCCACATCTGTAAAATGATAAAAAGAACAGTACTCATCTTACAAAGTTGTCACTAAGATTAAAGAGACACTATATTTACATGTGTGATGCACATGGCACCACCTTACATATAGTATGTGCTCTGTAAATGGTCATTATTGTTTTCACCCTTGAAGAATTTCTCTTAGTTATAGTTGCAAGCTTGCCTTGACGTAGAAATATATACTTTATACCATCACAAATTTACCTATAAATCACTCCAATTTGAAATAAAATGTTATCTCTGTAGGAGATAGCAAAAAATATAGATATAAATTATATTTTCTCAACCTAAGGCATATTAAAAACAGGAAAATATGCCAAGTCTTTTCTATTAAGGGGATTATTTCATTGCCAAAATATCTATTTCCTTTAGATCAAGAAAAGAGAATTCTTTGTTTATAAAAAGCATTAGCAACAACATGTGGCAAAATAATCACATTTAGGAATCGCATAGATAGAATCATTATGAATTTTAATTTTCCTGGATTCTGTACTGCTAATTATCCTTTGATTTCATTCTCAGGGCTCAAGTTAAAAATCATCAAAATCATACATAACACAAAAAGAGAATTGATACTACCAAAATAGCTCTGACTTAGCAGAAATTACTTCTGTGAAGAAATGCTTGCTATTAAACTCTAATTTATAGCTTTCAGGTTTAGACTCCCTTTGCAGAGGGCTGCTCATGTAATTTACAAGCCTGGCAGAGCTGCCCTGATTTCAGTCTCCTTCTGCTCTTGGCACTATCATGGGAAGTGATACAGCACAGCAGCGCTGGAAAGAAGGAATTAATTCATAATTTCTTGACCTCAGAGAAACAAGGCATAACAAATGAACAAATAGGGTGAAACACACATACACATATACACAAATCATAAAATATTATAGACTTACGGCAAAATTAAGTTACTGCATCTAGTCCTAAGACTAAAATGTAGAAGAAACAGAAATGTATTTATGCCTTATGAAGAGCCAAAACTGGAATGATGGAGACACATATACAATAGAATTAAAATGAAATTCTTAATTAAAAAGAGGTGAGATGAAACAAGAAAATAGAAAACACTTATTTTGGAGTGAGATTAACATTTGCTTGCAATACATTATGGAAGGATTTTCTATATTAAAAATAAAACATGCATTAAAAAGTAATGCAGATGGGTACAGGGTTTTGTTTTGGAGTGATGAAAACATTTTGGAACTAGGTAGAGGTGGTGGTTGCACAAAACTGTGAATGTGTCAAATGCCACTGAATTGTTCACTTAAAAACTACAAATCTCAGGTTATGTGAAATTCACCTTGATACATTTTTTAAAAAATAATGTAAGGTTAAAGAATATAATTTTGATGTCCTAACTCAGATATGATGGGAGAGGATATACATCCACTGCACCCAGTTGGACCCAGCATTAAGAACCTCCAAGAAAGTGAGAAGTGGAACTGAACTTCACTTCCTTGGTCCCTCAGGGACATCCTGGTCCATTTACCCCTCTCGCACTCTGTGCTCACCCTTGTGGCCTTTCCAGCTTCCATTCTGGCATCTCACCCAGCCCTGTTTATCCATCCTGGAGGTGCTCCATAGTCCCAAATTCCCTCAATCGTTAATTTCCTCTTCCCACCTCTCTCCGTTTAAAACTAACTCATACCAGAGTGTTCTATAGCTTAAGCATATAAAATGTTAGAACTTAAGAGAACTTAGTTAACCTAATAATTTTTTAAGTAATTTGTTATTAAATTACTCATTTTTTAAAATGATGAACTTTTTTTTTTTTTTTTTTTTTTTTGAGACATTCTCTCTCTTTGTTGTCCAGGCTGGAGTGCACTGGCATGGTCATGGCTCACTGCAGCCTCAAACTCCTGCACTCAAGTGATCCATCCACCTGCCTCAGCCTCCTGAGTAGCTGGGACAACAGGTGTGCACCACATGTCTGTCTAATTTGTTTGTTTTTTTGTAGAAACAGGGTCTTCATGTTTTCCAGGCTTATCTCAAACTCCTGGCCTCAGGAGTTTGAGATTACAGGCATGAGCCACCACTCCCAGCCAGGACTGATTCTTACTACAGCATATTTTTACTTAACAAGCACACATAATTCATATTATGTGTTAGGCACTATTGAAAGCACTATGTAAATATTAACTCATTTAATTCCCCCCACTCCAGGCCTTTACTTCAATCTTTGTCTCTTTCCTTCAAACCTATCTTTCTCCAGCTCCAGGAACCTAAGACATACCTGATGATGAGAGATCAGACATTTAGGATCTGTTTCTTAAATGTTAATAAGCTCTGGCCTAAACAAGTATTAAATTTAAGAAATAGTAATTCTTCTGATTGCCCAATATTATTAATTGTATAAAAGATAAAGGATCCTTTGGAAAAGTAGTAGGTGATCAATATTTGAAATAAACTTATAGGGCAGGTGTGGTTGTTCATGCTTGTAATCCCAGCAGTTTGGGAGGCCAAGGTGGGCAGACTGCTTGAGCCCAGGAGTACAAGACCAGCTTGGGCAATGTGGTGAAACCCTGTTTCTACAAAAAAATACAAAAAATTAGCCAGACATGGTGGCCTGTGCCTGTAATCTTGGGTGGCTGAGGTGGGAGGATCACTTGACCCCGGAGGTAGAGGTTGCGGTGAGCCGAGATCATGCCACACTGCACTCCAGTGTGGGTGACAGATGGAGATCCTATCTCAAACAAAATAAAGCAAAACAAAACAACAACAACAACAATGAAAGCTTATTAAAAAGCCCATATATAGGTTACTAGTTTCTTTTGACAATTTTTTAACTGTGGCAAAATAAACGTAAAATTCACCATCTTGACCATTTTTAACTGTATAGTTCAGTAGTATTAAGTATATTGTTGTGCATATAACAATCTCCAGAACTATTTTATCTTGCAAAACAGAAACTTTATGCTCTTAAATTAACTCCTCCTTATAAACATTTTTAAGAAGCTAAAATAGATAAGAACATGGTACCCCAAAGTAAGCTATATTAACATCACCTTAAATACACAGAGTGGAGTTTGAAGTGTTCATTTCTATGTATCATATCTAGCTGGCTAGAAACTTTCCAAGCTCTCCATCTCCCAGTTTCACAAATTAGATTTGCTTTGTGCAGATAATTTAAGTTATAGGAGACCTTCTTTGCACATCCGGTCTTTTATTGAATATCGAAAATTTCCACTGAGGAGGTGGAGTAAATGTTCTTGAGGTGGAGTCAGCATGAAGCAGCATTTCAGGCAGAGGAATTAGTAGAAGGTAAGGCAGAGAATCCCAACAAATAGAAAATAACATCACACGAGTCACTCTCGTGAGTTATTTAAACAATACAGCCTGTGAAAATCAGTAAGATACTGTACCTTGGTACTCTACTGCTGTGACTACTTGTTGGTCTTTTGGGGCAGAAAACCCATAGGCCTTATGATCTGAAAGATTAAAACAGATAGGATAATTAAAATTATACAAAAGTTCATTTTCAAATGTCTGAATGGGATGCAATAGTCAAGAAAACTGTCCTAAAGTTTGGTGACAAGTTTACCCAATTCATAACACATAGTTTTAAAGGATCAAAATAGGAAAAAGCAAATGAAACTATACATGTTTATTTTCTAGATTGTAGCTTTGGCCTTTAAGCATTTTCCAAAGTAGAATCCATGCATCTATTTGGACCCCACCCCAGACAACACACTCCTGCCAGCCCGATCATTGAAAAATAACTTACATCCTTAATTCAGCTTAATATGCAATCTAGTGTCACACGGTATTGCCCCACAAATAAAAGCTAATTCTCTTTAGGCTTATTTAAAAGTATAAATAGCTTTATGAATTTATCCTTGACAATACCCATGTCATATAGAAATGAGTCATTTTACATACTTTTGATGAAATTTGTATATATATATAATAAATGTATATAAGCTGTATATGAAATTATGATGAAAAATTCAAGCAGAACATCTTTATTTTTTTCCCCAAAACATTTCAATGATTTTTGAGAGCCGGTCTATAGACTGAAGTAACTGACTGTGGTGGCTACCACTACTGTGATCTAATAGTTACATGACGCTGCTGTTGCTTATTATCACTCCCTTAAACTAACACAGAAATTTTCATTTAAAAAGGCACCTTTGATACAGATAGGAGACAGGAAGTACTGGGTAGAAGAAGGCAGTTCCCTGGCAAAGGCCCCACCCTCAGGCCTGGAGACCCGTGACCCTCAAAGGGGACAGGCATTCCTGTTTTCATGCCCCAAAAGTTGCCTTTTGTCCCACCATGCCCCTGTCCTGTACCTATATAAACCCCAAATCCCAGGTTCTAGAAGCAGATGAGCAGGCGAGGAGATGAGGAGACAAGCAGACAAATGGCGGAACAACAGGGCAAAGAAAGATAGATGAGGAGAGACGTCTGAACACCGAGAGGAGTTCGACTGGGGGTGGTCAGAGAAGTATTCGGCCTCTGGATGGCCAAACTCCAGGAAAAGACCATCTTCCCACTCCATCCCTTCTTCCAGCTCCCCATCCATCCTGCTGAAAGCTACCTCCACCACTCAATAAAACCCTGCATTCATCCTTCAACCCCGTGTGTGACCCGATTTTTCTGGGATGCTGGGCAAGAGCTCAGGATACAGAAAGCTGTCACACTGGCCCTCGGCCCATGCGAAAAGGCAGAGGGTCCGTTTAGCTGGTTAACACTCAGGCCATCTGTGGATGGCAAGGCTAAAAGGGCACATTGTAACACACACCCACATGGGCTCCTGCAGCTGTCTGTCTGCATGCTGCCCCTCCCCTCAGGGATTCAAGCAGCGGTGGCTACAGAACAGGTGAGCCACACCCCTGTCGCACGTCCTGCGAGGGGGATCAGGGAACTCTCCCATTTCACCTTCACATACTTGCTTTTATGCTGTAAAATTCAATATTCAAAATAACCTGGTGTGGTAGGCATTATTAGTACTAAAGAAGAAAGTATCAGAAAGTATCAATATAACTTTCTAATTCCGTCTTTGATCTACATCACTTTCTTTATGGATGTCATTCTATACTCCAGTGTAATGACCACGTTTAAAAATAATTTAAATACTTTCCTATAAGTATACATATCTAAAATATAAATGCTACAAGTGCAAGTCTGTCGCCTGTTATAGTCTCTGAAATTAACGCAAACACTCAGAACAGTGCCTGGCATAAAGCAAGACACAATAAATGTTTGTTGAATAAATGAGCCCATTCCTTATTGTATACTAATGAGAAAAGTCCAGTAAATGAGGTCGGATCAAACTGATACTAAGGAAGAGTTCCTGAAGGCAAGCAATTCTTTTTTTCTTTTTTTTGAGACGGAGTCTCGCTCTGTCACCCAGGCTGGAGTGCAGTGGCACAATCTCAGCTCACTACCAGCTCCGCCTCCCGGGTTCACGCCATTCTCCTGCCTCAGCCTTGGGAGTAGCTGGGACTACAGGCGCCCGCCACGACGCCCGGCTAATTTTTTGTATTTTTAGTACAGACAGGGTTTCACCATGTTGGCCAGGATGGTCTGGATCTCCTGACCTCCTGATCCACCCACCTCAGCCTCCCAAAGTGCTGGGATTACAGGCGTGAGCCACTGTGCCCGGCCAGGCAAGCAATTCTTTGGGGAAAGTATTGTAAGTATACAATATTGGATTGGTATTAATTGTTTCAAACTCAGAATAATGCAAAGCATTATTGTTGGTTGATATGGTTTGGCTGTGTCCCCACTCAAATCTCATCTTGAACTGTAGTTTCCATAATCCCCATGTGTTGTGGGAGGAACCTGGTGGGAGGTAATTGAACCATGCTGTTCTCGTGACAGTGAGTGAGTTCTCACGAGATCTGATGGTTTTATAAGGGGCTTTTCCCCACCTTCACTCTGCACTTCTCCTTGCTGCTGCCATGTGAAAAAGGATGTATTTGCTTCCCCTTCTGCCACGATTGTAAGTTTCCTGAGGCCTCCCCAGCCATGCTGAACTGTGAGTCAATTAAACCTCTTTCCTTTATGAAGTACCCAGTCTCGGGTATGTCTTTATTAGCAGAGTGAGAACAAATACATTGGTCATCTCAAGTAGACAATTTAGGCAAAACAATCCAACTGCTGTCCTTCGTTATTCACCCAAAAAATTATACATGATGTAAGAATGAATTAAGCCTATCATGAAAATCTAAAGAAGGTTATTTCTCGACTATATATTTCTATAGTTTACTTGAAATGCTATTTCTCCACTCATGCTACCATCTGTTCTCTGTCTTCCTGTGGTCTACTGACCCTGTTTTCACCAAGACGAAAATGACCTATCTGTTGGCATATCTAACGGACACTTTTCAGTCTGTATCTTACCTGACCTCTCTATGACATGTGACTCTGTTGACTCCCTTGTATTCTGTAACTTGATTCTCTCCTAGTCTTCATCCTTCTGTTCTGATCCTGGTGCTTCATTCTGTCTGCTTTGTGAGTTCTTCTTCCTCCTCCTTGTTCTGCCCATCCATCCATCCATCCATCGATCGTCATCCATCCATCCATCCATCCATCCAGAAACTGCTTTTCTGACTAAACTACCTCCTTTTTATGGAGTATTTTGTACTCTCATTGACCCAACTAGCATTTATTTGCTAAAAAGTCATAACTCCACATCTCCAGCTCCAATCTGTCTCTTGAAATTAAATTTGTAAGCCCAGCTTTCTGCTGGACATCTGTATTTCCATTTCCCACAATTACCACAAACTCATAGGCAAAACTGATCAGCTTGCCCCCAAACTTTGTCTTATTTTTACAAATCCCATCTCTATGTAAAGCATCACATTCCATGTGGCCACTCACACCAGAAACTTAGGTGCTGCCCATGATGCACCCATCCTCTCATCCCTTCATTCATCAGCTTCCATCTGCAGACTAAGAATTGTGAGTCATCCATGAAAATGTTCTGAAGTATTTTTCCTTCCATCTCTTTCCCATCTCTCACCTTTATGCCACAAAGTGCTCAGGGAAGAGATATGGACAGCCAAACCTGAGAGAGAAAAATAGGGTATGTTCTGCCTTTCCACATCAAAAGTCCTAGCCATTAGATTAATGGAAAACATTCACAATTTAGGCAAACATTTAAGAGAAACCATCATGAGTAAATTACACCTGCTTTCCAGACTTAGAGTACAGAGAAGGAAGTAACTTAGAGGACAAGGACCTTGATGGACCCTTGAGAAAGGATAATAATAGCTAACATTTATTAAGCACTTGGCGCTTTACAAGTATTAACTCATTTGACTCTTACAATTCTCTGTGGCAGGGTACCATTTGTACTCACATTTTTGAGGGTGGGAAAACTGAGGCACAAAGAGAGTAAGAAACATGGCCATGATCATAGAAGAAGTAAGCGGTGGCATTTGGCTTTGGACTCAGTCAGTACCTGAAGCCCACATAGTTAATTACTGTGCTATACTAGGCCCACACCGTGATCCCCGCAAGCTGAACACTAGCAAGGATTGCAGATTAACAAAGATTCCAGGTGGAAAGTTTCATTGGTCTAATGAAGACAGGAGAGTTTGAGAAATTGGTGGTTAGAATGAAGGCAAAAGACTGGCTCTGAAGCACAAAAGGAAGGTGGAAGCTAAGAGGCTGATCTAGGAAAGTAGGACACCAACGTAACCCCAGAGGGGAGGTCTAGGTGAGGGTTTCTTCATCTTGACACTAGTGATATCTGGCACTCAATCATTCTTTGTTGTAGGGGGCTGTCCTGTGCACTGTAGGATGTTTTGCAGTATCCCTGGCTTCTACCCACTAGATGCCGGTATCACCATGCCCCCAAGTGATGACAACTAAAAATGTCCCTAAATAGTAAATGTCCCCTGAGAGATGGGTGTAAAGAAATCACTCCTGGTTGAGAACCATTGCTCTAGACTTAGACCAGTTTGAACAACCAGGAACAGGAATAAACCAATAGACTATAAAGAATGGCAAAGAACCATGAATTCTAGGATTTTGAAAAGTTTGTATAAAATCAGAATTGTGTAACTATGAAAGAGAATTGATTATACTCCTGGAAAGGAGAGAGAAATCTTTCATATGACATGACAACTCTTCTTTGATTTATTCATCTCTATATATCAACATGTAAATTAGTCTTCCATTGTGCTAGATTTTATCACTCTTAAGGAGCACACGCTATTCTGGAGAATTTCTTTTTTCCCTTAAAAGCCTGGACAGCAAATCTAATTGTGAAGTTAAAATTTGCAGAACTACTTTGAGAGGCCAAGGAAGGAGGATCACTTGAGGCCAGGAGTTTAAGACCAGCCTGGGCAACATAGTAACATCCCCCATCTCTACAAAAAATTTTTAAAAATTATCTGGGTGTGGTAGCACCTGCCTGTAGTCCCAGCTACTTGGGAGGCTGAGGCAGGAGGATCACTTGAGCACAGGCGTTTGAAGCTGCAGTGAGCTATGATCGCACCACTGCACTCCAGACTGGGCAACACAGTGACTCAAAATATATATTTTTTTAATTTGCAAAAGTCTGTGGGACACAAATTACTAGATTTCTAGTATAACAGGAAAACCAGTGATATGCAGGTTCAATAGCTCTAAATGGCAAACATATTCAATAGGGAAACTGGCAAACGTGGTGTCTATGTGAAGAGTACAGGACTGAACTGATCCTTTCTATTGACAGCTGTAAATATGTCTGTAGAAAGCAGTGACCCATGTGGCTCAATCTTAGAGAGGTGTCAAGTCCACCAGGGAGTCATTTCAAAAGAACTCTTTTGCTTGTATATTTCAAGAACCATGAAAGGGGTCCATGCAATCTTTTTAAATATCCTTTTCCACACACTTTGATCACATAGCAGCTGTTCTTTCTTTTCTCTTCCCCCATATCCCTTTCTTCTCCTGCATTCCTTTATTTCCTAGCTTCTCTTCTGCTTCCCACATGTTATAGACTCCAAAGATAGAGTCTGAATCTTCAGAGAGCAGAGGAAGGAATGAGACAGGAGACCAAGCCAGAATCCTCTTCAGTGAGGTAGGGAAGACGGGACCTACCTTGTTGCTTTACTCCTACTTTTATTTATTTTTTATTTTTTAAATTTTTGAGACTGAGTCTCGCTCTATTGCCCAGGCTGGAGTGCAATGGTGCAATCTCGGCTCACTGCAACCTCCACCTCCTGAGTTCAAATGATTCTCATGCCTCAGCCTCCTGAGTAGCTGGGATTACAGGCATGCGTCACCACACCCGGCTAATTTTTGTATTTTTAGTAGAGACAGGGTTTCACCATGGCTGTTCTCAAACTCCTGACCTCAAGTGATCCACCTGCCTCGGCCTGCCAAAGTGCCACCGCGCCTGGCCTACTCCTATTTTTGATGACAAAATCTCTGAACATTTTTGCCAGTGATTCCAATGCCAAACCATTGTTCTGTGAAACTTTCAAAGTATACTTTGAAAAAGTCTGTTTGTCTCCTTTAACACTGTGTGAATTAATGCCCTCGGAGAAACTCTACTTATGACTGACAATTCTTGTGATTTCTGAAATATTTTATTACACTTTTTAGAGAAAACAATGAAGACTCAAATTCCCTGAAAACCAGTCGAGGAAAACCTCGGGGCAAAATAGGGAAAGATAATCTTTGTTCCCTCTGTATCATCATACCTTTGAACTTTTCAAACATCACACTGCCTACTGAGAATGTTTATTTTCTTCAGTAGGTTCTGGCCTTCCTTCATTTCAGGCAAACTTTAGTACACTCTGAGATTATAAGATTTAGGAACTGGGTTTCAGGAATCATTGAGAAAGAAAATCATTTTCTCTTTCTCAATTACAGTTTTCTACTTGTTAAAATTTCCTTTAAGAAACATTTCTTAAATTGTCAAAAATTACTATAAAATTTCTGTGAAAAATAACAGCTGTTAGCTTCAGGAATTTTGTTAATTCCCTTGTACATTTTTTATGTGTATATTAATATTTGAACAGAAAAACGATGTATCACAGATGTTAAAAAAGAGGATTAGTTGAATTGGCAAAATTATGTAGGCAAAAAATTATAAAGGGAATTAGCTTTAATAAATTAATTATCGGTAGTATTTCTTAGTAGCTGAATATTTATTTCCTTTTTTTTTTCTTTTTGTGTGTATAAATTTAAGGGGCACAAGTGCAATTTTGTTACATGGGTATATTGTGTAGTGGTGAAGTCTGGGCTTTTAGTGTAGCCGTCATCCAAACATACATTGTACCTATTTTTGTGATTTTAAGTATCTTCTCCTTCTAGCTACCTTTCTTCCTCTAATTCTATTTACTTCAGGGTTTACCAACAAATTAAGTAAAAATATTTAAAATGTATGGTCACTTATGTGGAACTTATTTGAACAGAAAGCTCTGAATCTTTAAATTAAAAAAATTTATAAGATTTCTACCTTGTTTTAGCCTTTCTAGTCTTAGAGTTCCTTTTTACAAAACTTGTACCTAATAACTCTTTTTATAAAAACAAAATGTTGGATTTTATATCAGCATATCACTAGCAGATGTTAGGTATAGCCCCTGTTGGCTGCATTCTTGAAGTGATTTTTATTTTTTCTTCACTTTTCCAGAACAAATTAAATAGGAAAATAAACAAAAGAAAATGGTCATGTAGGCCTGCTGGTTGAGGTCAACAATTGTCTTAAAGTTAGCCTCAGAACATCTTTAACAGTTATGAACATGTTCCAAAAGCACTGGCAGAAGTTCATAAAATAAGGTGAAGAGATGATTATTTTCATAACTGCTAACAACTCCAAGTCAAATAATTCCCAGTCAAATGAAACCTTTTGTGTTTCTTTTCCTCCCAACTTTAAAAACAAAAGTTTTTGTATTCTCTATTACTCATCTAAGATAGTCTGGTTTGACTAAGAATATATACTTTATATTATGACAATTTTAAAATTACTATAAAGGTGTTATTTAAATTAACACTTTTAATTGAAAACATGACTAGGAAAAACTGGAGAAGTGTTACATAAGTTGTTTTTTTTTTTTCTTTTTCTTTTTTTTTTTTTTTTTGAGACGAGTCTCTCTGTGTCACCCAGGCTGGAGTGCAGTGGCGTGATCTTGGCTTACTGCAACCTCTACCTCCTGGGTTCAAGTGATTCTCCTGCCTCAGCCTCCCAAGTAGCTGGGACTACAGGCATGTGCCACCACACCTGGCTAATTTTTGTATTTTTAGTAGAGACGGGGTTTCACCATGTTGGCCAGGCTGGTCTCAAACTCCTGACCTCAAGTGATCTGCCCACCTTGGCCTCTCAAAGTGGTAGGATTACAGACGTGAGCCACTGCACCCGGCCTGAAGTTTTTTGTTTGTTTTAAATGTATAGTATCACATTATCATGTATAAAAGCAAATTATAAAAAGTATGGATATCAGTTATATCATAAGTTTCATAAAAATAAAAATTTATGGCCATGTGGTTTTGATAGTTACTGAAAGACAATTATTATACTGATATGGTTTAGATCTGTGTCCCACCCAAATCTCATGTTCAGTTGTAATTCCTAATGCTGGAAGTCGGGCTGGTGGGGGGTGATGGGATCATGGGAGCAGTTTCTCATGAATGGCTTAACACAATCCCCTTGGAACTGTTGTCATGATAGTGAGCGAGCTCTCCTGAGATCTGGTTGTTTAAAAGTGTGTAGCCCTTCCTCCCTTCCTCCCTTCTTTCCCTCCTTCCCTCCCTCCCTCCCTCCTTCCTTCCTTCTTTCCTTCCTTCCTTCCTTCCTTCCCTCCTTCCTTCCTTCCTTCCCCTCCTTCCTCTCTCTCTCTCTTTCTCTCTCTCTCCTCTCTCTCTTTCTTTTTCTGAGACAGAGTTTCCCTCTGTCACCAAGGCTAGAGTGCAATGGCGCCATCTTGGCTCACTGCAACCTCTGCTTCCCGGGCTCAACTGGTTTTCGTGCTTCGGCCTCCCGAGTAGCTGGGACTACAAGCATGAGCCACCATGTCCTGTGAATTTTTGTACTAATAGTGGAGATGGGGTTTCACCATGTTGGCCAGGGTGGTCTCAAACTGCTGGTCTCAAGTGATCTGCCCACCTCAGTTTCTCAAAGTGCTAGGATTACAGGTGTAAGCCACCGCGCCTGGCCAAAAAGTGTGTAGCACCTCCCCACTTTCTCTCTTGCTCTAGCTCACACCATGTGAGATGCCTGTCACACCATGTGAGACGCCTGTGCCCCCTTCGCCTTCCTCCATGATTGGAAGCTTCCTGAGGCCTCCCCAGAAGCAGAAGCCACTATGCTTCCTGTACAGCCTGCAGAACCGTGAGCCAGTTCAACCTCTTGTCTTTATAAATTACACAGTTTCAGGTATTTATTTATTTATAGCAGTGGGAGAACAGATTAGCACATATACTAACAAATATAAAAAGTTGCACAGGGTTGGCATTGACAAATAAAATAATGCCACCCAGTATTTATTATGGATAAATATGTATATTAATAGAAAGTAACCCAATGAGGTAGGAACTAATTTGGAGCTAGATATTATGGTCATCTATCTCATTATCGTCTAACCATACTAGATTTAGAGAGTAGGGGAGAAAGAAAAAGAGGCAGACACATGTCTTTACAGTCTCTCGAACTAGACAATCTGGCCCTTCCTCTTAATGAGACATTGGTATCCTATTTTCAGAGAAAGGGAAGCCACACCAAAATGCAAGGAGAAAGAAAAGACACACTTGACTTTAGAGTTACTGGTGGCTGATGTCCTGGTCAGTTTATGATCATCTTAGGAATTTAAGGATAATTTTCACTATGAATAAATTCTCCCCTTAAGAACCTAACTTCTAAGTAAGAAATGACTCCACTGCACTAAAATCCTCATTTGACAGATATATTAGTCTGTTCTCACACTGCTGAGACTGGGCAATTTATTTATTTTTTATTTTTTATTTTATTTTATTTTTTGAGGCAGAGTCTCGCTCTGTCACCGAGGGTAGAGTGTAGTAGCACGATCTCAGCTCACTGCAACCTCCACCTCCCAGGTTCAAGTGATTCTCATGCCCCAGCCTCCTGAGTAGCTGGGATCACAGGCACGTGCCACCACACCTGGCTAATGTTTGTATTTTTTAGTAGAGATGGGGTTTCATGATGTTGGCCAGGCTGGTCTCGAACTCCTGACTTCAGGTGATCCACCTACCTAGGCCTCCCAAAGTGCTTGGATTATAGGCGTGAGCCACTGCACCTGGCCAAGACTGCGTAACTTATAAAGGAAAGAGGTTTAATGGACTCACAGTTCCATGTGGCTGGGGAGGCCTCACAATTATGGTGGAAGGCAAAAGGCACATCTTACATGGCGGCAGTCAAGAGAGAATGAGAGCCAAGCAAAAGGGGAAACCCCTTATAAAACCATCAGATCGCGTGAGACTTATTCACTACAATGAAAACAGTATGGGGGAAACTGCCCTCATGATTCACTTATCTCCCACCAGGTCCCTCCCACAGCATGTGGGAATTACAGGAGCTACAATTCAAGATGAGATTTGGGTGGGGACACAGCCAAACCATATCAAGAGATATGACAATTGAGAGTAGTTAAATAAGTTGCTGGAGGTCACAGTGTTTTAGAAAGCAGGGAAGCCAAGATGTCCATCTGCTTAGTCTGCTCCACAGTCCCCTTTCCTCTCTCCCTGCCCTCAAATCAGTACAAGGCATTATGAGAAAGTAGCTCCAGACATAAGACCGCCAGACACACTGTAATGGCTTCATAGCCATTTTCAACCTTTAGGGTTGTAAAGATATTATTCAGAGAGTATACTACAAATTTCCATCTTAACAGAGACAGTGTTAATGAGTAAACGTTTATGGTGAATGAACTAATTTGAATAAACCGTGTATATTTATGCACAAAAGTTTTATGCCCTCTCCCTTTTCTGGTTCTTCGACAACTTAAGTATAAGAGGGACTACTGATGATTCAGAATTGAGGATAAAGTTATTTTCATATAAGTTACATGCATTACTAAGTTCAGGAAAACTTCCAGGGCATTCCATTGCACAAACAACTAGATTAAAATTTTTCAGTGATATTAGAAAGAGATGAAGTAATTAAATTAACTTCTCGAAGTAAAATAAATTCCCAAAAATTTCAAAAAAAATTGTCCTGCACATGTTCAATTGTGTAATGGTAGCCAGTGGTACAGGAAAACCATCAGTGGCTGAATGTCTCACCAGGCACTCCTCATCAGACATGAAGAAGCCATTTTAGGATTCTGTAGTCTTTGATTTTCCCCAAGTGACAATCTCAGCCAAACACAATTCATTTACCTGTGACATTAACTATAGATTTTAGATAGACGGCAACAGTCAATTCAAATCTAGTAGACTATCAAGACAAAATAAGGAAATACCCCTTCCAAAATGGATGCTAATAAGAGCCACATACTCAGTGGAAGCCATGGTTATTGGCCATTCTGTGTTCTAATTGCTTCTCCTTAAGAGTAAGTTACCAGAAAACAAAACGATGGCCCTAACACTTCATTAGTGGATAGTAGAAGAATATGAAAGATGTCAGACATCAAAACAGACACTTGGCGTAATGGCAAAGAGAGAAAGAACAACAAGCCTGGGTGCCCTCCTTACTAATGAGACATGGTCTGCGTTGTGTATAGGCGCACCTCTACAGCAGAGATGGTGCATCAGACTTTGAGAGCTATATAAATTAGGATTATTCATTGCTCTTTAATCTGAAATTGTAGTTACCTAACTCCTAGACCTAGATACAGCTTTTAAAGATTAAAAGTACAGAACCACTGCCAGCATTTGGCAGTTCTATTTCTCACTAGAAATATACTTACTCATTTACTTGTCAAATAAATCATTTTTAAGATTAGGTATTGTAAATCATTTCTCCAGAGTTTGATCAGCTCTGGGCAAGTGGTTAAAACTGAGTCTCTGAACCTGGATTTGAACTCTGGTTCTGAAATTCTGTGAGAATCTGTGCATCTCTGCACAAAACACCCTAACAGCTGATACACACCCAGATTTCTCAGGGGCTGTTTGGGTCAGGGATAGAGAAATAATTATTCCACAGGTATTTGTTACTTACTAAACCACCTGGATGTGGTGGCATGCACCTGTAATCCCAGTTACTTGGGAGGCTGATTTGGGAGTATTGCTTGAGCCCAGGAGTTTGAGACAAGCTTGGGCAACACAGCAAGACCCCACCTCAACAAAAAAAAAAAGAAAGAAAGAAAAAGAAAAATAGCTGCTTAAACAATGTATGTGACAAGATACATCACTACCATCTACTAAACTCTCTCCACCTCCCACGCTACGTAGATGTTTGGTATTGTTTCAAACTTCCTTTATATCTTTGTAGTTTTACTTCTCTGCTTTACTGAGTGAATTTCCACAATCACTAACAGTTTAATGTGTTTGGCAGAGATTAGCATAAAAAGAGATCAAAAGGATTCTCTAATATCACCAATCTGTTAAATGTATAATCTGCAAATGAGGTTATCTTAGCATTTCTCAAACAAAGAGAATCCTTTTCTGCTGGGCGCAGTGGCTCATGCCTGTAATCCCAGCACTTTGAGAGGCCAAGGCCAGCAGATTGCTTGAGGTCAGGAGTTCGAGACCAGCCTGGCCAACATGGTGAAACCCCATCTCTACTAAAAAAATACAAAAAATTAGCCAGGTGTGGTGGTGCACGCCTGTAGTCCTAGCAACTCAGGAGGCTGAGGCAGGAGACTCACTTGAACCTGGGAGGTGGAGGTTGCAGTGGGCTGAGATTGTGCCACTGCACTCCAGCCTGGGTGACAGAGCAAGACTCTGTCTCAAAGAAAAAAAAAATAAAGAAAAAGATAATCTTTTTCTAAAATAGGTTGTATATAATAAATAGGCACATAAAGGGATACAGGTTGACCATGAGTTTAATAAGGCTTAAGTTTTGGGACCAACCCTTACAAGAGTACTTACCAAGGCCCAAGTGAGGGTGGGTGGGGAAGGCTTAGCAATGCATGCACATTTTGTAAAATTTGCAAGAATAAGCATTTTTTTGTATTATTTTTCTTACACAGGGAACTAATATCCCACTCCACATAATTTTGGGCTTCTACTTATTAATGAGTTTACTAAGCTTTCTCGATTTTACCACCCACAAAGCTGGGAGAAAGAAATGGTCTCCACGGACCATGATCTGATATTCAGCCTTTAAAATACTAGAGATTTTATATGGCCAATGATTTAGCATGCACACTTTCTATCAAACTTCATTTCTTAAAATATGAGAGCTGTGTGAATTTTATTTTTCAACTTTCCTGCTGGAAGATGACTCATAAAATCTTGGCCCTTACATTACATACAAGTGTTATTAATTAAATTCTATTACCACAAGTGCTTACAGAAGAAATTTGAAAACCAAGGGAAACTTCCCAGCCATTGTTGCTTCATGCTTCCTTTGATTAGTCCTCAGGAAGCCAAAAAACAAGAACCATTTATTTTGAAGTGCAGAACATGGAAACAATGGTTTGGCATTGCTTAACTGTCATATTCACAATTGTCAGGCAAGATTCCTAAGAATTAGCTACCCTGATTTCTTGGGTCCTGTAAATCCAGGAACCACAATTTCCCTTTTCTTTTGGTAAAAACAGTTCTCTGACTTTTTTAGTTCAAAACTAGTCCTACACATCCAACTGTGAGCTAACACCAACACGCACTTTTTTAGGATCAGTGAACTAGACCAATAAAATAAATAATTTAGTGAATATCTGCACACATTAAAATCAGTGGGACCTTTGGAGCTGCTTCCTAGAATGGTCAGGAAATGAGTTTTTGTGCTATTGGATAAAGGTCAATTTTTTTTTTTTTAAATTTTGACACAGGGTCTTGCTCTGCCACCCAGGCTGGAGTGCAGTGGCGTGATCATAGTTCACTGCAGCCTTGATCTCCCGGGGCTCCAGCGATCACTGCACCTCAGCAATCCTGAGTAGCTGGGACTGTGGGCACATACCACCATGCCTGGCTAATTTTTGTGTTTTTTGTAGAGACAGGGTCTCTTTACGTTGCCCAGGCTGGTCTCGAAACTCTGGGCTCAAGGGACCTACCTACCTCGGCCTCCCAAAGTGCTGGGATTATAAGCATGAGCCACCATGCGCAGCCAAGGTCAAATTTTTGAAACTCTTTCAAATTGAGTATTGGAAAGAAGAACAAAGGTATTTGTGTCCAGATATGGTAGGCAAAAGTCTAATTGTCGTAATATAACTCAAGTGAAATGGCTGTTTGATGTTTGTCATAGCATGAAGAGAACTGGATTTATGACAGAATCTACCAAAAGTTTTGAAATTATTTAGAGTCAGCCTTAGCACATAATCTTAGCACTTAGTCTTAATAAGGTGGTATCAGAACTGACTTTACCCCCATTGGGATAAAGAACTAAATTGTATTCTACCACTATTATTTTCAGCAGCTTGGCTTTTTGAGTAAGTATCATCTAAAATTAAATAAAAGACAACATTAGAGTCTAGCAAGGTAAGAAAAGAGTAGTCTATTAGAGAAATGCAACTTAAGTCTTAGTCTTCATTATAGATGGAAACAGAATCATTCTGTCTTTAGGAAGTCATAACCCAGTATTTGAAACCCAGTGCTGTGAATTACTAGCCACGTCACCTTGGATAAGCTACAGCCTCAGTTTAAGTAAAATGAAGCTAGTAATGCCTTCCCTAGCTGGTTGTAAAGATGAAATAAAATCATGTACATAATTGCTTAGCCTACCTCTTGGCACACAGTAGATTCTCTATAAATACTTGCTTCTCATCCCTCTCCCCTCACTTCACATTGCTTTTTATCCAATGTGGTGACGCAGATAGAACATTTCACAAATGATTCTACAATAATCGCGTATGAGGATGTTCTATGAAAAATGAATTGTTAGGGTTATACTTTTCCCCCATCTTCTTTTTTTTTCTTTTTTTCTTTTTTTTCTTTTTTTTGAGACAGGGTTTCACTCTGTTGCCCAGGCTGGAGTGCAGGCGCGCAATCATGGGTCACTGCAGCCTCAACCTCCCCGGGCTCAGGTGATCCCCCACCTCAGCCTTCCGAGTAGCTGGACCACAGCTGTTAGCCAACATGTCTGGCTAATTTTTCTATTTTTTGTAGAAATGGGGTTTCACCGTGTTGCCCAAGCTGGTCTCAAACTTGTGGGCTCAAGTGATCTGCTTGCTTCAGCCTCCCAAAATGCTGGGATTATAGGTGTAAGCCACCACACCTGGCCTCCCCTACCTTTTTAAAGGTAATGACTATTTCATTACAGTGGAAAAGCCCTGGGTTTAAATTCTTCCTCCTTTTTTGTCCTTGCTATGATATGTTTTGGATAGTTAAAACCTCTTTGGCTGTGTCTCGTCCTCTGTAAAACATAATTTATGATGATGCCTTCCATAACTACCTCAATTGACACAATCCATCACACCCTTCTTCTTAACACGCTTTCTACACTTAACGTCCAGGACAACACACTTTCCTAGTTTTTCTTCTCATGGCTCCCATCCTTGGTCAAATCTACTTCTCTATCTGTATTTCCTTCTTTAATGATGTGATCCAGATTCCTGGCATTAAACACTCTGACATGCTAAACACTCCCAAATACATATTTCCATTCTGGACATCTTTGCTGAACTTCAGATCCAAATGCCTATCACCTGAAAGTTTATGAGACATTTCAAACTCTACATCCAAATATCATCTTTCTTTCTAAACCTGTTCCACCTTCTCCACCTCAGATGATGGCAACTCAATTATTCCATTGCTCTGGTTGAGAAAAATCTGGCATTTATCTTTAGTGATCCCACGTATCACAGCCCATTCCTATTCATTAGCAAAACCTACTGACTTTACCTTCAAAATGCATTCCGAATCTGACCACTTCTCACTCCTCCCATAGCTACTACTGTGGTCTGAGCACTAACATCTCTTTCTTGGATTGCTACAATAGCCTCCTGACTGTCCTGCTTCTGTCCTGCCTTTCTGGAATCTAATCTCAACACATCCACTAGAGTGACCCTTTAAAATGCTAAGTCAGATCATGGCACTCTTCTGCTCAAAACCTTGGACTGGTTCTTCATTTCCCCAGAGTAGAAGGGGAAGTTCTTTCATTGGCATAGAAGGTCCTATGCAAAGTGGCCCATTGCTTTCGAACCTCCTTTTCTTGACTCTTCCCTCCCTCTGCTCCAGGGACACTGGCTTCCTTGTTCATCCTCAATCAGGCCAGACTCTGGCTGTTTCCTCCATCTGAAAGACTCTTCCTTTAGATGTCTATTAACTCCCTCACTTCTTCAAGTCTTTGCTCAAAGGACACCTCCTTAATAAAATCTCCTCTGATCTCTCTATTAAATATTTCAGCTCACCTTCAGCTCACCTTTCCCCTTCGACATTCCTGATTCCTTTGATCCTGCTTTTCTTTTTCTTTTTTCATATTTTCAAACGATATACAATTGAAAATAGCATTATTATCTTCTAATGCATTATATATGTGTTTATGTACTGAAGGTGGGGCCCTTTATTTTGGCTACTAATTTTTGTTAATAATCCCAAGGGCGAAGAACAATGCTTGCCATATGGTACTCAGTAAATATTTGCTGAATGAATGGAAGTGAAGTGAATTATGGAGAAGATGGAATGGAACACACTAGTCCCCCCTAATTCATGAGAGATACGTTCCAAGACCCCCAGTGGATGTCTGAAGCCATGGATAGTACCAAACCCTATATACACTCTGTTTTTCCCTATACAAACATACTTATGATAAAGTTTAATTTATAAGTTAGGCACAGTACAAGATTAATAACAAGAATAATAGAACAATTATAACAATATGCTGAATAAGAATTATGTGAATGACGTCTCTCTCAAAATATCTTATTCTACTGTATTCACCCTTCTTGTAATAATGTAAGAGATAAAATGCCGACGTGATGAGATAAAATGAGGTGGGTAACAGGCATCGTGAGGTAGCATTAGGCTACTATTGACCTTCTGACAATACATCAGAAGGAGAATCATCTGCTTCAAGTGATCCCGAATCATTCAGCCACAACGATGTCACTGATTGGATGACAGGAACAGGCAATATCAGTGACTAACAGGTGGGTAGCTTCTACAGCATGAATACACCAGACAAAGGGATGATTCCCATCCCAGGTGAATTGTTTATTTCTTGAACTTTTCATTTAGTATTTTTCGACTGTGGTTGGCCACGGGTAAAATTGCAAAAAGGAAAACTGTGGATAAGGGGAGACTATGATATAATGAATATACCACTTTAATTTTTTTAATTAAGAGATAACTGCCCGGGATTAAAGAACAAAAGATTTTGAAGTAGCCAATTCTGACACAAAAGACATTACTGTGCAGAAACAATTTTCACATTATGCTGCAACAAAAAATTACATGAATATATTTGATGCTTAAAATGATAGAGTCAATTCCTAAAATATTTTTCTAGATAGTAACTTAAAAGGAGATTTTAAAAGCCACAACTACCAGGTGCAATGGCTCATGCCTGTAATCCCAGCATTTGAGAGATGGAGGTGGGAGGATCACTTGAGGAGTTTGAGACCAGTCTGGGCAACACAGTGAGATCCTATCTTTACAAAAAATAAACAAGTTAGCTGGGCATGGTATGTGCTCCTGTTGTCCCAGCTCCTCAGGAGGATGAGGTGGGAGGATCACTCGAGCCCAAGAGGTCAAGGCTGCAGTGAGCTGTGATCTCGCCACTGCATTCCAGCCTGGGAGACAGAGCAAGACCTTGTCTCAAAAAAATAAAAAAATAGCCTGGCCAACATGGCGAAACCCTGTCTCTACTAAAAATACAAAACTTAGCCGGGTGTGGTGGCGGGTGCCTGTAATCCCAGCGACTCAGGAGGCTGAGGCAGGAGAATAGCTTGAACCCGGGAGGCAGAGGTTGCAGTGAGCAGAGATCGCGCCATTGCACTCCAGCATGGGTGACTGAGCAAGACTCCTTCTCAAATAATAATAATAATAATAATAATAAAAGCCGTAACAATGTAATTTTTAAAAATCTCTATTACTATAAAATCAAAATAAGCTTAATAAAGCATTCTAAATTTAATAACACAAGGTGAGCAATTTTTTAAAATTATTTGCTTTTTTAAAATGTTGATATACAATTGAAAATAGCATTGTGATAGTTAATTTTACCTGTCAACTTGGCTAGGCAATGATGCTCAGATATGTGGTCAAACATTCTGGATGTTTCTGTGAGGGTGTTGTTGGATGAGATTAACATTTTATTATTATTATTATTTTTGAGATGGTGTCTCACTCTATCACCCGGGCTGGAGTGCAATGGCGCAATCTCAGCAAACTGCAACCTCAGCCTCCTGGGTTCAAGCGATTCTCCTGCCTCAGCCTCCCGAGTAGCTGGAACCACAGGCATGCACCACCACGCCTGGCTCATTTTTGCATTTTAGTAGAGATGGGATTTTGCCATGTTTGCCAAGCTGCTCTCGAACTCCTGACCTCAAGTAATCCACCCGCCTCGGCCTCCCAAAGTGCTGGGATTACAGACGTGAGCCACTGTGTGTGGCGTGAGATTAACATTTAAATCGGTAAAGCATGTTGCCCTCCGTAATGTTGGTGGGTCTCATCCGGTCAATTGAAGGCCTAAATTGAACAAAAGACTGACTTCTCTCAAGCAGGAGGGAATTCTGCCAGCAGATAGCCTTTGGACTTGAACTGCAGCCTTGGCAATTCCTGGGTCTGTAGCTTGCTTGCCTCCATAATCACATGAACCAATTCCTTAAAACAAGTCTCTTTATATACATATATGTACATACATGCACACACATACACACATGTCTTGTTGGTTCTACTTGTCTGGACAACCCTAATACAAGCATCATAATGAATTATAGTGGTAAATTAATTTGAGTGCCTACTTAAAACTAGTGAGCATTGTACCTTAGGAGTTCCTTTGGAGGTCTGGCAATACAGTCTTTTAAAAAGTGTTCCATAGTCTATTTTGTTCTGAGAATGCTGATCTAAAACAACCTTACATAATCAAGCACTTGCCTTTAAACCTTAATACCATCTTCAGAGGCATGTCAAGGACAAAGGAGATGTTCATGTAGCCTTTCTTATCCCTTGTACAGCCCTCACTCAGAGAGGAGGTACAGGCATGGGTGGGAGTGCTGTCTCCTCCCTATTACAATTTTCTCCAACCCTCAAGACCCCTCTTAAGTCTCACCACCTCTAGGAAGTTTTCCTGTTAAAGCCCTAGGCAACACTCTAGACAACCCATAGAACTTTTCTCTTCAATCTATGTTGATGAAATTAAGTAGCATTTTATGATTTGTCACATTTTGTGGCTATTGTGACACTATTCTCTTCTTTCACGTTCTTTTCCTGCATCTTCTCCCTCAGACTGGCCATTGACATTTAGTGTTTCACAAAGGGATACAGATTCCATGGTGATAAAGAAACACTGGGTTGAGAAAGACTGGGTTAACAAGTTAAACAAAGTTCTCCATTGTATAAAAGGACTTATTGGAGCCTCTAACATGCTAAGGAGCACTGTGACTCTCTAGGGAGGAATATAATTTAGAGCAGGAAACACTGGAGTAGAATAAGAGAGAAAAAGTCCAAGAGGAAACCATGTAAGAGATTGAGAAGAGGCAATTGGAGAAATAAGAGAAACTAGGACAGAATGATGTCATGGAAATCACGGAATGGCAGACTTTCAAAGAGGGAGTGTCAACAATGTTCGATGTTCTAGAAAGGTCAAGTAAGGTTTTGACTTAAAAAGCAAGCCATGGGCTGGGCGCAGTGGCTGACGCCTGTAATCCCAGCACTTTGGGAGGCCGAGGTGGGCAGATCACAAGGCCAGGAGGTCGAGACCAGCCTGGCCAACACAGTGAAACCCCATCTCTACAAAAAATACAAAAATTAGCTGGGCATGATGGCGTGCGCCTATAGCCCCAGCTACTCGGGAGGCTGAGGCAGGACAATCACTTGAACTCAGGAAGTGGAGGTTGTGGTGAGCCGAGATCACGCCACTGCACTCCCGCCTGGGAAACAGAGAAAGACTCTGTCTCAAAAAAAAAATAAATAAGTAAAATAAAAAATAAATAAATAAAGCAAGCCATGGACTTAGGAACTAGTAAATTATTGGCGATACAATGATAGTAATTTCAATGGCATGGGAAACAGGCAATGTGCAGTGAGCTGAATGGTCAGTAAGAAAATTGACATAATAAATATATGTCACTGTTTCAAGAAGTTTCCTTGGAGAATCATAGTGGGGTTCTTTCCTACATTAAGTTGTAGAGATTTGAGCATATTTATAGCCTGTGGTAAGAGAACTAGTAATGAAGATAAGTTGAAGATACATGACAGAGAGAGGAGATTAATTGCTGCAACAAAGAATACAAGAGACTGGAAAAATAGGATCATGCACACAGGTGTGAAATTAGCTTTGGGTAGGAGAGACCCCTTATCTTCATCTGTTTTCTGTTGCTGATAATGGAATACCTGAAATGGGGTAATTTATAAAGAAAAGGAATTTATTTCTTACAGTTATGAAGGCTGAGAAGTCCAAGGTAGAGGGGTCACATCTGATGAGGGTCTTCTTGCTGGTGGGGACTCTCTGAAGAGTCCCTAGGTGGTACAGGGCATCACAGGGTGAGCGGGCTCAGTGTGCAAGAGTGCTAGCTCAGTTCTCTCTTCCTTTCCTTATAAAGCCACCAGTCCCGCTCCTATGATAACTCATTAATTCCTTAAATTGTTAATCTATGAATGGGTTAATCCATTCATGAAGGCAGAGTCCTCATGAATCGATCACTTCTTAAAGGCCCTACCTCTTAATACTGCTACATTAGGGATTATGTTTCAACATGAGTCTTGAAGGGAACAAATATTCAAACCATAGCAACCCTCTTCCTTTGATTCAGGAGGGAAATTGACAAGGATGAATATAGATGTGGACAAGTTTGCAGTTCATCCTCCTTACTCTTACATGGGTTAGAGCCTTAAAATACTATCTGATATTTAGCTTCCTTCAGAGGCCTCCTGTTACCTTCAAGATGAATTCCAGGTTCCTTCAAATGGCCTTTCGGAACAGGCTCCCATCTTTCCAGCCTTCCTTTGACTACTGCCCCTTACAAACCCTATGTTCAAGGCACCCATGGTGGAGTTCCCAGACACTCTGGCTCTCTGCATTCTCCAAGCCCTCTGCCTGGAATCCCCTCTCTCCAACACTCCCCTGCCGAATGATGAACTTCTATGTTATTTAACACCTGACTTAACTGTCAAGAAAAGTAAAGCTTTCGCTGGCCCCTTCTGTCCTCCCATACAGAGTCAAACCTTCTCTATCTGACATAGTACTTTTTATAAGACTTTTAAAAAATTAGGATGTTTTACATGTCTGATCCTCCCATTGGATAGTGTTAGGAGCATGATGTTGGAACTATTTGATACAAGATTGTGTCTACATCATACTTAACCCACAATAGGAAGTAATTAAATGTCTGTTATAAACAAAAGTGGACATATTTTGTCTTCAAATCAAATGTATAAACTTCTTGTACTGTATTTTAAGAATAGTATAAGCTATATTTACATATAATATAAAATATACTTAAATATAGTATTAACTGTCTATTGTTTAATGTATTGCAATACTTAGGCTATGAGACCAACAGACAATACCAGTTAAATTAAAAACTAAGTATAGCCAGGTGCGGTGGCTCACACCTCCTATCCCAGATACTCAAGAGGCTGAGACAGGAGGATCACTTAAGCCCAGGAGGTTGAGGCTACAGTGAGCTATGATCACGTCACTGCACTCTAGCCTGGGTGACAGAGTGGGACCATGTCTCAAAAAAATAAAATATAAAAATAAGGCCGGTCACAGTGCTCACGCCTGTAATCCTAGCACTCTGGGAGGCTGAGGCTGGAGGACTGTTTGAGCCCAGGGCTTCAAGAGTGGCTTGGGCAACATAGCAAGACCCTGTCTCTACACAACAAAAACAAAAACTAGCCAGGCATGGTGGCATGAGCCTATAGTCTCAGCTACTCGGGAGGCTGAGGTGGGAGGGATGGCTTGAGCCAAGGAGGTTGAGGCTGCAGTGAATTTTATTGTATCACTGCACTCCAGCTGGGGTGACAGGAGTGAGACATCTTCTCAAAATATATAAATAAAATAAAAAAAAGTATTAAGTTTTATCTATATGTTGACATTTTTGATAATGTTACAGGTTTATAGCCTGTTTGCACAAAAATCCAAAAGTAATTTTGACACCGAATAACTCAAAAACTATCCTTACCTTAACTACATATAAAGGAAAAAAAATACTTAAATAGATTTTAATGAAACACACCCACATCTATACATATCCACGGTTATTCTGCAGCATGTTCTGCAATTATTTTTTAACATTTTTCTCCCATTTAAATTTTTTGCTCATGTTAGCTAAAAATGAATCTTGGAAAGGGAAAAACTGTTTCCCTAAAAATAGAGTATATAATTTTGTTTTCAACCACCACAAACCTAAGAATTTAGTGCAGTGATGAAATACATGTAATTTGCATTCATTTATTTTAATTTATTGGTTCTTAACACTATCAGACCCTCATTTTATAATAAATTTTGATGCCTCCTTTATTATCCTGAAATGAAATTTATAGATAATAAACATTACATATACAAACATATAATTTATATACATAAAATTTATATATATGTAAAATTTGGGAAATAATGTAATGTCCCTTTAATGTTAAAGAGAAATAAAAAAATACATATTTTAATTCATAAATGCTTATACGTGAGTACACTAGAAGACACAATGAAGTCTACACTTATTTTTATTTATTTTTCTTTTTTTAGAGATAATGTCTTGCTCTGTCACCCAGGCTGGTGTGCGGTGGCATGATTATAGCTCACTGTAACACTGAACCTCTGGGCTCAAGGGATCCTCCTGCTTCAGCCTTCCAAGTAGCTAGGACTATAGGCATGCACCACCATGCCTAGCAAATTTTCTTAAATGTTTACTCTCATAGAGATGGAATCTTGCCATGTTGCCCAGTCCAGCTAGTCTCAAACTCTTGGCCTCAAGAGATCCTCTGTCTCCACCTCCCAAAGTGCTGGTATTACAGGCATTAGCCACCATGCCTGGTGTACACTTATAATGTTAAATGGGATTTAAGTAAAATCAGAAACCATTCCAAATAGTACAGGAATATAAGAATAGGGTTATTGGCCAGACGCAGTGGCTCACGCCTGTAATCCCAGCATTCTGGGAGGCCGAGGTGGGCGGATCACCTAAGGTCAGGGGTTCCAGGCTGGCCAACATGGTGAAACTCCTGTCTCTACTAAAAGTACAAAAATTAGCTGGGCGTGGTGGCAAGTTTCTATAATCCCAGCTACTCAGGAGGCTGAGGCAGGAGAATCACTTGAACCCAGGAGGTGGAGGTTGCAGTGAGCTGAGACTGTGCCATCACACTCCAGCCTGGGCAACAGGGTGAGACTCTGTCTCAAAAAAAAAAAAAAAAAAAAAAAAAAAAAATATATATATATATATATATATATGGTTATTGTGAGCATTAGAATACAAATTTGTATATTTAGTTATATGATAAGACTGTCCAAAAGAATATTTGTGTTTATAGGTAAAACAGTGTAAGTTACAGTATAAGCTCAGATAATTATGAAGTTTTCACTTATATGAACATGCAGCAGGACTTTGGAGAGTTATGAAAAATGAGGGACTCAGGAAAATTCTTTATTTTGCAGGACTGTCTGGCACACAGCAAGCTGTTTAAGAGGCCTGGTCCCTGCTCAGCAAATATATAGCAACCACTCATCATTGTGACAATGGAATAGGTCCCATAAAATTTCACAGTACCCCCTGGGGGAAGTAATCCCCTTCCTGTTGATAATTCCTGATTTAATTCCTTGAGCACACTCTCTGTTAATAGAAAGTTGAATGCTTTTTTTATAAACTGAGGATGTTTTTGTCTTATACAGCTAACGTAATGTGACCATAATGGTAATTTTTTAAAAGTAAAATCTATCATCTACATTATTTTCCATTGACCATACTTGTTCTCACAATAAAACTATAAGAGGGGCTGGGTGCAGTGGCTCAGGCCTGTAATCCCAGGCTTTGGGAGGCTGAGGTGGGCGGATCACTTGAGGTCAGGAGTTTGAGACCAGCCTGGCCAACATAGTGAAACCCCGTCTCTACTAAAAATACAAAAAAATTAGCTGAGCATGGTCGGGGGTGGCCTGTAGTCCCAGCTACTCAGAAGGCTGAGGCAGGAGAGTTGCTTGAACCCAGGACGCAGAGGTTGCAGTGAGCCGAGATCCGCACCACTGCACTCTGGGTGACAGAGTGAGATTCCATCTCAGAAAAACAACAACAACAAACTATAAAAGAGGTATAGGAGAAGACACTAGGTTTATGTTATATTTCAAAGAATCAATTTTCAGCTAAGGATAATTCAACTAATTTTGATGCATTTAACTGGGATAATTATTGTTTTAAGTCTTCTTATCTGTCAAGAATAGTATGCATAATATATTTAATTTTTTCAGGCATGTATTAACACATTTTTAAATGATCTTAAAGCTCTTTGATCCAAATCTCTAATAAAAATCTTTGAAAAGGCAAACATATTATGAAATCATAACCCAGTTTTTTCCACCTTCAAAAATAAAACACAGAAAAAGTCTCATATTAATTAAACTATAAGTGCCTGAACCCTAATTAGAAATCTTGGACTCAACATTTTGAAAGAATCCCAAATGCTTTCCGATTGATCCTGTTCCTATGGAAACTAAAGTTGGGAAGTAGTGAAAGACAAAAGAAATTACAAAATGGCACCAAAGAAATCAGCTAAAAGAGTTATTTATTTATTTTAAAAGGAAGGAAAAACACAGCCTTGTGTCCTATCATCAGACACACATAGCAATTTTAAAAATAACACATAATTGAAATTTAGGAAATGCATGACGTATAATAATACTTATCTTTGCTTAAGACAATATTAATGTTATTCTTTTAATATGAACTTACAGCAAAAAAAAAAAAAGGCTAGAAAATTATGAGGATGTTTTCTATTTTCATTTTAAATGATCTGCTGTGATGTTGTTAGGATGACTAAATTGGATAATAAACCCCTTCCAATATGGAATGTGTTCATTTTTGGATATTTCTCCCATTTAGTTAAATAATATTTTCAGAACATGAAATATTTATTACAGGCTTATGGCTTACCCTTCAGGTTAATATTGCTTTGAATTTGATTTGAGTTGTGAATATGGAAGGCATTTATATGTGGTGAGAGACAGGGACACTGAAAATATACTATTGGTTGGTACTTTCCAGCATGTTCTTTTTATCCTTGTCTTCCAGATAGCAAAGAATGTGGGATTTTGAGTAAGTAACTCTAAGTCCTGCCTTGGAATAAGTCCTAAAAGTACTCTAAGCTCCCGTGTTTCTCATTTATGACACTGTGAATAAAAATAGTCCTGTGGGTCTCACAGTAATGTTAACATGAGAATTAAGTAAAATAATTCCTCTGAAAGTGTTTTGTCAATTGTAAAGTTCCATTCAAATGCTAATTTTGTTTTTTCTTTACTTTTTAATCCCCTCAGGTTACCCAACAATTCACCCTGATCTTTTCCCTTCATTCTTCCTGACCTCTAGATAACAATTGACATTGCAAAATTCCTCCCCAGCTTCCATGACACTGGTTCTGTTGGTTGTCCATTATTACTCTGGGCACTTGTTTTGTCATTGTCTCTGCTCTTTTATATTCTTTCACAAGTATGTTTTCCAGAGTTCAGTTTTTTGCCTCCTACTAATCTTCTCCATGTTTTTCCCAGAGTGGTTATACATTTCTCTTTCCATTTTACCACTTAAATACAGGGGATAGGTACAGATCATGATCATCCACTCTCCAATGGTCTTTAGAGACACATTTAGTTGGCTATTTTATTGCTTCCTGAAATATATATATATAAATAATTCCTTCTCAATTAAATACCATGATTTCTCTGGTTCTACAAGTTTACAACCTTGGAGTTACTGTTTTGATTTCTTTGATGTCCCCTATATTTAATCAATCACTGCATTTTATCAATTTCTATTTTCAATGTCTTCTGGATTCTACTTTTCCTAAACGATTTTGACAGCCTCCAGTTTAATCCTGGATCTCATTACCTAAGGCCTGCCTTACAGTTACCCTTTCTTCCCAAGTCTAGTCTATATGTAAGGGGCAAAATTATTGTTTATCTCCAATATTATTTTTTGATATATTATTCCACTCTTCAAAACCTTCAACAACTTCCTGTTGCCTACTGCATCAAACAAAAAGTTTATAACATGCTATACAGTCAACTTTATGAATATCCAGCATTTTTGGAGCCTATTTTCTTGCTTCCTTCCAAAACAGGCTCTGTTCTAACCAATGAGAATTCTAAAGGAGGCAGTTTAGAATTTTAAAACATGTTCTTAGCTACATATAACATAATTTTATTATAACAGGCTAAAATATGGTACATTTTCCCATTTAAAAACATAAAATGTTCAATTATAAACAATACAAATAATCATTAAATCAAACCCTTTCATTTAACAAATGAGGGAAAAAAGACTCATACAATAAGGTAGCTTTTCTAAAACCATATGATTACTAAGGGCAGAACTGACTCAATCTAGCCCATTGGAACTCTAGTTCCATTTTATTTATATTATACTTTTTGCTTCTTTGTGAACAAAATTTGACGTTTGTGGTTAGATATAAGGAGGTCCTTTGAACATCTAGTAGAGACATTTCACATGGATATTTAACTTATGAATTCAATAATGTACCACTGGCAAATACATATTACAAATATAATTCATAAAATTAATGAGTTTAAAAAGTGAAGGTGATTCTGTCCACCAACCCTGTCCTTTTGAACCTGCCATGAGTCACCTTGTAAGAGAAGATGTGACTAATACTCTTTTAGGTAAAAGATGAAAGTCAGGTTGGTTGCAGTGGCTTACGCCTGTAATCCCAGCACTTTGGGAGTTGGAGGCAGAAGCATCACTTGAGCCCAGGAGTTCAAGACCAACCTGGACAACATAGTGAGAACTCATCTCTACAAAAAAATAAATAAATTAGCACAGGCTATTATTGCACCACTGCACGCTAGCCTGGGTGACAGAGAGAGATCCCATCCCAAAAAAGAAAAAAAAAATAGATCTAAGTCCATTGTTCTCTGAAAAGAAACATTTGTATTCAATATTCATATAAGTGGGATAACTGCTCTATAAAAGAAGTGTTGCAATAGCCCACTCCCAAAATGTTTTGTCCTTTCATTTTCTAATAATTAGAAATAAATCTCCTTAAACATTCTAGCCCACATAATGAAAAAGGCTGGTCTTGATTGGTCTCATCATTACTCAGCAAATTTTGGTAACTTGTGGCCAAATATAAATAGTTGAACATATATATAATTGTACAAGCAAATAATATGTGATTGTTCAAATTATTAGGACTCTGAATATATATCCCATGGAGGGCTGTGATGCAATCTTGCTTCCACTCTAAAATTAAGACGCAAAGGAGTGGGAGGTGAAGTGAAACTTCTTCCTCCATTAACATCTACATTCCCTTGCTCATAAATTCATAGTGTATTTGGAGAAAGTGTTGTCCAGCACAGAAATAGCTTCTGACACAAATGGCTACAATGACAGTGTGCATATGCTGCTGACACAGGCCCCAGGCTATTCTATTGTGGCTGCTAAATGCCTCTACTTCTTCCATTCTTTTCCCATAACCGGCATCTTCTCTAGAGAATCCTTATAGATTTGGGGTCTTCAAGGCTAAAGGAACTATGAGAAATTAAATCATATGAAGAACTCACAGGAAGCTTGATACTAAGTTATTAATGACAAGAACTTTAACATTAAATGAATATTTTAGAAACTACGGCCAATTTTGAAATGTGCTTGAGTTGATGTGTCAAATGTAAGATATCTGCAGGTATTCTCTTTACTTGTTTAGAAGGAGCCTGGGGGTGGACAAGAGGACCTTGATGGAACCAGTCTCCACTAAACAAATGCAAGACAAACATTTTAAATTTTTAGGAATTTAATCAACTCTTTTTTTATATTCACTTTTTCTTGCCATCAGTCTATGAATGTGGCATGCATTCATCTGATGAGTATTTTAACATTTTAGGGAATAAAATATTAAAGTCCCTTTCAAAAGAAATTCACTGAAAGGTCCACGCTACATCATTAAAAAAAAAATGTAGCTCCTATGCAGTGGATTTACTAACAGACTTTGCTGTATAACCCAGGATCTTGCAGTTCTAGCTGATGACAGGGTTGAATTGGTTTTCTTTTCTCTTTTTTTAAAAGGCATTAAAAAAAAAAAACTATTAGTGGGAAATAGACTAAATAAATAGCTTTTTAAAAGGGACTATTCAAACATAATTTGCATTTCTTATACTGACTACCCTGGTTAAGGCACAGGATTTAAGAGAGCTGGTGTTTCGACTGGGCACGGTGGCTCACACCTGTAATCCCAGCAATTTGGGAGGCCAAGGCAGGCGGATCACCTGAGGTCAAGAGTTCGAGACCAGCCTGGCCAACAGGGTGAAACCCCGTCTCTACTAAAAAAAAAAAAAAAAAAAAAAAAAAAATTAGCTGGGCGTAGTGGCAGACGCCTAGAATCCCAGCTACTCGGGAGGCTGAGGGAGGAGAATCGCTTGAGCCCGGGAAGCAGAGATTGCACTGAGCTGAGATGGCGCCACTGCACTCCAGCCTGTGTGACAGAGTGAGACTCCGTCTCAAAAAAAAAAAAAAAGAGCTGATGTTTCAAATATTTCAAGTAAATTCACTTTGTTCTATTTATTTTCTCTTTAAACCTATAGGGTGAAAAGTGGAGCATACAAAAAAGACCAGAGGGCTTCAAGGACAAAAAAAAAAAAAAAAAAAAATAGAATTTCAGTATATTTATCATGTTACTATCTTTTTTCTATTTTATGGATTTAAATAGTTTTTTATTAAGAAAATTTTCAAATATATACAAAAATAGAGACAATAAACAATAAACACCATATAGTCATCATCCAGATTAAAGTTATAAAGATTTTATCATGTTTACTACATTTACTTTATTGAAGAATATTAAAGCAAATCATATATATCAAATAATTGTCTTTATTACTTTAGCAAGCACCACTAAAGATTAAAGACATATAACTATAACACCATTTGAACAACTAACAAAAATAATTCCTTGTTATAATTTAATATCTAGCCACATTTCCCTGATGTCTTATTTGAATCTGGATACACACTACATGTCAGCATCACATTTGCTTCTTAGGCCTTTAGATGCATGTGTTTCATCTAGCACCGACCTGCTCTTTCCTCTCTCCCCCTTTGTTTTTACCTTTCATGCCACTGACTTGTTGCAGAAACCTGGTCAGTTATTCTGCAGAAAAACCCACTTTCTGAGTTCATGCACGTGCTACCTTGTGGTGTCATTTAATTTGTGCATCTATCCTTCTGTAATGAAAGTTCGCTTGCTGAGAGGCTTCATTCAAGTGAAGGTCATTTTCTTTTTTTGGAGGGATGGGCAAGAATATTACACAGGGAGTGCTATGTGCTTCCAATTTTTTTTTTTTTTTTTTTTTTGAGAGAAAGTCTCACTCTGTTGCCCAGGCTAGAGTGCAGTGGTACAGTCTTGGCTCACTGCAACCTCTGCCTCCCAGGTTCAAGCGATTCTTGTGTCTCAGCCTCCCAAGTAGTTGAGATTACAGGCACGAGCCACCACACCTGGCGAATTTTTGTATTTTTAGTAGAGAGGGGGTTTCACCATGTTGGCCAGGCTGGTCTCAACTCCTGACCTCAAGTAATCCACCCATCTCAGCCTCCCAAAGTGCTGGGATTACAGGCGTGAGCCACAGCACCTGCCCTGGTTGTCCTACTTTCAATGATGCTAAGATTAATCAGTGTTTCAGGTGATAACAGACTGATCCTTCCATTGTAAAGCTCCAATCAACATTTTGTCTAATGATTTTAGCCATTAATAATCATACCCTAAGTCAATTACATGCTGCAAATGATGATTAGATTCTATTATTTTTTCATTATCTATTTTCTTTGACATTCATTAGCTTGAATTCTATAAAGAAGAACTTTTCCTTCTAAGTTAAGGCTATGTGGTTACACATACATGCCTAAAAGAAAGCAGAATAAAGATAAGTATTTATTTTGATTGCCAAATATCAGGGTAAGGAGTAACTGACCTAGTTAATTCTAATGGTGACCAAAGTGTGATGACTTTTAAACATTTTATTGATTTTCTTTTTTGTATCTTTATAATTAATGCATTTTGAAATAAATTCAACACATTTAAATCAATTGCATTCAGTATATGTTTTCTCTTTTGACTCTCATCTTGCCTCCAGTTTGGCTAAAGAAAGACTTTTTAGGTTAATTCCTTTGTCCTTTGGGCACAATCTCATTAGTCTTTGATAGCTACCTTGCTTTCTAAGTGATATGGTTAGGCTTTGTGTCCCTACCCAAATCTCATCTTGAATTGTAATCCCCATAATCCCCATCATCCCCACGTGTAAAGGGAGAGACGAGATAGAGGTAACAATCATGGTGGCAGTTTCTCTCATGCTGTTCTCATGATAGTGAGTTCTCACAAGATCTGATGGTTTTATAAAGAGCTCTTCCCCCTTCACTTGGCATTGTCCTTCTTGCCACCACTTTGTGAAGAAGGTGCCTTGCTTCCCCTTTGCCTTCTACCATGATTTTAAGTTTTCTGAGGCCTCCCCAGCCACACTGAACTGTGAGTCAATTAAACCTCTTTTCTTCATAAATTACCCAGTTTCTGGCAGTTCCTTATAGCAGTGTGAAAACAGACTAATACACCAGGGCAACAAACCGTCCCAGGCTCATCTTAAATTGCCTAACCTTAAAACTGGAGTCAGGTGTCCCTCCAAAGTTTCCTAGTCATTGTTAGTGTGGAATGGTATTTAGGGATTATAGTCTATATGCTAAGTATGCTCATTTTCAAGGGGTTGTAGAATAGTTTATATTATTATCCTCAACTCCTAACTCCCTTCTCATTTATTATTGTATGATTTCTAGGGCCTCCCAGCAGGCAGAACACAATTCTCCATCCCAGTTCCACGTTTGGCCACGTGATGTGCTTTGACCAATGGGCACATATCATGTTAAGTAGAAGCTTTTAGAGCTGTTAAGGACAGAGCTAAGCTTTGTCCTTTGCTTTTCCCTAGGCCACAAGGACAGTCTGTTCCAAACAGGGTCAATTGCTTCAGCTTGAGTCCTGGAAAAAGAAGATTGTAGAGAAAAGACTCAGCAGCTGATCTGGAGCCACCAAAATGGAATACAAGCCAAATATATAATGCATATGGTGGCAAACTACTGAGGTTTTTAAGGTTATCTGTTACTTCTTCAAAGCTGATTGATACAGGCTGTGATGTCTTCTGGGCCTTTTTAGTAGACAGATAGGAAAAGCAGCTTTGAAAAGAGGAAAGCATTGTGAGTTCAAACTCAATTCAAATAGAACATTTCCAAATCAGATAGAACATTATAGGACCTGTACTTAATTTTTAAAAACTTTATACATATATCTCTTTTTTCTACACTAAAAATCTTAATTTCTATTTACATTAGTATAATTACTGATTTGTATTTCCTATAATATAACATAGTGTCAAAATAACAAAATCATTATTTTAAAGTACTAAAGTTTAAAACATATTTGTAGCTATTTTTGTCCTTAAGATATATTCTACTGTTTGGTGGAATATTATGTTTTTAGGTTCAGATTGAAATAATTATTTCCTTTATGTGGTTATATCACTAATTTGATATACAGTAGGTTCATTTCCTTATTTCTTTTTTTTTCTTTTAGAGACAGCATCTTTCTCTGTCACCCACGCTAGAGTGCAGTAGCACAATCACAGCTCACCACAGCCTCGATCTCCCAGGACCAAGCAAACCTCCCACCTCAGCCTCGTGAGTAGCTGAGACTACAGGCATGCCACCATGCCCAGCTAATTTTTATTTATTTTTCTTTTTTGTAGAGGCGTGGCCTTCCTATATGGCCTAGGCTGGTCTTGAACTCCTGGTCTTAAGCAATCTTCCTGCCTGGGCCTCCCAAAGTATGGGGATTACAAGTGTAAACCACCATGCCCAGCTCAGTAAGTTCATTTATTTCCATTTGTTTTCCATTTTTAGGGAAGGCTATTTTAGTGAATTTTATCTTTTGAAATAAAACATTTAAAATTTCAAAATGAAATCTATGTAATAAGCTATACATAGTAAGAGAAGTCTGTTCCATTCCTGTTCTACCTATTGTTAATAGTTTCATTAGTTAACAGTTTAACCTGCCAGTGTTTCTGTCATACACAAAATGTAGCATGTTGCACTAGATTGTTCTGCATCTTACTTTTTTCACTTACTATATTTTGGAGATGACAGTACAGAGAGATCACCATCATTCCTTTATATCGCTACAGTGCCTACCATTGTGTTATTTATTTAGCCAATCCCCTATAAATGGGCATTTGTTTTCAATCATTTTTATAATAGTTGTGAAATAAATAATACAATGCATAAAAAAGAAATAACACCATGCATAAAGCATGTCCTGTTTTTGCAACTACAGCTTTAACACAGGTTCCCAGTAACGGGGTTGATGGGTCAAAGGGCAAATATAGAATTTTTCTACATATTGCTGAATATGATGGGTCAAAGGCTAGATGTAGAATTTTTCTACATATTGCTGCTCCATAGCAGTTGTATCATCTCACAGCTCCATCAGCAGTATGTAGAATGCCTATTTCCATACAACTTCAATAACAGAGTATGTGGATGAGTTTATGTGATTTTGCTAAGGGAAGAAGTGCTATCTTTGGGACAATCTAATTTGCATTTTAAGTTATACTGAGAAAAGCTTCATATTTGAAGAACCATTTAAATTTTTCTTCTGGGAACTCTGGGTTTTTTGTGTGCCATTTATAAAATTTTGATATTTGTATTTTAATTTTTAGGGGTTCCTTTTATATCAGTGATAATACTCTGTCAGAGATGTAACTTACAAATATCCTTTCCCAATTAGTCATTTATCTTTGGATTTGTTTAGGGTGTTTTATTTTTTCCATGCAGACACTCATTTGATTTATAGTCCAGTTTACAGAAGAACAGATCCATACTTTGTTTTTTTTTTTTTTTTTTTTTTGGCGGGGGGAGGTATGGTTTTATTTATTTATTTACCTATTTACATTTAGATCTCTGATCCATTTGAAATTAATTCTCATGGAGAATATCAGGTTCTGATCCATTTTTCCCTCAAATGGTTCCCAGTTGTAACAATATTGATTAAGCATTCTCCATGGTTTCAAATGCTACCATTTTACACACACATACACACATACACGTGATTTCTAAATGAAGTTGGCATAATTTCCGGACTTTATATACTCTTCCATTGGCTTGTCTGTCTATTCATGTACCAATCTCACATTATTTTACTTATAGAGGCTTTATAGAACACTATAATATAGGGCTATAACCACTTCATTTCTGCCCCGTTAGTGTATTATTAATTCTCCATTGTCTCATTCATTTGATATTTATTCTATGTATTATATGTTTTATGATTAATATGTTGATACAGAAATACATATTACAATTTATTAAAACACACGTCAGGACATATCCTCTTTTAAGAAATGAAGTAGGATATGTAATATAAAAAAGTTTGAAGATCACTGATTCAGTGTTTTTTGAACATGCCAGCATCTTTAGATAGCTGTCCTGGGTGGCAGTAGCACAATGGAGCTGAGATTCTTACATGTATCTGATTTTGGCATTTGCCTAATGCTGAATGAGATTCTTGGCAGAGACAATGACTCACCTGGATCCAGGGGTAATTTTTTAAGTGCTAATGAGCAAGTGTCAAGATCCCACAAAATCATTAAAAGTAACGGCTAAAACTGCAGTTACTTTTGCACCAACCTATAAAAATACTGGACAAGAACACCTAGGAAAATCATCTTTGATTTGGAAATGAAGATCACTTTATCAGGCTCTACAATGGTTTAAATGTGTTCCTCAGAATTCATGTATAGGAAATTGAGTTCCCAGTATAATGGTGTTGAGAGGTGGTAGGACCTTTAAGAGGTGTTTGGGTCATGAAGACTCTGCCACCCTCACGAAGATATTAGTCCCATTCTCATAGGACTGGGTTAATTCTCACAGAAGCAAATGAGTTCTTGTTCTCATGGGACTAGATTAGTAACTGCAAGAGCAGGTTGTTAAAAAATGAGGCCATCACTTGTGTTTTGTCTCTTTTGCACATACTTGCTTGCTGCTCCTGCAGGTGTTTCCACATGTGATGCCATTCACTATGCTTTAATGTAGCATGAGGGCCTTGCCAGAGGTAGCTGCCCAATGTTGAACTTCCCAGGCTCCAGAACTGGGAGCCAAGTAAACCTCTTTTGTTTATAAATTACCCAGTCTCAGGTGTTCTGTTACAGCAACAGAAATAGACTAAAACAGTCTCTATTGTCTCATCTCTCTTAATAAACTTTTGCTCATTATGGGATATAGATTGCTATTATATCAATTGAGTAACAAAGAGATTAGGCCATGAGGGGAAAGTCTGGAGATTCCCTGCTCCAGAGAGTAGAACTTTTACAACTAACATGCTAATACGGTTTGGTTGTGTCGCCACCCAAATCTCATCTTGAATTGTAGTTCCCATAATCCCCACATGTTGTGGGAGAGACACGGTGGCAGGTAATTGAATCATGGAAGTGGTTACCTCCATGCTTTCTTTTCTCATGATAGTGAATGAGCTCTTATGAGATCTGATGATTTTATAAAGGGCTTTCCCCGCTTTTGCTCGGCACTTCTGCTTCCGGCCATCAAGTAAAGAAGAATGTGTTTGCTTCCCCTTCTGCCATGATTGTAAGTTTCCTGAGGCCTCCCCAGCCATGCGAAACTGAGAGTCAATTAAACCTCTTTCCTTTGTAAATTACCCAGTCTTGGGCAGTCCTTTACAGCAGCGTGAGAACACACTAATACGTGCTTTGTTCTAGTCTAGATTAAGCAACTTTTGAGGGGTGTATTGTTTGACTCATCTGAGTTTTTAATCAATGCTTACTAATTCAAGAGGAACTTATGTGCTTTTAGGATATAAGGAGGCATCAGGAAATCTGGAAAATTTCTTAAAATCCTATAAGGCAGACCAGTCTTTATATTTCCTTATATCTTAGGGAGGCCACTGTTAAAAAGAGGAGGAGGGAGTTTTAGGAGCAGTAATATTATGCATTCATTTGAGACTATTAATTTTACATATGTCTTGAGGTTTTTATTGCTAAAAAGTTATATAATTTTATGAAGCTACAAAACAAATAAACATTAAATTCCAGCTTATGTAATTCTACTTAATCAAGTATTAAATGTGCCAGGCAGTACTCTAGGTACCAACGACCTAAAGATGTGTTGTCTCTGCCTCCAGCAAGCTCACAATACAGAGAGATATACATGGAAAAATTGTAACAGTACAGCTCAGTAAGTGCCATAAGAGAATAAAGAATATACCAAAAGCACCAGAGTATAATATACAGTAGACATCAGCTTTGAGGAATTGATGAGTTGGAAAGAATTAAGAGAAGGCGCAAGGAATTTTGGAGTTAGACCTTCAGGGAGAAATTGCATTTGGCCATATGAGGAACAATAGCAACAACAACAGAGATGAATGGAGGTTGGGAAGAAGTACTGTATCTAGATAAAATGGCATAGATGTTCACTCGTTTACACACACACACACACACACACACACAAACACACGGCACAAAAGAACCTGACTTGTTCTGGATCCAAAAGCACTATATGGACAGTACAATAATCTCATGTCTCCAATATGCTTAGGTACAATTTTAATGTTTTATGACATAGATGGCTGCATGTTTCAGTTATTGGACAAATGCATACTTGAGTTATTGTTTATTCCATTGTGTCAGTTCTGCTTCTGATCAAAATCCATTCCTATTTGAAAATGCATCTAGTGAATTTTTTTTTTTGAGACAGAATCTTGCTGTGTTGCCCAGGCTGGAGTGCAGTGGCACAATCTCAGCTCATTGCAACCTCCGCCTCCCACGTTCAAGTGATTCTCATGCCTCAGCCTCCTGAGTAGCTGGGACTACAGGTGCATGCCACCATGCCCAGCTACTTTTTGTACTTTTAGTAGATACAGGGTTTCACCACGTTGGCTAGGCTGGTTTCAAACTCCTGACCTCAGGTGATCCACCCGTCTTGGCCTCCCAAAGTGCTGGGATTACAGGCGTGAGTCACAGCGCCCAGCCCTCTAGTGCATTTTTTAAAAAACATAAACACCATTCTCTCTTTTCAAATTTAGCACTTGCCCAGAAGTTTGACATGTTCCCTTTTTATTTGTGGTCATTATTTCCTCTTTGGTCTCCTTTAAAAATAGCACCCCTTTGCACTTGTCTGTGAATCTTAGCTGGTGCTAGTGTCTCTGTCCTCTCTGGGTGCACACACGTTCTCCTTTGGACTTTTTAACTGGATCTTGCTTGGAATTTTTCCCTTTCCATATTTGGTTACTGGTTTGGAAGTTTATTTCCCTTTGTTTTACTAATCATTTTGTTCCATTATTTTTGGTGGTTCTAGTTAGAAAATAGCTCCCACTGCATTTTGGTGCAACAATTTTAAAGGCCTCTATAAGATGTTATCTTCTGTCCTGCTTGTAGACTGAGCTTTAGGTTGTACCTTAATTACTAACATAAATAACTTTTTGGAGCAAGGTGCACAACACTATATATAATATGATTTGATTTTCTGGAAGGTATACAGCAGTAAGCATAATAAATTGTGATCTTTATTTCTAAAGAAATTATAAGAGTATGCTTATATATACTGGAACTATTTCTTTTCTAATTTCCTGAAACCATTTGCAGGAAACTTAAGGATGGTCTATCTGAGAAGCAAAGGAGTCAGGAAGGCTGGAAAGGAGACTTATTTCTTGTTTTGTAAACTTACTGCTCTGTTTGAATTTACCCTAAGCATATATTATTTTTAGTTAGACATATAAGAAAATGTGTTTAACAATTCATTCATTTTTATCTTTGGTTTTGTCCATAGTATGTATTTAGGAAGTTTCACAATGTGAAGAAAGCGAAGAGTAAAAACAGCAGGTGACTGCATTGACAAAATGAAAGCAAGCAAATTGGACAAACCTAGCATAAAGAAGACAGACCAGGTTATGCATTTTTACTCCTTACAAATATAAAGACAAGCCCGTCCTAAATTATCCCAGTAGAAAATTTTGACAACTACAACAAAACAGAAAACCCAACAAAACAAATAAAAATTTGATGCTGATGACATGCGATAAAGAAAAGCAGAGCTCTCCAGTAAAAACCAAAATTCCTGTCTGTTAAGTTTACAAGGATTCTTCCTTAGGACTTTCTGAGCCAAGACAATGGACAGCTAAGAGGGCAGCTCTTGAAATACTTTCACAGGATTTGCTTCTCTGCTCATAAAATGTAGGAACAATTCAAACTGGAGAGCATTTCCTACCCATTCACTGGCCTGAAGATTCATAGAGTAGGGTTTTGTGTTGCTGTCAGCAGGCATTTATCTGAGCACACATCCATCCATCCTCCCTCTCTCTCTCTCTCTCCTTCTCTCTCTCTCTCTTTCCCCCCACACCCGATGCATGCATACACTCACACACTTTGGAACTTAGAAGGCCACTCTTCTGAATATCAAATCAAGTAAAATGACCATTCTAAGGGTGACAACTCAGGGAAACTCTGGAAACACTGGAAACAAATACTGAAAATAAACTTACGTGTGGGAGAGAGAATAACATTGAAAGAAGGTATACATAGTAACCAAAAGAGCTACTGTTTCATGTTTATAGGTTGGGAACTGAACAGAAAGTTGAAAACACAGCACACATGATTAAAAAATTTTTTCCTTAAAAACCAAAGAGCCATTTTTCTTAAATTCCTGATCAGATTTAATTAACTACATTTCAAATGCAGTCATGCACTGCATAATGACATTTTGGTCAACAATGAACCATATCAGTGGTCCCACAGATTATAATGGAGCTGAAAAATTCTTATCATCTAGTGATGCTATAACGCCCGTACTGCTGTAACACAAGAACTTTATTGTTTTATAAATTTAGTGTAGCCTAAGTGTACAGTGTTGATAAAGTCTACAGTAGTATACAGTAATGTCCCAGGCCTTCACATTCACTCACCACTCACTCACTGACTCACTCAGAGCAACTTCTAGTCCTGCAAGCTCCACTCATGATATGTTTCTACACAGGTGTACCATTTATCTTTTGTGCTGTTTTTACTGTACCTTTTCCATGTTTAGATATGTTTAGGTACACAAATACTTACAACTGTTTACCGTTGCCTACAGTATCCAGTACAGTAACATGCTGTATAGGTTTGTAGCCTAGGAGCAATAGGCTACACCATATAGCCTTGGTGTGCAGCAGGCTCTACCATCTAGGTTTCTGTAAGTACACTCTATGATCACACAATAACAAAATCACCTAACGACACATTTCTCAGAACACATCGCATCATTAGGTGACAACTGTAAAAAGCAATTGTCAGTGGTTATATGTGTATGTGTAATTATGTGAGTATATTTATCAATAAACTATATAAAATAAGTACTTACACAAGCAATTGCCTGGACTACTCCAATAACTTCTAACTGGTCTCCCCAGTTTGACTCCCCCCACCCCAATCCTTCCATTCACCATACTCCATCCAATGCATTCTCTTTAAAATGCAAATCAAACTGATATTCAATGTCAAAAGGCTTCAATGGCTTCTTCAGTTTACTAAGTGTGTTATACATGTAATTCTCCCTAAACCTCTATGAGGTAAGCACTCTTATTGGGATTATCACCAACACTGATGAGTAAACTGACATAATACAGGTGTTAACCTGTATAAGATCACACAGCTGGTAAGAGCACAGAGTGCTGCATTGGAGTGCATGTTCTTTACCACCATACTATGCAATTTGAAATACAACTAATAAAAAATATAGCTTTAGGCCAGGCGCGGTGGCTCACGCCTGTAATCCCAGCACTTTGGGAAGCCAAGGCAGGCAGATCATCTGAGGTCAGGAGATCAAGACCAGCCTGGCCAACATGACGAAACCCAGTCTCTACTAAAAATACAAAAGTTAGGTGGGCGTGGTGGTGGGAGCCTATAATCCCAGCTACTCAGGAGGCTGAGGCAGGAGAATTGCTTGAAACCAGGAGGTGGAGGTTGTGGTGAGCTGAGATTGCGCCACTGCATTCCAGCTTGGGTGACAGAGCAAGATTCCATCTCAAATAAAACAAACAAACAAACAAACAAACAAAACCAAAAAACCAACCAGCTTTATATCACTATGAGTTATACTTTAAAGGTAAAAGTTATGGTGGCTTCATGGAATCTAGAATATTCTTGGCTACAGCACTGAAAACACTGTCGCTGTGCATAACCTCATTTTGGCTGCTGTGAGAAACAGAATAATAGCCCCACAAAGATGTCCACATCCTACTCCCCAGAACCTATAAATATCTTACTTTACATGGTAAATAGGAATTGCAGTTGTAGATGGATGAAAGTTGCTAACCAGCTGACTTTGAAATGGATAAATTATCCAGAGTTACTCAGGTAAGCCCAAGGTAATGACAAGGGTCCTGATGAGTGGAAGAAGGAAGCAGAAGAGAGAGAACAAGAGAGGTGGCAGCCTGGTGTCGCAGGGCCGTGAGTGGGGACAGGTGGCAGCCTGGCAGGACAGGGCCGTGAGTGGGGCGCCTCCAGAAGCTGGAAAAGCCATGGAAACAGATTCTGCCCTAGAACCTCCAGAAGGAATGCTTCATGCTGATACCTTGATTTTAGGCCAGTGAGACCTGTTTCAGACTTCTGACCTCTAGAAGTTTAAGACAATCAATTTGTATTGTTTTGTTTTTGGTCATGTGTTTCACAGAAATAGAAAAGTAATACAGTTGGGTTATTTTTTCTGAGTTCTAGCCTTGTTAACAGTAACACCGTCCAAGAAAACAATCCCTGGTTTTAAGTTTTATTTTGCTGCTTTTGCCAAAGGAGGCACCTGACCCAGGTTCTGATTCCCCTTTTCCATCTTCACCACCATCTTCCTCAAAACATCAGTCTAGCAAGAGGGGTATACTGGAGTATTGACTCAGCAGTGTTACTACTATATTGCTATGGGATGAAAAAATATTATTTTAAGAATGGCCTTTATAGCTTCCTGGTGGTCTGACTTCAATAAAGCTAGCAGCTCTTACCTCTATATTCCAATACATCTTCTCTATGAGGAAGGCCCACAGGAGGAAACCAATGCAATGGAAACCATGGGTGGTGAACATCCGTAAGCTCCTGTGGGCTCCTCTCATTAAACTGCTCATGTGGGAGGATAAATGAGTGTTTTCAGTCATAGGGAACTCACTGTGCTCAGGCTGAAGTTTTTGTTTTTGACTTCATTCTTTCTAATATAATTTCTTTCATAGTCTTGAAATGGTTGTTAAATCCACCTACAAGCCCATTTTAGCGTTTCTGTTCATCAGATAATTGAGACTGTGCCAGCACGGAACCACTTCTCTCCAGCAAATTGATTATGGCAGTTGCTTCTTAACAATAGATACAGAGGGCAGAATTTTCCTAGTACCGGTTCCCTGGAGTGCTGTTTTGGGTCAGTTCTGGCAAAAAGGCAGAACCTTGTGATTTTACAAAAGATTCAGACCTCTCTCCCCTACCACAATCTTTATCAGTTGATGAGAGATTAGACTCAGGCTAAGCGCCTGGATCAGGTTCCAGTCCAGATCTGAGGACCAGCTGCTACTGGTTAGGTGGAATCAGGAACTGATTCATGATCAGCTCCTTGGCTCTGAGAGACCCCAAAAGGCATGACAACACCCCACCAAACACGGAATACTCATTCCTATTATTTTTTGACATATCAGCTTAAATGATGCCTCAGAGAAATCTAACACTCCACCTACTTAACATGAAGTTAGAGCTTCATGATTTATATTGCAATCAGTTCAATCTATACACTTCTTTTACCTACCCTACCTCATCCCCATTCCATCTGCTGTGGTTTATGTCCCCCCACATTCATATGTTGAAATCTAATCACCAATGTGATGGTATTAGGAGTTGAAGGCTTTGGACCGTGATCTGGTCATGACAACAGTGCGCTTACAAAGAGACCTCAGAGCTGCCTTGCTTCTTCCGCCATGGGAGGTCACCCTGAGAAGGCTCCATCTATGAACCAGGAAGTGGGCCCTTGCCTGACACTGAATTTGCTGGTATCTTGATTGTGAACTTCTCAGCCTCCAGAGCTGTGAGAAATAAACGTTGTTTATAAGCTACTCCGTTTATGGTATTTTGTTACAGCAGCCTGAATGGACTAAGGCACCATAGAATCAACAGGCATATATTTATACCTACTATTAACCAGGAACTTTGCTCAGCACTGGACATATAGTGGTGAGCAAACATCAAGAAATTCCTTTCCTAATGGAGTGGGAAAGAAAAATGTAATTCAACTAAACACACACAAAAATATCCATATATCAACAGGGATACTGACATCATCGTTTAAATAACAAGAACAACAACAAAAAAGCAATCCTCCAGACTACTAAGAAAGATATAAAGAATGCTGATAAACAGCAGGATAAAAAGGAAAGAAGGGAGTAAGCATGATATTATAAATGATAGGAGTGGCCAAAAGAATGGCACAGTTACATCTGGGAAGAATATTAAAAAGATGAATATGTAATAACAGCATAAGAAATCCACTAAGTCTTTAATAAATAAAATAGTATTGGATTATAACCCAAAGTATAAAACAAATATTTATGAGCCCATACTGATAGAAAAATAAATGATTAAATAAATAAATGAAGGGAAGGGAGAGACCCATCTCCCATGCAGAAGAGCTCCAAATAATTTATGAAGATACTCCGCCTTCAAGGAGATGGAGCATAACTCTCCTTCCTGAAGAAGTGTGGGTTGCATGTAGTGACTTCCTTCCAAAAAAATCTAGTATGGAAATGAAGAAAAAAGGGTAGGTAATCTGTGGAGAAAACTGGTATGCACTACATTAGGAGTATGATTACAGGTGACCTAGGTTCACATCAACAGCAATAAGTCATGTGTACGGTATGTTCCCTGGAGATAATGTGATGAAAATGTCACTTTACCTAGGCCCCTTACCACTTTCTGATCTTCCTCCAAAAAACCTATAACCCCAGTCTAGTTATGAGAAAAATATCAGAGAAACAGCAATTCGCAGTCATTCTACCAGATACTTGACCAGAACTCCTCAAACCCATTATAGTAAGAGAAAGCAAGGGAAGCCTAAGAAACTGTTACAACCAAGAAGAACCTAAGGAATCAGGACAACTAAATGTAATATGGTAGCCTGGATGGCATCCTGGAATAGAAAAGGCATTAGGTAAGAATGAAGGAAATTTGAATAAAGTGTACCATACTAATGTAAGATATTAACAATGTGGGAAACTGGGTGTGGAGTATATGAGAACTCTCTATACTAGCGTTGGAATTTTTATTTAAATCCAAACTGTTCTAAAATTGTTTTAAACATAAAAAAAAAAACACCCACATACAAAGAAAACACTCTTGCAATGCCAGATCTTTTAGTATCCCAGGAACAATATAGAAAAGTCCCCACAACACTTCCAAATACATCCCCTATAGGAATCAAGTTTAGCAGAGACAATGTGTTATATTTACCTAAAGCTTGAAGAGGTCACTCAGCCCCATTCATTTATGCTTTTGTTCGCCTCTTGGTTGTTTCTCCACTACAATTTCAGACTTGGGGTGTATTGTTTCTATGTTGGTGATTCAATAGGAATAGCACAGCAGAACGATTTTCTGTTTTTAATTAGTGACAATTCTACACTAAAAGGCACACTCTTTTCTATTTGAAATTTAGAATTTCAGCAGAATACATAACTTTCTCAGTTGTTCTGTTAACGATTTCTCCAGCCTACCTCTCTGTTGCCTTTTAGCATGAGTGCATTTTTTTTCTTCTGTGTGTTCCATATGATACCAATTGATATTTCAGAATTGCACAAGGGTTTCATTGTGAAACTTTGGCTTTCTGGTTTGACTTTATATAATATTGGTCAGTACATGTCCCTTGCCTGAGACAATGTGCACCTTCCTCCTCCACAAAGGGACGTGGCTCACATCACTTGAGCTGTGCGATGATCACTTGGGCAGCGAGGGCGTGAGAAAATATCATTGTATTGTGGTATTAGACACTCGTCCCGCAGGTTAAGTATTATAAGTGTTACTTTACCAGAACGTGAATAGCAACAATAACTCATTTTACAAAAGAAAGAAAGAGAGACAGAAAGAAAGAGAGAGAGAAAGAAAGAAGAAAGAGAAAGGAAGGGAGGAAGGAAGGAAGGGAAAAAAGCAAAACAAAAAAGGTGAGAGAAAAAAGAAAAAGCAAAAGTAGAACTGCATTGCTTAGTCTATTGTAATTTCCTCCATTTTCCTAAAAAGTTAACGCGAAGAAAACAAAATAACGGCAACGTTCCCAGGATTTCAAATCTCATGAGTCCAGAATCCGTGAAAATCCTGTTTAAAATCATCCGGTGAAATTGGCTTTGGGACGTCTCCCCAGCTACTGGATCATGTGGCTTCTGAATCTTTCTAACAATCGTCCCGTTGGATGTCCCCTGAGGACAGAGCAGCTGGCTAGAGTCCCCAGACCAGACTTCTCTAAGTGAATGTAGATGTGCAGGTGGAGAGGATAAAAGTAATTCTGGCTCAGCAGCCACGAATTCCCTCCACCTCCGCCCCACAAGTGCGCTGCATATCGCCGGCTCAGCTGGGACGCTACAGAGCCCAGACCACGCGGACGCTGCCCCCTCCCCGGGGACTCAAAGTGTGGCCGGCGCCCGCCTCCCAGTGATGCCATCTTTCTTGGGGTCTTAGCATCTTACCAGTGGGTAGTGAGTTTTGCATTCGAATCACGTCCCTCTGTCTGAAAACTTACCCCAACTTTGCAAACAGATGAGAACCTGCTAGTGGGAACCCTTAATTTTCTGTATCTAGAACTGACAAAATCAGACGCAATTCACAAGAAACCCACGACCTCGCGCTCCCTTGCTCCCAGCGTCCGCTCGCGGGCACCCTGGGTTTCCCGCTCGCCTGGGCGCAAGGTCAGACGCCCCGCGGCGACCTCGGCCCAGAGCCGCCCAGACACTGTCAGCCAGCGCCCCGTGGGGGGCTGGAGGGTGGGGGCAGGCTGGTCCAGGCAGGAAGGGTAGAGGAACCCGAGCAACTTACAGCCCAGGGCGACCACCAGGTAGCGCAGCAGCAGCAGGAGGAGGCGGTGGCGGCTCCTCCTCGCCATCTTCCCGGGGCGGCAGCCGGCTGCTCTGAGGAGGTCGAGGGTCCCGGCGGCAGGAGCGCAGGAGGCCGGGGGCCCTTGAACTTCTGGGGCGGGAAAGGAGCAGAGAGTCGGGAGGGGAGGAAGAGGAGGGACGGCTCTAGATGGGATGTCAGTTTCCCCCTCCCCGGGGCGCCTTCTCAGCTGGCTGCCAAGAGGCGGGTCCTCCAGCCCAGGGATGGGGGTCTGTTCTGTTTTGGGGGTGTGGGGGTAGGGGCTAGAGGGCGTGAAAACCAGACGAGGCGTCCGCCGGGTCCTAGCGAGGGGGCAGCAGGAGGAGAGCAGCGCCCGGGAAAGCCCCGGCGGGTCGTCCCTCCGCCCCCACGCCTCCGGGATTGATCGGCTTTGTGTCTGGTCCGCGCGGGGCTGCCAGCTGTCCCCAGGGCGAGGAGCTGGGGGCGGGAGGCGCGGGCAGGCTGGGGGTGGGGGGATTGGGTGTCTCGGGGACGGGGATGTATGCGGGTAGGGAAACGCCTCCTGTTTTGCCCCAACTCCTTTCTTCCCCTCGTTGGCTCAAAACTTCTTTCTGGCTTTTCAGCCTAGGGGTGGAGATATTTGGAAAATTCTGCCCAACGGGCGAAGCTGAGGGGGTGGCGCTCTGAGGAGATGGGGTTCGCGGGCTCCGCCTCGAACTCGAGAAAAAAAAAAGCAATCAAGACTCGTGCTGGAAGTCAGGTCTCAGATTTTAGTACAGCCTTGGTCCCTTCTCAGTTTAAGCTTTTTGCTCCTTGGAGATTTGAGGTGCATTTGTCTCGCGTTCTTGTTCTTTGCTTTTTTTTCAGTGTCAGAGTTGGAAGTTCATCTAATGGTGTGAAATATTTATCATGTTTCTTTCAAGTTACATAACTGCTGCTTGTGGAGTTTTCCACGTGTTAAAACTCTACAGCTGCCCTTTGTCAGGTTTATTTTTGGTCTACTGTGCTTTTAAAAGGGAAACCCATTATGAATGCTCTGTTGCGTGCTTTAAAATTGCACCACACTTACATTGGACGCACGTACACTGGCAATTTTTATATTTGTTCCTAGGGACCAAAAATGTATGGTGTATTCAAGAGTATTGGCAGGTCTGGAAAAAGGCCATTCCCAGGAGAAGAAATTAGTATACATCAGTTTTTTTCTTTTGTTTTTTTGTTTGTTTTTGTTTTTGTTTTTTTTTAAAGGTTGAATAATGGATGAAGTTCTGTACAGCAGATAGTTGATTTAGTGGTGTATTTAAAAAGAATTCAGCTAGCTCAGTGGACAAAGGCGACCAGAGTTTAGCTGTGCAGAACTGTGAGGAATGAGGCATCCTTGCTGTTGCCGTGGTGACAGTGATGAAAACTTAGTACCCAGGGAGGGGGTGGGAGGAGAGGACCCAGGGGACCCAGAAAGGAAAGTCAAAATGGCAAAATGTTAAAACTCGTACTCCAGTCAACCGAGGAGAAGGGGCACAGATTTAACAACAGCTTATGCCAGTTTTTCTGGGCAGTAATGAGAAGGATTTGATGCTTAAAAAGAAAAGTTGTTGGCATCTTCTTTTTTCTAATTCTTGCTACAGCTATATGTCTTTTACTCCTCCCTAAAAATATACACAAAAATGTCATACTTAAAAAAATTCTATGCAATCCTATGTGAGTAACTGACTAAGTTATTTATTTGCCACCCAGCCAAGGCATTTGACAAATGGCAACAATGTGCTGGATGCTGAAGGACAACCATGAACAAGATAGAGGCTTTCTTGCTAACAAGCTCACAGTCTTGAGGGGAGACAGAGTCTTATCAGGAAAGATGCCTGATACCACATGGTAAATGTTACAGGAGGACAGAAAATAATAACAGCTATTTTTATTGCATGCTTTCTCAGTGATGGAGTCTGAATAACGCAATATCTAATCCCCCAACAACTCCATAAAAGAGGAAATGTTATCATTCCCACTTTGCAGATGAGAAAACTGGGCGGAGAGACACTAAATGGCTTGTCCAAGGTCCATGATAAGGGGCTGTTCCTTTTGTTGGGAGTGGGGCCAGGGCTTTCTTTATTAAACCTTGAAAAATGGGTCAAATTCTGAAGGGAAGGACATAAAGGAGAGGCATTCTACATAGAGGAAACAGCAGGATCCAGAGCTAGGAGATTGAAAAATTATGGTTTATTTAGAAAAAGCAAGGTTCTACAGTACTAAAGTGTATGTGGGATCGGGATAGTGAGGTAGGTGGTGGTGGTGGTAGAAACTGAAGGGGAGGTTAGAGTACGAAGAGCATTCACGCTACTGTCTAGACCTCATCCTACAGCTAATGAGCTTTTTGAAAGCAATGAGATAAGAAAAGACTCATATTTTAGAACTGTGGTGTCCAATATGGTAGCCTATAGATCTAAGTGGCTATATACATTTTTTTTGTTTTGTTTTTAATTTGAGACAGAGTCTCACTTTGTCACACAGGCTGGAGTACAGTGGTGCAATCTCAGCTCACTGCAACCTCCGCCTCCCAGGTTCAAGTGATTCTCCTGCCTCAGCCTCCTCAGTCCAGTAGATGGGACTACAGGCATGTGCCACCATGCAGGCTAATTTTTGTATTTTTTGTAGAGATGGGGTTTCGCCATGTTTGCCAGGCTGGTCTCGAACTTCTGACCTCAGATGATCCACACGCCTTGGCCTCCCAAAGTGCTGGAATTACAGGTGTGAGCCACCATGCCTGGCTGGCTATATAAATTTGAATTCAATTATATGTAAAATGCAGTTCTCCACTGACACTGATCACATATGAATTTCTCAATAGTCACATGAGGGTAGGGGCTACCATATTGGAAAATGTATTTCCATCATTGCAGGAAGTTCTACAAGAGAGTGCTGCTCTAGAATGATGACTCATATTGAAATGTGCAGGATGGATTACAGAAAAGAGAATCAGGGTGTTAGTCAAGTCTAAACTATTACAATATCCTGAGAAAGAGACCAAGTTGTGAAGTAAATGGTCACCGTGTGATAAATGAAAAACCGGGTGGATTCAGATGATATTTCACAAACATGGTCAACAGGATTATGTTATCAGCTAGATGTAGGGGTGAGAAAGGAGAGAACATGTAGGTATCAGATTTCTAGCATAGGTGGCTGTATGTGGAGGTTATAAATAGTGTCATTAAAGGAATAAGAAACATAGAGGGCATACATAATTCCTGCAGGTTTGGGATGAGTTGAGAGAGAGAAATATAGCTGGGGTGACCAGTAGACTGTTAGAATGAGTGCTCTAGAGAACAGGAAACCCTCAGGATTGACTAAAGAAATAAATATAAATATTAGCAGCATCTTCTAGAACAGTGATCACTGGACTATCTTCTCCCCAGAATCCTTTGGAGCTCCTTCATTATGATTCTTTCCTTAAAATTATGTTAAAATTCTGAGTTTCAGAAGTTTTAATCTCAGCAGCCCCAGGAAGCTGTATTATTAACAAGTACCTTGATTAATTCTGATGCAACGAATCTATGGATTATTGTTTGAGGAACTTTCTAGAAGGCAGGAGCAGTGAATGAGATCAATCAGACAAAGAAGTGAATGTTTATGGATAAATCTAAGGAAATAACTGCAGTAAGAGGTAGGAAGAGAAAGAACCCAGAGAAAGAACACAAGAAAGAGCAGTCAAAAAGTACAAAAGGAACTGGGAGAGAATCAGGAGCTAAAGGTGGAGGTGTTTGTACAGTCCAAGGCTAAAAAGAGGGTTGAGAATTGTCTCTTGTATTTAGTGTCTATGAGGGTATTGCCCACATGGATAATAGAGAAAGCAAGCCTCCAAAAAACATGTAGAAAAAATTTGCAGACTTGAGTTTTATACTTAGTAAAGCAACTAATGCATAAGATATATTAAAAATATTTAAAAATTTTTTTAATTATTATGGGTACATAATAGTTTTATATATTTATGGGGTACAGGTGATGATTTGATACAAGCATACAGTGTAGCAAGCAGGGTAATTGGAATATCCACGTCCTCAAGCATTTATCATTTCTTTGTGTTAGGAATATAACCACCCAATGGGTTCACCTTGCCCGATGCCCAGATAGAGCTGATTTATCAAGACAGGGCAATTGTAATGGTGAAAGAGTCATTCACGCAGAGCTGGCTGTGTGGAAGATGGAGTTTTATCATTACTCATATCAGTCTCTCTGCATTCAGGGATCAGAGTGTTTAAGGATAATTCTTGGTAGGTGAGGGAAAGACCAGTGGGTCGAGAGTGCTGATTGGTTGGGTTGGAGATGAAATCATAGGAAGTTGAAACTGTCCTCTGTGCTGAGTCAGTTCCGGGTGGGGGCCACAAGATCAGATGAGCCAGTTTCTCCGTCGGGGTGGCACCAGCTGATCCATCAAGTGCAGGGTCTGCGAAATATCTCAAACACTGATTTTAGGAGCAGTTTATGGAGGGTCAGGATCTTACAGCCTCCGCCTGAATGACTCTTAAACCATAATTTCTAATCTCGTGGCTAATTTGTTAGTCCTACAAAGGCAGTCTAGTCCCCAGGCAAGAAGGGGGTTTGTTTTGGGAAAACGTTGTCACCATCTTTGTGTCAAACTATAAACAATGAACTAAGTTCCTCCCAAAGTTAGTTCAGCCTACGCCCAGGAATAAACAAGATCAGCTTGGAGGTTAGAAGATGGAGTTGGTTAGGTCAGGTCTCTTTCACTGTCTCAGTTATAATTTTGCAATGGTGGTTTCAGGAACATTCCAAGAAAAAAACTATTCATGACGCTTGTTAAAGATGGTAAGGCAGACTTTATTCAAAGGGGAGGCCATGGAGATAGGTATGGGAACTACTGCAGCAGTGGGGGAGAAAAATTGGACTCAATTCCAACAACAAGGACAAGTGGACTTCTAACTCAGTAGCAGGGTTTGGGGGGGTGTCAGTGGACAAAAAAGTACTAAGAAGAAACATCAAGGATAAGGGGTTTCTAGCTAAACTGATTTGTTAGGGTTCTTGCTGAAGGCAGGCCAGGGTGACAAGATATCGAAGGTCAGATACTGGGTGGGGGGAATTTTCAATAAACTGACTTAGCAGGATTCTTGCTCAAACTGGATTCTACAAAGACAGAGAGGGAAGCCTAAGGTTGGATCTAGTCAAGAAAAGGACTCAGAGGGCCCTGACTAAAGTTTTGGTCAAAGGACAGTGTGTTTTTTTACATAAAAACAAATAATAAATTCCTAACTTAAAAAACATCAGCAAAAGGATGGTGAAAGAAATGGCGGCAGTTAATACTGCTTCATTAACAAGTGTTTGGGAACTGGTTTCGTTGTGGTTCTGCCTGTAGGAATCACTGCACCAGGGAGCATGGGGCAATTTGGGAGGAATGGGGAGGAAATACTGTCAGAGTTCCTCTAAGTTCTGTTCTCTTCTCCTTGAGCATAGTGCCTGCCCCCACCTGTCACAATCACTTTCACTCTGACTCTATAAGCAGTTTTGTCAGGTAAATATAAATGAGGACTTGGTGTTTTGGGACAGCTTACCATTTTTAATTCTTTCCACCCATTCTAATTCTGAATTCAAAGTAACACTAGGGTGTCGAGGCACATTTCCTAAAACAAGCAATGAAGGAAAGGGCTGGGTTTAAATGGAGTGACTTCTCACATCTCAGATTTGGTATTTCTGTGTTGGATGGTTTATTTTTCCCCATGGGTGTGGAGAAGGTGCTGGAAAGTGTGCCCACACTCTGAAATTTAGAGAAAAATATACTCCTATTTCCAGAACCACATACATTCCCAAGTGTCTCTCATGTAAGTTTAAGCTCTTATGGATAGAATGTAAGGTTTTTAACGGGTTCCCAATTACCTAACTTCTTTTATTCCTCACCATTATCTTCTCAGATCACTTTTTTTTTTTTTTTGAGACAGGGTCCCCCTCTGTCACCCAGGCTGAAGTGCAGTGGCACGATCTCAGCTCACTGCAACCTTCGCCTCCCAGGTTCAAGTGATTCTCCTGCCTCAGCCTCCTGAGTAGCTGAGATTACAGGCGCCCCCACAGCGCCCAGCTAATTTTTGTATTTTTAGTAGGGACGGGGTTTCACCATGTTGGCCAGGCTGGTCTGGAACTCCTGACCTCAAGTGATCCACCTACCTCAGCCTCCCAAAGTGCTGAGATTACAGGTGTGAGCCACCGTGCCCGGCCCAGATCACTTTTTGAAATAAGCCTGACTTCAACATTGTGTCCTGATGAGCCCACAAGCACATTCATGCTGTGCCCCTCCCACCCTCTTTTCTAGCCAAATAAACCTATTCAGGGAAGCCCACGGTGTCTCCAGCATGTAGCTTACCTTACTCTCCCAAAGTGACACCTTCCTTCAGGTATTTTATAACAATACAGTACTCAAAACGTACCTTCAAGAAACATTAACAACTCACTAGCCTCACCTGGTTTTAATTACTATAAGCAGGAACATTCTCTTTCAGGATTGTCTGCTTCTAAATTACATCATTAGATTAGTTTTGCCTGCCAATTAAAATCAGTAAAAAGCACTTATTAGTGGTTCTTTCTTTTATAGTGCTTTTTTTTTTCTTTTTTTTTTCGAGATAGAGTCTCGCTCTGTTGCCCAGGCTGGAGTGCAGTGGCACGATCTCGGCTCACTGCAACCTCCGCCTCCCGGGTTCAAGCGATTCTCCTGTCTCAGCCTCTGGAGTAGCTGGGATTATAGGCGTGCACCACCATGCTCGGCTAATTTTTGTATTTTTAATAGAGATGGGGTTTCTCCATGTTGGCCAGGCTGGTCTCGAACTCCTGACCTCAAGTGATTCGCCCAACTAGGCCTCCCAAAGTGCTGGGATTACAGGTGCTTCTTTCTTTTATAAAACATATTTATTATCAACTCAGTAGTTGGTGCTTTACTGAATGTTAATTAGCAATTTTATAAGAAATTAGGTGATATGAAAATGATTTTTAATGGAATTTTCTTGGGGGAGAAAATAACATTTAACAAACACTTGCCAGGATCAAACAAAGGATGGACAGGCATCCATTAGTCTACAAGCGTGAAATCCTAACAATGAAAACCTTTGGGGAGAATGTACAGATACTTTCCAACTTCACTCCCCACCATTTCTCCCTTATTCATTTCACAGTTAAGGAAAATGAGGCCCATAATGGTGAAATGGCTTATTCAAGATCATTCTCCAAGATAAGAAAAGAGCCATGCCTGGAATAAACACATTAGGTCTTTCCTGTGCAGTCTCCAAAACATGGGCAGGGAAAAGATTTGTCTTTCTGCATATAACATGACTTAAGTTATACTTTATTTCCCGCGAGAGTCCCTGCTTAGGACAGCTATGCTTAATATATGTCCTTAATTAAACAGCAAGTGGGAAGGGTAGGAACTCTCCATTCTGTTGCAGGGAGTTATGCAGTCTAATGCAACATCTTGTACCTTGGGTAATATAATCCAGATGAGAGGATGCTGAAAGGAATTGAGATAGATTCAGTAATTCTTTCCTTTGGTCCCTGCTCTCCAGAGCACTCTTAAAGACAATGATGATAGCCAGGCACAGTGGCTCACACATGTAATCCTAGCACTTTGGGAGGCTGAGGCAGGTGGATCACTTGAGGTCAGGAGTTTGAGACCAGCTTGGCCAATATGGTGAAACCCCATCTCTACTAAACATACAAAAGTTAGCTGAGCGTGGTGGTGTGTGCCTGTAATCCCAGCTACTCAGGAGGCTGAGGCAGGAGAATTGCTTGAACCCGCAAAGCAGAGGTTGCAGTGAGCCAAGATTGTGCCACTGCACTCCAGTCTGGGTAATAGAGCAAGACCCAGTCTTAAAAATAAATAAATAAAAATAGGATGATGATATTAATTGTTAACATTTATTAAGGCCCATTTGGATGGCATTGTGCAAAACACTTTATAGGCAACATCAAGCAGTTTCGTGAGGAGGTACTATTATTTCCATCTTACAGATGCGGAAACAAAGGCTTAGAAAATTCCCTAACTCAGGACCAGGCAACTAGGAATAATTGAGCCAGATTTAAACCAGATGTTTCTGAGTTCAAGACCAATGCTCCTAACCACTGCTATGGTGTGCATGACTGTGTCCCCTCAAAATTCATATGTTGAACCCTAACCCCTGAGGTAAGGATATTAAGAGGTAGGACCTTTGGGAGATGATTAGGTCATGAAGGTGAAGTCCTCATGTGTAGGATTAATGCTCTTATAAAAGAGGCTTGGCCAGGTGCCGTGGCTCACACCTGTAATCCTGGCACTTTGTGAGGCCAAAGCGGGCGGGTCACCTGAGGCCAGGAGTTCGCGACCAGCCTGGCCAACATGGCAAAAACCCTGTCTGTACTAAAAATAGAAAAATTATCTAGGTGTGGTGGTGTATGCCTGTAGTCCCAGCTACTTGGGAGGCTGAGGCATAAGAATTGCTTGAATTTGGGAGGTGGAGGTTGCAGTGAGCCAAGATCGCGCCACCGCACTCCAGCCTGGGTGACAGAGTTAGACTCTGTCTCAAAAAAAAAAAAAAGAAAAAAGAAAAAGAAAAAGAGGCTTGATGGACCTACTTTGCCCTTCAGCTATGTGAGCACACAGCCATAAGGTGCCATTTTTGAAGCAGAGAGTGAGCCCTCAGCAGATATTGATTCAGTCAGTGCCTTGATCTTGGAATTCCTCGCTTCCAGATGTGTGAACAATAAGTTTTTGCTATACATTACCCAGTCGAAGGTATTTTCTTAAAACAGATTGAGTGGTACAAATTAAAACAAAAACAAAAACAAAAAACCTTGAATAGACTGAGGCAACCACAAAAGTGTCTAAAAAGATGGACTCTAATGCAATGTATTTCTCCCTTCTAGAAAGAAAAAAACCATCCTTAATATTGTCACTTGATCTCTGTAATGACAATGTCATCTTCACATGTTTGACACTTGATATTTGGAAAGTATTTTCATGTGCATTTTCTCTTTAGATCTCTGCAACACCTTAGCGGGAGCTGGGGGAAAGGTATGATTACGCGTATTTCAACAACCCTATCTATAACTGATGGATATCAGTAAGTACCTAATAAACTTCAGAAGCCAAACCATTAGGAGTGTCTCATTTATGTATCATCAATATTCAGGGTGCTCCAAGTGACCAGCCTGGGGATATGGGAAGCATGCTATCGGGGGTCTGTGTGGCTGGGATCAAGTTCTGTCTCTGTGTGGCTCTTAAAGAGGATTCAGTGACTTCGTAACTTGTCCATATTGATAGTTAGTGACCTCAAGCCTTGTATCCAAAGACTCTGCTCTTCTTCATTCACTGGCTTAAGTGAGTTCCCATGTTCTAAGGACTCCTTAGTCTACCTCTCTTGACCTCCACACCTGTTTTCAGAAACGGCTACCTAGATGTACCACTCAAAATCAATGTCTGAAATTGAGCTGGCCTCAATGCCTCCCCACCCCACCTTATTTTCCTCTACTTTTCCTCCTCCCTCTTTCTTTTCTATTCTTTCCATCTTCCATTATCCAGTGGGAAATAAGAGCCTACAATAGGCCAGTCACTATGCTAGTGGCTGGGACACAACTGCACGCAATAACAGACAGTGTCTCATCTTGTGAAGATGTAGGTGGGAGAGAGAGACATAAATCAGGCAAAGCGATCACTGAGGGTGCTATTAAAAAAGAACGTGCTATCAGGGAGGTCAGGGAAGACTTCACAGGGGAATCTGAAGGCTGGAGTCTGAAGGAGGTAGGAGAAGGCAGGTAGAAAGAAGAGTCTGTGAAAAGGGGACATCACGGGCAAAGGCCTTGTCACAAGTACTACAGAAAGAGAGTCAGAAGGTGTGGCTGTAGCAGAAAGGTTGAGAGGAAGAGGATGGAGCCCACAGAGTGCCCCTGCTTAAATCCTCAATGGTTTCCAGCAGTGTTTAGAATAAAAGCAGAACAAACAACAGGGCTTCATCTTTTTTTCTCATTGAGCTCCCACAGAGCCTTGGCATATGCTGCTTCTGCTATGCAGTTGATTTGGTTCTTCATTCTTTTATTTCTTTAGTATTATCTAACATTTACTGAACAGTTGCTATGCATTAGGCACTAGGCTAAGCTTTTTTCATAGTGTCTTTTAAGAATTTAATCCTCATAATCATATTGAATAAGGAAAACTATTATTTCCATTTTACAGGTGAGGTCACTGGGACAGAGAAGTTGAGCAACAGGCCCAGAGTTGTGACAGCTTGTGGGTAGTTGTTATGTGTCCCCCCAAAATTGATGTGTTGAAATCCTAACCCCCAAAGTGATGGTAGTAGGATGTGGGGCCTTTGGAAGGTGATTAGGTCATGATGGCAGAGCACTTATCAATGGGATTAGTGCCCTTATGAGAAGAGACACAGAGTTTGCTTCCTCTCTCTGCTTATATGCCAGGCATAGTGGCTCATGCCTGTAACACCAATACTTTGGGAGGCCGAGGAAGGCAGATTGCTTGAGCCCAGGAGTTGGAAACCAGCTTGGGCAACATGGTGACATGCCCTCTCCACAAGAAATTAGTCAGGCATGGTGGTGCGTGCCTGTAGTTACAGCTATTAGGGAGGCTGGGGTGGGAGGATGTCTCGAGCCTGGAAGGTTGAGGCTGCAGTGAGCTGTGAGCATGCCACTGCATTCCAGCCTGGCCAACAGAGCAAGACTTGTCTCAAGGAAAAAAAAAAAAGGATACAATGAGAAGATGGCCATCTATCAACCAGAGAACAGATCCTCAGAGGCACCAAATTTGCCAATACATTAATTTTGGACTTCCCAGCTCCCACAACTGTGAGAAATAAATGTTTGTTGTTTAAGCCACTCAATCTATGGTATTCTATCTATTGTATAATCTTGGACTTCCCAGCCCCCACACCTGTGGGAAATAAATGTTTGTTGTTTAAGCCACTCAATCTATGGTATTCTGTTATAGCAGCCTGAACTAACTAAGACAGTGCTGGAGCAAGCTTTGGAAGCACACCTGGCTGACTCTAGACTCAATGTGCCTAACTGTTATGTGCACTGCTCCTCATTTATATCCATCTCATCTAGTCAAAGCCTACTCATCCTTCTGCCTCTGCTTAGCTGCCATTTCTTTAGGAAACTTCCCTGCCCTTCCCAACTGAATCCAACCCCACTCTTGCAAGCTCTCATTATCCCCTTCCTCTCTTGCATTATAGCTGGGGTTTCACACTTAATTGATCACAATCAGTCATGAGCAGGACTCTTTGAAGGCAAAGTCTGTGTCATTTTTGGCTTATTGTTATTATATAGTCTTTTTGCCTAACAAAGTGCTTGTCTGTTAATAAATGCTCAATAAATATTTGGCTACTGGATGAATATATAAATCCATATGTCATTTGACAGGAGTATGATTATATAACGTACATAAGTTTTTAAAACAACAGCATATTTGTTAAGCCGATGGTACTTTTAAGCTTCAGTATCTCAATATGCCAGTCTCAGTGCCAAGTGTTCTATTTTCATTATCAACTTTGATTCTTCACATGAAAGAAATGAAGGTCAGAGTGAGATAAATTTCCAGATCATCCAGTTGGCCAACAGCAGAACAAGGACATGATTCCAGGTCTATCTGTATCTGAAGGCTTTACTCTACAGCTCAGCCACGTTACCTTCATTCTTACAACCATCTTTCCAAGTTAACCAATCTACTGCAACATCAGCCCTGACGGCACCATTGTGTTGGCCGTAGGGATATAATAACTTGTTGAACAAACTGCATTTTATTTACTTTTAGGTCACTTTGATTTTTTTAAACATTTTAAAGCTGTGATGCACATTCTTATACATTTATACCCTTGTCTAATTATTTCTTCAGGGTACTTAGTAAAAAAGTCAGGCAGTTTTTAAAGTGTTTCATTCATGGGGCCAAATTGGCAACAGTAATACTTGAGTTATTAGTAGCTGATTCTATTACTTTGCCTATTCGCCAAGAGAATATTTCTCCCACTGTGCCAACAAGGAAAAACACAACTTCAGAATAATCCTTTGCATTTTTGTGAATTTGTCCTGGGGTACAGAAAAAAAAAAGATTAAATCCATTGTTGCCCTTTTTTTGGATCTAGACCTTAGGACATTCTTTTGAAGTACAGAATTTATTAGGTACTCCAACTTAAGACAGATAAATAAGAGTGTACGTAGCAACAACAGGCTGCTTATGATTTATTTGGTGTTTACTATGTATCCTGAACGCATTTTTTCTCTAATGAATAGCTGTAAACATTTATATATATTTTTGTTAATCAAATTCTTAATGATGACGGAATTCTATACCTAAAATAACAGCATCAGCTGCATTCTTTCGTCTTTAGAAATCTTTGAGAAGATGTCAGAGACCATGGATAAACTTGATCTCCCTTGCTACAATGAAAATTGGATGTACAAGAAACAGAATGATGCATTTTCACTTCCAAAGATTTAGAAATTCCGCTGTGTTCTTGGATCTGCCCCCTTTAAGCCAGGTGGATGATTTTAGTCTTTCTGGAATGCTCTTTTAGGCCCTACTGAAAAGTAGCTTACTGGAACAGCAGCAGATTAATGTTTAGTTTCATAACTGATATTCTGTTAAGTGACAACATTCTGTCTACCCCACTAGCCAAGATTTCTGTTTCTCAGGAGAAGTCAAAGAAGGAGATATTTTCTTGTATCACAGCCTTTAAAATGATTCCTTGTTTCACAGAATGATAAGGCTGGCCATGCACCTTATAGATGGGAGTGCTCCTGGGAATGGGACCAGTTTTGCAAGATATTTTCTTCCTTGAAGCTTAGCATTATAAAGAAGGCCAGGCTGTTGATTCCCTGAAGCTAGACGTCATCACAGAGACAGAAGTTCAAATGCTTGTCTGTTGGCTTGGAGCCAGGGCACACAATGGCAAGGAACAGCAGAGGCTTTGAAAATGCCCCTTGGGGTGGATGATGTTTAACAAGCAGGATGCAGGGTGAGGGCCTGTGGCGGAAGTGACCATCCTTGTCATTCCTTCCTAGGATAGGGACTCAACATCCTGGAGCACTAAAAATCAAAGGTAGAGATATACTGGCCATTCCAGAAGCAAAAAGCTTTTCCCTCAGACCCAGTCTCTGAGAAGCCACCTAACACCTCTGGAACTTTGGTTCTTTGTATACAGAAAATGGGACTGAGATATGTGATCTTAAAGGCATTTTCAAATAGAAAACTACACTGCTCTTATGTTTGAGTCTGCAAATTCAGAAACAAAGATTAAGCAATTAAAAAAAATTTTTTGGGGGGACAGAATCTCATTCCGTCTCCCAGGCTGGAGTGCAGTGGCAGGATCTTAGCTCACTGCAACCTCCACCTCCCAGGTTCAAGCCATTCTCATGCCTCAGCCTCCTGAGTAGCTGGGATTACAGGCGTGCACCACCATGCCTGACAAATTTTTGTACTTTTAGTAGAGACAGAGTTTCACTATGTTGGCCAGACTAGTCTCAAATTCCTGGCCTTAAGTGATCTGCCCGCCTTGGCTTCCCAAAGTGCTGCTATTACAGGCATGCGTCACTGCACCTGCACCCGGCTGGATTAAGCAATTCTTTTTTTTTTTGAGATGGAGTCTCCCTCTGTCTCCCAGGCTGCAGTGCAGTGGCACAGTCTTGGCTCACTGCAACCTCCACCTCCTGATTCAAGTGATTCTTCTGCCTCAGCCTCCTGAGTAGCTGGGATTACAGACATGTGCCACCACACCCGGCTAATTTTTGTATTTTTAGTAAAGACGGCATTTCACCATGTTGGCCAGACTAGTCTCGAATTCCTGGCCTTAAGTGATCTGCCCACCTTGGCCTCCCAAAGTGCTGGGATTACAGGCGTGAGTCACCGCACCCAGCCAGATTAAGCAATTCTCCTAATAGCAAAACCATATACTAGGGCTGGAAAGATGTCAAAATGGTAAGCGACCTGGACTCAGCTACTACAGCTATTTTTTTCTTTACTGCCCCCGGCCACTGAACTGGAACACATTTTCTCCCTGTCTCTGTTTAAAGTGTAATAATTATTATTATTATTTTGAGACAGAGTCTTGCTCTGTGGCCTAGGCTGGAGTGCAGTGGCGTGATCTTGGCTCACTGCAGCCTCCGCCTCCCACGTTCAAGCGATTCTCGTGCCTCAGCCTCTTGAGTAGCTGGGATTACAGGCGTGCACCACCATGTCTGGCTAATTTTTTTGTATTTTTAGTAGAGATGGGGTTTCACCATGTTGCCCAGGCTGGTCTCAAACTCCTGACCTCAAGTGATCCACCCGCCTCGGCCTCCCAAAGTGTTGGGATTACAGGTGTAAACCACCATGCCCAGCCTAAAGTATACTTAATTTTATTGTAGTGGGTCAATAATGTTAGAATAGAAAGGGATATAGGGAGACAGAAGAAAGAGATGCCTTAATTGGGGGATATAAATTGGGGATTCATAAGATCATCTGTTTCTTTTCTCTCTTCTGATTCTCCTTTTATCACTTTTTTCTACCCTCCCTTCCCTCTTTCTGCATTTAAAAGCACCAAAATATTAACTGAGATTCTTAGTTAAGAAAGAGCTACTGTTATTTAGCGAAATCTTTCCACAGCATTTTTTTCAGTGAGGAAGGATTTGGCTTTTGGCCCAACTTGACCACAGTTTATCAATGGTTTATGATGAAAGAGAATTTAGCTTTCTACTGTCAAGGCTTTTTTTGAAACACCAAAGAATAAAGCCTCAGCTGGTACTTGGAACAATTCTAGCAGGTTCAAGTTCTTTTCTTGACCTTTGCTATTAGGAGAAAAAGCAATAGGAAGAATAATGGAAGCTTTTTGCTACTGGAAATCCCTGTAGTTTTAAACTCAACAGTTTTAGTTAATTAAAACTCATCTTTTATAAAAAAGTTACTTAAAAAAAACATACGCACTGTAGAATTAGAAGTGAAATGTCATACTATCCATAATTTATATTAAAATACTTCAGAAAAATAAAGAAGCAGCAAAATGTGGCAAATTGCTAACCTATGTGCTGTAGTTTGTTCAGGTTGCTATAAGGAAATACCATAAACTGGGTGGCTTATAAACAACAGGAATGTATTTCTCACAGTTCTAGAGGTTGGGAAGTCCAAGATCAAAGGGTTGCCAGCAGATGCAGTGTCTGGCTAGGGCCCATTTTCTGATTCACGGATAATGCCTCTCACCGAGTCCTTACACCGTGGAAGGGGAGAGGGTGCCCTCTGGCTCTTTTATACGAGCTCTAATCCCATTCATGAGGGATCTACCCTCATGACCTAATCACCTCCCTAAGGTCCCATCTCCTGGTACCAGCACATTGGGGATTAGGTTCCAACATCTGAATTTTGGGGAAACACAAATATTCAGACCATAGTACTAGGTGTGAGTATCTAGAATTTGTTACACTATTTTTTCTGCTTTTTCTGTATGGTTGAGATGTTTCACACATATTTCAAAATTTCACATACATAAAAAAATTAATAAGTTAACCTCATCTTCATAAATAAGGGCCCAAGTATATTGAGTTAATTCTATACCCTCTTCCCTGCACTAACTTGCTGGCTCTTCAAAATAGCAAAAATAGAGAAAATCTCTTTATTGTGTTCCTGGGTCCACTTATTCACTTGATCCAAGAGAAATGATCACTATTAAAATAAGTTTAACTTTAAAGAGGTCTTGACTGAGAGTTGAAAGTCCAATTTATTGGGGAGAAAAACAGAAATTTGTGTTCTTTCTTGTTTTTATCTTGCTCTGTCCAACTGAATCTAAGGTCCCTGCTTTTTAGAATAGAAGAGCACAAGGAAAGAAGCAGAGGAGCTAGCAGGGTGAAACTCCACGGGCCGTTTCCCTTGCTTGCTTAGGAGAAGTAAATAAAATTAACCTTTCTCACACACACAAACAAAATACACTCAGGTCTAAGTTGGAAAAGTAATACTGATGACTTTTAAGAAAGAAACTTGGGGTATTAGTGAGGACTTGAGAGAAAGGGATGGGGAGACTTAAACATTGGTTTTAGGGCCTATGCCTATTTTTTTCTATTCACACTAAGTTACACTTAATGTTTTCCAACTGAGCAGGGGACTGAACTCTCAACCAGTGCTTCTCAGGCTTCAACATGCATCGGAATCAACAGAGAGTCTTGTTAAAATGCAGATTTGGATTCAGCAGGACAAGGTGAGGCTGGGATCCTGCATTTCCAGCAATCTCCCAGGTGCTGGTGATCGTGGACCACACGGAACAGCAAGGCAATATTCAAATGTAATAAAATAGCTACCTCCTTTTCTGCTACTGAAAATAACAAGCTGCAAAGAAGAGCCACGTTTGAGGAAGATTGTTCATCCTACATTTTCTTACTGCATCAAATCTGGATACCTATTTTGGGCCATGCATTCTCAAGCAGGGGCAATATTTTCCCAAGGGAAAGAAAATTATTCTGTTGAGGGTTGAAGAAAAAGCTTACTCTTTTAATCTTTAAAACACAGATACATATACAGTACATAAACAGATATATCATTGATCAACTGCATTAAAATGTCACGGGGGAGATTAGGAAAAGGTCTAAAAACGTTACTTGGGTGGGGGATATAATGAAAAAAGCTTGAGAACCACTGCTCTAAACTATTACGGGGTGTCATGAAACTGGGGCAAGTAAAAATCAGCCAGCCAGCCTGTTTGTAAATTAAATAATCAGTTATCAACATTTGGGCCATGTGTTATATATCACCACCTAGATTCTCAAGTTCTCATTGACAGAATGATGGAAATTTTTTATTCATGCAAGAGCACACTGGGTTGATTTTCATGCAACTTACTTGTACCTTCAGGGCCTTCTGGTGTCAAAATATTTTAGATTGCAGAGGAAAGGGATGAGAATAAAATCCATGGTTATCAGAGATGATTTCTACCAACAGGGAAATTCACCCAAATTGCACAAACAGCAATCAGATTGTAAGTAAGTGAAAAGTTGAAAACTGGAATTGCAAACACACTCCCTGCTTTTTTTTTCAATGTTTATAATGTTCACTGCCCTCTAAATGCATTTCTTTATATCCCCTTCTGAGGGCATTAAATCTACACTTCCAGAGCAAACTAGAATGCCCCCCCACCATCCCCACCGAGGCTGTTGCCAGGTAAGACGATGCTGATTCTCCTCAGGACCCACCCCCACCACCCCAGAAAGCTGCTGGTTCTGAGTGGGGCCTAGAATGAGAAAAGGCTCTGCAGCAGGTCCAGGCTCCATGCAAGCTTCTCTGCCATGTAGACCCTATGATCCAGCAGATTCAATGGTACTTGAAGTGTCAGAGGCAGATAGAGATGCTCTTTGGAGCCTTTTCAGACCCTTAAAGGTGAATCAAAGGGAAGGCCCTTAGGATTTTAAGCAAAGCTCTGTCATCCTTCGCAGATAACTAATTTCCTTTTGAGAAACAGCTTTTGGCCTGCTATTGGCCCTTAGTAGAGACTGAATGCTTAACCATGGGCCATTGTTACCCTGTGACCTGAGCTGCCCATTATAAGCTGAGTGTTATCTGACGCACAAAGCAATAATGCTGGGTGTGCAGAGCAGCACTCAGTTGTTAAATGGAAGTGGTATACACATGATCAGTCCTATGCAGGATTTGAAGGTACAAGTAAGTTACGTGAAGAAGTGGTCCAAATGTGCGTGGTCCCCACTCCTGGTACATTGCCTTCTCTCTCCCAGCCTGCACCTGTGGTCTCATTGAGAGTTCCCCCATGATCAGTTGACAAAGGAAGAGAAAACTCAGGCCTGGTTTACAAAGGATTCTGCATGATATGCAAGCACCACCTAAAAATGGCAGGGGCCCAGCACTTTGGGAGGCCAAGATGTGAGGATTGCTTGAGCCCAGAAGTTGGAGACCAGCCTGGGCAACATAGCAAGACCCCATCTCTACAAAAATAAAAAATTAGCTAGGCATGATGGCACACACCTGTAGTCCCAGCTACTCGGGAGGCTGAGGTGGGAGGATTGCTTGAACTCAGAAGGTCGAGGATGCAGTGAGGTAGGATTGCTCCACTGCACTCCACCCTGTGTGCTAAAGCAAGACACTATCTCAAAAAAAAAAAAAAAAAAAAAAAAAAAAAAAGAGCGCTCCAGCACCACAGCCCCTCTCCCTCTCTGGGCCATCCCTGAAGGACAATGGTGAAAAGAAATCATCCCAGTAACCCCAGTAGGCATAGCTTTGAACAGTGCACTGGTTGTTCACTTTACTTGGGAAGAGAAATGGCCAGACATGGGATTATGTACTGATTCATGGTCTGTGGCCAATGGTTTGGCTGGATGGTTACAGACTTGGAAGCAATGTGATTAGAAAATTGGTGACCAGGTCATTTGAAAAAGAGGCATATGGACAGACCTCTCTGAATGGGCAAAAATTGTGAAGATATGTGTGTTTCATGTGAACGCTCACCAGAGGGTGACTTCAGAAGAAGAGGATTTTAATAACCAAGGGGATAGAATGACCTATTCTGTGGATATCAGGTTGGCCTCTTTTCCCTGCCACCCATGTTATCACTCAAAAGGCTCATGAATAAAGTGGCCATGGTGGCAGGGATGGAAGTCATGCAGGGGCTCAGAAACATAGATTTCCAGTCACCAAGGCCAACCTGGTTACGGCCACCACTGACTGCTTAATCTGCCTGCAGCTGAGATCAACACTAAGTCTACCATTCCCTAGGGTGATCAGCCAGCTACCTGGTGCAGATTGATTACATTGGACTGCTTCTATCGTGGAAGGAGGACCATTTTTTCTTACCGGAATACTTAGTCTAGACACAGACTTGCCTTCAATGCTTGCAATGCTTCTGCCAAAACTACTATCCATAGATTTATAGAATGCCTTATGCACCATCATGGTGTTCCATACAGCATTGCTTCTGATGAAGGAACTCACTTCATAGCAAGAGACATGCGGCAATGGGCCCAGGTATATGGACCCTGCTGGTCTTACCACGTACCCTACTATCCTGAAGTAGCTGGCTAAATAGAACAGTGCCTTTTGAAGACTCAGTTACAGCATCAGTGACAATAGGTAATAATACCTTGCAGGGCTTGGGCAAGGCTTCCTAGAAGGCTGTATATCCTCTGAATTGGTGTCCAATATATTGTGCTGCTTCTCCCATAGTTAAGATTCATGAGTTCAAGAATCAAGGGGTGGAAATAGAATTGGCACCTCTCACTATTATCCTTAGTAACCCAGTAGCAAAATGTTTGCTTCCTGTTCCTGCAACCACGTGGCCTACTGGCCTAAAGGTCTTAGTTCCAGAGGGAGGAATGCTTCCACCAGGAGACACAACAATTCCATTGAATTGGAAGTTAAGATTGCCACTTGGCCACTTTGGGCTCCCATACTCTGAACCAAAGGGCAAAGAAGAGAACTACCATGCTGGCCAGGGTGACTGGTTCTGACTACCAAGGGGAAATTGGACTACTTACAATGAAGGTAAGAAAGAGCATCTCTGGAATAAAGGAGATCCCTCAGAGTGTCTCTTAGTATTACCATGCCTTGTGATTACAGCCAACGGAAAACTGCAACAACAGGCCAGGAGCAGTGACTCATGTCTGTAATCCCAGCACTTTAGGAGGCCAAGGTGGGAGGATCACTGGAGGCCAGGAGTTCAAGACCAGCCTGGGCCACATAGCTAGACCCCATCTCTACGAAAAAATAAAAATTATAAAAAAAGAAAACTATAATAATCCAACCCGTGCAGGACAACTACTGGCCTAGTCCCTTTAGGAATGAAGTTTTGAGTCACTCTACAAGGCAAAGAACCAGCTGAGGTGATTGCTGAAGGCAAGAAAATATAGATGGGGTAGTGGAGGAAGGTAGTTATAAATACCAACTATGGCTATGTGACCATTACAGAAATGAGGACCATGGTTATCATGAGTATTTCCTCCTTATTTTATTGTAAATATTTTGTTGTATATATACACATACATATCCATATCTATATGTGTATGTGTACATGTACATATCAAATATCATTGTTTGCTTTCCTCTCATTCCCTTATCATGTAATATAAGAATAATGACTTGACTTCCTAGTACTTAAGTACTGTTACTTCTCATCTTAGTATTTAATTTTTGGGATATCAAGAAGAATAAGCACCACTCAAGGACGTCATCTCTTCTGTGGAAGGAGTTAGTGCATTTTCAATTGTACACAAAACAGTTGAATCATGTTAGGTGGAATTATAATCTTGTTAATGTTTTTATTTGAAGATTAAGTATGGGTTAAGGAGAAGTGTATGAATGCCAAGTTGACAAGGGGTAGACCTGTGATAGTTAATTTTATGTGTCAATTTGACTGGGTCACGGGTTCCCAGATATCTGATTAGACATTATTTCTGGGTGTGTCTGTGAGGCTGTTTCTGGAAGAGATGAATATTTGAATCAGTTGACTGAGTAAAACAGATTGCTTTCCCCAGTGTGGGTGGGCACCATCCAATCCATTGAGGTCATGACTAGAACAAAATCGGAGGAAGGGACAAGTCACTCTGTCTGCCTGACTGCTTGAGCACAGACATTGGTTTTCTTCCCTCAGACAGGGACTTACACCATCAGTCCCCTGGCTGTCAGTCTTCAGATTGAGACTGGAGCTATACCAACTCCTTTGCTGTGTCTCCAGCTTGCCAACTGCAGATTATAGGACTTCTCAGACTCTATACTTGCATGAGCCAATTCCTTATAATAAATCTCTCTATTACAGATTTATTACATTTATATCATCTAAATCCATATGATCTATTGGTTTGTTTCTCTAGTAAACCATAATACAGTTGTTTTTCTAAGAATGAGGTAATAACTGTCCCTTTAGTTGATACACACTTGATTCAGAAAATTGTAAAATTAAAAAACACATATAATTGCATTTAACTGTGGTTATGTGCTAACTTGCTTCCCATGCCCAAATGGCTGTGCTGCCAATTCATGGCATAGCAAAGAAGTCTAGTGCCTGTTGCTGCATTAGAGAGTCTAGTGAAGGTGACTTCTGCCATTCCCATGTGAAGTAGAGTAAAAAGTCACCCAAAAATCTGGGCTAGAATCAGCCTCCAGGGTATGAAGAGGCTAGTTGCAGTAGCAATAACCTGCTTTATTGAACGACCTGATAGTGTGCTAAATGCCATCTACGCATTAAGTGCTTTAGTCATCCCCAAATGCTATGAAGCAGGTATTATTATTAATGCAGTTTTTCATATGATTAATTGGAAGCATGAAGTGGAAATGAACTTGCCTAAAGTTACAAGGCCAAGAAGTGGAGAGCAGGGATTTGCATGTAGGCAGCTTGGCTCTGCAGCCTATGTTATATTAGACACTCAGAGGCAGTTCATGATGGTTGCATTCAGCTAGTTTTTGGTGGTCAGAACCCAGCTGTGTCTTCTCCCCAGGCATGTCAAGATTGATGGGAAGAGGCAAGCGTCATGATTAACGGACTAGGAATTAGGCATCCTCTCAGAAGGCCAGCCAGACAGGTCAGAAATTTTCTTAACAGCTTTATTGAGATATAATTCACATACCATACAATTCACCCATTTAAAGTGTAAATTCGATATTGTTTAATATATTTACAGGGATGTGCAACCATCACTGCATCTAGTTTTAGAACATTTTAGTCCCTCCTAAAGAAACCTAGTTCCCCTTAGCAGTCACTCCCCATTTCCCATCCTACTTCTCCAGTCCTAATCAATTACATATCTACTTTCTGTCTCTGTAGCTTTCCCTATTCTGTACATTTAATGGAAATGAAATTATAAAACGCATGATTTTTTGTGATAGACTTCTTTCATTTAACATAATATTTTCTAGATTCATCCATGTTGTAGCATATATCGTACTTCATTCCTTTTTGTGAGTAATAGTCCATTGTATGGATATACCACATTTTGTTTCCCATCCATCAGTTGATGGACAGTTGGTTGGTTTCCACTTTTTGGCTACTGTGAATAACACTGCTATGAATATGCATGTACCATTTTTAGTATGGATATACATTTTCATTTCTCTTGGTTTCTTTTTTTCTTTTTTAAGAGATGGAGTCTCACCATGTTGCCCAGGCTGGTCTCAAACTTCTGGGCTCAAGTGATCCTCCTGCCTCAGCCTCCCAAAGTGCTGGAACTACAGGTGTGAGCCACTCTACCTGTACTCTCTTGGTATTTATGTAGAAATTGAATTGCTAGGTTACATGATAACTCCATGTTCAACATTTTGAGGAAATGCCAGCCTGTTTTCTAAATCAGCTGTACTACTTTACATTCCCACAGGCAGCGTGTGAGGCCTCCAGTATATCTACCTCCTCACTAATACTTGTGAATATTGGCCTCTTTAATTATAGCCATTCTAGTGGGTATAAAGTAGTATCTCATTTTACTTTTATGTACATTTCCCTGAGGTTAATGAGGTTGGGCATCTTACTGCTTTTCATGCCTCTTCCTAGTTTGTTGAATGTTTATTAGGTTGAGCAATTTCCCTTCTATTCATAATTTATTGAGCTTTTTTTAATCATGAAAGAGTGTTGGATGTTGTAAAATACTTTTTTGTATCTATTTAGATGATCATGTAGTTTTTGTTCCTTATTGTGTTATATGGTATTTTATACATTGATTATATTGATATGTTAAAACATTTTTATATGTTGCTGGGTTAAGTTTGCTAGAATTTTGTTGAAGAATTTTTGCTTCTATATTCCTAAGGGCTACTGGTCTGTAGTTTTACTTTGTTCTGTTTTCTTGTGATTTCTTTGGTTTTGGCATCAGGGTAATTCTAATTCTGGCATCATAAAGTGAGTTAGAAAGTGTTCTCCCTTCTACCTTTTGAAAGAGTTTGTAAAGAATTGGTATTAATTCTCCTTTGAATGTTTTGCAGATCTCATCAGTAAAGCCATCTGGACCCGTCTTTTACTGATGGAACATTTTGAAATGACTAATTTGAGCTCTTTATTTCGTGTAGGCCTATTCAGATTTTCTATTTCTCCCACTACATTTTTGGTAATTGCATCTTTCTAGGAATTTGCCTATTTCATCTAAGCTATCTAATTTGTTGGCATATAGTTGTTCATAGTTTTCCTTATAATCCTTTTATTTCTGTAAGATTGGTAGTGATGTGGCCTCTTTCATTCCTGATTTTTAATAATTTATATTTTCTCTTTTGTCAATAGCTAAAGGGTTGTCAATTTTGTTAAACTTCTCAAAAAAATCAACTTTTTGTTTGGATTTTCTGTGTTGTTTCTCTAGTCTCTATTTCATTGGTTTGTGCTTGAATCTATGTAACTTCCTTTCTTCCACTAGCTTTGGGTTTAGTTTGCTCTTCTTATTCTATCTCCTTAAAGTGTAATGCTGAAGTCTTTTAAAAGGTGGGCGTTTGTAGCTATAAATGTAAGAAGAAACGGGGACTATTTTTGTCTGAAGAAGATTTAATAGTCTGATAGAAATCTCCCGGTAAGACTAAATTACATATAGTGTTACCTGGATGCTTTGCTTATCTTCATTCTATGGCACAGAAGTGTTCAAAATGCGCAAGTGAAATCCATAAACTCCAGTAAAACATTTGTTTTAGAAGTGACGATTACTCAAAGAGTTCATATAATTTTTAATTTTGAAGGATGAATTATTTGATGACGATTGTGAAACAGTCTCAAACCTGACACGTGTAGCAATTCTGCAGTCTGAGAAATTGCTACTGGCATTTGCAAGCATGGCAGAAATTTAATAAACTGTCGCCAAACCATTTGCTTGTTTGAATGCCAAGGTTTCCTTCCCCACATCACATGCAGTGTCCTGTTGCCAACAGTTATCAAAATACTCCCACAGTTGTCACAGAGAGAATTGTTCAGGGAGTTATTTTTTCTTTATTCTTCTTGTCCTTATATTTCATTGCCTTACCACTTCTATTTGGGGATTTATTTGAGCAATCCAAATACCATCAGTATGGAACAGTTAGATATTAAATAATGGATTACAAAATAATATTTGAGATATAGCTATAGACATATAGATAGTACAAAAAGATTAAGAAGGAAGACTTTCATGCTTTACTCCCTAAATATTCTTAGTTTGAATTTTGATAGGGAGACTACATTGTTTGTGGAATGTAAAACAACAAAAAAAATGTAAAAACAATTAGGAGACAGGGAATCAAGAGGAAAGTACTAAGAAAGGTCCAGCTGGATAAACTCATTCTAATTAAAGATATGCAATTGTGTGGTGGAAAAGGTAATAACAGGATTTAGAGATAAAATCCAGCCCTTTGGATGAGAGATTGACAAGAAGTTGAAATTACGGGCTCTGGGTTTGCATTTTCTGTGATGACCCCAATAGATAAGTGCCAGGCTAGGTTTGACAAGGTCTTGAATATGAAACAAAAAAGGTGGAAGATTAGAGGGTGTGACCCTGGACTTTAGTCACAAACGCAAAGATGCATGAAGGTGTCGCCTTTTATCACCAGGATAATATTCACAAGTGCTATCTAAAAGAAACATATTTCTGCTGTGTCTTGTGTGGTAACGGCTTTGATGGACACTTGGCAGTCTCTATCAAAATGTCATATGCATGTAACCTTGACCAAGCAGTTCCATTGCTAGCAACCTCTTCTGAAGAAATACTTACACCAGTGCACAGATATTACATAGACAGATGCTCACTGCAGCAAAATACTTTAAATATCCTAAGTGTACATCAGAGAGAGAGAGAGAGAGAGAGAGAGAGAGAGAGAAAGAGTATGGACAAAGGCGAGAGCTGGGATCAAACCTAGGCTTTTCCCCCTCACTATACCACATTTCAGGAGTTAGTCAGTGGGTGCAGGTGGCTTTTGGGTGATCAGGACCCATCTGTGTCTTCTTCCCAGGATAGGTCAAGATTGGATGGTGGGGAGGGGAGGGAAGGCAGGCAAGTGTCAAAGCTAAGAGACAAGGAATAAGGCAGACCAGGCTGGGAATTTCAAACAACAATGAAGGAATAGGAAAAAAATTACATATAATTAAGCGGAAGGGGTTCTGAAGGAAAGCATCTTGTTTGACCAAAAGAGGATACCTTAATCAACTCTAACTCTACTCCCAAGGAACCATGAGCACCCCCACCTCTAAAAGACTCTGAATGAGCTTGCTGTTAGTCTAATAGGCTTTCTTGCTCTGAAATAGGATGAGGGACCAGGGAGAAGTTTACTTTTGAAGAATGTATTTGTTCCTTTTCATCAAAGAAAATCCATATTAACATGTGTTTGAGGGATTAGCACTTCTTTGACTTTCTAAGAATAGGAGCCGAATTCTTGCAGTGTTCACAAAGCTATGAAATGAAGGATTTGGTGTGACTGCTGCAGGGTGGGATGATTTAGAGTGTTCTTTTTTCTTTTTCTTTTCTTTTTTCTTTTTTTCTTTGTTTTTTTTTGTTTGTTTGTTTTTTGTTTTTGTTTTTTTTTTTTTTTTGAGACAGAGTCTCACTCTGTCGCCCAGGCTGGAGTGCAGTGGCGCGATCTCGGCTCACTGCAAGCTCCGCCTCCCGGGTTCACACCATTCTCCTGCCTCAGCCTCCCGGAGTAACTGGGACTACAGGCGCCCGCCACCACGCCCGGCTATTTTTTTTTTTTTGTATTTTTAGTAGAGATAGGATTTCACCGTGTTAGCCAGGATGGTCTCGATCTCCTGACCTCATGATCCGCCCGTCTCGGCCTCCCAAAGTGCTGGGATTACAGGCGTTAAGCCACCGCTCCCGGCCGATTCAGAGCATTTTAAGGACCACATGCCAATTTCAGGAGACCTGGCATTTTCTGCATTCTCTGGCGTTTCCAGTGACCCCAGATGCTATACTAGCATTTATATGACCTTGAGACAAATACTAGCCTTTCTGTGATTCATCTTCTCTACCTATTAAAAGAAGGGAGTGAAATTATGATCTGTACTATCTCTTCAAGTTGTGATATTTATAATTTTCAACACTTACCGTATCATCAACATTTTAAATAAACATTATTTAGTACTTATTAATGAGGGTTGGAAACATAAAAATTAACACAATTCATATATATACATATATGTACATATATTATATTTTCTGTGAATGAAACAAAAATATTTTGTACAAGAAAGTCTATCTGTGATCTGTATCCTTGGTTCTCCCCTTACTATTAGGAAATTTCTGATAAGAAAGAGATGGTTTGAGGAGAAATGATAAATGATAGCTGAAGGAGTAGATTATGTATATATCTTTGTATTCATCTGCCTTTCATTTTTCCAGAACCCTCTCACCCCCTCCACCCCTATGTGCGCTCGCACACACACACACACACACACACACACACACTCTATTGCCCCCTCAGCTCACAACAGAGTTGATAAGGAATAATGTTGAAATAAAAGTACCACTACCAAAACAGATATGTAGACCAATGGAACAGAATGGAGGCCTCAGAATAACACCACACATCTACAACCATCTCATCTTTGACAAACCTGACAAAAACAAGCAATGGGGAAATGATTCCCTATTTAATAAATGGTGCTGGGAAAACTGGATGTAGAAAGCTGAAACTGGATTCCTTCCTTACACCTTATACATAAATTAACTCAAGATGGATTAACGACTTAAATGTAAGACCTAAAACCATAAAAACCCTAGAAGAAAACCTAGGCAATACCATTCAGGACATAGGCATGGGCAAGGACTTCATGACTAAAACACCAAAAGCAATGGCAACAAAAGCCAAAATTGACAAATGGGATCTAATTAAACTAAAGAGCTTCTGCACAGCAAAAGAAACTATCATCAGAGTGAACAGGCAACCTACAGAACGGCGGAAATTTTCACAATCTACCCATCTGACAAAAGGCTAAGATCCAGAATCTACAAAGAACTTAAACAAATTTACAAGAACAAACCCCATCAAAAAGTGGACAAAGGATATGAACAGATACTTCTCAAAAGAAGACATTTATGCAGCCAACAGACATATGAAAAAATGCTCATCATCACTGGTCATCAGAGAAATGCAAATCAAAACCACTATGAGATACTATCTCAAGCCAATTAGAATGGCGATCATTAAAAAGTCAGGAAACAACAGATGCTGGAGAGGATGTGGAGAAATAGGAACACTTTTATAGTGTTGAAGGGAGTGTAAATTAGTTCAGCCATTGTGGAAGACAGTGTGGCGATTCCTCAAGGATCTACAACTTTAAATACCATTTGACCCAGCAATGCCATTACTGGGTATATACCCAAAGGATTATAAATCATGCTACTATAAAGACACTTGCACATGTATGTTTATTGCAGGACTATTCGCTATAGCAAAGACTTGGAACCAACCCAAATGTCCATCAATAATAGACTGGATAAAGAAAATGTGGCACATATACACCATGGAATACTAAGCAGCCATAAAAAAGGATGAGTTCATGTCCTTTGCAGGGACATGGATGAAGCTGGAAACCATCATTCTCAACAAAATATCACAAGGACAGAAAGCTAAACACTGTGTTCTCACTCATAAGTCGGAGTTGAACAATGAGAACACATGGACACAGGGAGGGGAACATCACACACTGGGGCCTGTTAGGGTGTAGGGGGCTGGGGGAGGGATAGCGTTAGGAGAAATACCTAATGTAAATGACAAGTTGATGGGCACAGCAAACCAATATGGCACATGTATACCGATGTAACAAACCTGCATGTTGTGCACATGTACCCTAGAACTTAAAGTATATATACGTATATATATACGTATATATATATATAAAGAAATAAAGGTACCATTTAGCCTCATGACATCACATACCAAGAGAAAAAAAAATCCATGTGTTACACCTGCCTATTCATCTCTTGTTATTTCACAGCAATTTGTCCTCAGGTGGAAGTAGAGGGTGTTGACCCCTGATGTGCGATAATTGATACAAATGTGTTTTTATTATGTAGACACGTAAAATGCATGTCAAATGCTTCTGCAATTATTTGATTCCCAAAATACAGCTTATTTGTATGCTTCCTAGACCTTCAATTACAGGCAGTGTAACTGACCCAGGGCCCCAGCTGCTGAACTCTGAAATAACATGTTTGCTTTGAGGCAAACATGCTTCCTGCTTCCCAGGGGCTGCTCCCAGCCAAAGACTGAGCACAGTGGGGACACTGAGGCATGCCCACTTTGGCTTTGGGGATTTACCTAATGATCTTGCTGAAACTTTATTAGACTGCACTGGTGGTCAAGAATGCGTTCATTCAATTTTCCTTCCTTCTCTTCTTCACATGGAGTCAGCCTTACCTGGCCACCTTCCCCTTTTCCCTTACAAACATTTCTCCTAACGATTTCCTTGCATACTTACCTCTGTCTTGGTATCTGTTCTTCAGAGTATCTGGACTAACACAAACTGATTAAAAGTACAGCTTTGTGAGGCACAGAACCATATGTTTGGTATCTTGCATGTTGGGTCAGTAGGAGGAACATAAGATAGAGGTTATGTTCCTCTATCTTATGGGGATACTGATAGAGGCATAATAATGGGGTAGCTGATAGAGGCATCAAGAACTCTCAACAGTGGTATCCTGTGTGGGGTTTTGGTAAGAACTTGTGAATCAAGAAAAGAACTGAGAGTGAAACTTTTCCTTAGGCACCTTTACATTAAAAGACAAAATTTCCCAACAAGTAAATGTATAATGATTTGAAAATGTAAAATCAAATATTTGGATTTAAAAAGCGTATGAATTTGAGAACAAAGAAAGTATAGGGTTTGGAGACAGCCAGATCTGAGTTTAAGCCCCAGATAATCTTTGCGATCTTGGGAAAATTACTGTGTTACTGGATTTTTTTTTTTTTCTTTTGGAACAGGATCTCACTCTGTCATTTAGGCCAGAGTGCAGTGGTGCAATCACAGCTCACTACAGCCTCGACTTCCTGGGCTCAGGTGATTCTCCCACCTCAGCCTCCCAAGTACCACCACACCCAGCTGATTTTTTGTATTTGTTTTGTAGAGACAGGGTTTTGCCATGTTATCCAGACTGGTCTCCATCTCCTGAGCTCAAAGGAGCTGCTCACTTCAGCCACTCTACAGTGCTGGGATTACAAGAGTGAGCCATGAAACCTGGCGTTGTTATTGAATCTTGATTCCAGTGATTTGCATTCCTCCTTGAATGTGAAGTATATAACCTCATTTACTGGCTCCCTGCAGGAGGCATCCTACTTGATTGACATTGGTCTTGACCAGGGGACTTGCTGGGGCCAGGGGACTGTGTGGCTGAGACACAGGTGAGTCTGAACAGAAGCTCTTAAGAGCCAGTGCACAAGGTGGTTAACTGCATTCTTTTCCCTCTGCCACAAGAAGCACAAGACCAAGTAGGGGCTGCTTCTATGGCCTGGATTCTGGAATAAAGTTGCAGAGCCGCAATTGGCTGGTAGCTGCCATCACTGACAGCCAACATAAGCAAAATAAACTTTCATGGTTGAAAACCACTGAAGTTATTCTCCAAAGTTTTGATGTTGAAACATTTCAGAATAAAGTTGAAGGAGTAGTTCAACTAAAATCCTCACTTAGATTCTCTAATTGTTAACATTTTGCCACATTTGCTAAATTTGTCTTGTTCCCTCCCTCAATATTAGAGCTCCCTGTTTTTGCTGAAACATTTGGGAGTTTGTTATAGGCATAGTGATATTTGGTTCCTAAATATTTTAATATATATATCTTAAGAATAAGGATTATTTCCTATATGACCATGACACTATTATTGTATCCAAGAAGTATAACATTGATATAATATTATTTAGTATACAGTTCAAGTTTCTCTGTCACAATAACATTCTTTGTAAATTTTTTTTCCTGATCCAAAACCTAGCGAGGATCATGCATTGATAATAACTGTATATTTCTTTAGTCTCCTTTAATTTAGGACAGTTTATTAACTATTTGGGGGTTCATCTTTCATAAAACTTACATTTTTGAAGAGTTTAGGTCAGTTGTTTTGTAGAATATATCACTTTTTGGATATACCTGATTTCCTCATAATTCTTTAGATTCAGGTTAAATATTTATGTTAGGAATACTCCATAGATAATATTGTTTATATCACAACCAAGAAGCACAAATAATGTCAGATTGTCTCATTTTGGGTGATGATAAGTTTGACCACTTGATGATGATATCCACCAGATTTCTCCATTGAAAAGTTTCACTTATCCATTTGTATTTTGTCAGTAATATGTGAGGTGATACTTAGAGACTATGTGACTATATCCCTGATCCTCAACAAACTTTCTCTACTGATTTTAGCATCTATTGACGATCCCTTCCTGTACCAATGGTTACATTGGTAGATGCAGAATGGTGATTTTCCCTATTCTATTATTCCTATGACTTTTATTATCTGGCATTCTTTTGTACAGAAAACTCTCTTCACTCTTTCTACACTGATTTATTCTTGAGTGTCATTACGGATTCATGAATTTTTAATATACATGTCATAATATTTCAGCATTATTCTTTTTGTTATGCAAACTCTCCCAAATTTGGACAGCGGGAGGACCTTCGAGCTTGGTCCGCCGTCCTTTTTAACATGTTTCTGTTTGTCTGTATTTTATAGTTAGTTGTAGGCTTTCTGGCACAGTAATGATCCAGGCTTATCTTAGATATTTACTGTTACAGACTTGATACTTTTTATTTGGCAGAGACATTGACAGAGTGAGACTAAGATTTGGGGAGCTGGTTGATAAAGAAGGCAAGATAAAGAAGATTCAGAGTAAGAAAATATTTGGGGGGAATTCTTGGCCAAAGATTTACCTCGGGTATGTCTCTCAAGCTCTTAAAACCTGAATTTCTTTTCCTGGAATATGAAGATTATTATGCCAATTGCTCAGGTAGGTTGTGAAAATTAATAAACCAAGCCCTATGATTGGCACATAGTATTTTTTGGCCATTATCACTAGTGACAACCTTTCAACTAGGTTAATTTCTCATACCGGTGAACTCCAATTACCTGCCTCCAATGGGTTTGTGATCAAACTTGCTTAAGTTTATGTTCAGAGGCTTTGCTTAAATGTGGCTCTAAGATGTTCTAAGGGCACTAGAGTGTTTCTAGGTAAGGTTAAATGGGTACAGGCTCTAAAAGGCCGATGAAACAGACAGCTTTCATGGGAACTGTATGCAAATTTGAGGAAGCAAAAGATACACCCGCCCTCCAACACTATATGTATATATGTACATTTCGTGGTTTGAATTAGGATCTTAAATGAAATGTAGCCTGGTAAAATGTAGACTGGATGTAAATCCAAGCTCCGTCACTTACATTTCCCATTTTAAAAAGTGAAGATACTTACACTTTCCTGGCGCAGTGGTTGTGAGTGTAACATTTGGGCCAAGGAGACGGTCGATCTATCGTGGCGCAGGGTCATATTTGTACCTTAGGCGGCACTTCCACCTGGTGGCGGCGCATTCCAATTGCAAGGCAAAGGACAGAGTGGGGGAAAGGCTGAATTCGACACCCTTAAGTAAAGCCACAGAATTAAACTACTGTAAATGAAAATATTTCCATCCTGTACCTACAGAGTGCTTACTTCAAATAACACTCACGTCCTGGTAGGACAGAAAAATTAGACAATGAGCTGAAGTTTGCCTGCAAGGGCATTCATTCATTCATTCATTCAAGAAACATCTGTTGAGCGCTGACTGCGCTGTGCTCTGTTCTGGGCGCTTGGGATACATCAGTGAACTAGAGACAAAAATTCTGCCCCGGGATGCCTTCTCCTATACATCCTATACTATATAAACTAAACTAGAAAATTTGTAAAGAGCTCTTAGGAATTACAACGTCCTCTCCAAAGTCAAGGGGACGTGTTCCGAGGCCTCTATTACCACAGCTAAGGGGAGAACCGGGGTGCAGACCCACTCCAGCCGAACTAAGAACCTACCCGGCACAATTGAAAGTTAAGCCACGCGCTAGAGGATGTCATCGCTGACAAAATAGAAGACGCCTTCCCCATTCCCCCCCACCCCCGCCCCCGCCAAGAAAACCATATATTCTTTTAGGGAAGCAAGCGCTTCACCTGGGTGGCCGGGATCGAACCCGCGGAGGGCTGAAGGCGGAGGGCAACGACGCCTGTGGAACTCTGTTTCCCTGCAGAGCCTACGTGGTGGGCGGCAGGCCGACCGCCCTGGGGGCCCTGCACCTCTGGGTAGGTGACCGCGCCCAGGTATCGAGCACAGGTAACGCGCCCCGGCTCCGAGTCTCGGGGTCTCAGCCACTGAATCCCCAGCGAGGCCTGACGCCCCCCGGTGGAGGCGAGCAGTCTGAGTGCTGGGTCCGGAACAGACCTGTCCTGCGGAACTCCGAGTGCGCGTTCGGTTTCCGGGGGAGGAGGGCGGAGAAGGACTTGCGCGCGACGGTTCTCACCGCTGCTATGGAGGCGCTGGCCATGGGTTCCCGGGCGCTGCGGCTCTGGCTGGTCGCACCCGGTGGCGGGATCAAATGGAGTGAGTTTCAGAGGCCGTAGGGACAGGGAGCGAGGCCTAGATAGTGGTGTCTGTCTAGATTGGGTCTGAGGCGGGGCCGGGGAGGTCCCGCGGGGCAGAGGAAGGAGGAGGGTTTCTTAGTCCCTCCGCGGCGGTCGCTCTTGCACAGCTTGGGAGGACTAATTTATGGGAACGAGGGTCTGGCGGAGGGCAGGGGCAAGGGCAGGGGTCGGGGCCAGGGGTCGGAGCCAGGCCGCGGGAGGAGCTTGGGCCCGCCTCTGGGAAGCAGCGCACGTTCCGTGCACATCTGTCCATGTCTTCCCAAGGAATACTCGTACTTGCCTTGGCAGGTTCCCTGATTTGGCCTTTGGGATATAAACTCAGCATTTCTCATTCTGGATATTGATAGTTTCGGTGTGGGACCTTTGGTTTCCTGAAATTTTCTTGTTTTTCTTCAGACCCTGTCAAACCGACCACTTTGTTCACCTTCCCAATGACTCTAGTCCAGTTTTGACTCCGTTTCCTGGTTACTTTTTGCCCCTTATTGTAAAGCACTGATTGGAAACACGACACAGGAAATTGGTGGGAAATAGCGATCTGATGTGAAAGAGCCAAATTTAAAAGTAGAGGCACGTATCTGGGCCAGCTCTGTTTCTTCCGCTGGTGTTTGTTAATATTACAAATTGGTTTAATTTTACCTCTGAGCGCACTTTTGGCAGTACGTTAATCATTTTTTCAGTCTTCATATTTATTGTAACTTCTCCACAGGATTTATAGCAACATCGTCAGCTTCTCAGCTGTCACCGACAGAATTGACAGAAATGCGGAATGATCTCTTTAATAAAGAGAAAGCCAGGCAGTTATCATTAACTCCCCGAACTGAGAAGATAGAAGTTAAGCATGTTGGGAAAACTGACCCCGGTACTGTCTTCGTGATGAATAAAAACATTTCAACTCCCTACAGTTGTGCCATGCGTAAGTAGCAGAATCAGGTTACAGTTTTGACCCTTTTACTTAAGCTGTGTGGAAGCACTGGTGCAGGAGACAGGATGCTGTAATTACTTCTGGTCATCTGTGGCCATGGCAATCCCTTTATACCAAAATCCTTTCTTGAGACCTGCATGGTGACTGCTCCCACCACATCACAGACCTAGCTAAAAAGAGCAAGCAAATCCCAGCTACTTGGGAGGCTGAAGCAGGAGGATAGCTTGAGGCCAGAAGTTCAAGACCAGCCTGGGCACCATAGCCACCCTGTCTCTCAAAAAATAAAAATAGAAATAAATTAGCCAGATGTGGTGGGCGCAGAAGTCCCTGGACTTCCCAGAGGTTCTTTATCTGGCACCTTATTGTCTATTCACTGTCCCTGTAGTTCTGGAGGGTACTCTGAGTATTGCAAGGTTGGCACTGTAGTGCACAGATTGTCCTGCCTGGCGCTTGTTTGAATCTGGCTTTGTTTATGGTACTAGATAATTTTCTGGCAGAAGGTGACCAGACCTGAGTGCATTGTTACTAGTGTGCTTTCTCCTTTAATTTAATTTAATTTTAGAGATGAGGGTCTGGCCCTGCTCCCAGGCTGGAGTGTAGTGGTACTATCATAGCTCACTGAAACTCCTAGCCTCAGCCTACGAAGTAGCTGGGACTACAGGTGCCCACCATCACACCTGGCTAATTTATTTTTATTTTTGAGAGAGAGGGTGGCTGTGGTGCCCAGGCTGGTCTTGAACTTCTGACCTCAAGCTCTCCTCCTGCTTCAGCCTCCCAAGTAGCTGGAATTTGCTTGCTCCTTTTAGCTAGGGCTGTGATGTGGTGGGAGGAGTCACCGTGCAGGTCTCAAGAAAGGATTTTGGTGTAAAGGGATTGCCATGGCCTCAGATGATCAGCTTTTTTTTGCCGCCTTTTTCTTTCTCCCCTCTTCATTGTATAGCCTAACTTAATCTATCATCTGCTTTCCACTTGGCTCTCTCTGTGTTGTATTTTTGTTGACATTTAGATGTACATGTGGTAAATGTGTGAGTGGGAATGTGCATGGGGTGAATGTGATTGGGGTAAAAGTATTTATGTATATCTTAAAGGAGACAACTGTGCCCCATGTGTGATTTTGTGTGGAAATGAAGGGAATAAGAACTTCTATATTTTATTTTTGATCAAAATGTTTTGATAGTACGTTTGATAGAACTGGTAATATTTAAATTAAAGAAGCCCCAAAACAGATACAGGCATGACTAGCTGCATTGCTTAAACTTTTGGAAAACTCAGTAACCATTCCATTTAAGTAATTAACAACTTTAGTTATCAGCTTAAACTGGCCTAGAGAGTCTACACTCACTCTTAATCTTCCTTCACTCTGGCATTTGAATTAGTACTTATAAATATTTACTCATTTGGTTTTCAAGTATTTCTGGAACCTCTGCGATATGATAGGCATTAGGACTACAGAGGAGGATAAGACAAAACTCAGGCCCTTAAGGAGCTTTATACACATCACATGTAGTGATGAAGCTTCTGAAGCATCCTCAGCATGACCCCTGCAATGAGACGTTCTTGTCATTCATGCTTGCAGTCATTCAGTAAACTGTTATTGAACACCTGCTATATTCCAGGCCTGGTGCTAGACTCTGGATATACTGATGAGTGAGCAAAAGTAGACATGATCCCTGACTTTACGGGGTTTATGTAGTGGTTGATAATTTAGACCTTGTAGTTTGACTACTTTTGTGAGTAGCTGTGTAATTGCAGAACATCTAATTGGCATTAACAGTTGGCATTGCATTCTGGGATGATGAAACAGACCAGAGCTGATTGGCTTATCCGGGAGTTAATATTAATTATTAAAAAATGGTAACTACTGTATTTAACTTGAAGCATCTATGTCATGGAAATAAGAGATGGTTTGGGAGCAAGACCCAAAACCAATCTAGAACTGATTTTTGTAGGTGTGTATTAATATATTTCCCTTTTACTTTGAGTTGTGTGTGTATCTATCCAAATGTATCCATGATGCTGCTCTCTGAATATTCAAGTGTAACTTTTTTCATTAATAATTAGCAAATTAATTTCAAACTAGATGTAGCCTGAACAAATTTTGTAAATGGTTTGGGTAATTTTGTTAATAACCAATAAGACCTTGAGTATATTGGGTATTATTTTATTTATTTATTTATTTTTGAGACAGAGTCTCGCTCTGTCACCCAGGCTCGAATGCAGTGGCGTGATCTCGGCTCACTGCAACCTCTGCCATCTTGGTTCAAGCGATTCTCCTGTTTCAGCCTCCCAAATAACTGGGATTACAGGCACGTGCCCCCACACCTGGCTAATTTTTGTAGGGTTTTTTTTTTTAATTGATTATAGACGTAATATACTTTTTTTCTCTAAAAAGGACAGTCTGCAGAATCTTGCCTTTCCATTGTTATATTTCTAAATATAGCACTTAAACATGTAACTTTTCACTCTGGATTTTGTTAGATAATCAGTCTGTTTTAAATTTCTAGATTTAAGCGAGTGGTATTGCAGGAAGTCCATTCTGGCTCTGGTGGATGGACAGCCTTGGGACATGTATAAGCCTTTAACAAAGTCCTGTGAAATTAAATTTCTTACTTTCAAAGATTGTGATCCAGGAGAAGTGAATAAGGTATTTCTATCTCTACATTCTTTTTCTATTTCCCCAGTATCTTCACCTTTTTATTAAGACCTGTTTTCTATGGGGTGTAATGTAAAAATATGGCCAAGTTCAAATGTTGTATCGTACTCTTTAGTCAATGTTTTACCTGTTAGATTAGGCACTTTTGTAGTTCAGAACTTATCAGTGGCATCCATTTGTGGGTATTTTTGTATGCTATGTCTTTTATATTCATATCTTTGTTCAACTTACATTCATTAATCACTCTCTATATTGTGGGTGATTCCATTTCCACTGCTACTGCTTGAATTCAGCCTTTGACCATCTTATCTAGATGATTTCAATAACTTTTTAACTCTTTCTGCTTACCCATCCCCCCACTATTTTTTTTCGTTACTTAAAAGTTGTTCTTTTACAGGCATATAACAGCTTTATTAAGTGACTTGTCCAAGGATCATGTCACTTAAACCTAAAGAACTTGCCTACCTGTTAACATTCACATAGCTTTCCAGGCCCTGTATAATCTGTTCCCAGCCTGCCTTTCCAGCTTGGCCTCCCCCCTGCTTCTTTCCACTTCCTCCTTGCTCTGGCCTCTTTAGAGTACTTGGTCACTGTATTAGTCCGTTTTCACACGGCTATAAAGAACTCCCTGAGACTGGGTAATTTATAAAGAAAAGAAGTTTAATTGACTCAATTTTTCATGGCTGGAGAGGCTTCAGGAAACTTAACAATCATAGTAGAAGGGGAAGCAGGAACATCTTACATGGAGGCAAGAGAGAGAGTGAGGGAAGAACTGCTAAACACCTTTAAACCATTAGATCTCATGAGAACTCAACTCACTATCAAGAGAACAGCCTGGGGGAAACCGCCCCATTATCCAGTCACCTTCTACCAGGTCTCTCCTTCGTTCGAGATGAGATTTGGGTGGGAACACAGGGCTAAACCATATCAGTCACTAATGGTTTATGCTGTGTTATCCACCTTGCTTTTGTTGATGCTTTCGCCAAATGTGAGCATTTTCTTTTCTCTCTATTAAAATCCTATTTATCTTTTACAATTCAATTAAAAGGCCATCTGCTTTGTGGAAACTTCTAAGTTTCTCCTTGTCAAAATTAATCCTCTTTTCTCTAAGGTCTCACACAACTTGGCTAGTCTCTAGATATGATATTTTAATTTTGTCTTGTAACATAAACGGTCGAATGTGAAGATAGGGACCATTTCCCTTATTGGACCTAGTTCTTGATATACATACAGTAGGTGTTTAATAAATATTTGTTGAAATAGTTGAACAAGAAAATGATAGAAATGACAGTAATAGCCAACAATGAGTATGTATGTATTATGTATCAGGCACTGTTCTAGGTGATTTACAGATATTAACTCATTTAACCTTCATACAAACTCTGTGAGTTCGTGCTATTCTCCCCATTTTCCCGATGAATAAACTGAGACAAAGAGAAGTTCAGCAGCTTGACCAAGGTTACTGATTTAGGAAATAGTGGAGCCCAGATTTGAACCTAGGCATTCTGACTGGAGTTCAACAGACATTTAGAGACATTTAGGTAGGATAGATGAAGAAGTACATGTTGCTACTTGCCTTCAAGGCCTGGGTCTGTACTTATTTTTAGTGTAATATGGTTGCATTGAATTTATAATGGAGAAGTGATCCCACTTTTGTAGTCCTCAGATGTTAAGAAGAGCTTCTGAAAAGTGCACAGAGTAGTGTCAGCAGGAGGGGAACACAATGGACAGGTATGGTGCAGGTTTCTCCTTGTGACTGATCAGGTCATTGCTCTGATACCATATCAGGCATGTCCATGAATCAAAATGTGCTGGTAAGATGAAAGCCCAGTTCCTGCTGCTCTGCTATAAATATGAGTAATCTGAACGATGTGTTAGGGTGTTAGGTAGAGGATAAGAGTCACTAATAATTCATAAAAGTTGAGTTTTTCTCCATATTTATAAATGATACAAAGTTACATAATTAATATATTTATTTTACTTTAGCACAAGTTTGTTAACAAGTTAACTTTATCGTGGGTTAAAAATAAATACTTTCAGGTAATAAAACTATCTGTCGGGGTTGATAACCATTATGGTGTTTGAAATCTTGCACAGAAACATTGCTAAGAACCTGAGGTTCATGCTTCATTCTTTTTTGATTTTTGCTTGGTCGAGGTAACGTCATGGCCTGATGGCAACTGTTGCTACATTGTGTGAACAGAGATATATGAGAAATATTTTCTAAGTCAGAAGTTCACTTAAAATTTAATATTGTCAAAACTTTAGTGAATCTCAGTGTGTTTATATATATTTTATATATGTATATTTTTTTTCTAGGCATATTGGCGTTCCTGTGCTATGATGATGGGCTGTGTGATAGAGAGGGCATTCAAAGATGAATATATGGTCAATTTGGTCAGAGCTCCAGAAGTTCCTGGTAGTGTATACATATATGTCTTTTTGTGATCCTTAAATATTTTGGTACCTATTTTTGATGACGTATAGAGTTTAGTACTAATATAAATTACCATTATACATATGTGTCATTTATCATGGGTAACAAAATCTTTCTTACTATGATGAAACATGAAGTAGTCTTTGCAGGTTAATAATTAACATCATAGAATTACTGGAAAGTGTTTGTCTTGAATATGAATTTCATGGAATTCCACTATCTCAGCGTTTATTTATTTATTTGAGACGGAGTTTCACTCTGTCACCCAGGCTGGAGTGCAGTGGCGTGATCTTGGCTCACTGCAAGCTCCGCCTCTGGGGTTCACACCATTCTCCCGCCTCACCCTCCCGATTAGCTGGGTCTACAGGCGCGCGCCACCACGCCTGGCTAATTTTTCTGTATTTTTAGTAGAGACGGGGTTTCACCATGTTAGCTAGGATGGTCTCGATCTCCTGACCTCGTGATCTGCCTGCCTCGGCCTCCCAAAGTGCTGGGATTACAGGCGTGAGCCACCGTGCCCGGCCCTTAGCGTTTATTTTTTACTTTAAGCATATATTTCCAAATTGGATGTATAGAGGAGGAGGAAATCTGAGTATAAGTAGACTACTGTAAAGAGCTGTGCTTAGGTGGTAATATTTCACCAGACAGGACCATTACTTTGGAAAGTGACAGCACTTTGGTGAAATGACAGGGTGTGGACTGTAATTTTGCTAAAACTAGGATTTTGGAATAGTAAGTATGGTAGGATCACGTGTCAAATTTTTTTTTTTTTTTAAAGAAGTAGATATACCTAAAATATTTGAAAGAAGCTCAAGAAATGATTCTAAGAACAAAACCCCAAAAAGAAGATATTTAGGGGATATAAAAGAAATGTAACATTTTGTATCCATTAAGTTATTTATCTACTTACTAAATATCTTGTTCTTTTGGAATTTTTTTTTTTTTTTTTTTTTTAAGACGGAGTCTCGCTGTGTTGCCAAGGCTGGAGTGCAGTGGCGCGATCTTGGCTCACTGCAACCTGCACCTCCCAGATTCAAGCGATTCTTCTGCCTCAGACTCCCAAGTAGCTGGGATTACAGTTGCCTGCCACCAAGCCCGGCTAATTTTTATATTTCTGGTAGAGATGGGGTTTTACTATGTTGGCCAGGCTGGTCTCAAATTCTTGACCTCAGGTGATCCACCTGCCTTGGCTTCCCAGAATTTTTACATCTGGTAACTGTATGAAATCTGTATGGCAATAGCATTTGTGAAGAAAACTTGAATGTTTAAAAAATATTTGTGATTTGGGGTTGACAATCTTTTGGCTAAGGGAAATTTGATAGAGCTCTGGCAAGCAGCTGGAAGAATGGCAACCATTTTATAATTTGTAGAGTTGGGAGAGAGTGCTAATCCTTTTTATGGTCTAAATATTCAGTTGTTGCAAATTAGTAACTTTCTGTTGGGGCAGATTTGACTTTGCTTTTTATTTTGGTTGGATTTACAGTAATTTCTGGTGCCTTCTGTTATGACGTAGTTTTGGATAGCAAACTTGATGAGTGGATGCCAACAAAAGTAAGTGTATTCTTCTGGAGTATTAATTTTAGAGTGTCTGCCTTTCTTTGTTAGAATGATTCCTATGTTAGTATTGTTGAATGGTACTGCATGTTGAGAACATTTAAAAGAATCTATGTATCTATCTATGTATCTATGTATCTGTCTGTCTGTCTATCTATCTATCTATTGGTGTTGTTGCTTTTTCAGCCTATTTAAGACAGAGGGATGTGAATGAGAGTATTTACATCAACATGGTCAGTTGTCTTGAAACTTTATGTTCTGCTTGACCTTTTCTTGATGTTCCTTCTAAGTGGTTTTAAGGTAGTGGTTTTCAAGAGGCCCAGGATATAAAATATAAAAACTTAACTATCTTGACCCATGTGGTAGTAGGGGGCCTGGAGCCATACTTGTTTGGGTCGCTGGAGCACAATTTGAAAACCACTCCCCTAAACCATTTTAACTTGTTGCATACAGTGAGGTCCCTGTATATACAAGGGTCACATTGAGAGCTGGGTGAATTAAAGAATCAGACTTTGACAAAGCTAATACTCAAGCATCAACAAATGAAATATTAACAAACTAAACTCTTTGTGAATGGTTTGCCTTTGTAATGAGGATGGTCCTTGTTGGTCTGGGACTTGGGTAGCAACAGAGCCTAACAAGGACAGTCTAGATCAGGTGCTCAGTAGGTAAGGGGTGCTGATGGTTATCAAAGATCAAGCCTGGAGATGTAGTTCTGATTGGGGAGAATAGGCAAATACCTAATTCTTAATTAAACAAAACTATATGTCCTATGTATTGGGAGTCTGGAGATCTGAAAAGGGGAAGCAGTGTAGCACATCATTTTATCATTTCCACTGTGTACATTCTTTTTATATTTAATATCTCTGAAAATATATAAGCCTTATATTAGATGGTATCTTGCAATTAGAATTTGTAGTGTTTTTTTTTTTTTTTTTTCCCCTTAGTAATACATCTTAGATTTAGTAAAATACTGTAGTGGTTCTTAAAAGCAAGGATTTTGGAGTAAGGGCAGATCCAGCTTTAAATTTGGCCTTGGAAATTACTTTTTGTATAATCCTGCGCATATTACATAATATTGAGAGGGAGAGAAGAGGGAATCAAGAAAGAATGAGAAAAAGGGAGAGGGAAGAGAGAGAGAAGAGGATGGAAAGAGGGGAGGGAAGGGATTGGAACTGTTTCTTCATGACCTCTGGGCTCCTGTCAGTGTAGCTTCTTCCTTTTCAAGTATGTCTCCAAATTTAAGATTTTTTTTACTGGGGCAAGTTAGGTAAAAACTGAGGTCAAGATTTAATTTTCATTATCTGTGAAACATAACTGCTTTTTTCTTTCTTTCTCTCTCTTTTTTTTTTTTTTTAAAGAGATGGGGGTCTCACTATGTTGCCTAGGCTGGCCTTGAACTTCTGGGCCCAAGCAATCTTCCTGCCTCAGCCTTTCTAGTAGCTGGGACTGCAGGTGTATGCCACTGTGCTTGGCTTTTGCATTTTTCTTTTTTAAAAGATAAAACCTTACAAAAGAAATATGTGAGCTGATTGCAGACTCCATGGAGTTGGGTTGAGTAGACAGCTTAAAGAAAGTAGGGTAGAGTTACATTGAAGGAATAGTTGTATTAAACCATGAATGTTGATTTTTTTATACAGTAAATTATTCTTTATAGAGAAGTCATTTCATGCAAAAAAGTCTAATAGGATTTTTATGGAAATAATTTCATTATAAAAATTACTTGTGTAATAGTGCTTGGTTTTTTCTGTGTTATTAGTAATGATTTACAGTATGAAAGCTCAATTAGAATTTTTATTAAAAATCTTAAACACATTGTTAATGTGTATTCTTCATCATTTTAATTGTGTAAAATTGACATTTTTATTAAGCAGAAACTTTTAATATTGGACATGCTATACTTTGCACAGGGTGGGTGATGATGCTACATTTCTAGTGAAACTTTCTTAATTAAGAAAACAATAATTTTTCCCCATATATTTAATAAACTTAGATTTATTCATACTGTAAACACATTTTTATGTCTTGCTATTTATTTATTGGCATTTTTACTTGCTGCATCATAGTTTTAATAAACATTTTAAGGTTGTATAATTTGGATGAAATTATATAATTTGGATAAAATTTCTGTATAGTTTTCTCTTTAATAATTAGTATTAATGAAGGCTGACACCTTAATTACAGGTAAATAAGAAGTTTTATAGTTTATGGTCCAAAACTTCAGTTGTTGCAAATTAGTAACTTTCTGTTCTAACAAATTTGATTTTATCTTTTATTTTAGTTGGATTTGCAGTACTAAGCATAGAGTTTTGTTTCAACTGGCTTATGGAGAAATGCTTTTCAGTGAATTGTTACTAAAGGTTATTACTTTCATTTTTAAGGAGAACTTACGTTCCTTCACAAAAGATGCTCATGCTTTAATTTATAAAGATCTTCCATTTGAAACTCTGGAAGTTGAAGCAAAAGTGGCATTGGAAATATTTCAACACAGCAAGTAAGTGTTGGCTTTCTTTAAATCAAGGCTAACTCTCCCAGTATTATATGTAATAAAGAAAATTCAGGTCTTAAAAATTTTTATATTTGATATACATGTGACAGTGTATTATTTTCCAGTCTGAGACCTCTGTGATCTCATTTATTTCGCTGAGGAAAATGTTACCCATGTCCCTTGATAATTTTCTCACTTTGTTTTACTTCTCTGTTCTTGGACCAGCCTTTCTCATTATATCAACATAGTGGCATGTTTCCCTTTTTTCTTTCTAGTGTGAAGTGATAATGTACGTTAAGCGACTATATAATTGTGTGTATTTGGCAGTGTTTCTCTCCTACCCCTCCACACTTAAAATGACACTGATAAGATTGAAAATGCAAGCAGTTTGGGAGGGGGCTGACAGCTGAAGTAAAATGTTTACACAGCCAGGTCTTAATCTTCTGCATGTGAATTATTCATTTGATGGATTTTCTTTAACATTTTAATTCCTGCCTGGCTTCTCAGTTCTCAGAAAACTTTCAGTTCACCTTCTACTACCAGTTGTAAGAACATGAGCTAAATTTTAACATTAATCTAATACAATATTAGAACTAACTAGAAAGAGAAACCTGTGCTGTAAAAAAAAAAAAATAACAGAGTCTGAAGCCAAAATATGCACCTAAGAATTGTGAAAGTTTACTGATTAGAATTTCTTTAGGTATATAGAAGTTGAATTACAAATTCTCATAGGGATAGGTTATCGTAAATATATTGGGTTATGAGTGTGTTTTTGACACATACTTTATAGCTTGGCATTTCTCAAAGCAGTCTGTCTTATAGTATTCTTCTATAGGATGTTAATTGACATGTGAAACCATGTACTGTGTTAAGCTGAGTTTGAAGAACAGTGGCTTAAAAAATTTTACTCGGCTGGGCGCGGTGGCTCACGCCTGTAATCCCAGCACTTTGGGAGGCCGAGGCGGGCAGATCACGAGGTCAGGAGATCGAGACCATCTTGGCTAACACGGTGAAACCCCGTCTCTTTTAAAAATACAAAAAATTAGCTGGGCGTGGTGGCGGGCGCCTGTAGTCCCAGCTACTCAGGAGGCTGAGGCAGGAGAATGGCGTGAACCCGGGAGGCGGAGCTTGCAGTGAGCCTAGGTGGCGCCACTGCAGTCCGGCCTGGGCGAAAGAGCGAGACTCCGTCTCAAAAAAAAAAAAAAAATTTTTACTCATCGCACTCAACGGTCTCCCAAAGTGGACATTGAAAATTTCCCAAATATATTTGCCCATGAAACACTTTTTCTTGAAACATTTTTAGCGTGTCCTGGAACCAGTGGATTTAGAAACCAGTTGTAATGTACTGTTTTAACTAGAGTACAGATAGTATTGTAGAACCAAACCACCATTTATAGCATTGATTCGACAAGAAAATTCTTTGGACTATCTGAACACGTGAAGTCACTCTCTGTGACAAAAGTCTAGGCACATGCTGCCCAAAAGAAATATAATATGAGACATCTGTATAATTTGAAATTTTCTGTAGTTGCATTGAAAAAAAGTCAAAACAAAAGTTGAAGTTAATTTTAATGATTTTATTTAAATGATACATCTAAAATGTTACTCAGTGTAATCAATATTAAAATATTGATGTTATTTTATATTCTTTTTCACTAAATCTTCAGAACCTGGTATGTGTTTTACACTTAAGGCACATTTTAACTAGTACTAATCACATTTAAGTGCACCATGGTACTTTACTGGACAGTGTACTTTTGACTTCCATTCAGTACACATTGAGATTTCCCATTCCTCTAACTGTCAAGGACTGGTAGCGGCTTCTGGGACTTTTGTAACTTAGTTGAGTGTGTGGTAGGAGGAAGGGGATAATTCTGGAGGAAGCTTGATAGGACAAAAGAGTTGGTTCATTGAAGGTGGGTCAGTGATTGAGTCCTTCTGCTGCAGGAGTAAGGGTGGGACCTTTTTGTGGCTTTGACTCTCAGGGGACAGGAGCATCTCTTGGAGGTGGGTCAGGAGGGATAAGTATTCAAGGGAATTGGCACCCTTATTAGTGCCTGGGGGACTGTAGCAGTCAGTGGGTGTTTTTGCATAAACCAGTGTTCCCTAACTTTGCCACATAATTGTGCATACACCTGTGGTGCACCTACACATATTACTTGTTTAGCACCCTGAGGTAAACAGACAAAGCTCTCAATAGTAAATGGTAAAGTCATGGTTTGAACCTGGGCTGTGCAGTTTCATCTGTGCCTTTAGCTATACTGACAGAATTGGGTAGATTTGAGAGATACTGGGCAGTCAAATTGACAACTTGATAATGAATTGAATAAAGGAGATATGGTAGGAGAAAGGAATCAAGGAAATCTCCCAGGTTTTTCACATGGACACCTGGGTGGTTGGTGGTATCGTACTAAGACAGGAAATTCAGGAGGAAGAACAAGTTTGGGCGGGGAAAGAGGTGGTAATTTGTGCAGTTTGCAAATTTCAGGGTAAGGTGCTTGTGGAACATCCTAGAGGATGTCCAAATGGGTCTTGGATATACAGTTTGGTGGTCAGAAGAGGTAGGTAGATTAGAAGCAGAGATATAGGACATACAACTACATAAGTTGTAGCTCAAGGGGCTGACCTAGGGAGGATGCTTAGCGTGAAAAGAGGGTGTAGGATAGAATTCTCAAAGGGTAGAGAAAGACAGGAGTGGCCAGAGATGTAAAATAACAAGCAGTAAGGAATGCCACTGATACCCATGGAAAGAGCACTTTGAGGCTGGATGTGGTGGTTCATCGCTATAATCCCAGCATTTTGGGAGACTGAGGCAGGAGGATTGCTTGACACCAGGAGTTTGAGACCAGCCTGAGCAACATGGCAAGACCCTATCTTTACCAAAAAAAGTTAGCCCGGCATGGTGGCTCACACCTGTAGTCCCAGCTACTTGGGTGGCTGAGGCAGGAGGGTCGCTTGAGCCCGAAGTTTGAGACTGCAGTGAGCTATAATTATGCCACTGCATTCCAGGGTGGGTGATAAGAGTAAGACCCTGCCTCAAAAAAAAAAAAAAAAAAAAGAACAAAGAAATAAAAATGGAAAGAAAGAACACATTGAGAAGTGGAGGTGAGCATTGGTATTAAGAAAATGAGGACCAAAAAATGTCCACTGGGTTGACACCAAGCAGGTCTGTGACTTTGTTGAGAACAGTTTGGCAGAGTCATGGGGCTGTGGCCAGATTAAAGGGAGGTTCCAAGTGTAACCTACTCTCAGAAAGTATGGCTGAAGAGGAAGAGAAAGGGAGGTATCTTTAAACACCTTTTTACATATTTTGAGTTAAAAAAATGTTTTTTTCTTTGCTGCTTTTCAGGTACAAAGTAGATTTCATAGAAGAGAAGGCATCTCAGAACCCTGAGAGAATAGTCAAGCTACACAGGTAAGTAAAAGTCTAAAAACTGGCTGCTATGTTAGAGTAAGGCTTAGCTTTATTGTTATCTGAATGAAGCATATGACCAAAAAAGATGAATTTGTGTCTTATTTTGTTCTTATTACCTTATTTTTGGTTGCTTCGTTCATTGTTTTGTTATGGTGGTAAATGGAAGCTTTAAATTATCTTCAGGAACACTTGTGGTTTCTATAATCCTCATTTTATTGTTTGCTATTTTTATTTAATTTTGAGTTGAAAACCACTGTTTAAGAATGTAATTTTTAGGTGTTTTGAAACTGGGCAAGATAGTCATTGTGATGAATTGAACATCGTAATTCATATGAATACTGACTAACTAGTAATTACTTAAGATACATGTAAGTTAAGCCAGAATGTGCTTTCTCAAGCATGGATGAGAAAGGTCCACTGCTTATGATGACGTTCTCCCATGGGGAGCAAGTCCCAAGACAATGCATTCTGCAGAAATGACTTCATGACCTGGATCCATTTTCTCAGCCTCCTGTTTTTATGAATTGGACTTCACTTTTTTCCTCTAGAAACTGCCCTTTGTTTCTGAACACAATCTGTCCTACACACTGAATTCTCAGCTTCGTTACATGGGTTATTGTAAGGTTGTAGATGATCGGTTTTAGGCAATTGGATCAGCTTGATAGCATGATGTGTTGCGTGACTCTTAAAGACCTTAAAACCTATATCAATGCTAATTAAGAAAATGGTTCATTTGATTTAATTTTCAAAGTTTTAGCCTCTTTACTTGAGATCATTATGTCAGGGGTCATTAGAAACTGAATTGAACCATATATAATGTTCTTGATTAGGGATGTTAGCAGCAAAGAGAAGGAAGAGATTTCTTTTTCAAGCTCTTACAAATTATTTGATGTTGCAGTTTTGTTTATTTATTTTTAAATCAATCAGAATAGGTGACTTCATTGATGTGAGTGAGGGCCCTCTTATTCCAAGAACAAGTATTTGTTTCCAGTATGAAGTATCAGCAGTTCACAATCTTCAACCCACCCAGCCAAGTCTCATACGAAGATTCCAGGGCGTGTCTTTACCTGTTCACTTAAGAGTAAGTAAAGCTTAAAGTTCTAGGTCTTCCAATTTGGGTATAGATATAATTCCGGACTTGATTTTATACCAGTTTGAAGAATATAAACTTTTAATTTTTCTTAAGTTATGTGACACTAATATTTTATAAACTCAGGTTTATGATTAAAAACAAAGTTGCCCAGGGTGTAAATATACAATTACAAAAGAAACATTAGTTGAAAAAATTAAATTGACATAGCATTTAAAAATTTCAAGTTAGCATAGGTGAGGGTACATTGACAGAGGGGGTATTAGAGTGCGTATTGGTAAGACTTCCTGGAATGCCTTTTAAGCTTAAATTTGGCATGCTCTTCCCTCTAATTTTAATGATCCATCATGACCCGAAGCCTGACATTTTCCACATTGCTCCCACCCCTTGCTAATCTTTTTATTTAAATTTTTGATTTTGAGATAATTGGGTTATAAGACATAGAGAGATCCCATGTACCTTTACTTGGTTTCCTCAATGGTAGCATCTTGCAGTACTAAAATACAGTATCACCACCAGGGTATGGACAGCGATACAATGAAGATACAGGACAATTCCTTCACTACGGGGATCCCTCATGTTGGCCTTTTATAGACACACGCATTTACAGCCACTTCCCTCTGTTGCCCCCATTACCCTGCCTGCTTACCCCTGCCAACTACTTATCTGTTTTCCTTTTCTATAATTTTGTCACTTCAAGAATATTGTATGAATGGGATCAAACGGTATGTAATTTTTTGGGATTGGCACTTTTCACTCAGTATAATTCTCTGGAGATTTCATCCGAGTACATTGAGTATATCAGTAGTTCATTCATTCTTATTGCTAAGTAGTATTACTTGGTCTGGATGTATCATGGTTTGTTTAACCATTCATCCATCAAAGGACATCTGAGTTATTTTCAGTCTTTGGCTATTACAAATAAAGCTGCTGTGACATTGTGTGCAGGTTTTTGTGAATATTTCTCTGGGATAAATACCCAGGAGTGCAATTGCTGGGTCATATGATAAGTGTATGTTTAGTTTTTTAAGAAACAACCAAAGTGTTCCAGAGTGACGGTACCATTTTACATTCCCACTGGCAATGTGTGAGTGATCAGTTTTTCCACATCCTCACTAGCATTTGATGCTGTCACTACTTTTTTTTTTGTTTTAGTCATTCTGATATGTTTGTAGTGATTTCTCATTGTAGTTTTAATTTGAATTTCTCTGTTGACCAATGGTATTGATCATTTTTTCATGTACTTATTTGCCATCTGTATATCTTCATTGGTGCAATGTCTGTTTATGTCTTTTGCTAGTGTTCTAATTAGATTGTTTTACTTTTTAACAGTTGAGTTTTGAGAGTTCTTTATATGTTGTAGATACTAGTTTTTTGTTAGATATGTAGTTTTCAGATTTCTCTCTTTTTCTGTCTGTACCTTGTGTTTGTATATGTGGCTTGTTTTCTCATTCTCTGAGCAGCCTTTTGCAGAGAAGTTTTTAATTTTGATGAAACTAGTTTATTAAAATTTGATAACATTTTTGTTTTTATAGATTATGTTTTTGGGGTTAATTCTAAGAACTCTTTGACCAGTCCTACATCCCAAAGATTTTCTCCTTTTTTTTTTCCCTCCTAAAAGTTTTAGAGTTTTACATTTGTTTAAATCTGTGGTCCATTTTGAGTTAATTTTTCTATGAGTGTGAGATTTAGGTTTAGGTTTTTTTTTTTTTTTTTTTTTTTTGTGGGCTATAGATGTCAGATTGCTCCAACACCATTCGTTGAAAAGGCCACTCTTCCTCCACTGAGTTACTTTTGCATCTTTGTTAAAAATTAGCTGAGCATATTTATGTAGGCCTATTTTTGGGTCCTCTATTCTGTTCCATTGATCACATATGTTTAGCTCTCTACCAGTACCACCCAGTCTTGATTACTGTAGCTCTAAATAGGCTGTGAAATCAGGTAGAGTAATTCCTCCCTTGTTACTGTTTTTTAATCAAAATTGTTTTAACTCTTCTAGTCTCTTTGAGTTTCCATTTAATGTTAGGATAATATTTTCAATGTCAACAGAGTCTTCCTGAGATTCTGATAAGTCCATTAGACCTGTATAGCAGTTTGGGGAGAATTGACATCTTTAATATGTTGAGGTTTCCAGTCTATGAACTTACTGTATCTTCTTATTTATTTATATCTTCTTTCATCCCTCTCATTTTGTAAAATTTAGCACACCTCTCCTATACATTTGACTTTGACTTTTCTCCACATACCTGCTTCCTTTCCTAGCCTTCCCAATTTCAGAAAATGGGATCATCCTTTAACTCAAGCTTGTCCAACTCACAGCCCATGGGCTGCATGCAGTCCAGGACGGCTTTGAATGAGACACAAATTTGTAAACTTTCTTAAAACATTATGAGGTTTTCTTGCGATTTTTTTTTTTTTTTAGCTCATTAGCTGTCATTAGCGTTAGTATATTTTATGTGTGGTCCAGGACAATTCTTCTTCCAGTGTGGCCCAGGGAAGCCAAAAGATTGGATACCCCTGGTTTCCTTAGTTGTTTAAGGTAATCCTTGATTCTCTTTTCCCCTCATAGCCATGCCCCAGCCCATCCATCCGCAAGTCCTTTCAACTTTTAACTCTGAAACATATTCTGAATCTATGCACCTTATAACATCTCATCTACTACTACTTCCCTTATCCAAGTTCCTCTTTGTTTTCACTCACCTTCCTTGCTTTCACTCTTGCCATCTACAGTGCATTTTCCACTTAGTAGCCAAAGTGATCTTTTTAATACACAATCTGTTATGTACTTCCTCTGCCCCAAACTTTCCAATGGCTTCCCTTGAACAAATCCCAACTCTTTACCCTGTCTCACAAAGCCCTGCATTATCTGGTCCCTGCCTGCTTCTCTGACTTTATCTAACACCACTCCTTTCCTCACTCACTATATTCCAGCCACAGCTTAAGGTCTCTGCACCAGCAGTTCATTCCGCCTGAGTCAGGCATGGTTTTCCCTTTAAACATACCAGTCAGCTCTTTCCCTGGAAGGGTTTGTATGTTGATATTTATTAATTTTACCTTTTATTATAGATTTTATGAGCTCATTCAGTGTGGAGTAGTCACTGGCCTGCCCATATGTCTTGTTACCACTTTCAGTTGACCTAATAAAATTGATGTGGTCATGATACACTTTGCACAGTTTTCTTTAATGCATTCTGATAATCCTCTGCTACAGGAGGTTGTTATGGACTAAGGAAATTGAGTTTAAATTTTACTATTGTCTTGGGAGGCTGAGGCAGGAGAATTGCTTGAACCTGGGAGGCGGAGGTTGCAGTGAGCTGAGATCGCACCACTGCACTCCAGCCTGGGCGACAGAGTGAAACTCCATTTCAAAAAAAAAAAAAATTTACTATTGTCTTTGTTAGGTTTTACTTATTCTTTAGGGTAACTTGATGAATCCTCTGCTTCTGCCATTTCAGTGTGAAGATGTCACAGTTGGTTTTTAATGACTGTCTTCTTGTGATTGCTTATGATTTGAAGAATGACTTCTAGAATGTTGAAACTGGCTGTTTAAGGATTGAACCACAGTCTATGGGAAAGTAGGGCAGATTTTTGCTTCCTATTAGAAGAAATGCTTTCTATGATGGAAATGATTAAGATGGGCAAAAGTGAAAGAAGGGCACGTTCAATCCTTAAGCGTTTTTTTCTTAAATGCTCACTGCAACCTCTGCCTCCCGGGTTCATGCGATTGAAGAAAGCAAAAAAGCAGCTATCCCCATGTAGCACCTTTTTTTGCTACTATGATCCACTTTTATAACCACTTATCTAAATTAGTACTGCCTAGCTTTTTATTTATTTTGTTCTAAAAGCTATATAAAGACTCTGTCCTTTTTACTTTGACATTACTGCTTCATTTAGTTCATCGCAAATCTTTTCTTTTCAAGGCACATTTTACAATATGGGATAAGCTATTGGAAAGATCTCGGAAAATGGTAAGTGTTTTTGACAGCTATTGAGTACTCTTCTATAAAGAAATTCATCAAAATTAACCAATAACAACCAAAGGGGGGAAAAATGAAAGAAACAAAGAGAAAGGAAAAAAGTAAGTTGTCTCAATAGTCAAAGCAGTGTTGTGATTGTTCACTAGTGTGTTGGTAAGGGTAAAGTTGTAACTTGGCAGTTCTCTTTTGATTTTATTTGTTAATATCGTGAAAATGATATTGTAGAACTTGAAGAGAAATAAGAATATTACTATGTAATAGTAATAGTTCTTAATAGTTGTAATGGTATCAGTTAGGTCTTAGGATTTATTTTGTAAACTTAATGAATATTTAGAGGATTAAGATTTGTCAGGTGTATTTTAAAGCCGCCTTTAGCCATTAACAGTAAATGTGCAAATATCCTAATGTCCTGAAAAACCAGATTTGAATGTTTGTGTTTTTGTAGTTTATTCTTTGTCATTAGCATTTAGACTTAATGAGTAGGAATGATAGTATTTCTTTTCTTTTTTTTTTTGAGACAGAGTCTTGTTCTGTCTCCCAGGCTGGAGTGCAGTGGCGCGATCTCAGCTCACTGCAACCTCCACCTCCCGGGCTCAAGCGATTCTCGTGCCTCAGCCTCCCAAGTAGCTGGGACTATGGGTGCCCACCACTACGTCCAACTAATTTTTTTGTATTTTTAGTAGAGACAGGGTTTTACCGTGTTAGCCAGGATGGTCTCGATCTCCTGACCTCGTGATCCACCCCCCTCAGCCTCCCAAGGTGCTGGGATTACAGGCGTGAGCCACCGCGCCCGGCCCGGGTGATTGTATTTCTTGACCACAACTATTCCTGTTTCCTATTTCATAGGCTAAGTGTGCCTCTTTTACTTAGGTTATCTGATAGCTGTCCTGTGTAATCTGTCCTCATTAGGACTTCCTCCTTATCCTAATTTCCCACAATGCCACAAACACTGGTTAAGCTTGCAGGCACATTAAGCATCACACATTAAACTTATTTTCAAGTTTGCTTATTTCTTCATGATAGTTTTTCTTTCTAGACTCCATTTCCCATTCTCCTTCTATTTACTACGCAGTCATTCTTCACTACCTCGCCTGAGTCGTACCTCCTCCATGGAACAGTCTCAGAGTAATCTCTAACAAATAATTATTCATATAAGTTTGTGCTTGATTGTATATGTCCACATACTATTTTTTGATTGTTTTCTTTGCCAGTACATTTATTTTCTGTCTGTTAAGCCTTTCAGGATTTGTTATATTTGTGTAAGCCCAAATTTTGAACACAACATTAGCACATGAAGGGGTTACCCAAGAAATATTTATTGACAATTTTTCATAATGATATATAAACCTAGTCTTTATTAATGACTATGTAGATAGGAATTATTGTTTAGGGACTTCACCATAATGTTCTTGAGTAAGGGTTATATAATTTTTTTTCTCATGAGAAGAAATTACCTTTGAATGGATGGAGTAATTTTCTCTTTTTAGTTGGTCACAGTGATCATTTTAGATGAAGAAACTAAAGAAAAAATGTTCAGCATGTTTACTTGGAGTTAAGTAAAATTAAAAAAAATTTAAAAAGCTAAAGAATATTAAAGAAATAGTTTGGAAAATTAAAGAAGCAGTAGTAACTGAACACTTTAAAGGAATGAAAAATGTAGAAAAACGGCAGAGACAGTGTCTTACCTAGAATATCTAGTGATGTTAGTCAATACATATTTTTTCAAACATTTATTCTGGTTTAGTTGCTTTTTTCTACTGTCCATTTTGCTTTTCTGAAGGGATTAGATTAAACGTGGTTCATTGATGCAACACAGACTTACTGATTGTTTATTGTGTGCCAGGTACTGTTATGGTCTGGAGGTACAAAAAAATGCACAAAATTTACTTGCTGCCTCAGGGAAGTAATGTTGATTGGATAATTAGACTTATAAGCAGACAGTTCAGGTGTACATGTGGGGCTCTGGCATAAAGAAGAGGACTCAGACCAAGCTGGGGAGTTGCTTAAGGAAGGCTTCCAGGAATTGGAGTCTCTTAAGCTGATTTTAAAGGGTGAATAAAAGTGGACCATGCAGATAATCTGTTGGAAAATGGGTTGGAGGTTATCTCAGAGGAAGTCACTTGCCTACATAGAGAACATGATGAATGTAAGATGAATTTGAATGTACAGGTCACATGTAGGATAGGTAAAGAGTCAGTCCAAAAACAGAATATGAGGGGCTTGTGTCCCGTGTTGTGGAACTTGCATTCCTGACTTTCCTCCTCCACCCCACTGAGATGCTAGAGAGTAACTGGAGAATTTTGAGTAGGGAAGTGACCTGTTGATCAGCTATTCTTGTTTAAAAGCTCATTCTAGGGGTAGCATGGGATATAGCTGTGACTTAAGCCAAGAGTTCTGTTAGGGGGATAGAAGAGAATGAGGTCCTAAAGTTCAGCCGCGATAGGGAGAATGACTGTGAGAGTTAACTTAGGCTGAATTAGTAGGACTGTTGATGGAATATGCAGGTAGGAAGAAGAGAGTGAATTCTTGAATGCTGTCCTTAGGTATCTGGGTGGAGCCCTTTACCAAGATAGATGATGCAGGTAGGACAGGTTTTGGGGTGTTGAATTCAGATTTAGCCATGTCTGTTTGATGAGTCTGAGTGACACAGAATAGAAATAGGGACATAGAGATATCTATTTAGACTAAATCTGTAATATGTTCTATTCTAAATGGAATTATACTCCAAAAGAAAATAAACTGATTTAAAATAGCTTGTTACAGCACTTCAGGTGTTTTTTCTTACACTAATGATTTTGTTTTACGGCTGAAAAGTAAAATGGCCAACTTGAGAAGCCTAGGTATAATATGCCTTAGATTATATTTTTGAATGGAATTATTGTTCTTTACCTGATAATTTATATTGGTTACTTGGCCTTTAAATCTTTCTTCTTACCTAACTTTCTATTCTACTATTTAAGGGGAAAGATAAAGGGTCATTATAAGAGGGCTGTGGAATGATTTAAAATGGTGGGTGAAGGGTAAAACTGAAAGTGTTTATTAGGAAAGTAAAGCTATTCATGTTTTTACAGGTAACTGAAGATCAAAGTAAAGCAACAGAGGAATGTACATCTACCTAATAACTTTCTAAAATTTAAATATGTATAATAAAATAAATGTTTTAAATATAATGTTTGTGTGTGCTTATACAGATTAACCCTTTCTCCCCAAGATTGATAGTGATCTTTACTTTTTCTTTTCTCTAAAGTATGAAACACTTCATGTTGCTTAAGTAAAAACTGTACAAAAACAGGTCACTCCCTTCCTGCTCCATGGATGCAACACTTTAGCATGTTTTCTCTATTTTTTCCTACAGATCTAGGCAGATACATACAAATATAAATGTAATTTCTAAAAAACATAAATAGGACCATACTATACTTGCTTGCGTTTTTTGCCGAACAGTGGCACAGTAAACATCCTTGTGCAAAAATGGCAAATGTTTGTAGATAAGTAATATTAACTGAGTATTTATCATGTGCTGGGTCTTGTGCGAAGCCCATCACGTGTGGAACCTTTTCTATAATCCTCATAGTGACCTGTTGAGAAGATGTTTCTATTTTTTAAATGAGGAAACAGCATAGAGCTTGAAAGTGGTAAAGTGGGAATTTGAACGGAGGTAGTTTCACTCACATGCTCTTATGTTCTACTCTATGTTGCCTCACGTATAAATAATTCTGTAGAAATAGATTTCTGGCAGTGGAATTACTGTCAGGTGCTACCAGATGCTGGCTTCCCAAAGGTTTTGCCAAGTGTTACTCCCAATAACTGTCTAAGAGTGCCTGTTTCCCCACACCTTGAGTAAGCCTTGGTTATCAGTCTTACAAAAATATTTTGCCAAAAAGTTTCTGCTTCTTTGTCAGCAAGTTTTCTGCATCTTGTGCACAGGCTTCCTCTGAAGGCCGTATTTTTTTTTTTTTTTTTCTGGGTGAGGTCAACTTTTTCTTAGAGTCCATATCTTCCTGTTTCTTGATTAACTTTCTCATTTTGCTAGCATTTGTCTCTAAGCTCCTTTCTAGGAAAAAATGTCTAAGAGGTGAGCCATTGCATGTCTAAAGTGGGTTATGCGCTTACATTTGATGAACTATTCAGCTAGATACAGAATTCTAGATTGAAAAGTAGTTTTCTCTTAGAACTTTGAAAGCAGCTCAGTTATTTTCTGGCATCTGATTTTGCTAATGAAAGGTCTGATGCCAGTCTGATTCTTGTTCCTTTTTTATATAACCTGTTCTCTGCATCCCCTTCTCTCAACACACTCTGGACACTTAGGATCTTATTATTCTTGGTGTTGTAAAATTCGACAATCCTGTACCTGTATCTAGGTCTTCAGTCAGTTATTCTGCTTGGTACGTAGGCGATCCTTTCAATTTTTGACATCTCTCTTTTATGTTTTTTTACTTTATTTGTTCTTTCTTTTCTCTGGAGGTTCTTTGTTTCTCTAATACCTTTCAGCTGTATTTGCATCGTCTGTATTGGTCCTCTGTATTTTTTTCCCTTTCTCTATTATTTTTCCTGCATTTATATTTTACTCACATTATGTCAAGCATATTTTAATTTCTGAAAGCTCTCTTTTGCTTCTGTTTCATAGAATCCTTTTCATGTTTTCTGGATGTGAAGTATTTTCATGAAGCTCTCTGAAGATATCAATATAATTTTTATTCATTTCTTCATTCACTTTCTAGTCCCTGAATCATCTCTTTTCTCCAGTGACAGATTTTTTTCTTAGTCTTTCATCTACATGTTTCAGGCTTTTTTCAAATGTCTTACGTTTGTTGGCTGTCAGTTTGTAGTTGAAGATGTGGATGTAGGGAGGTTGAGTGGCAGCTCTGTGGTTTGAGGAAGGTTTGGCTTCTCATAAGCATCACTAAGGATAAGTAGGTAAATCTGGCTGGTAGGATGAGGGTTTTTAAAATGCTAGAATGAAGAGGTCTTGTCTTGGCTACCGATTTCTAAATTGACTATCCTAGTTTTACCCAGACTGTTCTTTCACTTACTTTATAATAAAGATCCCTTCAATATTTTGCATGGGGCACTTCCTGGATTTAGGCCCTTCTATATTTGAAGATGGGGTAGTGTTCAACCAGTTTGTATACAGACCTTTAATTAATTCCTTTCTTTTTAATTAGTTTAGATTTAACTAATCCCTCTACTGTCTTCTATCATCTATGAACTTTTGCTGCCTCTGAGCTAAGGCCCAGCTGGGCCGGTTGGCTGCCTCTGATGGAACTTCCTCCACATGTTTTCTAGGTGGTGACATTCTCTAGTGTTTTATTAGTCACTTAGCTTTTTGTCTTTTAGAATTTGGTTGACGTCTCTTGTTTATTGATTTTTTTTCCATTCCCTTTGTTGTTTGTGAATTTACATACTTCGACATTTTTTCTTTAAAAAAATTGTGAAATATTTGAGCATACAGAAAAGTAGAGAGAATATTTTCACCAACTCTTGTTTGAGTGGGCACTTTTCGTGCTTTTTGGGCAGCTAGCACTGTTTGAACACCTGCTTTTTGGCAACTTCCCACTCTGTGGATCTCGCCTTACCCAGTAGAAGAATGAAATTTAATCTCCTGCCCTTCCTTGCAGCTGTGGCTCAGACAGGTAGCATGGGCTCACCAATTAGACATAACTGTGTGAAATCTGGAAGCAAGTACTTTGCAGACAAGAGTAGTATGAGATACATTTTGTTGAACGGAGCAGTGATGTGGTTTTCAAGGCAGCAGTGGCAGAGGTCCCATGTAATGGTGCAAGGTGTGGAGGCTTTGCTTAGCAGTTTTTCCCCCGCAGCTGCTCCAAGGTATAAAAATGGGCATTTTTGGGGGCTCCGTAGTCCTGACCTCCACGCCTGTGACTTGTGAGCCATTTTATTCTGTTTGTTTAAACTAGCTAGTGTAGATCCTGTTGTTTGTAACCAAGAGTGTTGACATACAGCCACTATTTAATTGTAACCACTGTCAACCTTTTTCCTTATTTCCTTCAGATCCTTTTGTGTTTAAATAAAGGAAAAGCTGCACATCCATTGAAGGTCTTGTTATGTCATTTCCTTCCTCTCAAGAAGAACCACTATCCTGTTTGTACCTGTCCTTACTCTTCATGATTTTATATTTTTTTTTACTACAATCCATAGTATTCTCTGTGTTTTAAAACTAAACATAATTGGTTTCATAATATATATCCTTTTGCAATTTGCTTTTATTGCTCATCATTGTTTTTTATGTATAGCATGTTGATACATGTAAAGAGTACATTCATTTCAACTGCTATATAGTATTTCATTATATGATTAATCCCATCATTAATTCATTTTCTTATTGATGACCACTGAGGATGTCATTGGCTTTTGAGTATTACAGTATCGCAGAAAATATCCTTGTGCGTGTTTCTTTGTGTACACATTTGATAATATCTCCAGGGCCTGTACCACAGTGGACCATGCATCTTCAGCTTTACTAAATATTAATTGGCTGCCACAATAGTTGTACCAGTTTACTCTCTATCAGCAGTATGAGCATTCCCATTTTCTCCACTCCCTCATTAACATTTATTATTTTCAGACATTCAGATATTTTGTTGGTTGAATATGCACGATCCTATCTCATTTAATTTGCTTAATACTGAGCATATAGTACCAATAAGCATCTCTTCATTTGTTTTTATGAATTACCAGTTTACAACCTTTGCCCCTTTTTACAATTGGATTTTTGGGCATCTCATATTAATTGTGTGTGTGTGTGTGTGTGTGTGTGTGTGTGTGTGTGTGTATATATATAATAGTGTATATATATAAGATATATATATATAATTTTTTTTTTTTTTGAGACCAAGTCTCACTCTGTTGCCCAAGCTGTAGTGCAGTGGCATGATCTTGGCTCACTGTAGCCTCTGCCTACTGGATTCAAGCGATTCCCCTGCCTCGGCCTCCTGAGTAGCCAAGTAGCTGGGATTATAGGCAAGTGCCACCACACCCAACTAATTTTTATATTTTTAAAGTAGAGATGGGGTTTCACCATGTTGGCCAGGCTGTTCTCCAGCTTCTGGCCTCTAGCGATCTGCTCTCCTTGCCCTCCCAAAGTGCTAGGATTACAAGTGTGAGCCATTGCACCTGGCCAGTTCTTTATATTTTTAGAAAGTGAAACCCTTGTGGGCCAGGTGCAGTGGCTCACTCCTGTAATCCCAGCACTTTGGGAGGCTGAGGCAGATGGATCACCTGAGGTCAGGAATTCGAGACCAGCCTGGCCAACATGGTGAAACCCCGTCTCTGCTAAAAATACAAAAAATTAGCTGGGTGTGGTGGTGCGTACCTGTCATCCCAGCTACTTGGGAGGCTGAGGCACAAGAATCGCTTGAACCTGGGAGGTGGAGGTTGCAGTGAGCTGAGATTGCACCAGTGTACTCCAGCCTGGGTGACAGAGTGAGATTCCGTCTCAAAAAAAAAAAAAGAAAGAAAGAAAGTTAAACCGTTGTCACTACAAATATTTCTTTTGTCTGGCTTACCTTTTAATTTTGTTTATATCGTCTTTAATTTTAAGGTAGACAGTTCATCTTTTCCTCTATGATTTATGTTTATGAAATTTAAGAAAGCCTTCCCTAACTTGATATTATAAAGCAGCCTACTGCATTGTTTATTTTAAAGTCTTGATTTTCACATTTAATTGTATAATTTATTTGAAGTTTGTTTTTTGCATATAGAGTGAGGAAAGGGACCTAATTTTGAATCACCCTCTCCTCCACAAGGATAGGCAGTTATTCTGGACCATTTATTTCCTGTCTACTCTTTTTCTTTTTTTTTTGTGATGGAGTTTCACTCTTGTTGCCTAGGCTGGAGTGCAATGGCGTGATCTCGGCTCACTGCAGCCTCCGCTAGCCGGGTTCAAGTGATTCTCCTGCCTCAGCCTCCCGAGTAGCTGGGATTACAGGTGCCTGCCACCACGACCAGCTAATTTTTGTATTTTTAGTAGAGACGCGGTTTCACCATGTTGACCAGGCTGGTCTCGAACTCCTGACCTCAGGTGATCTGCCTGCCTTGGCCTCCCAAAGTACTGGGATTACAGGCGTGAGCCACCGTGCCTGGCCTATTTCCTCTCTATTCTTACTGATTGTGCCATGCTGTCATATAAAAGGTTCCTTTCAGTGCCTGGGTCTGCTTCATTGGTCCATTTATCTGTCCATGTACCACTGTAGTAACACCGTTTTAACAACTATAGCTTTATAACAAGTTTCAATTTCTCTTATGGTGAGTTCTCCTTTCCTATTCTTTTTCAAAATTTTCATGCTTATTGTAGGGTCAGCTTGTTAACTTCTTAGTTGTCTTAAAATCTGTTTTGTCTGGCTGGGCGCGGTGGCTCATGCCTGTAATCCCAGCACTTTGGGAGGCTGAGGTGGGCAGATCACGAGGTCAGAAGATTGAGACCATCCTGGCTAACACGATGAAACCCCGTCTCTACTAAAAATACAAATACTAGCCTGGTGTGGTGGTGGGTGCCTGTAGTCCCAGCTACTTGGGAGGCTGAGGCAGGAGAATGGCATGAACCTGGGAGGCGGAGCTTGCTGTGAGCAGAGATTGTGCCACTGCACTCCAGCCTGGGCCACAGAGTGAGACTCCATCTCAAAAAGAAAAAAATCTGTTTTGTCTGATAATGGCATTCATACGTCGGGTTTCCTTTTAATGGTACATATTTTTCCATTCCTTTCAACTTTTTCATGTCATTATTTTTTAGATTTTCTCTTAAGAGCATACAGAAATCTTTTTTTTTTTTTTCCTTTCTTAAACCCATTCTCCTAAAATGATTGTGGATTTGGCGGTTTCTCCTATGGCTAAATCAGCATTTGCTTATTTTATTTTAAGATGATTTTGTTAGCACTGTGTATTCTGTTTTGGGATTTTTAAACGTGCTGATAAATTGCTTCTTTTTATCATTTAAGTAATGATCCTCTCTATCTCGGTAATAATGATTTTCTCCTTTAATCTAGTTTTCTTAATCTATTTTTTAGAAAATCAGGTTCTATTGTTAATACTAGTTTTTTTTTTTTTTTTTTTTTTTTTTAGTGTTTACCTGGTATATTACTTTCAGCATTTTTATGTTGTTAGGTTTTAAGTCTGTCTTTTGTAAATAGCATAAAACTTATTTTCCTTTTAAATCTAGTCTTTGAATTACTGTCTTTTAGTAGATAAATTTTAATTTGTATTCACTTTACTGTGATTATCATTTCTTTGCATTATTTTTTTCTCCTTTCCTGTCATATGTTGGATTAATCCAGTTTTCCTTATTTTCCCTTTCTTTTTACTTTGTGTTTTAGAAGTTAGTATTTCATTCATAGGTGTACCATTATTTATTCCCTATTTATGGTTGATTTTTAATTTTTGTTACTATACTAATACTTCAGTTAGTAGCCTTGTACATATATAATTCCACACGTGTGCTGGTAGCTCTGTAAAATACATTGTTGTACTTGATTCCAGGTCAAAGAGTATATGTATTTTAACTTTTAATAAATATAGATAGTCTTTTAAAGATAAATTTATCCAATAAGCAGATTTTATATGTCATATGTGATTACATATATTGAAGGAAAGGGGAAATATTTTGTTTTAGGAGTGGCTACTACTGCAGTGTTATTTTTGAAGCATCTCAAAATTGGTTATTATGTCAGGATTGCCTGTTGAGAAAAAAATTCTGCAGACAAAATTTCATATATTTATAATATATGAATTTTTATATTTATAATATTTCATATATTTATAGTAATGAAATTTCTTAAAGCAAACATGGATACTGCCTTCCTGATCTGCAGGATTTAGGGAAAACCAAACTGATGCTTGAGCGTCTGTAAGGAATCCATACAAGTCAACTTGAAAAACAATTTCTCAAATTGGGACACGCATATGCCAGGTATAGGCAGTCCTCAATATTGGAACAAGTTGAATTTCCAACATCAGTGGGTACTTAGATACATTTTCTCATTCAATTTAAGCAACTGAGCAAGGTCCTGAGCTGGGTGTAATACCAAAAAATTGAAAAGGATTCTCCTTTCCTACAGAAGCTCAATCTAGAAGAGACGATAATGTATACACAAGTAACAAACCAAACGTGGGGCACAATGCGAAGCACGTTTATGGAGGAGCTATAATCTGCTTTGGGAGTATGGAGGAGAAAGATCACTTTTGGCTGTAACCCTTTTTGGAGTTCTTTTACTATGTGCTTGGCCTGGATTAAGGGAGCACATTGCTGAGTGGCCAGCATTTGAGAAAGGACAGAATTTTCCTAAGTGGAGACTGGGTATGATTGTTGAAGCCTTGCAGCACAGGTGAAAGGGTGAGATGGGATGGCAGTGACATTTGTGGCTGTCTCATTAGTCAACCCACTCCTTGCAAAGCAAGAACTGGCACCCAATTCCTTCTCATTGACTTTCCCTCTCTGTTGCACTAGGCAGCAGCTGATAGATTGGGGTTAGTATCAGGTCATTGGTTGGTTGCAGCTTTTGGTAGAACATAGGGCAGCTGGTTTTGGGGTGGTGGGTCGGGGGAGCGGGGGAAGTCAGGTGTATTTTATTGAGGTGGTTAGGATGGTTTTGGTGATGAGAGATGATGAAACTTCATTGGAATTTCATTGCTGCTTATCTCCAGAGAGGTCAACCACAAGACATCTCTTATTACTTAGCCTATGTTGCAGACTCTCATTACACAGTGAATAGTGTGTAAACAGATCCATATGTTGCAGGATTTCTGCTGAGCACCATTCCTAGTAGCCACATCAACAGTAGCATCGTATATAAAACCACTACTTCCTCAGAGTTGGTTTAGGAACCACCTGAATCTGAACTACCTGGTCAGCCTGTTAAAAATGTAGTGTCCTCAGCTCCATTACAGTATTAGAATCTCTGGGAGTGGGAGCCTGGGAGCTTGGGAACATGCATCTTGACAAGCTTCCCAGGTGAGAATCCTTTGATCTTCAGTTATATGTAGAACTTTTCACTGTGATGAACTTTTATTTACCAAAAATCATTTCTTTCAGCTTAGTGGTATAGTGAAAATGAAATGTTCACTGTATTTAAACTCATTTCTGTTTTTAGACTTGGACTTAGAAAACTAATGGTGTGATTAAGTCAGTAAACATTTGAAAGGGATATGAATATGCAAGATCGTGTTTCATCCCTCAAGGATATCACTTCTTCTATTGCAGTCATTTATACCCCAAAGTAAGTAAGGACATACTATGTTAAGTGCTAGTGAACTGGGAAATCCCTGAGCATTACAGAGAAGGGCGGAAGAGTGACTGAATGTAGAGAAGACACCACTGTGATGACATTTGAGGAACCCACCTAAAAAATTCCAGTACTTGTATGTCTTAGATGAATGAAGACTAATACTATTACACTTAGATTTGTTAAAACACTACAGTAACAGGCCGGGTGCGGTGGCTCACACCTGTAATCCCAGCACTTTGGGAGGCTGAGATGGATGGATCACCTGAGGTCAGGAGTTCGAGACCAGCCTGGCCAACATGGTGAAACCCCGTCTCTGCTTAAAATACAAAAAATTAGCTGGGCGTGGTGGTACGCACCTGTAATCCCAGCCACTTGGGAGGCTGAGGCAGGAGAATCACTTGAACCCGGGAGGCGGAGGTTGCAGTGAGCCAAGATCATGACATTGCACTCCAGACTGGGGGACAAGAGCGAGACTTTGTCTCAAAAAAAAAAAAACCACCAAAAACCAAAACCAAAACAAAACAAAACAAAACACTACAGTAATAGAAAAAAAAAAAATCCTTATGTGAACATTATTTCACTTACTCTTATTGCTATGGGAGAATTTGAAACCCAAAGTGGAAAGTTAAACTCTTATGTGCAAGTTTTTCCTGCTGGTTTCACTGTTTTCCAGTTATTATTAGTAGAGAACCACATGCTCAGTCAGCTTTTTGTGCTTGTGTCCCATGTATGGACTCTATTATTTTTCTTTAAGCTCCCTTTTCACGTTTCCTCACTTTCTTGAGGTATTTGCTATCATCTATTTTCAGAAAATTTCTAATATTCTATGTTCTGTATATATTCTTCAGTCCTCTGACTTGACTTTTTCCCTCATATTCCTCTATTTTTTTTCTCCTTAATTTTTTAGCTACTGGGTCCATCTAACTGATGACAGTGAATACGAAAGGCTTGGTCTTGAATTCCGTAAATTTCTGGGGAAGTGGGTCAGATCCTAGATAAATCTCTTAACATTTTGCAATTTTTTAAAACCATCCTTAGTTTGTAACTTAAACACAAACGCGCGCGCACACACACACACACACACACACACACACACACACACATATACATATATATACCTTGTTACTTACCCCTTCCTCCAATCCAAACACAGACTCAGTCTTGCTCATGCTCCAAGAATTTTTGTAATGACTGGTCAGGAGGAATCCCTCTAAGATGAGGAGATAGGCAGTCAGAAGCCTAGGTGGGCTGGGCGTGAGAGAAAACCCAGGAACCCTGGTTCTTTGGGTCGTCACCACGGGATTGATTATAGTTAGTTTGGAGCTAGAGTGTCTTTGGGGAGATCTGCTATGGTAGATCATTTGATTTAAATGACTGAAATGTAAAAGTTTGAAAGTTTGTGTTTAACACTTAATGCATAATAGACATTGTGCTTTTCACATGCATGATTTCATTTAAGCCTACATCTTATGAAATATGAAATATATTCATCATTTTATTGATGAAGAAATTGAGGCTTAGAGGAAGATTAAGTAACTTTCCAAAGCTTCATGTGAGTGTACCCAAATGCTCTTCAAATAAGGCATTTCCCAGCACAGCTTTTCTTTAAGTGCCTTTGTAATGTTTATAGCTTTTTATTGTAACAGCAGGAAGGTTATACTACAATAGTTTATTCCAGTCCTAATGTTCTATGACTTTGTGTCTTTAGGCAGCAAGCAGGATTTTGAAGAACTGGGACTCAAAGCAAGGAGTCCTCTTGTAGATATACAGTGGCAGATAAAATGAATTGAACAGACACTTTTTTTTTTTTTTGAGATGGAGTCTCACTCTGTCACCCAGGCTGGAGGGCAGTGGCACGATCTTCGTTCACTGTGAACTCCACCTCCTGGGTTCAAGTGATTCTTCTGCCCCAGCCTCCTGAGTATCTGGGATTACAGGCACGCACCACCATGCCTAGCTAATTTTTGTATTTTTAGTAGAGACGAGGTTTCACTATGTTGGCCAGGGTAGTGTAGAACTCCTGACCTCAAGTGAACCACCCGCCTTGGCCTCCCAAAGTGTTGGAATTATAGGCGTGAGCCACTGTGCCTGGCCTGAAGAAACACTCTTGAATGTGTTCTACCTACATGGGAGCTCCGTGGAGCCACAAGCTCATTCCAGGTGTTAGGAGAAGAAATTTGTGTTGGCAGCACATACAACTTGAACAGAAAGTGAGGAGAAGAAATTTGTCTTGGCAGCACATACAACTTGAACAGAAAGTGGGGCAAAGCCAAATGGGTATTCTTACATGAGAATACTGTGTCCTAGGAGTCAGGAATGTTCCCTTTAGTGTCCTCATAATTTTCTTCCATTGTCTTTTTTTGGCAGATAGCTTCTGGAATTATAATTTGTACTTTGCAAAAGAAAATGGGCCATAAAAATTATTTTAAATCAACTAAAGACTCATGAGATTTATTTGGTTACAGTGAATAACCTGGACAAAATGTTGAGAAGAGTTGTTAAAACAAGTTTACATTAAATATACTAACAATTACGTTTGGTTACATATTTGTAAGTGATGGTTATTTAGAAAAACTGCATAGAAATCCAAACCTTAAATATTCTGCAAATCAAATCATTAGCTTTTCTCTTCTCTAATAAAGTAGGGTGACTAGTTCTTGGATTAATCTAACTATAACATTAATGTAGCACTTGATTATCTTATGGAATAATTCTCTATCTCATCTAAGCCTCACAACAACCTTGTAAAGTATTATCCCCATATGGAGGAAGAAACAGGCTTAGAAGTGGAAAGGTAGATTCTCTGCTCGCACAACCGTATTATGTGGCTAAGCTATTGAACTTGAACCTAGATTTGGGACTTCATTTCAAATATGAAATTTTTTGATTAAATCTTTTTATCTTGTATGGAAAAAATATCTCATTAGCTGTCAGATGTTATTTACCCTGCTAACTGTTAAAAATATTTCATTAAAAAAATTCAGCTTCATAGCCTTTCAGTTTCCCTTTAAGAGTCAAATAAAAGTATTAATTTTAAACTGAAGTTGCCTGAACAGAAAATCGTTACCTGGGGGAAAGTACCAGTTTCTAAATCTTTTAAAAAACGTTGCCAGACAATCCATGATATAACTGGAGGTTAGTAGTCCTTCTAATTTTTAACTACAAAAATATTATAGAAATTTGTGTTTAGCCCACATTTCTAACAGTTGAATCAAAGGTGTTTATGAACATTATAATGAACAAGCCAAAACCTGCAATTAAGAATGACATGAATATATTTTCTGTTAATGATAAAAACAAACATGGGCTTGACATTTAAATGAAAATGTTTGCATTTAGGATACTACTGATAAATCTTTTAAATAACCTTACTTTCAAAACTTAGTTTAAGGTTGAACATCCCAGTGACCAGATTATGATTAACAGATTGAAAAATGATAAAGCCTGAAGTCTAAGTTTATCCAGCAGGGTGACTCATGCTTCTTTGTCATCCTCCCACGGCAGCAATTTGTTCCATGTGAATGCTAGTAACAGGCATCATACACTGTTAATGCTAATATGTAGGAGTCAGTTGGAGGCAAAAACCCCTATCACGATTAGCATTAACAGCATACAGCCTACAGCAAGCCTTCAGCACTCAGAGGATGAGGCATAAAGAATTTAAACCACAGATTTCCCCTTCCTGGTTTGTGCCACCTGCAAGAGAGAAAGAAATGTTTGTGTATGCACATGCGGTTATAAAGCTGGAGTGACAGCATATAGTAAATCTGAAAGGAAAATAGTCCATTTTCTGTTGAAAGGAAGGAGCTCATTAAATCCTTGGAAGTAATTTTTTGAAAGTGGTAGAGAAATTGGCAATTAAAAGATGACATTGTTACCTTTAGGCATATTTGAAGACTTTGAAAATTATGTTTTAAATTCTATTCTCTAGTTTTGAATCGGGTACACATATGTATCATCTTCTTTAAATAAAAAACAAAAACCGCTCTTCGGAGTTTTCAAATGCCAAAATGCAAAGAGGAAAGCTTGCATTCTGACACAGTACAGTTTTTTTTTTTTCTGATTTGTACTTCATCTAGGAGCTAGACAATTAAAGGCCCAAATGTTCAAAATAGTCCTTTATGATTTATGAAAATTAAAACCCAATTAACCTGTTTTATAAGGGTAGGGTTCAGGCTGAATTTTTCTTTCTGTAATACATAGTTGAAGTTTTACCTTTATTCTTTCAGGAAATGTGATACAAGCAATGGAGGTTTGCCTACAAACGAATCTATCTGAAAATGTCCCCGTCTACTATTTAGAGATTCCTTTGGGGAAAGCACTACCCAGTGGCTTTGGTTTTGACTACATAAAGGAAGTATGACTTAAAGAGTCCTCTGTGTTTCAAACTACTTGTCTTAGGCAGAGGGTTGATTAAAAAAAAGAACAAGATGAATTTGCTACTTCCTTTTAGAGTCTGATTTTACTCTCTCAGATAAAGTGACATTTCTCCCACAGGTTTCTGATTTCAGTGTTACTATAACAGAACCTAGAAGTTAGAGTATCATTCAAGTATGTGGTCTCCTGCAGTACAAGAGGGGAATCACCTTTTCTTTTATTTAATAATGAAACCAGCTAGATATAAAAATGTGACTAAGTTCAAAAGAAACGTATGAAGTAAAAAATTCCCCAGTGAATATATTTTGACAGGGCAGAATATCGTGGTTTGGAAATTTCCAAACCAAGGAAATATATTATTCTTACTGATAGTATTTTTTTTTAAACTTTACTGTTTTCTGAGATGAATTAGTTGATGATGAAAAAATTTGGGTTAAATGATGTCACTTCAGGAATTCAATTCATTTTACAGAATTTCAGTCAATAAAGATTGTAAAAACAAGGACTTTTTTTCCCCCTTACAGGGTCCTGGACACAGTAAATGCTCAATAAATACATATTAATAATGTAGTGTTAGTGCCACCCCAGCCAATATAACTCGCCCTTTTCTTAAAAGATGTGTTTAATTTGTATTGAAGGTAAATTGCTGGCATACTATTCTACCCATAAATTTTATTCCTGTTCTTTAAAGATAACATATGAGCACAGGTATTAAAATAAATATATTTAGTATACTAATTAGCTTTTTCCCTCTTTTTAAATATACATACGAATTGCCTGATTAGAGCACTCAGAAAAGTGACAGTGTTTTTGATAATGTGTTATATATATTAAAAATTCTAATAGCTTTTTTTATTTGTTCAAACTCTAAATGTATATTGAAATAAAACATGTCACACAGGTCCCCTTTTGTTCTCAAACACAACCTTGTCATACAGGCATGATGAATTCCGAACACTGCAGAGAAATGAGAAGTTTGTCTAAATATACTATAGAACCTTAGGTCATATTTAAAACACAATGATAGATGAAAAACATTAATGAACAGAAGAAAGGAGAAATATCCCAGAAAAAAAAAAAAATATATATATATATATATATATTCTACAATTTAAAAATAGTAGACTTTTAAGGACATTAGAATGACTAGAAGGTCATTCATTCATCAGTGTGGAGTCTATGTCCACTTCCAGTGTTTTTGACTGGGCTAAGCAACCAACAACAGAATTGCTATATGCCTGAGTGGGAATTAGTGGTCATAGACAACAAAGGCCAGTCTATTAGCCAAGGCACTGGGCAGAGGGTGCTTTCATGAGGTAATAAGAAATAAAGTAGTTCTTTCTGGAATCGGTGTGGCCACCAGCTGGTAAAGTGGCAGGGGAAGAATTATACACAATTATAGGCCTGACAATCAGTAGTGACAGTGCTAACCAAGTAAGAATGTGACAAGCATAATGTTTAATGTATAGCAATGCAAGAGTAATTTATATGAATTATATATTAGAAATTAGACTGGGGTCTTTGACTAGGTAGTTCTGCAGATATACTTCCAGTCCCCTCACTCCACAATACTTCTTAGGCCTACCACATGAAATATCCATTGTCAGTATAAGTTTTACTGTGTAGCATAGGTTCCAAGTTAAATGTTCTTAACAAATTACTACACACTGTCTGAGTATCAAAATCATTCCTTCTCACAGTAGGTAAAAATCTACCAAGAGGAAGCACTATGTATACTAGATTAATGATAACACCAAGGATCTTTCATTATATGACAGGCAATTCTTCCTCTGGTGCTAAGAATGAAGCTGAAGGTGGCACTTTGGGAAATTTTTCCTTAAATTATGCTTTCCTGAAGGACAATTTTTTTGGGGGGGGTGGAGTGTGAGCATAAGATTTAAGAATATCTGGCTGGGTGTGGTGTCTCATGCCTGTAATCCTAGCATTTTGGGAGGCCGAGGTGGGCGGATCATGAGGTCAGGAGTTTGAGACCAGCGTGACCAACATGGTAAAACCCCGTCTCTACTAAAAATACAAAAAAATTAGCTAGGCGTGGTGGCGCACGCCTATAATCCCAGCTACTCAGGAGGCTGAGGCAGGAGGATCACTTGAACCTGGGAGGCAGAAGGTAGTAGTGAGCCGAGATTGTGCCACTGCACTCCAGCCTGGGCAACAGAGCAAGACTCTGTCTCCAAAGAAAAAAAAAGATTTCAGAATATCCTTTTATTCTTACCTTGTTGATTTGCCAGGAAAGACGTTATCAAAACTATATATTCAGAGCATAATATGTCCTAAGTTTGTCATTAAAGTTCTGGTTTTCCTTCAAAAATTTTTTATTGTGGTGAAATATGTAATGTAAACATAATGTAAGTTTAACATCTTCACCATTTTTAAGTGTACAGGTCCGCTATATTAAACACTTAGTCATAATGTTCTACAACTATCATTATCATCCATCTCCATAACTCTTTATCTTGTAAGGATCTCATTTTATGTCTAAATCATAGGTTATATTCTTCTACAATTATATATATTTCTATATTGCTGCTTATTCTCAGCACCAACCATTTAATATTTGCATACCAAAGGAACTGCACACCATAAAGTTTTCTTTAAAAAAAGTTACAGTGGTCGAATTTCATAACCAAAGCGATTGTGGGATAGCTCTAATTTTATTTACCTTGAAATATACAAATAATTTAAAACTATTAATTTGTTGTTACAAATCAACTGTACATCTATTTTTACTGAAAGTCATCTTATATTGATGTAGCAATACAAATTCTAGGTCCAAAGCCATTTTAGTAGGTGAAATGGAATGTAATTATGTTGTTGAAAATTAAAGTGATTTAGTTTAGGTAACTTTCTCTGCATATTTTCCCACTTTAACATTTATGTGTACCAATCAAAAACATAATCATTAAGATGGAATAATGTTGATTCCTATTTGGATCAGTTTGCTAAAAGCAATTAGCATATACTTGTATATGTGGAAACAGTATCTGCCTTTTCTATCAGAATTTATTCTGATTCTCTATATTCTGCCGCTGCAGTTTTGGTTTACATCATGGAAGTAAGCAGTGATTAATGCAAGTGTATAAAAATCAGGATTCTGTGAAACTTTGGACTTGTCATAATCTTTAGAATAACAACGATTTCTTGGTTACCTTTTGAGGTAGAATCAAAAGTTGAAAGCGGCTGCCAACTTGGTGCCCCAATGACCTGCCTTTATAAAAACTGCATCTGTCAGCGTGTTTCCCTTCCCTTTTACTTAAGATAGAATTCCTTACCATTAGAGCCATCTCCATTGGGTGGGAGAGCCAAGGTGACAGGTAAGGTCTCTGGTAGGTTGTTCTTGAAATGCAGACAAGTTATCTGGGGAAAAAGGGTTGGGGTTGAAGTTGACACATCACCTTAGATGTGTTTATTAGGTTAGTTAGTCATCTTTGAAAGCAGAGGTGAAGGGCTGAGGAGAGAGGACCCGGGATAGGTGGATTTTAATGGGAATAAAGAGTAATTTAGAGGAAAGATAAGGATGTACCCCAAATAGTTTGATAGCTCAATAGTTTTTTATTTATAATTTAAGCTCACACTTTTCATGTCCAGCATAAAGCAGCAACAAATTAAGTATTTAGACTATCATCTGAGTTTTAGTTCTCTGAGTTTCAACCTCTCTACATGCTGTAAAATGTCATATAAAGTGTTTAATTTCTCAGAAATTCTTCAGGAAGACTTGCAATGTTCTCTGACAAAAAGAAAATCCAAATGACTGCCTTTCTAAAGTGTATTCATTTGTGTAAAGTTTATCACATATTTTCTGTAGAATATGATTCTGTGTTACATCTCAATAACTGACATTAAAGATGAGTCAACTTCTCTGCTACCAGGGAATGAGGTAAAGAGTATTATGTTTCCTCTTGACTTCACATGAGTTCCATCATTAACAAGGGATTGATGGTGTGACTTACTACTGATTGAGATGGTGGCCAACTGGCGTCACATCTTCTGAAGTACACAAACTCATCTTTAAAGGTAAAAATGGATTGTTCTGTAGGAATAACTTATATCCTGAAATCTTGGTGAATGATAAGATTACCACTTTTCAGATCATTAACTTTACATATAAGAAAAATTCCCTGAGTAAGCCATTGCTGGGGGAAAAATTATAAACTTTTCATGTCATGATACTTTATTTATTTCCATAAAAACTTAACATCACTTCTTGATATTTTCTAATTGAGAGCTCTTTATTGAAAAATAGCAACTTTCTAAATTAAGAGCTCCTTATTGAAAATAGCAGTTTGTGCACACAATAGCATAACATTCTTTTCTGTATTTTGAGAATTAAGAAAATAAATGTTTTTAAAGATATATGCCAATAGTGATATTTAACACATAAAGGTGTGATGTATTTTTGAAGTGTCTTAGAAGAAAGCCAATGTGGATATTGCAGGGTCACTGTGGAAATGTGTATCAGTGACCGTTTAGTTGTAAATGCACAAAAGAGAAAGAATGTCAGCCTTAGAGGATTATCCTGCTTTTCCCAATTTTAGAACCAGGAAGTTTTTACTGAAATGGCTTTGTGGAACTTACTTACAAGCTAAGTAACCTTCCCAGTAGTTTTATTATGGACAGTAATTAGTGCTTTCGCTTTTCTGATGAAGATGTGTAAAAAAAAACAGGTTAGGAATTTCCTCTCCCCCACCAGACTCATTCTGTGGAATAAGCAGAAGCAGGACGACAGCCAGCTGGAGTCTGACTGCAGGGACTCGCTTCCTCAACACCCTGACCTCACACTGGCTCAGCGGAAGGTCTGAACTGTGCTGAAATGTTATAGAACAAATGTGAATAAAGCTGTGGGTAGGGAGGGGAGAGCTAGTGGGAGAGATACATTCTGTTGCTTTAAGTGATGGCCATTCTTTCTTATTTCTTGTTTCCACAAAACGTTTTCCATTTGCCTAACAAACTTCTTAATATATTTCCATAAGAGAATTTTAATACTTTTTTAAATTTATAATTTGATTTTGATGTCTTTTCTCCCTACTCCCAGGGAACAGAAAATAGGGTAGCTGTTATTGCTCTGGAGTGTTTTGTCACCCTTCCATGACGCCTCCTCTGTGCATTTGAGTTCACTGTTTATGCTCAACACTGAATTTCAACAAAATGCCTCATTTGGAACTTATTATGTGTTACCTGTTTGTTTTTTGTATCCGTTTGCCTCTATCATAGGAAAAAATTGCTTTTCTATTTCTGTAAGCTACAGTTTATCTTTTTCTACTTCCACACACCATAATGGCCCCAAGCAAGGAAGAATTTGTGTACTAAGAACTATTTAAGGCAAATGATGTAAACAAAAGGTTTGGTTTTGCCTTTTTAAAAATTCATTGTCTTACACGGATGGGATACCCTGTGTTATAAGGCAAAGACCATTTACCTGTTACATTCCCGTGGCATTTGACCCAATGCTTTAACAAACCAAATGAGGGTCATGTTCACTGCTCCACAAGATGTCACCATACACACTCTTAGGCACTAGATACACCTACTTCAAGTTGTTCAAGTATGGACCCGTCCTCTTTGCCTTCCTTCTCTTGCCCTCTCAGATAGCGCACTCCTGGAGGCTGGCTTCTCATCTCCTGGTGGGACCCTGCTTCTCTGTCTTCCCCAAGGTGACTAGTCCTCACTCCATCCTCTGTCAGAGCACTTATCACACTGGATGGTAATTATTTCATGTGTCTCTTCTTAGTGCTGAGGTGTATGTGATGGCAGAGACTGAGTCTTCCCTCAGTGCTGGATATACAGCTGACAGATACTCACTAAATACCTTTGAATAAATGTTTGAGAGTCACCAAAAGCATTTCTATCTGCACAGTGGGCTTTTATTTGGCACTGGAGCATTTCAGGACTTAACTGATATGCAGGTTCTTGGAGAATTTAGTAGAAGCTTACAAATGTGGAGATATATTAATAAGATTTGTTGGCATTCCAGATTGGCAGTGGACCCTTTTTAGAAGATTCCAGGCTTGGAGCTCAGTCTGTCAAGTATAAGAAACAGAGTAAAGCTGGAGAATACTGGTAGAAATCATCGTCTGGACTTGTGGGTAAAAATTAAGTTTCATCCTTGATTTTTAAAATCACTCTTGGATGCCATAATCATGTCTTTTCATTGCATAGAACCATGTACTTGTTCTTAGGAGATCCGTGCTCAAGCATTTAGAAGTTAGATGCCAGGTTTGCATATAGATATAGACAGAGAGAGAGAGAGATGGGTAGGGATACAGAGAGATAAGCCAGTGTGGCAAATATTAACAATTAGCAAATCGAATTGAAAAGTAGGAGTGTTCATTGTTCTGTCGTTTTCAGCTTGCCTGGGTTCCATTCCAGACCCCACCAGTGTTACTAGCTGTGTGGTATTTGGCAAGTTAATAAACCTCTTTAGGGCTTAGTTGCTTCTCTGAAAATGGAGATAAAGAATAACCTATTCAAAAAGTCTTTGTGAAGATGAAGTGACAATGCAAAACATTTAGTTGGGTGCCAGCCTCATAATCAGGGCTCAGTGAATGTTAGCCATGATACTAATGACATCAGTCATCAATGCTTGGTGAGTACTTTGTAAGTACCCTACATCTATCACATGTTACACTTGCTATTTTAAAAGAACAAGCCCAGATACATTTACCACTGTATAATTGAACCATTATATAAATTAGAGGTTATCTACAAGCAGGTAAAAGCCAAGTTAAAATAATTATTTTGTTCATCCTAATCTTTAAGTCATAAAGTAACTGCTAAAAGGTACACCAAAATGTTTTCTTGGAAATAATTTTCAGAAGTATTTTAGTAGTTTTTCTTTTGGTTAAGGAGAAGGATATGCATTCTGAAACAAAAATTCTAAAAACCAAACAACTTTTTACCATGTCAGTGTGGTCTCTGAAAATTCATGACACAGTAAAATGTCTTTAAAACGTCTTTACTTTCTCAGACTGCATTTGTATCTCACCTTCCAAATTGATTTCTTATAATACACAAGATCATCTAGTGAAACAAAATAATAGCAAACACTTACACAGGCTCCCTCTGTGCCAAGCACCTAAGTGTTTGACGTATACTAACTCAGTTATTCCTCCTCACAACCTTAGGAATGAGTATTCACACCCTCCCCATTGAAACACAGGGGCCTTGAGGCACAGGCAGGTGAAATAACTTGCGCAAGGTTAATCAGTGGCTAAGGAGCATGCTGCTGGGATGCCTACCTGGGCAATCTGGCACCTGTTTCCCATGCTTGGAACCATTATTTGTGTGAGCATATAAAGGACCATAGCATTTTGTTAAGACAGCCAGGAACTTATAATTTGTGTAGAACACTCTTGTTTATGGAGAACTGGCATAAATGTCATTGTAGGGCACTGTTTCACCTTATCCAAACATCGGCCTCACAATTTCATTAAATCAGCTATTTGATATTCCTCACTAATCTTTCCTTCTGCCAGTGCCTTAACCCTGTCTACCCACACAAGGTAGCAATATCTGTGCTAATCTGTCCTAACAATTAGCACAGATATTAGTGATCTGTGCTAATTGGTTAATATGTCTGCTAATTGTTTCTCAGAATTAGCACAGATATTCACAATCTGTTTTAAACTACAGCCACTTAAGCTATGTTAAGCCTCACTTTCTGGTGAGTGTGTCACTGTGTGTAAGGGTGGTAATTTTAGGAATCACATCTTCTTCCACATTGCTGAGAGCCTTGGACTTGTGAGTGAGGATGCTGAACTGCTCAGACATATGATGTGCCTATTTGAGGATAGATGTGCTTTTGCACTGGTTTTGCTTGAGGCTCTGCATATTGTAAACCCAAATACATTGATTGATGGACAGAACAAGTGTTTCAGGGCAGATGAGAATTACACAGCAGTGATCATATTAAAAGCATTGCATTTCCTTAAGAGTCTGAGATAAGAAAATTTTTTTCATATATATGTGAAACTCGTATATGAAAGTTGTAGCTACTGAGAGGTGGGATAAAAAGAGGCTTTTAAAATTGTAATATTTTTCCTTGAAAAGTAGTGTTTCACAATTTTTTTATTCTATCTAATTTAAGGAAACATGTAACAGTTTTGAGTCCAGTAAGATCAGTGAAAGACAAAAATACATTCTATAGTGAATTATAGTGGTACTTACTTTGACTTACTTTGGACATAGAGGATATAAATTCACTAAGACCAGCTGTGTCTCAGGAGGTATATGAAAGTGAGCTTGGTAGTTACACTGGAATCACAGAATTTCATCAGTGTAAGGGATTTTAGAAATGGTTCAGTCCCTGCCACCCATCAACCACCCATCTTAGAGATGAGCAAAATGAGGCACAGAAATCTGCAGAGTTGGTCCTAGAAACAAACCATGGTTCTCAGGCCGGTGCTCCTTCCCCAGTATTAGACTTCTGCAGAGTGGCAGCCTGATATCAAAACAATAAGGCTGTTAAAATCAATAGCTTCAGCTAAGCAATAGCCAATGACTATCAAAAATGGAGACACCAGCTAGTTAAGGGCACTAGCTGGTGCCCAGTCCAAGTGATAGAGGTGCCCAGTCCAAGTGAAGGGCAAGAGTCTACATACCACTTTCCTCTATTCAAGCTATTTATGCCTACTAGGTTTAGAATACTGATTATGAAAGTGGACCCCCGAAGAGGGTCATGGCTGAGATTCAAGGAAGTCTCTAGCCTGCTAACATCGAATGCAAATTGGTGTGTGAGGATACACATTAACAAAAATTTTCTGGGAAGAGCATATAAAATTTCCATTAGATTCTCAAGGAGGTAGGAATAAAGGATTTTAGTAACTATTACTCTAAAATGAAAGAATTCCTTTAAATTGAATGGCAGATCTTAGTCATGACCTGAAAAGCTGATAAAAAAAAACTTTTCAAAAGTTAAAACCTAGGGCTTTTTGGGGTAGATTTTTTGATTTATAGAGGACTGGTAAGATGAGGTATTTAAAGATGAGGGTTACAAATTTTCCATGTTGGCATATGGAAAGTAAAGAATGGCAAAATTTGTAGCACATTCTAATTAGTTCAAATATCTATGTTACCAAAATTGAAATGATATCAAATTGCACAGCAATGTCCTGATGGCCTTTCCTCTAACTTTCTGGGTTTGTAAGGGTAGGGTTGTGCCTATCCTGCTCACCTTTGTCTCTCCAGTGTCTAGCATAGCGTCCAGCACAGGCAGACTATGATGCCTGTTTTTTTTTTGTTGTTGTTTTTTTTTTTTTTTTTTTGGTAAAGACCAGTGAATTACACTTTTTACACATGACTAGGTTAAAACAAAAGTAGACATTTGTGCAAACACCACTGTTCTCCCTTGAAGTGGTTGTAGGTCTCAGACAGTGCTAATTTTTCTCTTTCTTAATGTGTGTGGTTAGGAAGCTGGGTCCTGTGGCCAGAGTGAGCTGACCCACTATGTGAGGAAACTTACTTATCACAGCCTAATAAGGAGTAGTCCTTGCAGCAGAAGTAATTACTAAATGTGCTTTGGTCATTTGACAGAAATCAGGGAGGCAGCAAGGAGTCATGGAAATGAGCCCAAACTGAGAGTCAAAACCCTGTGGTCTGCCGACACCCCCATCCCACATCCGTACCTAAAAGCAGGCTGTGCACTAGGGACCTAGTGACCTTACTAGAAAAAACTCAAATTCTCTGAGCCACAAGTCCTCATGGGCAAAATGTAGATACCACCACCTAACCCTGCCAATTTCCTATCATTGTGACTATCAAATTAAACCACAGGCAGGAAGTTGCCTTGAAAACTTTTTATAGTGTATATTACTGTTCACATAGATAAGCAATTAACTTTACATATACCCGTTTTTAAAAGATCAGTCCTGTGATTAAAAGTCTGGCTGCCCTAATTCACTTCGATTATACATTAGGTTAAAGCCATATAAAAGAGGCACTACGTCTTCGGAGAGATGAATGGATATTACAAGCAGTAATTTTGGCTTTGGAATATACACATAATGTCCACTTGACCTCATCTATTTGACACAAAATGTAAACTAAATTATGAGCATCATTAGATACCTTGGCCTTTTCAAATCACACAGGGTCCTAGATCTGCTGTGTGATGCTGGAAAAGTAACTTCACTTCTGTGGGCCTCAGCTCCTTAATTTTTAACATACTTTGGATTCTTATATCTTTGTCAGCTGTCAACTTCAGTGTTTTCAGGTTAAATTCTATCCATAGTCATCCCAATATACCTGCTTTAGATGATACAAACTTCAAAAGATCCGGCTCTCCCTCGTAAAACGTGGAGGACAGACATCAAGGGGGTTTTGTGAGTAAAGAAAGGCAACCGCTCGGCAAAAACGCACCCTGGCACAACAGGAGCGAATAAATACAGACGCTGATTGAGCGTTTGCTCCATCTTCACTTCTGTTAAATGAAGACATTGATATCTAAAATGCTATGAGTCTAACTTTGTAAAATTAAAATAGATTTGTAGTTATTTTTCAAAATGAAATCGAAAAGATACAAGTTTTGAAGGCAGTCTCTTTTTCCACCCTGCCCCTCTAGTGTGTTTTACACACTTCTCTGGCCACTCCAACAGGGAAGCTGGTCCAGGGCCATTATACAGGTACGTCCCCAACCATCCAAGGAAACTTTGCAAAGAAGCTCAAGTATTAGGTTTCGAACACCCCTCCTTCCCCCTGCCTCTGCCCGCGGGAATCCATCCAGCGCAATCTCTGGTCCCGGGCGAGGCGACACCACTGAGTCCCCAGGGGGCACCCGCAGGCGCGCGCGGGACCAGGCCGGGCTCCACGGCCACGTGCGCGCTGCCCCCGCCTTGCCTCGCCAGTTAACCCGGCGGTGACCCTCGCACCGAAGTCCCCCGGCGTCCCTGCCACGTTCAAGAGAGGAAAGGCGGGCGGGAGCGCGAGACTGAAGTCGGCGTACCTGCAGTGCCAGGAGCGTCTCCTTGGTTCCCCGCGCTTGCTCTGCGGGCGGCTCGGGGCTCCGCTATCCGCTCCCTTCCCGAGGCTGCAGGCGGCGCTGGGCCCGGGCTCGGCCGCGCACAGGAAGCCCGCGCCTGCGAACGTGCGACCCTTTTATAACTCACTTGTGACTCATAACCGACCAGGCGCCTTTTCTGCAACCCCCCCCCCCTTCTCCCCCCTCCTGCCTGTTCTTGGAACCTACAGCTTGAAAAACTTTTTTCTTTTTAAAGGAAAAGTCGAAAAAGCCCAGCGCCCGGGTAGTTGGTGTTTTCCCCTTTCCCTTTCTCGTGGGTCATTGCGTGTGTGTATTTTTTTTCTCTCAACACACGCCGTGTACTTTCCTGCACCGCGCCGCAAGGCTTGGGCTCCAACCTTTGTTCTTAAAGAAAAGGAAACGCCTTCAAATGACGGCCCAGACGTCGCCCGAACTTTCAGTCGGCTGGAGGGGGAAGTGGCGACTTCTTGCAACTGGGTGGCAGGAGTGTCTCTACTCTCTCCTTGCAGGGAGCCCGAGAGGAGCAAGTGGGAGGTTTTTCCTCCTGGACCGAATCAGCTGGAGACCAGCAGGTCCCTAAGAGAGGAAGAAATGGTCTTCAGGCGATCCTGGATTTCATCCCTACCTCATCACCCTTCAAGAGCCCGCGTTTGGTTTGGAATACGTAACTGGGCTTTGAGAACGTTTGTACTGTGTCTGGTACCCGCATTTATACTCGGGATGTCAAGATATAGGACTTAAAACTTCAAAAATTTTGACCTCAACAACATTCTCCCCCTGCCCTCCACTCCCATCTCCAGGACATATTCCTGGAGCATATGGGACTTCGGTCGTTTTAATTTTTGGTTTTGTCGCTTCTCTCTTTTCTCCCGGACCCTGCCACAAGGGGAACATTTTCCTGGAGCAGCCATTTGATTTTGGGGGATGGAAAGGAACAAATAGATCTAAAGCCTGGCAAGTTTATCCTACAAGCCTAGTCGAGTAACTCATTCATGGGTCTCAGTTCAATAAACGTTTAGACTTGAAGAAGAATAAGGAAATATGGGGAAGAGAAGGAGGACAGGAATAGATCTAGCCTCATCAACATGTGACTGGGGCCTTTTTGTAAGAAAGACGGGGCCACTGCTGGATTGCATTGCAAGTATCCAGTACTTGGACCTCCCTGTCAAGGGCACAAGACATTTTAGAATAGTTTGTATTAAACTGATGCCAGTTACATGTCAGAATACATGTCAGAGCTGGAAATCCCATAGTACTTAATTTACAGATGGCTCAGGTTGGTTAAGGAACTTGGGAGCATTTTAAAACCCTCTATTCTTAAGATACATGCTTTTTCTCTTATAATTCAAACAAGAATAATCATGATGATAACAACTAACACTTATAAAGCATTTACCATGTGCCAGATCCTGTCCTAACACTCCTTATATGCATTAACTCTTTCAGTCCTCACTATGATCATATGAGGGAGGAGCATTATAATCTCTATTTCCAGATGAGGAAACTGAGCACAGAGAGATTAAACATGTTACCTTAGATCCTAGTAAGTAGTCAAGCTGAGATTCAAACTCAGTTCCAACCCTGGAGGGCTGGCTCCGTAGTCCAGTCTCCCTGCTTTCCAGATCCATGTGACGTTGAGGAGCTGGGGAAGTTGTGCAGTGGGGCATGTGGCAAGGATGCATGGTCCCCACCCAGGTGGGGCACGTCCCTCTGCTGGTTACAGATGCCTACAATGCCTTTCTGAATTTCCCATTTCTCATTCTAGGTTGAACTATAAGAAATTGCCCATAGGCAATTCTAGGGTGACCTTTCATCCCCAGAATGACAAGTTTGTATAATGCACTTTAATAGAAACAGGAAATTGCTCAATCCTCCCTTCTCCCAGTGGTGGAAGTAATTTCAGGTCATGTGCAAACCTCCGCATTTTAGGTCCCAGTTTGAGACACCCAGAATAGTGGATGGATAAATGGGTTTTAGGAGTCAAATACACCTGCATTTTACACTAATTCTAGCTGTGGAATCTGAACGTTAAACTTTTTATGTCTCAGCTTCCTGTAAATGACAATAATGATGTCTCCCATCAGGGATTACTATAGACTGAATCATGTTCTCTTCAACTTTATATGTTGAAGCCCTGATCCCCAATGTTATCCCCATTTGGAGATAGGGCCTGTGAGGAGGTGATAAAGGTTAAATGAGGTCAAAAGGGTGGATCACTAATCCCATAGAGCTAGTGCTCTTATGAGAAGAGGAAGAGACACCAGAATTCCCTTTCTCTCAGAAATCAGTCAAAGCAGAGGTCATGTGAGCACACAATGGGATGGTGGTTTCCTGTAAGCCAGGAAGAGAGTCCTCACCAGAAACCGAACCCTGCAGGACCTTGATCTGGAACTTTCTAGCCTCCAGAATGTGAGAAAATAAATTGTTGTTGTATCAGCCATCCAGTCTATGGTATTTTCTTATGGCAACCCTAGCAGACTAAGAGGGATATGATGATTAAATAAGGTGATGGATAAAAAGTACCTGCTCCAGGCCAGGCGCGGTGGCTCATCCTGTAATCCCAGCACTTTGGGAGGCTGAGGTGACTGGATCATGAGGTCAGGAGATTGAGACCATCCTGGCTAGAATGGTGAAACCCTGAATCTACTAAAAATACAAAAAAGAAAAAAAAATTAGCCGGGCATGATGGCGGGCACCTGTAGTCCCAGCTACTCTGGAGGCTGAGGCAGGAGAATGGCATGAATGCGGGAGGCGGAGTTTGCGGTGAGCCAAGATCGCGCCACTGCATTCCAGCCTGGAATGCGAGCGAGACTGTCTCAAAAAAAAAAAAAAAGAAAAAAAAAAAAGGACCTGCTCCAAATGGATAGCTTGAGAAAGTAAGAGCTGGCCACCTGCCGGGACAAGTACCCCATGGATGTTGTTGTGGGCTGAATTGTGTCCCCCTCCCCCCACCTCCCAAATTCATATATTGATGTCCTAACACCCAGTACTTCAGATGAGATCGGGTGTGTGTGGGGTGGTATGGCTGTAGACCAACCAGTACTTCAGAATATAACCTTATGTGGAAACAAGGCCTTTGTGGATGTAATTAGTCAAGATGAGGTCTTATTAAAATAGGGTTGGCTCCTAATCCAATATGACTGGTGTTCTTAGAAAAAGAACATGATGTGTAGAGAAAGAAACACATATAGAAGGAAGACAGTGTGAAGAAACATTGGGAAAAGATGGCCATCTACCAGCCAAGGAGAGGGGCTTGAAACAGATCCTTCCCTCACAGCTCTCAGGAGGAACCAGTCCTGCTGACATCTTGATCTTGGACTTCAGCTCACAGAACTGAAAAACAATAAATTTCTGTTGTTTAAACCACCCAGTTTGCGGTACTCTTGTCACAGCAGCCCTCGCAAAGTAATATGGATGTGTCTCCAGGGCTGATGGGGCTGGTGTTCTCATCCCTCATCTTACCCTCCAGAGACCGAGCAGCTCACATCAATGACCTTCCAGATAAGAGTGGTACTTCTTGATATTACTTATTATCAATAATGATGAATAGATTGTGACAACTGGCACAGCTACAGATCAATGACAAAGTCTTGCTAAAAACATCATAGTTTCATGAAATTCTACAGAAACCTACAATAATCACAGGGAATGATTAGGAACCAGCCTCCAATCTCTCTCCTTAAAAAAAAAAAAGTGGTAGAAAAAAATAAAAATAGTTTCTGGAGGTTTAGTACTCAACGATCTTGAAGTTCAGCCCTTTGGAAGAATGTAAGACAGAGATGGTGAGTGAAGAAATAGACCCACATTTCAGCCTTGACCAGCTTATTTATTGTGGTACAGGGTTTCAGTTCACTGTTTACCCTGTTGTACAATAACCTGGAGATAATTAATTATTTTGTAAACTTGTGGTTGCTCTCCATCCCTGAGGATGAAGTGGATTGAATTGGCTTCCTTTGGACTCCATCAGTGGCGCAACCATAATTAATGCCTGAGGCTAAAAAAATGTAGCCTTCATAAGATGTTCAGATTTCATGAAGAGTGTTTGTTTTTATTTTTCACAAACAAAGCATCAGAGAATTTTTTCCTATCATAATTTAATTTTTATTCCTTTCACTGTTTATAACATTTGGAAGCCCAATTCTGGCCTATGTTGTTTTCACTCATGTTTCCTCTGTAAATGGGTTGCTGCTTTGGAGTGTTATGTGATACTCTTAAATGCTGGGATGCCTTTCCCTTCAGAGGGCAAAGGAGTGGCTTTTTTTCTCTCTCTTTCTATCAAATAGATGAAATTTACAAATTAGAGAGAATGAACCTTTCAACCTTATCTTTCCCATTCACCCCTTCATAAGGAACACTGGAATAAAGTCAAACCTCTGCAAAGGAGACTAGTGTTTTCTGCAGTGAGTTACAGACTCTTTTTAGCTATGCTCTAATTGTTTAGTCATTTATACTCATCAAATGCCTCTTAAGAATTCTTTTGTCTATACATACACTGCCTTCCATAGATAACTTTTTTCATAAAATTTAAAGTTTTTGGTAGTGTAGAGATTTTGCTCTTGGCTCATTTTCTTCATTTGAACATTTTGGGAAGGTAGGTTTTCACAGTCTTTTGGAAATTTTCATATAATGGAGGAAAAGTTAGGTTCTGGGGAAAGGACGAAGATTCTCAAAATATTTTGGTTCTTGAACAACCTTGGAAGGGAACCATTCTGCTTCCATATAGATGTCATCATCATCACATCACATATAGAGAAAATTCCTCCACCTGCCCCCCCATAGCACTCACTTCCCTCAGTATCTGACCTCAACCATATTCTTATTTCAGCTGGCCTGGCTCAGTGTCTAAAGGTTCAGTTTGTGAATTGATGAGTCACCTGTAGTAAATTACTCTACACTGTCTTTCCCACCCCCTTCCTCTCTGAAATAACTGGGGAGACTTCTCTGAGCACCAACAGTGTCTATTATTTTTTTCAACTTTTATATTCAGGGAGTACATGTGCAGATTTGTTATAAGGGTATATTGTGTGATGCTGAGGTTTGGGGTACAATTAAACCCATCACGCAGGTAGTGAGCATAATACCTACTAAGCAATTTTTCATCCCATGCTGCGCTCCCTTCCTCCCCTATCTTGTAGTCTCCAGTGTATATTATTCCCATTTTTATGTCCATGTGTACCCCCCGCTTTTTTTTGAGACAAAGTCTTGCTCTGTCGCCTGGACTGGAGTGCTCACTGCAACCTCTGCCTCCCAGGCTGAAGCAATTCTCATGCCTCAGCCTCCCGAGTGGCTGGGACTACAGGTGTGCACCACCACGCCAGGCTAATTTTTGTATTTTTAAGTAGAGGCAGGGTTTCTCCATGTTGGCCAGGCTGGTCTTGAACTCCTGGCCTCAAGTAACCCACCCGCCTCGGCCTCTCTAAGTGCTAGGATTACAGGCATAAGCCACCATGCCCGGCCCTGTGTACTTAATGTTTATTTCCCACTTACAAGTGAGAACATGTAGTAGGTGATTTTCTGTTTCTGCATTAATTTGCTTAAGATAATGGCCTCCAGCTGCATCCATGTTGTGCAAAAGATACGATTTTGGTTTTTTAAACAGCTGCATAGTATTCCATGGTGTGTATATATCATATTTTCTTTATCCAATCCACCATTGATGGACATCTAGGTAGATTTCATGTTTTTGTTATTGTGAATAGTGCTGGAGTGAACATACAAGTGCATGTGCCTTTTTGGTAGAACAATTTATTTCCCTTTGGGTATATACTCAGAATGGGATTGCTGGGTTGAATGGTAGTTCTATTTTTAGTTCTTTAAGAGATATCCAAACTGCTTTCTACAGTGGCTGAACTAATTTACATCCCCATAAACAGTGTATAGTCATTCCCTTGTTTTCTGCAGCCTCACCAACATCTATTATTTTGGGGCTTTATAGTAATAGCCATTCTGACTGGTGTGATATGGTATCTCATTGTGGCTTTGAGTTGCATTCTCTGATGATTAGTGGTGATGAACATTTTTTCATATGTTTGTTGTCTGCTTGTATGACTTCTTTTGAGAAGTGTCTGTTCATGTCCTTTACCCACTTTTTAATGGGGTTGTTTTTGCTCATTGACTTGTTTAAGTTCCTTTTAGATTATGGATATTAGACCTTTGTCAGAAGCATAGTTTGCAGATATTTTCTCCCATTCTATCATCTGTTTACTCTGTTGATAGTTTCTTTTGCTGTGCAGAAGCTCTTTAATTTAGTTATGTCCCATTTGTCAATTTTTGCTTTTGTTGCAACTGCTTTTGAGGACTTTGCCACAAATTCTTTGCCAATTTGATATCTAGGTTTACTTCTAAAATTTTTACAGTTTGAGACAGCAGTGTCTATTCTTGTGTTCTTTTTCTGCCTGAAGACCAACATGTATAAGTCAGGCACCTGGAACCAAGCTGAGAACTCAGTGATACTCTCATATTGCTCATTGAATTAGTCCTAGGACTGTCACAAAATACTATGACTTAAATAACAGAAATTTATTGCTCACAGTTCTGGAGGCAGGAAGCCTAAGATCAAGGTGCTGATTCAGTTCTAGGTGAGCACTTTCTTCCTGCAGACAACCACCTTCTTGCTATGTTCTCATATGACCTTTCCTTGGTGGGTGCATGTGGAGAGATATACCCACCTCTCTCCCTATCTTTATAATGCCACTACTCCTGTTTAGATTAGGGCCCTAGCCTTATAACCTCATTGATTACCTCCTAAAAGCCCCATCTCCAAATTTCTGTTGGTGATTAGGGCTTTATTGGTGATTGCTTAAGATAATGGCCTCCAGCTGCATTCATGTTGTGCAATAGATATGATTTTTTCTTTTTATAGCTGCATAATATTCCATGGTGTATATATATCACATTTTCTTTATCCAATCCACCGTTGATGGTAGGAACACCAACGTTGTGGGGGAACACAATTTAGATCATAGCATATTGCCCATGGCCTCCCAAATTTACTTCCTTCTCACATGCAAAAAATATATATTTTAACTCAATAGCCCACAAAAGTCCAACATAAAGTCCAAAGTCTCATCTAAATGTCCTACAAATCAGATATGGATAAGACTCCAGCTGTGATTCATCACGAGGCAAAATTCCTTTCCAGATGTGAACCTGGGCAAGTCAGATAAGTTATGTGCTTCCAGAATTCAATGGTTAGACAGGAATAGGGTAAACATTTCCATTTCAAAAAAGAGAAGTAGAAAAGAAGGAAGAGGTGATAGGTCCCAAGCAAGTCCAAAAATCTAGTGAGTCAAACTCCATTAGGTCTAAAGGCTCAAGAACAATCCTCTTTGGTTTGATGCTCTGTCCTTCAGACCCAGTGGGATGGCAGCATCACCCCAATGGCTCTAGTTGGAGGTCTCGCCTCCAAGACTTCAGGTGGAGACCATCTGACCTTTAGAAACCAAGGTGGCAGCCCTGATGACCTCTGGATTCCCTGCAGGGTCATTTTCCCCTCTTCTTTAAGAATAGCGTATGTGTGCAGCCAAATAGCTCTATTGTCTTGTCAAATCCAAGAAGTTCAATAGCTTTCCTTCATTTTGTTCCATCTCTGTTCCCTTCAGTTAAAAATGAAAATGTTTTTACTCATATAATCTCATTAGCTCTTTATGAGGTGATAATCCAGCTACACTTTGATGTTCTCTTCAGAGCATGCTTTCTCATTTTTTGCGGTATGGGTAGGCTGAGAATTTTCCTAATATTCAAGTCTGGTTCTTTTTTTCTCAACAATCCCTTCTTCAATTAATCTCTCTCCTTTCACATATTCCTAAAACCAGCCAGGAGGAACAAAGCCACTTCTTCAACACTCTGCTTAGAAAAATTCTCTGTTAACTATCCAGTTTCATTGCTTTCAAGTTCTGTCTTCCACAAAACACTAGAACATGAGCACAATTCAGCCAAGTTCCTTGCCACTATGTAACAAGGGTAACTTTTTCTTCAGTTTCCAATAAAATGTTCCCCATTTTCATTTGAGACCTCACCAGAATATCTGTTAACATCTATATTTCTGCCAACGTTCTCTTTATGTGTATTTACCTTTTCACTGAGAAGATCGAAGCTTTCTTTCCAACTCTCTATTTCCGTATGAAACCTCACCAGAAATTGCTTTTAATGTCTGTATTTCTAGCATGGACCTTAACACTCTTCTAGCCCCTACACACTACTCAATTCCAAAGCTGCTTCAACATTTTTAGGTATTTGTTATAGCAGCATTCCATTTCTTGGCATCAAAACCTGTATTAACCCGTTAGGGTTTCCATAACAAAATATGATAGACTGAGTGGTTAAAAGACAGAAATTTACTTCTCATAGTTCTGGAGTATGGGAAGTCTAAGACCAAAGTGCCAGCTGGTTAGATGCCTAGGAAATGCTTTCTTCCTGACTTGCAGATGGCCACCTTCTCATTATGGGCTCATGTGGAATTTCCTCAGTGTGTGCATTTAGAGAGAGAGATCTCTCTCTTCCTCCTCCTATGAGGGCACCAGTCCTATTGGATTAGAACACCATCCTTCTGACCTCATTTTAACCTTAATTCTAAAAGCCCTGTCTCCAAATACAATCATATTGGGGGTCAGGGCTTCAACATATGAATTAGGTGAGGGGAGGTACAATTCAGTCCACAACACTCTCTGACTATGAAAGTGGTTTTTGGCTTTCTTTTTGTATTCTTCTTTTTCATTTTTTTCAGGTTTTTAAAAGTATTTATAGGGGAAACATACAGGGGTGAGGACCATCTTTGGAGACCTCAGAATGGTATCCTCTATACCTCTGGGCAATTGCAACCCTCATGGGTCCTTGCTCAGAAGCATCTCACCAGTCTCTGTAGGGGCCTCATCTATGATTTCTACAGGTGTGTATGCTTTTTGTAATAAATACAATAATTTCAGTTTTCTTTTTACCAAGCTTTATTTTTAAATTATTCAGCTATCCCAATGGCCTTTTAAATCCTTTTTTGCATCTCCAGGTCTGTTTTAAGAACAGCATTCTAATGTTAATTCTGTTGAATATAATTTTAAACTTATCCCGGTGCTAGGTTTAGGGTGTGGGACAAAGTGAATCCAAGGGAGTAGCATGAATAGGGGCAGTAAACTGTGGAAATGAGCTAACCTTGAGCTTCAAGATTATCATTCGTGTAAACAAATGCATTACGAAACTAATACAAACATACCCAAGAGGTCACTTGACATTATTCTATTTTACAGAAAACGTATGCATCTATATAAGTTCCAGGCTCAGTTATCTCTGAAATAACAAAATGCTTTCAGGTAGATAAACACAAAAGGAATATCTCAGTTTCCCACGTTTTCTTCAAGCCTCAAAGGAATGTGTAGTTAAAATTCTTTTTTTTTTTTTGTAGAAGTGACCAATATCTTTGATATCATCAGAGAACAAAACTTTAGTCATGCTGATTTCTATCCTGTATTTTGAACACAGCTCTTTGTTGGAGTTCTATATATTTATTCTTCTAAAAAAATCTTCCCTGACTTATCCAGCTTTCATAGTCTAAACTTTTTGTCCAAACTCTTATGGCACTGATGGTCAGATTTCTTTATTATTATTTTAGAGACAGGGTCTCTCTCTGTCACCCAGGATGAGTGCAGTGGCACAATCATAGCTCGCTGAAACATCACATTCCTAGCCTTAAGTGATCCTCCCATCTCAGCCTCACATGTAGCTAGGACTACAAGCATGTGCCACCATGCCCAACCAATTTTTTTTTAAATTTTTATTCTTTGTAGAGACAGGGTTTTATTATGCTGCCCAGGCTGGTCTTGAACTCGTGGCCTCAAGTGAGCCTCCTACCTCAGCCACCTAAAGTGCTGGAATTACAGGCATAAATCACTGCATCTGGCCCAGATTTCTCTATTATTAACTGTTGCATTTCATACTATATCATTTGATTTTCTTATTGAGCTGCATTATCAGTGTTTGTTTTTATCTTGCTAACATAAATGTAACATGTTCAAGAACTGGATTCATGTTTTATTTACTAAATTACTATTCCTCATAATACTTAGCATAGTATTTAGTGTTAGGTGCAAGGTAGTTAATCAATAAATTCTGAATTAAATTAACTTTGCTAGGAAACAGGAGGCCAACAGAAGAATAGCAAGTGTATATATTCAAAGATGACCTAAACAGGGGTGCAATTTTGACTCAACAAATTAAGGGTCTATGAATGTTAATAAATACAGTGTTTGGTATATTTGGCATATCTTTATATAGTTTGGATATATGTCGCTACCCAAATCTCATATTGAAATATAATCCCCTTGGAGGTAGGGCCTGGTGGGAGGTGATTGGATCATGGGGTAGAGTTCTCATGAATGGTTTAGCACCATCTCCCTTGGTTCTGTCCTCATGACAGTGAGTACATTCTTATGAAATCTGGTCATTTAAAAGTATGTAGCACCTCCCACCTCACTCTCTTGCTTCTGCTTTCACCTGTGATGTGGCTGCTCTGCCTTCCCCTTCCATTATGATTGGAAGTTCCTGAGGCCTCCCCAGAAGCAGATGCACCATGCTTTCTGGACAACCTGCAGAACCATGAGCCAATTAAACCTCTTTTCTTTGTAAATTACCCAGTCTCAGGTATTTCTTTAATAGCAGTGTGAGAATGGACTAATACAATATTGATTAATAAAATTATATTGACTTATGAATGCCCCTACTTGAAGAATAACAGAAATTGATTTTCAGGGTGGCAGCTGGTAGAACTCTTGATTTATATGGTCAAATTTATTTCTCCCTGATCTTGATCATCTCAGTAGTTGCTGCCACCTTCTACTTTATCGTTCGGGCACCTGTTATTTCTTACTTTCTGTCACTCCACATATCCAGTTCATTAAGAATTGTATAGACTCTACCTCTAAACCATGGCCTGATTCCACCTACATCTGTCCATCTCTACTGCTACTACCCTAGTCCAAACCACCATCCTCTTTTGCTTAGACAATTGTCGTGCTTCCTTCCCTTTTCCTCCCATAATGCATACATAGCCAGGGTGGTCTTTTAAAAACCTAACTCTGATGCCACATTCTTACCTGAAATTCTGCCATAGCTTGCCATAGCACTGAGGATAAAAGTAAACTCCAACCTGATCTGCAGTTTTACAGCATCTGGGTCCCACTTTACCCTTCAGACTTCATTTGTGCATTTTTCATTTTTACTATATTTCAACCGCAGTAGCTTTAGTTGTGTTCCTGGAAATTAATGAGCCTGGCTCTGTCTTAAGAATTTACATGGTAATAACCACGGTGTTCCTTCTGATTTTATATTCTGTAGGCAGTAAGAGGGCAGTTTCTGAGAAAATCAGCAAACAGAACTGTGGGAGGAATACTTTTGCTAACTCTAATTTTCTATGGTAGTAAACTTCCCTGTTGCCAGTAAAATGGAACTGCCCATAGTGGTTAAACCGGGTGAGAAACGAACCATACGTGACTTAAAAGTAACATAAGCTCTTTAATGTCTCTTTACAAATAATTTCACCTCTTGTTGAGGACCTGATGATCCAAAGGAGACCAAGGATAAGTAATGAGAGAGATCTTAGGAATATAGCTTGATATAAATCAGAATCTTGTTCTACCACAGATACCTTCTTCCTCAAAGCAGAGCAAGCAAATATCCACGGTGCCGGATCATCAGGCCCCAGGGCTCAGGTCACCGCTGTTGCCAGTATGGGTCCTCCACTCTAGGAATTAGCATATATTACACAGCGGGAATATAACTGGAACCCCAAAGAGCCGTTTGATGTTCGGAGATGTAAATTATCTTTCTGTTGGGATAACCTCATTTACATGAAGTGATCATTTCCTCAAAGTTTGGTGCCCAAGTGTTCAGTTTTCTGAGTACCATCTCTTGGGTAGTGACAAGATAATAGATGTATTACTAGCTTTCTCTCAATGCCAGTGTAAGGGAATTGGGTACAAACCCCAGATGTTTCTTCTCATCTTCTAATTTAAATGCAGGTTCCCAACGTGATAATGGGAGAGCCTCCTAGGTTTGTGATATAGTTTGGATATTTTTCCCTGCCCAAATCTTATGTTGAATTGTAATCCCTATTGTTGGAGGTGGGGCCTATTTGGAGGTGCTTGGATCATGGGGGTGGATCCCTCATGAATGGGATGGGACATCCCCTTGGTGATAAGTGAGCTCTCGCTCTGAGTTCACATGAGATCTGGTCATTTAAAAATGTGTGGCACCTCCCCTGACAGCTCTGTCTCTCTCTCGTGCTCTACCATGGGATGTGCCTGCTCCCCATTTGCCTTCTGTCATGATTGGAAGCTTCCTGAGGCCTCCCCAGAAGCACGTGCTGGTGCTATGCTTTCTGTACAGTCTGCAGAACCATAAGCCAATTAAACCTCTTTTTTTTTTCTGAATTACTCAGTCCCAGGTATTTCTTTAGAGCAATACAAAAATGGTGAATACACTGTGTGCTCACATGGAGGGTTACAAATTATTCTGGTAGGAAAGGTCTTTGGTGTTTCCCACACCATACACCAACACCACACTGCTAGAATGTCTTTAGAAGGCAATGTCACACACACAAAAGTTCTAATTGAGGTACATCCTCAGCAGGGTGGCTAACTGGATAGGCACTGCCTCACACAAGCTGCTCATCCCTGGAATGTCATACTAGGCTGTGGTGATGCCACATTGTGTTGGCAGTTTTATAACAGGATGCTTATTTTATATCTATCTATCTATCTGGATATATAAAAGGCCATATCTGGATAGGTCATCTATCTGGATATATATTAAAGGCCATTTGTACACAAATGTTCAGGTAAATAACATTAAGCTTGGAAAAATATATCTGAGATCCCAATTAAAAGATAAAGATGGTCTAGACAGGCTCCCACTTTATTTTCTCTGAAAAATAGGCCTAGATATGAAGGCCTGGCCTTGGCGCTCTATCGCTTGGATGCTTTGTCCTATCCCTGGGGTGTCTTTAGCAAGCTGCAAGGACCAAAACGTGAGGTTTACAGTTAAAAACAAATCCCAAGGTCCTGTAGCCATGCTCAGGAGCCAGGAGTTTTTTCTTGGAGGAAAGGAATGGTCAGAGCCTTCGTCTGGGGAGAGTGGGAAGCAGGGTCACTAGGACAAGCCCAGGCTGTCAAGTGCTACCCTGCTCCTAGTCCCTTGCTCTAATGTATAGTTGCTTTTAATTTTATAATTTATTTTATTTTATTTTGAGACAGGATCTTTCTCTGTCACCCAGGCTTAAGTGCAGTGGTACAATCACAGCTCACTGTAGCCTCAACCTACTGGGCTCAAGTGATTGTCCTGCCTTAGCCTCCCTAGTAGCTGAGACTATAAGCATGTGCCACTATGTCTGGCTAACGTTTTGATTTTTTGTAGAGATAGGACCTTCACTTTGTTGCCTAGGCTGATTTCAAACTATAGGCTTAAGTGATTCTCCCACGTTGGCCTCCCAAAGTGCTGGGATTATAGCTGTGAGCCATAGCACCTGGCCAATATATTTTAAACTAAAGTTTATTGTGTGAAAAGTTCTCATGTAATATAGTACTGTATACACACACAGACACACACACAAAAAACTGCTTTATTGATAATAAACAAAATAGCTTAACTATAATAGAAAAGAATCATAACTAAAAATGATCTAAGCCTGAGCTCCACACGAAGAATAAAGAATTATTCTTTATCTTTTATATATCCTACTCAGATAGCAGTTTCATTTTGCATCACCTTATGAATCTTTGATTCTTCAACACCTGTTAACTTAGTGTGTTTATGCTGCCTCTTATGATCCTGGCTTGTTTTAAGTTAAATAACAAGAACTATATCAGGAAGGACTAAAATTTCTAATGATTATAATTTACTGCCTTCTTTGTTCATTTAAAAATATTGCATTGCCACTGTGATGGTTAATTTGATGTGTCAGTTTGACAGTGCCACAGAGGCCCAGATATGTTATGAAACATTATTTCTAGGTAGCTTGTGATGATGTTCCTGGGTAAAATTCACATTGGAATTGGTTGATTGAGTAAAGTAATTTGGCCTTCTCCATGTAGGTGGGCATCATGCAGTCTTTTCAAAGCCTAGATAGAACAAAAAGTGGAGGAAGGAAGAATTTGTTCTCTGACTGATGGTTTGAGCGGGGACATACATCTACTGTCCCTAGATTGAGACTTACACCATTAACTCTCTTGGTTCTCTGTAATCTGAATCTGACAGGCTTAAATCCTGAAGGCCATTGTTCTTTCTTCTTGTATCTCTAACCATTAAATGAACCACTCTTACTAAATGTACATGCCACTTTACCATCATACTTGAAAACTGAATCCACAAATTATTCTAATTGAGAAATGACATGAAAGAATTCAAGACATTCTATCCCCATTGGGTCAATTTGTGGAAAATAGAAGATTCAACCTCATATGGAGAAAAGATACATATGAGTTAGTCTGTAAGCAACTTCGGCCTTCTATGAAGAATAAAATGTGTGCAAATACAAACATAATCTTGCAGGGAGTTAAATATCCTGAGACCATGTAAGTGCCCAAGGATGAGCAAGCAAATCCAGGATAGGCTGCATATTATTAAAGAATCTGTTATACAGCATGCAAACATGGTTCTAGAAGCAGCTACCTGTGTAACTAATTTTGGGGTATAGGAAGCCCAGGTACCACAAGGGTAGTAAGATAATTTTTTGTTTCATCCCAATGAAAGCAGCTGGATGTAACCCATTTTTGCTGCAGCCGATTGCAAAATCAGCCTTATTGCTCCTGTCTCTCTGGGTTCTGTGAATATGGGTTCTGGATGTAGTGTGTGTGTGTGTGTGTGTGTGTGTGTGTGTGTGTGTGTGTGTGTTTTCTTTTTTTCTGTTGTTGCTGTTGTTCTCTTTGCCATTACAGCATTACTATCTTTTGTAACAAAACTTTTAATTTAATTTTTCAGAGCATTAAGCACCTTCTTACCCTCACCAAAATTATCTAATAGAGCAGGGTCTAAGCATTGTGTTTGACCATGATTGATTGCTTTAAGCACTAAGCTATAGTTGGTTTCCATGGAGCAAATAATAGCACCACACTTGCTGGATTAACGTTTATTGGAAAAAATTGATGTGCTCAAGGACAGCAGCAGGAATGAAGTCTTGCTGTTGCCATTCACATTCTGAGGCAGGTCGCAGCAACCTGATAGGGTGAGGTGTTAGATTTTGGGATAGTGACTTCACCTCTGGACTTTGAGGCTTTTAAGGATCATGATTAGGGAAGTATTTGCTATTCTCCTGAAGTGATCAGGGACAGGTTCCCAGCTTTATGGTTGCAGCCATATGACATGACAAACTAGTGACAGAATCCCCCACATTAGCCTTCATAGTTGAGGAAGAACACACCTCTTTCCTGGCATGTTCTGGGTGGGTAGTTTGGTAGACAGAGCAGCGGACTCTTCAAAGATGTCTAACTCCTACTTCCTGGAACCTGGGAATAGGTCATGTTACATGGCAAGTGAGAATTAAGGTGCTAGATAAAATTATGTTTGCTAATCAGCTGACCTTAACATTAAGAGATTATCTTGGATTATTTGGGTGACCCATTGTGATCACAAGGGTCATTAAATGTGGAAGAGGAAAGCAAGAGTTTATGTCAGAGTAATGTGATGTGAGAAAGACTTGCCTGGTTATTGCTTTAAGGATGGAAGGGGGCCACAAGCCAAGGAAGGCGGGCAGCCTCTAGAAGCTGGAAAAGGCAAGAGACAGATTCTCCACTAGAGCCTCCAGAAGGAGCACAGCCCTGTTGACCCATTTTAGAATTCTGACTTTCAGACTGTAAGAAAATAAATTTGTCTTGTTCTAAGCCATAAAATTTGTGGTAATTTGTTTTACAGTAGCAATAGGATACTGAGTCCAAATCTTGACAGTATTGGACAGTATTGATTGCCTCAAGTAACTGAGTTGTAATCTGTTTTCGTAGAGCCTTGCAGATGCCAGCTTCTTCCTCCTGCAGGTAGCCATTCTTGGACAAGTTGATATAGTTTAGATGCTTGTCGCCTCCAAATCTCATGTTGGAATGTAATCCCCAATGTTAGAAGTGTATGTATCATGGGGGCAGATCCCTCATGAATTGCTTAGTACCATCCCCTTGGTGATGAGTGAGTTCTTACTCTGGTAGTTTATGTGAGATCTGGTTGTTTGAAAGAGTGTTGCACCTCCCCGCCCCCACCTCTTGCTCACTGTCTTGCCATGTGACATTGCTCTCCCTACACTTTCTGCCATGATTATAAGCTCCCTGAGGCCCTCAACAGGAGCAGATGCTGGAGCCACGCTTGTACAGCCTGCAGAACCTTGAATCAATTAAACATTTTTTATAAAAATAAATTACTCAGCTTCAGGTATTTCTTTATAGCAACACAAAAATTTTTGATAAAATTGGTACCAAAGAGTGCGGCATTGCTCTAAAGATACCTGAAGATGTGGAAGCACCTTTGGAACTGGATAACAGGCAGAAGATTGAGGAAGACAGATTCAGGCAGATTCAGAAGATAGAAAGATGAGGGAAAGTTTGGAACTTCTTAGAGACTGATTAAATGGTTGTGACCAAAATGCTGATGGATATATGGACAGTGAAGTCTAGGCAGACAAAGTCTCAGATGGAAATGAGGACGTTATTGGGAACTGGAGTAAAGATTACCCATGTTATGCCCTGGCAAAGAGCTCGGTCACATTTTGTCCATGTCCTAGGGATCTGTGGAAGGTTGAACTTAAGAGTGATTACTTAGGGTATCTGATGGAAGAAATTTCTAAGCAGCAAAGCATTCAGGAATAAGGTGGTGCCAGGCATGGTGGTTCATGCCTGTAATCCCAGCATTTGGGAGGCTAAGGTGGGCAGATCCCTTGAGGTCAGGAGTTTGAGATCAGTCTGGCCAACATGGAAAAACCCCTATCTCTACTAAAAATACAAAAATTAGCTGGGTGTGGTGGTGCATGCCTTTAGTCCAGCTACTTGGGAGGCTGAGGCAGGTGAATTGCTTGAACCTAGGAGGCAGAGGTTGTAGTGAGTCGAGATCGTGCCACTGCACTCCAGCCTGGGTAACAAAGAAAGACTCCATCCTAAAAAACAAAACAAAAACAATCAAACAAAAAAACAATGGAGTGGCTGCTTCTAACAGCAATTAGATAAGGAAAAAAATAAATGACTTAAAGTTAAAATTTATATTTAAAAGGGAAGCAGAGCATAAAAATTTAGAAAGTTTGCAGCCTAGCCATGTGGCAGAGGAGGAAAAAAGTATTTTCAGGGGAGGGATCCTGTAGAGCAACCACTTGCTAGAGAGACTTGCATGACTAAAGCCAAGTGCCAATGTCCAAAACAATTGGAAAAGGCTTTGAAGCCATTTCAGAAGTCTTCAGGACAGCTCCTCCCATCGCAGACCCAGAGTTTTAGGAGGAAAGAATGGTTTCAGGGGCCAGGCCCAAGGTATAGGTGCCCTGCTCAGCCTCAGGATGCTACTCTCTGCCTTCAGGCAACTCTGGCTCCAGGCTCAGCTCAAAGGGCCACAGGTACAGCTCAGAATGCTGCTTTGGAGAGTGCAGGCCATAAGCCTTGATGGCTTCAATGTGGTGTTAAATATACAGGTTCACAGAATGCAAGAGTGAAGGAGGCTTGGCAACTTTCACCTAGATTTCAGAGGATGTATGGGAAAGGCTAGGTGCCCAGGCAGAAGCCTGCTACAGGGGTGAAGCCCCCACAGGGAACCTCTACTAGGTCAGTGCCAAAGGAAATGTGAGATTGGAGCCTGCACATGGAGTCCCCATTGGGGCACTGCCTGGTGGATCTGTGGGAACAGGGCTGCAACCCTCCAGACCTGAGATTGGTAGAGCCACCAGCAGCTTGTATCTTGAGCCTGAAAAAGCTGCAGGCACTCAGCTCCAACCCATGAGAGTAGCCATGGGTGCTGGACCCTACAAAACCACAGGGTTGGAGCTGTCCAAGACCTTGGGAGTTTACCCCTTGCACCAAATATGCCCTGGCTGTGTAACATGAAGTCAAAGGAGATTATTTTGGAGATTTAAGATTTAATGACTACCTTGCTGGGTTTAGGACTTGTGTGGGGCCTGTTGTCCTTTTCTTTTGGCCTATTTCTTCATTTTGAAATGGGAATATTTACTCAATGCCTGTACCATCATTGTATCTTGGAAGTAAATAACTTGTATTTGACTTCACAGGCTCATAGGTGGAAGGAACTCATCTCTAGATGAGAATTTGGACTTGGGATTTTTGATTGAGTTGATGCTGGAATAAGTTAAGACTTTGGGGGAACTATTGAGAAAGGATGATTATGTTTTGCAGTGTGAGAAGGACGTGACATTTGGGGGCTCAGGGTTACAATGATACAGTTTGGATGTTTGTCCTTTCCAAATCTCATGTTGAAATGTAATCCCCAATGTTGGAGGTGGGGCCTAATGAGAGGTGTTTGGATCATGGGGGCAGATCCCTCATGAATGGCTTAGTATCATCCCCTTGGTGATGAGTGAGTTCTTGCTCTGGCAGTTCATAAGAGACCTGGTTGTTTAAAAGAGTGTGGCACCTCCCCCACACCCGACTCCCTCTCTTGCCATGTGACATTGCCTGCTCTCCCTTCACCTTCTGCCATGATTGGGAGCTTCCTTAGGCCCTCACCAGAAGCAGATGCTGAAGAGTTGCTTGTATAGTCTGCAGCACCATGATCCAATTAAATCTCTTTTTAAAAATAAATGATGTCACCTCAGGTATTTCTTTATAGTGATGCAAAAATGGACTGATGCATTAATCCTTATTAACTCACCTCTCATGAACATTTCTAACTCAGATTTAGAACCACATGATATTAGCTTTATTTTTCTTTTTAAAATCAATTTCTTTTTTATTTAAAAATATTTAATTGACAAAGATTGTATATATTCAAGGTGTACCATGTAATGATTTGTGTGTATATTGTGTAATGATTATCACAATAAAATTAATTAACACACCCATCACCACCCATGCTGTACATTAGATCCCCAGAACTTGTTTATTTTATAACTGAATATTTGCACCCTTTGAACAACATCTCCTCATTTTCCCTACCGCCACCAGACGCTGGCAACTATTATTCTGCTCTCCATTTCTATGAGTTTAACTTTTTTAGATTCCACCTACAAATGAGATCATATAGTATTTGATACTAAACCAGCAGGTCTCCTCTCTGATGCCAAATATCCTGGCCCTCAACAGCATCAATATAACTGTTTGCTTCATTCAAACCACACACACATGCACACACACACCAGAATGTATAGCACCAATGTTATTGCTGTACTATTATTACTGAAAACAGCTTAATACTTTATAATTGTTTTTAGTTCTCTTTGTCCTTAGAGTATAGTTCACAGGGATGTGCAGTCCAATTACTTTGTCTTAAAGTTACTTGAAATTATTTCTTCCTGTTTGCTGCTACTTTGATGCAAAATTAAGTTTACTTGTTTAATTTACTTTTGATTTTTAGGTATTGAGTTATTTCTGTTTTATATTTTTGTAATTCATTTGTCTGGTTTCAAAGTCAAATTTATTAAATAAGGTATTTTTACCTTCTTTTCCTGTCTTCTCCTTTTTCTTCTTTGTTTTCCTTAAAATATTTTTATACTATATCCCTCAATTAAAAAATATGTGCATATATGTGTGTATGTGTGCATATAAATATGTATATATCTATGTCTCTATATATCTGCTTCTTTCTCTTAGATAAATGGCAGTGTGCTGTCCACACTTTTCTCCATCTTTGTTTCTTACTTTACAGTATATCTTGGATATCATCCCCTAGCAGAAGATAGAGATAGTCATAATTTCTCAATAAAGTTGCATACTCTTCCATCATAGACCCCAAATTGATGGACATTTGTGTGGTTTTAAAATTTTTTATAATTACAAGTAGTGCTATAATGACTACTTTTGTTTATTAGGTTGGCACAAAAGTAACTGTGGTTTTTCCCATTACTTTCAATGTGCCAACTTTTTGTGCCAACCTAATACGTCTTTTGTATTTTTACCAATTGTATCAGTCAGGGTTCCTCCCAAGAAGGAGAAGCAGCAGGCTATTTATTGTAAGGAATGGGTTTGTGTGATTGTTAGGGATGGCTAGACAGGTCTGAAACATGTAGGGCTGGCCGTGGGAAAGGGTAGGCTAGAACTCCCAGGCACAAGCTGAAGCTGTAGTCTACAGGTAGAATTTCTTCTTCTTCAGAGAAACTTCAGTTCTGCTTTTAGGGCCTTTGAACTGAATAAATCAGACCCACCCAGATTATCTAGGATTATCTTTATTACTAAAAGTAAGCTGATGATAGACTTATCACACTACAAAGTACATTCACAGCAACACCAAGATTAGCATTTGATTGAATAACTGGGAACTATAGCCTAGCCAAGTTGATACATAAAACTGACTATCACACTGATATATTTTTTGGATAGATATTTAGATGTGGAATTGCTGTGTCAAAGGATAAATGCACATATAACTTTTCATGGGATTACCAAATTCCTTTCCAGAAGGATTGTATCAGTTTGCATTCCAACTATCAATGTATGAGAATGGCTGTTTCCCCACAACCTCAAAAACAAAATATATTTAGAATTTTTTTCAACTGGATGAGTAAGATGTTACCTCAATGTGGTCTTATTTTGCATATCTTTAATTATGTGTAAAGCTGGATTTTGTTGCTGGTTGGATTATTTTCAATCTAACACTACTTCTTTCTGCCATGACTGTGCAGTGCCCTAGAGTGGGTATAGCCTATTTTCCTGTCCCAGTGTCTTCCTTTGCACAATGGAATGTTAATGGATGAAGGCATTTAAAGTACAAGTCATGTGCTTGCATGATTTGACTTGGCCTCTTTTGCTTCTGTGGTCGGCCATGAGAAGAGCATGCAATGAGTAGTCTCTGATCCAAAGTGAACATGGAGCTACATGAATTAGAGCTGAACCTAACCTTTAGCGTGTAGCCTGGGGCTTAGAGCCCAAAACCCAGAGTCAGGGAACTCTGAGGTGTTGAACTTAATTTGGTCATGGGGTGGCCAAACATATTACAGTTTATTTGTAGCCAACCTGCAGACCTACAAGTATGAAACATATGGTTATTATTTTAAAGAACTGGGGTTATTTGTTACACAGAACTATTGCAGCCATGACTGATTAGTATGCTTTTATTTGTTTAAGTCTGCTTTTGAGTCTCTGAGGAGTGTATTTATAAGATTTATAGTATCATATACAATATTTAAAGAATTCTCTTACATATTTGTTTTCATAGCCTTAAACTTTTTAAAAATGTTTGTTCATTCATTCTTTCATTTAACAAATATTTATAGAGTACTCATATGTGCTAGACAATTTTCTTGGTGCTAGGAATACATTGGCAAACAAAGCAAAATATCTGCACTTATAGAGCTTAAATTCTAGTGATATTTTCATTCATTGGACTTGCTTGAAGTTTGTGTGTTTCACTGGTCTTTTCTAAATAAATAGTTCTTGGATTTATTTACTAAGATTCATTCTCTCTTCCATATTTCATTACTTCCCTTTTTTAGCTTTATGCTTTGCTTCCTTCTATTTTATTTTAGTTTATTTTATTGTCTTTTTTCTAATTTCTTGAGTTTCTAATTTCTTTCTCTATTTCTTATAAATAAACTTAAAGCTAAAATACTTCTTTGAGTACTATTTTGTCTCAATTTCATTAGTTTTTATGTGTGTTGTCCTGGTTTTATTAATTTCTAATTAGCTCATAATTAAAGCTTACATTTCTTCTTATTCAAGCACTTAAAAATAACTTCTAATACTTCTAAGTGGCTTTTTGTGCATGGTTTGTTTTGTAACAGTCTGTTCTTGCGTTTTTAGGTATAATTTTTTTCTCAAATCTCTCTGGGATAAAGAACTTCCAGTTATGGAGCTGTGAAGAGTTTGGGCACTGGAAATCAACTAAAGGCAAACAACAAATTGAGAAACACTTATTCTTAAAAAAACTGCTAGAACTTCAAAGAGAACAGTAGGAGTGTTTTTTTTTTAAATTTTATTATTATTATTATTATTTTTTTGAGTGGTACCGTGCCTACTCCCTCTTCCCCAAGTTAGTTGGCAAGAATAAGAGTTTTACCAGCATTAGAATGATGTTGAAAACAAACAGCTTGCTGCCAGAGGGAGTGAATTTAATTTGGTTATAAGGTGAAAGTGATACAGGATTTTCTGGCTGGTGACACCTCTGCCCAGGCCTTTCCTGGGCCTGGGCTTGCCTCAGGAGACACCCCGTCTACTCAGACCACTGGACCACACCTGGCTTGCACTCTGGCGCAGATCCCATGGCTGCCGTGACTGTACCCTCAGCCCCTGGTGGGAGGGTGTGTGTGAGTGAGTCAGTGTGGGATCCAGCTGGCCATTCCAAGTACCAGCACAGGAGCAGACTCTGTGTGGGGCTTGTGGCTGGACCAGGTATGTCACAAGTGACTCCTATGGTGGACTCTGTTGTCCAGATGAGGGGAATGCAGTGGCACCCTGGCAGGGGTACTCATGACCCCAAATCCCCAGAGGGGGTGTTACAGCATGCTAACTAGCTCTTTTAGTCCTGCTGTCCGTAGCCTGTTGGATGGCTGCAGCATGTTAACAGCTGTCAGGCTGTCACCCTGCTCTGGCCCAGGGTTCCAGGGCTGGCTTGGCCCCACCACTGCTTCCCATCGTGCCCCATCACTGCTTGTGGAGGGCAGAGGGCCATAGCATTACAGCCTTCTTTGTACCTGCATCCAATAAGAGGGGTCCCAAGTTCTTTTTCCTGCATCCAATAAGAATGAAGTTACACTGACAATCAAAGGGTGAGGAGGGCAGAGAAGAATTTTGTTGAGTGATGAAACAGCTCTCAGTGGAGAGGGGATGTGAGGGTGGTCCCCCATCCAAAGTAGGGTGGTCTATCTCTGTATGGCTGGGTCTAGGGCTTTTATGGGCTTAGAATTGGGAGTGCATGCTGAGTGGTTTGTGAGTATGCAAAAAAAGTTGAACAAAGGCACCATTCAAAGGTGGGCAAGACAGTGTAAAAAACCAATTAGGGAAGGGTAGTTATATGCAAACAGGTGAAGGGTAGGGATCAATCAGAGGAAAGCATGCCAAACAGGAAGACAAGTTCTCAATCCAGTCCATGGATTTATCCAGAACTTGTAGCTAGAATTTAAACTGTCTTCGGTTTGAAGGCTGGGTTTCACTGGGGACCTGCCCCTGTCTGCCTAGGGCTTTGTCTGCCTCCTGCCTCTGTCAAAAATGCTTTGCTTTGTTTAAAAGGGGTAGACATGGTTTGTACCAAATGGGGAAAAGCTATATCTTTGTAAGCCTGACAGTGATGGTGGCGGGTGGTGAATTGTGGACCAGCCAGAAATTTAATGGGGAGACCCTGGAAATGAAAAATCCGTAGAAAAGCTGAGATAATCTCTTCATACAGTCTCAGTTGACTAGAAATCTATACATACTTGGAAGAGGCCTGAGAGAGCCTGGTGAAATGTGAAAGCCAAGAGACACTTGAGAATATTGAATACATTTTGCAACAACATAAAAATCAATGGACAGAGGTGAGAGCCTTATAGAAATGAGGTATTTGAGTTCAACCTCTGCCCACAGCATTGGCTTACCACTAAGTTATGTACATAAGGGAGGAAACCTTTAGGAAAATAGCCTAAAAAACAAAAATAATTAAAAAACAGCAGAGACATTAGTGATTTCACAGTTTGTTTAGGTAAGTAATTAAAAAGAGTTATTAAAAATACAATCCTAAGAAAAATAAAACAGAATCCAGAGTTGCTACAATATAATATTTAAAAATGTTTACCTTTTAAAACAAAATTTTCAAGATATGCAAAGAAACAGGAAAATATATTCTATACTCAGTTACTTAAAAAGCAAGCAGTCAACAATAGAAACTGCTTTGAGTGAACCCAGATGATTTGGGTTATAGACAAGGACTTCCGAGCAAGTTATATACAAAACTTGGAAGTTTTGTATATATGTCCAAAGACTTAAAAGGGAATTATGTTCAAATAATGAAAGGAAAATATGATGATGATGAATTAACATATAGGAAATATAGAAAGGGAACCAGAACATATAAAAAAATGTAAATTCCAGAGTTGAAAAATAAAATAACTGAAATAAAAATTTACTTGACAGCTTCAACAGCCAATTTAAGATAGCAGAGGAAAAATTAAGAGAACTTGAAGAAAGAGCAGCAGAAATAATTCAATCTGAAAAATGTGGAGAAAAAAGATTAAAGAAAAAGGAAACCTTAGGGCAACATAAAATGTACCAATAATGGGAGTTCCAGAAGGAGAGAGGGGAGAAAGAACAGAAAAAAGTTTGAAAAAATAATGGCCCTCAAATGTCTCAAATTTGATGAAAAGCATTTTCTAAGAATCTCAATAAATCCTAAGTAGTATAAACATAAAGAGCATCACAGATAGGTGGGCATGGTGGCTCACACCTGTAATCCCAGCACTTTGGGAGGCTGAGGCAGGTGGATCACTTGAGGCCAGGAGTTTAAGACCAGCCTGGCCAACGTGTCAAAACCCCACCTCTACTAAAAATATAAAAAAATTAGCGGGAGATTGTGCCACTGCACTCCAGCTTGGGTGACAGAGTAAGACTCCATCTCAAAAAAAAAAAAAAAAAAAAGCACCACAGATAAACATATCATAACCATAAAGAAGAAATAAATCTTGAAAGCAGCAAAAGAAAAGCATCTCATCACATACAGAGGATTAGCCATATATGGTAGACAGCTGATTTCTCATCAGAAGCAATGGAGGCTGAAATACAGTGAAATGTGGTGGGTGAGGCAGGGAGCTTACCTGCCCACTGAATTCTACAGCCAACCAAACTATTCCTCAAAAGTGAAGGTAAAATAGAGACATTCCAAGATAAACAAAAGCTGAGCTAATTCATTGCTAGCTGCCTTTCACTACAAGAAGTGTTAAAGGAAGACCTTCAGAAAGAGAGAAAGTGACATCAGGTGGTAACTCAGATTCACAGGAAAGATGAAGACCATGGGAAATGTTAACTATATAGGTACATATAAAAGACTGTGTATGTATTTTTTCCTCTTAAGTTACTTAAAAAACAGTCATTTAAAACACATTAAACTTTTTTCCAGGTCATTTCAATCATATTTATAAATAACATGTTTATGTCACTGTCATGTTATCAGATTTAGACTTTTTAGCTCACTTGTACCCCACACTTCCTCTTTTCCCTCTGCTCAATATGGTTCTATCATCACTTTTGATTTCTGTATTGGTTACCATTGTATCTCTTTATTACTTTTGACCTATATATTACTTATATACCCACTTTGTGAGATGAATATATTACAAAGAAAAAAGAACTTTCCTTTAGGTCTCCTCCCCTCTTCACCTTTTGATTTCTTTTATCTGCACATTTACTTTTACACTATAATGATTGATCACATTTACTTTCTGTTTTTCAACTATATTAAATCTTTCATGTTTGCTTATAGGATGAGTTGAAACTCAATAGTAAGTATTTACATTATTAATGTAAATTATTAGGGATAATAGAGTTCCGTCTTTGAACAGTATTGCCTTTACCATAGCCGTGTTTCTTCCCTGCCCCTAGCTCTTCATCACAATGTCTATTCTGTCAAGTTTTATGTTTAATGGAAACCTCTCCTCTATCTTTCCAATCTGTTAAGGACCAGTTGCCCCTGTCTGGTTGCCACCCAGTCACTTTTCTCACTTTTTAAGGTTAGAGCCATTGTTTGGTGGATTGCATGTCCTTTCCTTTTCAGTTTTATGCCTTCACTTTGTGTATTCCATTCTCTAATAACTTTCTAAGAGTACATGATAGGTTAATTTATTAGTTCTTAAAAACTTGTAAATATATCTTACCCTCAAGGTTGCAGGATGATTTGAAAGGTTGGGAATAATTTTCCTTCAGGGAAGGGATCAGGAGACTTCTATAGAGAGCCAGATAGTAAATGTTACAGGCTTTGCCTGTCATATGATCTCTGCCGCAACTACTCAACTGTGTAGCCTTTGTAGCATAAAAGAAGCTACAAACAATAGGTAAATGAATGAGTGTGGCTGTATTCTAGTAAATCTTCATTTTCAAAAGAGGCCACAGGCTGGATTTGGTCCATGGGCTATAATTTGCCAATTCCTCCTTTAGAACTTTGAAGACATGATTCATTGTAGTCTCGTGTCTAGTGTTGCCAATGAAAGTCTGATGCTAGACTGATCCTTGTTCCATTGCATGTGACCTTGTATTTTTTTTTTCTAACTGGGAATATTTAGAATTTTCTTTTTAACTTTTTCATTCTAAAGTCATGCAATACAGCTGTAGGTCTTTACTCATCAATCTATTTGGCTCATAGAGGGATATTTTAGTCTGAAAATTTGAGTCCTTCTGCTCAGGGAAAGCCTCCTCTTTTAATTTGTAATTATTTCCATTTAATTTATAATTATTTCCACTCTGGTGTCTCTGACCCTTTTCTCCTGGAACCTTGATTGGTCTGACAATGGCTACTTGAATTAATTCCGTTTCTATCTAATTTTCTCTCTCATTTTTGGCGTTTGTATCTAATCTCTCTCATTTTTGGGGGACAGATATCTTTATCTTCGAATTTTTGAGATGTTTCCCGAATTTTATCTTTTAAAACTTTTATTGATAGATGGTTTTTGGCAGTTACATTTTTAAAGATCTCATTCTTGTTTTCTAAATCCTTTCTTTTTTTTTTTTTTTTTGGCATAGTAGATTTACCATGAGGCAGGTGGCCCCATACTCTAGTACCAAAAGTTGCTGGAAATTGTAGAACTTCTAAGTAGAAAGGTAAATAATAGCTTAAAATCAAGAAGCATTTCTATGAAAGCTTTTCTAGCTAAATAAATCTCAGAAAAAAGGGACTGGAATCTCTAAGATTCCAGTAAATTAAATTGTGACTTTTTTATATATTATTTTTGCACCTAATTGTATATTTCTAATTTTATATTTTTCAAAGGGCCCCAGTACTGACTAAGCCTTGAACCATACAAAATGTAAATTGTCATTTTATTTTAATTTCTCTGACAGGACTAATTAGCATTTTTCTAAGTTCTTTTTTGTTTTTTTGTGTTTTATCTGTTTCCTTGAGGTTTTTTGTTTTGGATTAGCATATCATTTTTGCCCCACAAATATCTGGTGATCCTTGGTATTCCATTCATATTTAAAAGTGAGAAAATAGAAAAGCTAGCTATGAGGTCTGTGAACATGGGTGGTGTATTAGTCAAAGTTCCTCAAAAAAACAGAACCAATAAGATAATATATATATATGTGTGTGTGTGTGTGTGTGTGTGTGTGTGTGTGTATTCATTCATTCATTCATTCATTCATACATTAGAAGAATTGGCTCAGGTGATTATGAAGCCAAAGAAATCCCACTGTCTGCTGTCTGCAAGCAGGAGAGGCAGAAATGTCAGTACTATAATTTAGTTTGGGTCTGAAGGCCTAAGAAACTGGGGGGTTTCTGGTGAAATCCCAGAGTCTAAAAGCCTGAGACCCTGGAGCTCCGATTTCTGAGGGCAGGAGAAAATGAATGTCCCAGCTCTAGAAGAGAAAGAGCAAACTTGCCTTTTCTCTGGCATTTTTGTTCCATCTGCACTCTTAATGGATTGGATAATGCCTACCCACATTGGTGAGGGTGCATCTTTACTTAGTCTACCAATTCAAACACTAATCTCTTCTGGAAACACCCCCAAAGGGACACCCAGAAATAGTATTTTGCTGGTTATCTGGTCATCCCTTAGCCCAGTCACCTTGATGCACAAAAGTAACAATCCAGTTGGGACTTGTCAACAGACATGCTTTGATTTAGAGGATCTAGAGAGGGAGTCTGTAAGGTGCTGCTTCAGTTCTCAAAAACTGACAGTTCACTCAATTGTTTTTCATTCACCACTGATCAGAATCACTCAATTTTTTTTTTTTTAAAGAGAGGAACTCCCTCATTCTTTCTTCTTTAGGAAGATAAATCTGGCTTTTGGAAGAAGTTCGACTGTTTCTTCTTTAGTGTCTTGTTTTTTGTCCCTGTATTTCACTTCTGCCATCTGTCATACCAAGTCTAATATTTCTAAATTTTACCGGCAGACAGGAGGCTCTTTCCATTGGAACAGCCCCTCTGTGTGTATTTTAGGCTGTTCCTTCCTCTGTTTTGCATCACCAATATCTATTTCTTCTTGTGCTTTGTGTCTTCCAGAGATTCATTGAAATCCCATATTTACTGATAGCTGCCTCCTATTCTCTCAGTTGTGGGTTTACTGGGCTATAACAGAGCCTCAAAAGATAAAAGAGATAAAAGTGTACTCAACTGCATCTTAAACTCAGAGCCCTGTGATACTTTAAATTCCTCACCAACAAATTCATAGTTTAATAGATGGCTCCGATTTTGATGTCTATGCTTTTAGGTTGTCCAGGATTTCTTCTGGAAAAACTCACTTTTTTTGCTTATACATTTGTTATTTTGAGGACATTCAGTTCTCAAGTTCAGCATCCATCTTATCCCTTTATATCTTCAAAAAATTCTTCAATGTTTCTGTCCAAGCCTTCCTGGTTTTCCTGCATTGCCACATTCATGTTTTTATAATCTGTCATTTCAAAGGGAGTTTGTCGGGGAGAAAAGGAAATGCATGTGCTTAGTCAATCAATCGTCTTCAACCAGAAGCCAGAATTTTCAAATTCTTTTTTTTTTGAGACGGAGTTTTGCTCTTGTTGCCCAAGCTGGAGTGCAATGGCGCCATCTCGGCTCACTGCAACCTCTGCCGCCTGGGTTCAAGCGATTCTCCTGCCTCAGCCTCCCGAGTAGCTGGGATTACAGGCATGTGCCACAATGCCCAGCTAATTTTTGTATTTTTAGTAGGGATGGGATTTCTCCATGTTGGTCAGGCTGGTCTCGAACTCCTGACCTCAGGTGATCCACCCGCCTCGGCCTCCCAAAGTGCTGGGATTACAGGTGTGAGCCACCATGCCCTGCCTCAAATTCTTTAATGATATAATTTAATGGCTTTTTCTCTTTTAATAAAAACATCATAGCCTGTAAATCAGAAAACATTCAGAACAAAGAAGCCCAGAAATATAATTATGCACACACATTTATAGAAGCTTTGAATTAACTTCTTTTTTGATATATTTGATCCCAAAGGCATAATCTAAAACTTATCAATTACATCCTATTTTTGACATTTTCTTTTCAGAAGACATTCTTATCTGTCCTTTTATCTTTTTCATTGGATATTTAACTCCTTGATATCTACATGATTCAGAACCTTACCCTTTTTCTTTGACATTTTACTGTACTTTGAATTTGTTTTCATGCAAGACTCTTCTGCCAAAGACCGTTGATATCTTAGGTGAACCAGGATCCATTGGAAATAAGAAATAGTATGTTTACTCTGTTATTTAAATTGGAAGGAAAATACAGTGTTTTGTTGAGTACACCTCCATGAACTAATCCAACAAGAGATTTTCTGAATACATCCCATGTATTCAGAAAACGTATTTTTAGGCAGTACAGATACACTAGTGACCAAGACAGACAAAAGTTCCCTGTCCTCTTCAGGACATAGGCATGGGCAAAGACTTCATCACTAAAACATCAAAAGCAATGGCAATAAAAGCCAAAATTGACAAATGGGATCTAATTAAACTAAAAAGCTTCTGCACAGCAAAAGAAACTATCATTAGAGTTGTGGGCAGAGGATTACCTAAGTGCCAAGACAAGAGACTGAAGGCACAAACTGTTTTAGTATAATAAAAAAATAGTTAGAATAAGAATAGTCATAATACAAATTAAATAGAGATGATCATAGACAATTATTGATCATTATTATAAACATTATTAATCATTAGCTTTTAATATTACGCTTTGTTGCATTACTAATATAACCTAGGAATAACTGATAGGTATAGGGTCAGGTGCTGAAGGGACATTGTGAGAAGTGACCTAAAAAGCAAGAGGTGAGTCTTCTGTCACGCCCGCATAAGGGCTCTTGAGGTCTCCTTGGTCAAGCGGTAATGCCAGTGTCTGAAAAAACACCCATTAGTTAGCAGACCATGAAAGGAAGTTTCCTTTCCTTGGAAGAGTCAGGGAACACTCTGCTCCACCAGCTTCTTGTGAAAGGCTGGATATTATCCAGACCTGCCCACAGTCATCCAGAGGCCCAAACCCCTCCCTGTGGTGCTGTGCTTCAATGGTCACACTCCTTGTCCACTTTCATGTTCCTCCCATACTCCTGGTTCCTCTTTGAAGTTCGTAGTAGATAGCGGTAGAAGAAATAGTCAAAGTCTTAAAGTCTTTGATCTTTCTTATAAGTGCAGAGAAGAAAATGCTGACGTATGCTGCCTTCTCTCTCTCTGCTTTGGCTACTTAAGAGGGAAGGGCCCCCTGTCCTGTGATCACGTGACTTGCTTCACCTTGTCAATCACTTAGGAGATTCACTCTCCTTACCCTACCCCCTTGTCATGTATGCAGTGAATATCAGCGCGCCCAGCCGTTGGGGCCATTACCAGTCTCCGTGTCTTGATGGTAGTGGTCCCCGGGCCCAACTGTTTTCTCTTTATCTCTTTGTCTTGTGTCTTTATTTATTACAATCTCTATATGGGGAGAACACCCGCTAAGCCCCATAGGGCTGGACCCTACAAGAGTGAACAGGCAACCTACAGAATGGGAGAGAATTTTTGCAATGTATCCATTTGACAAAGGGCTAATAGCCAGAATCTAAAAGGAACTTAAACAAATTTACAAGAAAAAAACAACCCCATCAAAAAGTGGGCAAAGGATATGGACAGATACTTCAAAAGACACCTCAAAAGAAGACATTTATGCAGCCAACAAACATGAAAAAAAGCTCATCATCACTGGTCATTAGAGAAATGCAAATCAAAACTACAATGAGATATCATCTCACACCAGTTAGAATGGCGATAATTAAAAAGTCAGGAAACAACAGATGCTGGAGAGGATGTGGAGAAATAGGAAACTTTTACACTTTTGGTGGGAGTGTAAATTAGTTCAACCATTGTAGAAGACAGTGTGGTGATTCCTCAAGGATCTAGAACCTGAAGTTCCATTTGACCCAGCAATCCCATTACTGGGTATATACCCAAAGATTATAAATCATTCTACTATAAAGACACATGCCCACGTATGTTTATTGCAGCACTATTCACAATAGCAAAGACTTGGAACCAACCCAAATGCCCATCTATGATAGGCTGGATAAAGAAAATGTGGCACATATACACCATGGAATACTATGCAGCCATAAAAAAGGATGAGTTCATGTCCTTTGCAGGGACATGGATGAAGCTGGAAACCATCATTCTCAGCAAACTAACACAGGAACAGAAAACCAAACATGGCATGTTCTCACTCATAAGTGGGAGTTGAACAATGAGAACACATGGACACAGGGTGGGGAACATCACACACCAGGGCCTGTTGCAGGGTCGGGGGGGTAGGGGAGGGATAGCATTAGGAGAAATGCCTAATCTAGATGACGGGTTGATAGGTGCAGCAAACCACCATGGCACATATATACCTATGTAACAAACCTGCTCATTCTGCACATGTATCCCAGAACTTAAAGTATAATTAAAAAAAAAAGTTCCCAGTCTTCACGAAGTTTACATTCTAGTGGGATACAGACAACAAATAAGATAAATAGATAAAAGATACATGTGTTAGGATTCTCTAGAGAAACAAAACCAACAGGATGTTCATATATAAGATTTATTATAAGAAATTGGCTCATGTAATTATGGAGGCTAACAACTCCTAAGATCTGCAGGGTGAGTGGGCATGTTAAAGACCCAGGAGAGCTCATGGTTTAGTTCCAGTGTGAGTCCAAAGGCCTGAGAACCAGAACAGCCAAAGATGTAGTTCCAGTCTAAAGGCTGACAGGCTTTAGACCCAGAAAGAGCCTATGTTTCAGTTTGAGTCCAAAAATGCAGTAACAAGCTGAGGTCCCAGTTTGAAGGTCACTGGGCAGGAAGAATTCTCTGTTACTCAGGAGAGGGTCAGCCTTTTGTGCTAATCGGCCCTTCCACTGATTGGATGGTGCCCACTTGCATTAGGGAGGGGCAATCTGCTTTACTCAGTCTACTGATTTAAATGTCAGTTTCACTCCCAATTCCCATCACAAGCACACCAGAAAAATGTTTGGTTAAATGTCTGGGCACCTTGTAGCTTAGTCAAGTTGGCATAAAATTAACCATTACAATATGGTAAATTAGATGGAGTGTCATGTTAAGGGAACACCAAGGAGGTTGGTGGGGCAGAAGTGGAGTGAACATGGGGGCAGAAGGAGGTGATGATGCCAGAGAGGTAACTGGGGGCCACATATGCTCAAACTTGGTAAACCATTTGGCTGTTAATTGCAGTGGGTGCTAATAGGAGGTTTTGAACAGAGAAGCAACTTGATCTAAGCTTTAAAAGGTTTCCTCTAGCTATAGTATTGAGAATTGACTGAAGGAGGCAACCTGCGGTGGAAATAGGGAAATCAGTTAGGATACCCACAGTGGGTTGAATGATGGCCCCCACATGATATGTCCACATTTCTAGAACCTTATGAATTTTACTTTATTTGGAAAAAGAGCCTTCATAGATACAATTAAGGTAAGGATTTTCAGATGAGGAGATCATCCTGGATTATCTGGGTAGGTCCAAAATTCAATGAAAAGTGTCCTTGTAAGAGAAAGACAGAGGGAGATTTGAGACAGAAGAGAAGGAAGGAATGTAACCAGTGAGGCAGAGACTGGAGTGGTGCTGCCATAAGTAAGGGAATGCCTACAGTCTCCAGAAGCTGAAAGAGGCAAGGAAGAGTTCTCCTATAGACCCTCTGGAAGGCGAATGGCCCTGACAACATCTTGATTTCAGATTCCTCCAGAACACTGAGGGAATAAGTTTGGGTTGTTCTAAGCCATCTAGTTTGTGTTGATTTGCCACAACCACAGGAAACTAATACAAGACCATTGTAGTAATCCTGGTGTGAGAAGTCTCTAGGCCAGCTCTTCTCCATGAACTCTGGATCCTGACTCTGTGACGAATGTCACCTGCATTACCCACAGACCACTCAGTCTCAACTGGTTCAAATGGAAAATAGTATCCCTTCTGTCCTCAAAATCTGCTCCACTTCCTGAATTTCCTATTTCAGTTGACTGTACCTCACAGTTTTTGGAGATGATTCCACTAAGAGTACATTTATGTACTACTAATTCCCAAACAGAGTTAAGTGCTAATTTTTGTTTTCCCACAGGATGTTGCCTATAGATTTTAAATAACATTTATTACATTCTTTTACATGTTCATATGTTTATTTCTTCCACTACACCTTTATATTTTGGAGGGCAGAGACTGTGTTTTATTTGTTTATCTCGTGGTCTTGGCATCTGGCATATTTCCGGTTCAGAGCATATGCTTAATGTGGTTTAATGATTTACAAATGAATAATTCATCTTCCTAGTCACTCAGGGAGAAGTCTTGGAGATGACTTTGGTTTTCAATGCCTCATTAACAAATATCAAATTGGCCATTTAGTTCTATCCACTCTCAAAGTATCTTTTATATTTTCCTCCTACTCTTTATCCTCACAGTCATTGTCTTGGCTTTCATAATTGTTTATTCATCCCATTTCAAAACCTCTTGGTTTCTCCAGTTTTATCTTTCCATGGTCTATTCACCAAGAAGATGAGCTTTTAAATGTGTTCATTTAATTATATCATTTCCTATTAAAATCTTCTGATGACTTTCAAAATCCTGATCTGACATACAAGGCTTTTGATGATTTGGCCATTTCCTTGTATGTCCTTATAATGCATCTATATTCTTAATATGTCTGTGTTGAACTACTTGCTCTTCATTCATTTAAACTATGTATCTCTATCTTGATCACAAGGCATTGGTGATAGGCCCTCAGAAAGAAAGATTTATAAGACATGATTTCTGTCCTCATTGAATTCCTAGTTCAATATCAGAGACAGTAATTTTAAAATTATATTTGTTATAATTGATTATAAGAAGAATACAAAAAATTGGAAAAAAATCTAACCCAAATTGGAAGGTGGAATTGTAAGACACAACCTCTGGTGGAGAGAATAGGTGATAGTATATGAGATATCTGAAAGGATAAATAGGAATTTTTCAGGTAACCAAGGAAAGGTAATAGTTTTTGTCAGTTGGAGGGAAACATATATGCAAAGGGAGTGAATGCCTTGTTAGGGAAAAATGGTTGAGTGTGGCCGAGGTACTGGGTATGAGTTGGACAGTAATAAGACTACAATTAATGGGAGAGGCTGGATTAAAAACTGGTGTATGAGGTTAAGAGGTTTGAATTTTATGTTCAAAGCAGTGGAGAGTTATTGAAAGATATAGCATATGAGTGGCATAATCACATTTGTATTTTAGGAAAATAATTCTATTAGAAATCTAATTAATGTATTGAGTGGAGCAAGAATGGAGACAGTGAAGACTGACAATGATCCAACTGGTCAGTTACAAGAACCTGAATAAAGGTAGTGCCGGAGAGTTACAACAGGTATAAATTTAGAAGGTAGAAACTGTAGTAATTGACAACTGACAGTATGGGTCAGGGAGAAGGATGAAATAAGAATGATTCTTAGGTTTCTGGTTTGGGAGAAGGCAAAAATACAATCTATGAAGGAAGTATTGGGAGGAAATTATGCAGTTAGTTTTGATCACATTCATTTAGTTTTGAATCTAAGATGCTTATCACATATCCAAGTGGAGATATAAGACCCTAGTTGGCTTAAATGATCTAGAGCTCAGAGCATTTATTTTAGTTTTTGGTATATATTTTGGAGCTCACTGGCATATAGGCATTACTTGATGCCATGGAGATTATGTAATGTCTGCTAGGATAAGTATTAGTGTGAGAAGAGAGGCTTGTGCAAAAGTCTGAGAACCCCAAACCTTTTTTTTTTCTTTTTTTGAGACTTGCTCTGTCACCCCGGCTGGAGTGCAGTGGCATGATCTTGGCTCAGTGCAGCTTCCGCCTCCTGGGTTTAAGCAATTCTCCTGCCTCAGCCTCCTGAGTGGCTGGGATTACAGGCGTGTGCCACCAGCTAATCTGTGTACTTTTAGTAGAGATAGAGTTCCCTGTGTCAGGCTGGTCTCGAACTTCTGGGCTTAAGTGATCCACCTGCCTTGGCCTCCCAAAGTGCTGGGATTACAGGTGTGAGCCACCAAGCCTGGCAGAGAACCCCAGTACTTAAGAGACAACTGAAGAGGAAAAAGTGGAAGAGCAAGAAAGTTAGGAGGAAAATCGCAAGGGAGTCAAATCTTTTTTTTTTTCTTTAATTGTATGCCAAGCATTTCACATTTTATTCTTGCAATACTCATGTGGATACTGGAGACAGGCTAGGAGTAGTAGGTGTGGAATAATGAGACAGTGAAACTTTTCTGGAAAACATTTTGGCAATATGGGTTAAGAGCCCTCAAAATGTTCATATTCTTTGGCCAAGGAGTTGTACTTCAAGGTGACTATCCCATGGAAAGGGTCACAAATGCAGTTGGTGCTTTTGTTCATATCTTTAATGGTTGTATTATATACTTTAGTATATAATGTAGCAACATTTATGTAATCACCCTTCACTTATTGGGAGTCAAGCCTTAAAAGCCAACTGAGGAGGAAATTTTGTGATGCCAGGAGATGTTCTGCAAAGTCAAGTGCAGCAGGGAAGTTAAGTAACATAAACATTTTAAAATTTTCTTTGAATCCGGCAACAAAATGGTCTTTGGCCAGGCGTGGTGGCTCATGCCTGTAATCCTAGCATTTTGGGAGGCCAAAGTGGGCAGATCACCTGAAGTCAGGAGTTCAAGACCAGTTTGGCCAACATGGTGAAACCCCATCTCCACTAAAAATACAAAAAATTAGCTGGACGTGGTGACACATGCCTGTAGTCCCAGCTCCTTGGGAGGCTGAGACACGAGAATCGCTTGAACCCAGGAGAGAGAGGTTGCAATGAGCTGAGGTCATGCCTCTGCACTCCAGCCTGGGCAACAGAGTGAGAATCCGTCTCAAAAAAAAAAACAAAAAACAAACAAAAAAAACTTTGATGACCTTGACAAAAGTAATGTTGAGAGTCGAGAAAGATGGAAGTAGAATTGTTTTACAGCAGTGTTTTAAAGTGGTTAGAAATTGGAGACTTAAGAGTGTAGACCACTTTTGCAAGTAGGAAGTAGTGTGACATTAAAGAGAATGATGTAGGATAGTAGCTACGAGAAACAAGAAGGTCAAAAGAGAAGGCATTTAAAAAGAAAAACTGGTAAGAATATTGGTATGTTGGAGGAAAAAACCTGGAAAAAGAGAAAAAGGTAGAGATACAGTCAAGAAAGATAATTTAGCAATATCTCTAATGATGTGGGAGGAGAATTAGATTCACATTTCAGAAAAAAAGATTTAATTAACTTTTTTCAGGCAAAAAATAACTAAAGAATAAGAAGGCCTGTTGATGGACACTTAGGTTGTTTCCAAATCTTGGCTATTGTGAATAGTGCTGCAATAAATGTGGGAATGCAGATGTCTCTTCAATATACTGATTTATTTTCTTTTGGGTATACACCTAGTAGTGGTTTTGCTGGATCATATGGTAGCTCAATTTTTAGTTTTTTCAGGAAACTCCAAACTGTTCTCCATAGTGCTTGTACTAATTTACATTGTCACCAATCATGTATGAGGCTTCCCTTTTCTCCGCATCCTTGCCAACATTTGTTATTGCCTGTCTTTGGATAAAATCATTTTAACTGGGGTGAGATGATATCTCATTGTAGTTTTGATTTGCATTTCTCTGGTGATCAATGATGTTGAGCACCTTTTTATATACCTGGTTGCAAATTGTATGTCTTCTTTCAAAAATGTGTATTCAAATCTTTTGCCCATTTTAAAATTGGATTATTAGATTTTTCCTACAGAGTTGTGTGAGCTCTTTATATATACTGGTTATTAATCCTTGTCAGATGGATAGTTTGAAAATATTTTCTCCTATTCTGTGGGTTGCCTCTTTACTTTGTTAAATTTGTTACTTGCTGTGCAGAAGCTTTCTAACTTAATGTGATCATATGTGTCCATTTTTGCTTTGCTTTCCTGTGCTTGTGGGGTATTACCCAAGAAATTTTTGCCCAGACCAGTGTCCTGGAGAGTTTTCCCAATGTTTTCTTTTAGTAGTTTCATATTTTAAGGTCTTAGATTTAAGTCTCTAATCGATTTTGATTTGATTTTTGTATATCGTGAGAGATAGGGGTCTAATTTAATTCTTCTGCATATGGATATTCAGTTTTCCCAGAACCGTTTGTTGAGGAGATGGTCCTTTCTCCAGTGGTATGTTCTTGTGTCTGTTTTCATGCCAGTACCTGTTTTCTGCTGTTTTGGTTACTATAGCTCTGTAGTACAATTTGAAGTGAGGTAATGTGAGTCCTCCTTTTTTTTTTTTTTCTCAGGATAGCTTTGGTTATTCTGGGTCTTTTGTGGCTCCATATAAATTTTGATAGGGATTGCACTGAATCTGTAGATTGCTTTGAGTAGTAGCATGAACATTTTAACAATATTGATTCCTTCAATACATGAACATGGGATATTTTTCCTTTTATTTTTGGTATTCTCTCTAATTTCTTGCATCAGTGTTTTATGGTTTTCATTGTTGAGATTTTTCACTTCTTTGGTTAATTTCTAGGTATTGAATTTTATTCATAGCTATGGTAAATGGTATTACTTTCTTGATTTTTTTTCAGAATGTTTTTCGGATGGCTGTTGGCATATAGAAATGCTGCTGATTTACGTATGCTGATTTTGTATCCTTCAACTTTACTGAATTTATCAGTTTTCATTGTTTTCTTGTGGAGTCTTTAAGTTTTTCCAAATATAAGATCACATCATCAGTAAACCATGATAATTTGGCTGCTTCCTTTCCAATTTGGATACCTTTATTTCTTTCTCTTGTCTGATTACTCCAGCTAGGACTTCCAGTACTATGTTGAATAATGGTGGTGAAAGTGGGCATCTTTGTTATGTTCTAAATCTGAGAGGAAAGACTTGTAATTTTTCCCCATTTAGTATGATACTAACTGTGAGTCTGTTGTATCTGGCTTTTATTATGCTGAGGTACATTCCTTCTTTACCAAGATTTTTTGTTGTTGTTGTTTTGTTTTTTGACAGAGTCTTGCTCTTTTGCCCAGGCTGGAGTGCAGTGGTGTGATCTCAGCTCACTGCAACCTCCACCTCCCAGGTTCAAGCAATTCTCTGCCTCAGCCTCCCGAGTAGCTGGGATTACAGGCGCCTGCCACCATGCCTGGCTAATTTTTATATTTTTAGTAGAGACGGAGTTTCACCATCTTGGCCAGGCTGGTCTTGAACTTCTGACCTCGTGATCCACCCACCTCAGTCTCCCAAAGTGCTGGGACTACAGGAGTGAGCCATCATGCCCAGGGTTTTTGTTTTTTTTGTTTTTTTGTTTTTTTAAATCATGAAGAGATGTTTAATTTTATCAAATGTTTTTTCAGCATCAATTGAAATGGTCATATGGGTTTTGTCCTTTATTCTGTTGATATGATGTATCACGTTGTTTGATTTGCATATGTTGAACCATCCTTTTATTCCAGGGATAAATCCCACTTGGTCATGATGAATGACCTTTTTAATGTGTTGTTGAATTTGGTTTGCTGATATTTTGTTGAGGAGTTTTGCATCTATGTTCATCTGCGATATTAGCCTGTAGTTTTCTTTTTCTGATGTGCTTTTGTCTGGCTTTGGTATCAGTGTAATACTGGTCTCATATTAGGTTGGTGCAAAGGCAATTGTGGTTTTTGCCATTGTGGGTTTTGCCATTACTTTCAATGGCAAAAATCGCAATTGCATTTGTACCAGCCTAATAGAATGAGTTTGGAAATATTCTCCCCTCCTCTATTTTTTGGAATAGTTTGAGTAGGATTGGTATTAGTTTTTCTTTAAAACTTTGGTAGAATTCAACAGGGAAGCCACTGGGTCCAGGGCTTTTCTTTGCTGGGAGGCTTTTTATTGTGGCTCAATCTTGTTTCTCATTTTTGGTCTATTCAGGTATTGGATTTCTTCATGGCTCAATTTTGATTGGTTGTATGTGTCTAGGAATTTATCCATTTCTTCTAGGTTTTCCAATTTATTGACATATAGTTTCTCATAGTAGCCTCTGATGATCCATTGAATTTCTGTGACATCAGTTGTAATGTCTCTTTTTTCATCTCTGATTTTATTTATTTGGATTTTTTTCTCTTCTTTTTTTAGTCTGGCTAAAGGTTTTTCAATTTTATTTATCTTTTCAAGAAAACAAACTTTTCATTTCATTGGTCTTTTATATTGTTTTCTTCATTTCAATTTCATTTATATCTTCTCTGGTCTTCATTATTTTTCTTCTTCTACTAATTTTGGGTATGATTTACTCCTGATTTTTTAAGTTCTTAAAGACGCGTTTTTGGGTAGTTTTTATACCTTTTTGATGTAGGCACTTATAGCTATAAACTTTCCTCTTATGACTGCTTTTACTGGATCCCATAGGTTTTGGTGTGTTGTGTTTCCATTATCATTTATTTCAAGAAATTTTTAAATTGTCTTCTTAATTTCTTCATTAGCCCACTGCCATTCAGGAGCATATTGTTTAATTTTCATGTGTTTTTGTAGTTTCCAAAATTCCTTTTGTTATTGATTTCTAGTTTTATTCCATTGTGGTCAGATAAAATATTTTATGTAATTTCTTTTTTTAAAAAATATATTTAAAGACTTGTTTTGTGTCCTAACATAGTCCATACTTGAGAATGATCCATGCCCTGAGGAGAAGAATATGCATTCTGCAGCTGTTGAATGAAATGTTCTGTAAATATCAATTAGGTCCATTTGGTCTATAGTGCAGATTAAGTCTGATATTTCTTTCTTGATTTTCTGTCTGGATGATCTGTCCAATGCTGAAAGTGAGATGTTGAAGTATCTAGCTATTATTGTATAGGGCTCTATCTCTCTCGAGGTCTAATAATATTTGCTTTATACATTTGGGTGTTCCAGTATTGGGTGCAAGTATGCTTAGAATTGTTACATCCTCTTGCTGATTGACCCCTTTATCATGTTATAAGGACCTTCTTCTTCTCTTTTTATAGCTTTTGTCCTTAAATCTATTTTGTATATTTTAAGTATAGCTACTCTTGCACTGTTTTGGTTTTCATTTGCATGGAATATTTTTTTCCATATCTTTATTTTCAGTCTATGCCTGTCTTTATAGGCGAAGTGTGTTTCTTGAAGGCAACAGATTGTTGGATCTTGTTTTTTCATCCATTCAGCCACTCTGTGTCTTTTGCTTAGAGAGTTTAGTCCATTTAGGCTCAATGTTATTATTGATAAGTAAGGACTTACTTCTACCATTTTGTTATTTGTTTTCTGGTTGTTTGGATGTCTTCTCTTGCTTCTTTTCTTCCTTATAATGAAGGTGATTTTTTTCTGGAGATATGTTTTAATTTATTGCTTTATACTTTTTGCATACCTGTTGTATGTTTTTTGATTCTGAGGTTATCATGAGGCTTGCAAATAAAATTTTATTACCTATTTGACAACTGAACACTGATTCCATAAACAAACTAAAAAACAAGCAAAGCTAATAACAACTGCACACTTTAAATTTGTCTTCCACTTTTTAACTTTTTGTTGTTTTTATATATATCTACATAGTACCATCTATGTTTTGAAAAGTTATAGGTGTTATTTTTGATTGGCTTACTTTTTAGTTTTCCTACTCGAGATATGAGTAGTTTACACATCACAATTACAGTGTTATTATATTTTGCATTTTTTCTGTGTACTTACTATTACCCATGAGATTTGTACCTTTAGATGATTTGTTATTGCTCATTAATGTTCTTTTCCTTTAGCTCGAATAACTCTCTTTAGCATTTCTTGTAGGACAGGTCTGGTGTTGATAAATTCCCTCCACTTTTGTTTGTCTTGAAAAGTCTTCATTTCTCCTTCATGTTTGAAGGCTATTTCCTCCAGATATACTATTCTAGGATAAAAGTTTTTTCCTTCAGCACTTTAGATACGTCGTACAGCTCTTTCCTGGGCTATACAGCTTCCCCTGAATAGTTTGCTCTCATATGTATTGGAGCTCCATTGTGTGTTGTTTCTTTTCTCCTGCTGTTTTTAAAATTCTTTATCCTTAACCTTTAGTGGTTTGATTATTAAATGTCTTTAGGTGGTCCTATTTGGGTTAAATCTGCTTGGTGTTCTATACTTTCTTATACTTGAATACTGATATTTTCCTCTAGGTTTGTGAAGTTCTCTGTTATCATTTTGAATAAACTTTCTACCCCTATTTCTCCCCCTCTCCTTCCCCTTTAAGGCCAATAACTCTTAGATTTTCCCCTTTGAGGCTATTTTCTAGATCTTTTTGGCATGCTTTCTTCCTTTAAATTCATTTTTCTTTTGTCTCCTCTGTGTATTTTCAAATAGCCTGTCTTCAAGCTCACTAATTCTTTCTTCTGCTTGATCAGTTCTTCTGGTAAGGGACTCTGATGCATTCTTCAGTGGCATTTTTCAACTCCAGAATTTTTGTTTGATTCTTTTTAATTGTTTCAGTCTTTTTGTTAAGTTTATTTGATAGGATTATAAATTCCTTCTCTGTGTTATCTTGAATTTTGTTGAGTTTCCTCAAAACAGCTATTTTAAATTCTCTGTCTGAAAGATCATATATCTTTGTTTCTTCAGAATTGTTCTCTGGTGCCTTATTTAGTTAATTTGGTGAGGTTATATTTTCCTGGATAGTCTTAATGTTTGTGGGTGTTCATCAGTGTCTGGGCATTGAAGAGTTAGGTATTTATTGTAGTCTTCACAGTCTGAGCTTGTTTGTACCCATCTTTCTTAGGAAGGCTTTCCAGGTATTCTAAGGGACTTAGGTGTTGTAATCTGAGTTTTGGTCATGACACTTGTGTCTGCCTTAGGAGATGCCTCAAGCCTAGTAACACTGTGGCTCTTGCAGACTTGTAGAGGTACCACCTTGGTGGTGGTCTTGGATAAGATCTGAAAGAATTCTCTGGATTTTCAGGCAGAGATTCTTGTTCTCTTTCTTTACTTTCTCCCAAATAAATGGAATCTCTTTCCCTATGCTGAACTGCCTGGAGTTGGGGGAGGGATTATGCAAGCACTCCTGTGGCCACCACCACTGGGACTGTGCTGGGTCTGACCTGAAGTCAGCATGGTACTGGATCTTGCCCAATGCCCGTGGTGACCACTGCCTGGCTACTGCCTATATTAGCTCAAAGTCCTAGGGCTCTAAAATCAGCAGGTAGCAAAGCAAGCCAGACTTGTGTTCTTCCCTTTAGGGTGGTGAGTTCCCCAAGTGCCAGTGGGTCCGGAGATGCTTCCAGGAGACAGGGCCTGGAAAACCTTAAGAATCTCCCCAGTGCTCTATTCTACTGTGGCTGAGCTGGCCTCCAAGCCACAGGATGAAGTCCTTCTCACTATTCCCTTCCCTTTCCACAAGCAGAGGAGTTTTCCTTGTGTCCACCACCACCCAAGGCTCAGGGGGAGTACTGCCTGGCTACTGCCAGTGTTCACTCAAGGCTGAAGGGCTCTTCAGTCAGCTTGAGGTGAGTGCTGCCTGGCCTGAGACTCTCCCTTCATGGCAGTGGGTTTCTCTCTGGCCCAGGGCAGATTCAGAAATGCTGTCCAAGAGCCAAGGCCTGGAATTAGGGACCCTAAGGGCCCGCTTGGTGTTTTACTCCACTGTGGTTGAGCTGGTACCTAAGCTGCAAGACAAAGTCCCTTTTATTCTTCTCTCTCCATTTCTCAAGAAGAAGGAGGCTTTCCCCATATCTCCCACAACTCGGAATGTGCTGGATCATACGGGAATCCAGCATGTCTCTGAGTCTCACTCAAAGCCTATGGTGAGTGCTATCTGGGTACCACTGCTGACTATTCAGGGCCCAAAGGTTTTTTAGTCAGCTGTGGATAATTCTTGACAGGACTGGATCCTTCCCTTCAAAAGAGCAGGTTCCCTTCTGCGCCAGTGTGTGCCTAGAAATGTTGTACAGAAGCTAGGTTCTGGAATGGAGGCCTCATGACTCTGCCCAGTGCCCTATCCTACTGTGGTGGAACTGGTATCCAAGTTGCAAGACAAAGTTCTTTTTACTCTTCCCTCTCCTCTCATTAAGCAGAAAGAAGTCTCTCCTGGAGCTGCAAGCTGCACTGCCGGGGGTTGGGGAGGGGTGATGCAAGCATTCCCTTGGCCACCCCGGCTGGTGTCTCACAAGGTTGCATGCCACCAACATCCGCTGGCTTTGAATCCAACACAGCACCAGGACTTGCCCAGGAATTGCAGTCCCTGTTGCCTTTCAAGTTTATTTAGGACTTCAGAGTACTTTAACCCACAATGGTGAGGCTTGCTGGAACTCAGGTTCCAACCACTGGGTTGGGCAATTCCCCTCTGGCTAGGGCTGGTCTAACTTATCCCTCTGTGGGTGCTGACTGAGTTCTGCCCACTATTACTTTCTGCTGTGACAGGCAGCACTGAGTTCCAATGTAAAATTCCACAGTCACTGTGCTCCCCCTCCCCCAAGCACACAGATTCTTTCTCCACCACATGGCTGCTGCTGGGGGATGGGGCAGGCGTGGTGTGGGCAATTCAAGACTATCTTTTCTATCCTCTTCGGCACCTCTTTCAGTGATATGAAGTTAAAACCAGGTACTGTGATCACTCACCTGATTTTTGGTTCTTATGAAGGTGCTTCTTTTGTGTTGATAATTGTTCTATTTGGTGTTCCTGCAGGGAGAATGATTGGTGAAGGCTTCTATTTGGTCAACTTGCTCTGTCTTTATAGCCAATTTATATTGATAAGAGGTAAAATTCATATTTTGCCATCCTTTAAAAACCTATCTATACCACTTTGTGTATGTGTGTGTATTTAGTGAGTTATTGCTGCTATGTTTTGAAGCATATTCCAGACTATTCTTTTACTAATAAACACTTAATAATATCATTATTACTATTAATTTTTATATACTATAAACAGAATATGTTCACATAATATTAAAACATGATCACATATTGGAACACAAACTCTGCATGTTACATAAAAAGCACAAGATTTACAGGACAAAAACTCTGAACAGTGTAGGAAAGATAGAAATTAACAATGTAAGTTTGATTTAAAAACCAATCACTTGGAAATTAAAAAATCAATTATACTAAGTAACTTTAACATGTACACAAAGAACAAAATCGTGATTATGGAATATTTTGAATAGTATGACAACCAGAATAGTAAGATTGTAACTTGTAACTCAAGAGTATAATTTAGAATTTTAAATATGTTTTTTATTAAATAAAAAATAAATATGAAACAGGCTGAAGGTTAATATAAGTAGTTAAAAGAAGGCAATATAAGTAATCTAAGAATACCAGTTGGATAGAGCAAATAAAGACAATTCAGAAATTATAGGTTTAAAAACAAATTCTAGTGTATACATCCAAAATACAGCTTATTGAAAAAAAATTGCCAGACAAACCTCAAATAACAACAAAAAGAATAGCAATGAAGAGAGATACAAATTATAAGTGGGAATGGTCATAACCACTAATACATGAAAATTCATGATTTCAGAGATAATAATTCTTCCCCAAGTCACTTATAAATATAATGCATCTCAATTAAAGTTGTAAAATTTTGTTGGGGAGCAGATTTGACAAAAATGATTCTGAAGTCATTTATAAAAGTGATGTTTTATAAAGATAAAAACAAGTAAAATAAACATTTGATTAAACATGCTGGTATGTAAAAAATTATTTTACAAAGGAAGGAAATGATAAACACAAAATTTGAGACAGTGGTTACTTCTAGGTGTGTGTGTGTGAGGAGAGACAGGAGAATAAAAGTGGGGAGGATATGTAAATTTGTGTTGATATTTTCAGTCTTGGGTGGGTGGTATATTAATGGGTATTTGTTCAATATCATTATTTTTAAATTATCTTAAAATAAATACTATAAAGTATATATTTAAGGTGTACACCATATTTTGATATACATATATGTATTAAAATGATTACTATAGTCAAACAAATTTACATATCCATCACCTTCCATAGTTACTTTTTAAATAGTTTTAGTTTTATTTATTCATTAACGCTAAATAAATAAGGTAAAATAGTTCTATTCCAATAATTATTGACTGAGGATTATGATTAATTCAATTATATGTACCTAAATTCCATTATAAAAATTTAATGAGTGAGAATAGCTAATATAAATTTAAATAGAAGAGGAATATGTGTGTTTGTGTGTGTGGAATGAAGGGTGTTTAGAAATAAGACTTACGTTTCTTGGTGTTAAAATATATTTCAAAGTAATAGTAATAAAACAATGTATTTCTGATCTAGTAATATGCAGTCAGCCTAAAAAAAACAGAGCAGGAGGTACAGAAATAGATGTGTGTGTGTGGTTGTGTTTATTAATTATGATAAATGATATACTGAACAGAATTTAGCACAGTCAATCTGGCCCATCTGGTTCTCAATAAATATTTTTATTATCTTCACTGTTATTAAGTTGTTATTTTAAATTATCATAAGATAGAATAAATGATTTAAAAATTATCTTGAGACAGTTTCTAAGTATTTTCAAAAAGATTGAGTTCCATTCTTGATTTCCAATTTTTTACCAGTTTCTCTCTAGATACCATTTGCGGTATTCCTGAGTCAGAAGAGAGGAAAGGTGATACTGCCACCCCCTGTATGTATTTCCTTTTAGATGTGGGATGTGGTAGGCAGCATGTTCCCTCCCCAGACTTCTCTCCGAGAGCTGTCTATGCCCTAATCCCTGCAACCTGTGAATATGTTATGTTAGTTGGCAAAGGGGACTTTGCAGATGTAATTAAAGTTACTGACCATATAATGAGGAGATTATTCTGGATTATCCAAGTAGGCCCAATCTAATTACATAAAGCCTTCAAAGCAGAGAGCTTTCTCCAACTGGAGGCAGAAGAGATGCAGCAGCAGCAGCAGCAGCGAGAACAATTCAAAGTACAGGGACTCAATGGGAACTTTCTGGTTTGATGTTGGAGGGAGCAGCATGATGAGGAATTTGCACAGCCTTAAGAGGCTGAGGGAGGCTCCTGGCTAACAGCTAGCCAGGAAATATGATCCTTAGCCTTGCAGTCATGAAAACTGAATTCTTCCAACAACTTGAATGAGTTATCCCTCAGAGCCTTCAGATAAGAGTCCAGTTTGCCAGCAATTTGATTTCAGTCTGTGAAACCTGGACCAGAGGAACCAGCTGAATTCACCAGACTTCTGACCCACAGAACTATGAGATAATACATTGAATACATTGAAGTTGTTTAAAGGAGCTCAATTTGCAGTAATTTGTTATGGCAACAATAGAAAACTGACATATGGAGGTATTGATATAGTCATGATTTTGATGACTAACTAGTTTGTGATCTGGATATGAAGTGTCACCATGCTACAGTGCCTGAGTCTGCTTCAGATTCTTCTACTTCTTGGCCATCTTTATTGGGAAAATAAGTATGTGAAATAAGTATAGTCTATTGCCCTTTTTGAGTACCACTGGTTAATTAATTTTGTTATTTTCAAGTGTATGTGCTTTAATTCACATGGCATTAAAAGAATCGGTAGTATAGTTTCACTCAGCCAGATGAATCCAGAAATCTCTTGCTCATTGAATCTTCAGAAATGAGAGTGAGAGCATTCCATGAATCTAGAATCAAAACACATTAGTACAAATAAAGATCACTAAAAATAAATATGTATGTGTGTGATGATTATTTTTATGTGTCAACTTGACTAGACCACAGTGTGCCCAGATATTTGGTTAAACATTATTTCTGTGTGTGTCTATGAGGGTGTCTCTAGAAGAGATTAGCATTTGAATAGGTAGACTGAGTAAAGAAGATTGCTTTCTCCAATATGGGTGGACTCATTCAATCTGTTGAGGGCCTGAATAGAACACAAAGTGGAGGAAGGGAAGATTCATCCCTTTCCTCCCTGCCTGTTTGTGTTGGGACATCTGTCTTCTCACGCTTGAACTGAGACTTACATCTTTGGTGCTCCTGGTTCCCAGGCTTTTGTACTTGAACTTTAACTTATACTGTTGTCTCTCTGGTTTTAAGACTTTTGAACTTTGATGAAAACTTACACCATTGGTGCTCCCTGTTCTCAAGCCTTCAGACTTAGACTGGAACGACACCATTGGTTTTCCTGTCTATCTGATAGATGGCAAATTGTGGGACTTCTCAGCTTCCATAATCATGTAAACCAATTCGTGATATTTTATCTGTCTCCATCCATCCATCCATCCATCCATCCATCCATCCATCCATCCATCCATTCTATTGGTTCTGTTTCTTTGGAGGACCTTGACTGACATAGTGTGTGTATATATTTATATGCACATGCATATATGACATAATGTATAGTTTACCTATGTTTTAAGCTAAAAACATAGGTCAGAAAATATTTGTAATCTTTTTGCTGGGAAAAAAAGTATAAGAGCCAGTATAAATTAACTTTTAAGGAGAATATACATGGTAGCCCAAAACACTCATTTTTGTGACGAAAATGAAAATTGGAATACAAGAATGAATTTTTTGAAAAGACCTAGATTTTATTGTTTTGGCCTTTCAATTTTTTCATGCCACAAAAATTTGTCAGAACACTTATCTTGTATCAGACAAAGCACTAGAATTGAGAAGTTAATGTTGAGTAAGGTAGACATTATTCCTGTCTTTTGGGTGCATTTGTGACAGCCCAGCAGAGCCGGCTTGGTCCAGTTAAACCAGCAAGAGTGGGTTTGTATTGATATGAATACAAAATGGTCTTGATGCTTCTCTGTACTGTTGGTCTGTACCAGCATTCCCGCTTTAGGGTTTACTGGAAAATCCCAGTTGTGAAACAAATGCCCTAAAGTGGAGTATACAAGCATCGACAGGAATATGCAATAGGGGATTGATATGATTTTGATCTGTGTCACCAGCCAAATCTCATGTCGAATTGTAATCTCCAATGTTGGAGGTGGGCCTAGTGCGGGGTGATTGGTTCATGGGGGCGGTTTCTAATGGTTTAACACCATCCCCCAGGTGCTGTTTTCGTGATAGTGGGTGAGTTCTCATGAGAGTTGATTGTTTAAAAGTGTATAACACCTCCTCCCTCTCTCTCTTTCTCTTGCTCTGGCCATGTGAAGATGCCTGCTCTGGCTTTGCCTTCTGCCATGAGTAAAAGCTCCCTGAGGTCTCCTCAGCCATGCTTCCTGTACAGCCTGTGGAACCAGGAGCCTATTAGATTTCTTTTCTTTATAAATTATCCGGTCTCAGGTATTTCTTTATAGCAGTGTGAGAATGGACTAATACAGGGACTGAACTCAATCAGTAGCCAAATGCAGGTTTCTTTGAGGAAAGCTGTAAAATAAATGATACCTAGGAGCTAACCAGGAGACAAGGGAGGCAGTAGTAGGTTTGAAGGCCTAGGAGACATGAAGAGCATGGTGCAGTGGGGTGACTGACGTTTTGTATGGTGGGAGAAACAGAGTGGAATGAGATTGCATTAATTGCTGGATGAAAGGTCAGCAGCTTTAAGGTATAACCATTTTCTCAGTCTTGACTAACTGCCATTATAACTTGGGGGATTGGGAAATAAGCCTGATTTTTATTCATTATTTTAAAATTAATATTTAAATATTACATTTTTTCTTATTAATTATTGCTCATACTTCACTAGACATGGTTTGTCGACATTCCTTAGAATGGGATAGTTCAGGGCAGATGGCTGCTAAGATGAGTCTCTAGATCACTTGTCATCATTATGTTGTGTGGCTGATAAAGACTTTATCTTTAATGCATCCCAAAATGTAGTTGCTGACTTCCCTGTATTTCTTTATTCACTCATTTTTTCATTATTTCCATGTTTATCAAATGCCCTGTTTGTCCCTCTCTGTTTGTTCTCAGTTCCTGAGCACTTATCTATGCTTTCTACTGCTGCCAACTCAAATTGCCACACACTTAGTAGCTTAAAACAACACGAATTTATTATTATTTTGCACTTCTGTAGGTCAGAAGGCCGATACAGGTCTCATTGAGCTAAAATCAGGGTGTTGACAGGCTGCATATTTTTCTTGAGGTTCTAGGAGATAAACCATTTCCTTGACTTTTCAAGCTTCTAGAGGCTGCGCACATGCTTTGGCTCGTGATCCCCTTCCTCATCTTCAAGGCCAACAACATAGAATCTCCCTGGCCCTGGTCCCTTTTCACTTCTCTTTCTTGGGCTCCCTTTTTCTGTTTCCCTCTTCCACTTTTAAGAACCCTTGTGATGACACTGGGCCCACCCAGATAATCCAGGAAATCTCCCTATAAAAAGGCCAGCTGAATAGCAACCTTAATTCCACCTGCAACCCTAATTCCCTTTGTTACGTAGCATAACATATTGACAGGTTCTCAGGACGTCTTTAGCAGGGGCCTTTATTCTGCCAATCACATGATCTCTATGAATCTGCTTCTTGTTTTTTTTTAATTGGGTGACATTAAATTCTGATTTCTTTCTTTCTTTTTTTTTTTTCTCTAGGGAGTCGTCTCTCAAGAGGACTTGATCTCTGGCCTGTGAACTGCCCCACATGTTTCTTCTGCACATCCTGACTCCCAGGCCTGCACAGGGGACTTCTGCACAGGCCTGACTCCCAGGCCTGACATTTTCTGGTCTGTCTTCGCCATGGTCTGCTATCAACTGCAGTTTTGAATTCTGGTTTCTCTTATTCTTTGTCTCTAGGCAAGTCAACAGGTTAGCTTCTTCCTCATGTTGAGAATTATGTGGTTAAAATGTAGAGAGTTAATCATAGTGAGTGATTGTACTAAGCCCTTCTATGGTTTCCAGCAGCAAGAAAGAATAGATGTTGCTCTTCTGCTTGTTGTTATGCAGTAATAGCCACTATTCTTACAATTTCAATGTTAGCTCACTCAGTGCTTTGTTTTTCAATGAACTGTACCACAGTTAGAAGAATTTAGAGATGGGTAATGAGGAAAGAGTTATAGAGCAGGGAGTGTGAGAAGCTGTGCTCGTTATTACTTTAAATTTTTACAAAGTGTGCAAAGTAACTAGAATCAAGGAGGCCATTTGTGTTTGCAAGTTTACTGTATATATATATATATATATATTTTTTTTTTTTTTTTTTTGAGACAGGGTCTCACTCTGTCACCCAGGCTGGAGTGCAGTGGCATGGTCATGTCTCACTGCAGGCTCAAGTGATTCTCCCACCTCATCCTCCCAAGTAGCTGGGACTACAGATGTGCACCACCACGCCTGACTAATTTTTAAATTATCTGTAGAGACAAGGTCTGCGTATGTTGACCAGGCTGGTCTTGAACTCTTGGGCTCAGCGATCCACCCGCCTTGGTCTCCCAAAGTGCTGGGATTACAGGTTTGAGCCACTGCACCAGCCTAGGGGAAATATCTTTTTTTCTTTTCTTTTTTTTTTTTTAAAGAGAAAATGCCTGTCAAATAAGCCATTGATCATGTGAAAACAGTGAAGAAACTTTTAGCTTACACTTACATACATAAAATATTAGGTAAAATGTTTCACAAAAGTTACAAAAAATTATTGAATTAATAGCTAAGGAGTTTCAGTGGCATGGGAATATTTTATTGTGCAATTTAAGTACTTTATTGAATTCCGTTAGCAATCATGAGTTTATAATAAATGGAAAAAATGGCCCAAAAACACACTGATGATACAACCTTTCTGAAGTGCTAAAATGAACCATTTGATTCTGTTCTATTTTAATGATATAATACCCATTTTTCTTTACTCTTTAATTCAATAGTCAAAGCAATGTTCATTCCTATTAGTTACATTTTTAAACTTTAATTTTTGTTGTAGACAAAAATTAAACATCTAGAAATATGTAAATTCTCTTACTACAACAAACCAGCTTCAAGGTTCTCTAAAATATAACTATCTACCTCTAAGACTCCAAGGCCACATTTCATGGCCAGGAAGTAGAAAGGTATAAAATCTTCAATGGGCTTTCAGTTCATTTTCCCAGTTAAACAGTATTCAGGAAAGAGTTAAACTTTGAAAATGAAACTAATTGTTGGAACATGATCTCTTTGAAACCCACCCAATTGGCCTTGTTCCTTCAATAAACAGATTCTGTTTGGTGGTGGTGAGGTGGCATTTGATATTAGTGAAAATTTGAAATCTTGAGATTTAGGGAGTAGAGAATAGTTGGAACAATCTGCATTATTTTTCTTTTTTCTCCTACAAATCAAAACTGAACTACGGATTTATGAGGAGCTCTCTTAGGCATTCAGGTGAATTTGATTTTCTTGTTCAGTTTCATGGATAGAACTGCACTGTGGTAATACAACAACAGTTTAAGAATATTTGAATAAATAAGTTACTTCAGCAATTGAGCTCCTGAAATTCCAGATCAGCCATTTGTAAAGTAATTTGCTTATAACATTGACAGCAAACTTAATTAGTAAATATTTATTTATTTAACAGATCTAATATGCTTCTTTACAAATGCATTATATTAGAAAGAGAAAGACTTTTATTTAGAGTCTTCTCTACCCAATTTAAAATACGCTCAAAAGATAAGTCCAGGTGATACATTCAGTGGCTGCAAATGCTTAGATTAGTTACTGAATGTATTGCTTGGACTCATCTCACGGATTCTAGAATTATCAGAAATCTGGGAGCAGAGAAAAAATAAGACACGATGTGAAATATAAAGAAATATGAATGGAAAAGACAATTCATTATTTCATAAAATATTAACAGGGATCTCTATTTAAAGAGTTGTTATTTAAGAGGGAACATGAGCAGTAGAGACAGGGGATTTTTAATTTTTTTTTTTTTTTTTTTGCTATGTTGCAGTAACCAGAAGAATCTAAATCGCTTTCCTGTAATGTTTCAAGATTCAGTGTCATATATTTGACTTTAAAGAAAGCACATGTTGCAAAAAAGAAACCAACATGTATTCTATGCTAAGGAATGGAAGGGTTGGTTGGGGCTTTAAGATATGCTTCAGAGAACATTGTGGGTGGGGAGTTTTTAAATGAAGTATCCAACTTGCAAGGCATTCAGAAAATTTTTATCATGACAGTCCCTTGATTTTAGTAACACATGGGATTTTACACTTTCTCTGAGCAATTCAAGTTTCCTTCTCAGAATCTTTTAACTGTTCAGCCTAAATTGTATCATGTCATAAACTGACAATTTTATGGGCTGAAATATAAAACGCTTCCTAAAATACAGTAGAAATATTATTTTAGGAAGGAAAATTTTTAGTAAGATTTGAAAATTCTTATTTAATATTGTACTTTAGCAAAAGACTTTCTAGGTAGGTAAAACAGATTCCAGCGTGGAATGCATCACTTTTTCTTCCGTATTTGGGAGTGTGTATTAAAGCCTTTCTATAGTAGAAGGTAGATAATCAGAGATTGAATTTTGAAATTAAGTAATCAAAATACCTTCTTTTTATGTAATTAAAAATTCAAGTATAGCAAATTGCATTTACTTTAGTAGGTATTTAGAGAAAAACATAGGACACAAAAATAATAATTTGTTTAAAAATGAATTTTAAAAATCTATGCAAAAATAAAAATTATAGAATTTAAGGGCTCTATTCTGGGAAACCTATCATAGCTGGCCATATTAAAGAATATGGATTATGTACTGATTCTCTTCTAAGTAAAATTTTAAAACATACTTAGTATAAACCAGAGTTTTGTTAGATAAAAACCCAGGTTAGTTTAAGAACCTTATAGTGTAACTGAGGTAATTGGACATTTTGAATAATTTTGTTTCCACAGACCTTTATCTTCCTAAAATTTTACTGAAATGAAAGTGCTGTCTTCATTTTTTCAATTTTTTCAAATGTAAATGCATTCTTAAATATTAACTTTAGAAAAGACTATTTGAATTTTACTCATAAATGGAGTTTTGAAAGAACGTGATCTTACAACCATTGGGCATGAGTCAACACGGCTTTTTGATAAATAAATCCCATTAAATGAATTGACTTTCTAAAAGCTGAAATAATCATTATCATAAATGCACCCCCTTCCCACTTCAAGAAAATTAAAAAAAAACCCTGTCTAGACAGAGTTGCTTATATAGTTACGGTTTGATTTTATAATTCCTGGAATATAGTACGAACACCTACTATTTGCTGGGCAGCTATTTTATGTCAGACACTTTTTCAGAAACTTTTCATGGTTTCTCATTTATTTTTCAGACAAAGTAATGGGGGCAATTATACTTATATTCCAGATAGCGAAAATGAGATCTCAGAGAGGGTAAGTGACTTGTCCCAGATTGTATTGTGAGTGGCAGAGGCAGAATTGGGATATAAATCTGTCTTTCTGAGGCCTCTGTTCTTTGCCTCAACCCCCAGCTACTTCGCCCACAGCCAAGAAAACACTGGCTCTAGGATGACAAACTGTTCCAGTTTTCCCAGGAAAGAGAGGTTCCTGGAATGTGGGACTTCAGTGCTAAGCCTGAGAAAGTCTCCGGCAAACCTAGATGAGGTGGTCATTTTATCTGTAGGCATTTATCTCTGTGGCTACTGCAGAGTCAGCAAGGCCATGCTGCTCTTTCAGAAGCTTCCTATTCCTGTGACATTATCTGCACAGCGAGATAATGCTCAAATCAGTTGGGTCAAACTCAGAGAGCTGCCTCCTGGAATAGCTGAATAGCTGTGCTGGCCAGCACATCACACAGGGAGAATTGAGCCTGTTATTTATCAATCAATCCCAGTCTTTCATGCAACTTCAGAACTCTCAGATACAATGTTTGAAACATTTTATCACAGCCCAGGATTCCTATTAATTAAAGAGAATATTAATCAAAGGCATTATTTGCATCCTTTATCTCTAATGCAAACAGAAGTGGGGTATTCTCTGATCACAATGCTTTGCTTATTAATACAGTGTGTGGCTTAGCAGTTCTTTACTTTTCCTTAATCTAATCTATTACCTTGCTAATTTTCCCACATCTCTTTCATCTGAAAGGTTTTGTTCAGTGGAATTTTTAAGTTTCTTGATAGTTGAACATATTCCTTTAGGTCAGCATATTATGTAATATCACAGATTCTGAGGACATACTGCTAATTTCTAGCTGATGACCCTGAGCAGAGTTACTTAACTTCTCTTTACCTGGTTTCCTCATCTATAAAATAGGGACAATAGTAGTTCTTACCATACAGGGTTATTTGTGGGGATTAGGTGAATCAGTTTATGTAAAGCATTTATAATAATACCTGGCACAAAGAAAGTGCTATATAAGTGCTAGCTACATTAACTATGTATGCTTTTACTGATCTTGGATGATACCATGTTGTTTTTTGCACTGGGGGCACTCAATGTTGCAATTGATGACTTGGCCAGTAGGGAGTATTTGGCATCTAGCATGTGTGCTGAAGGTTTACAGCTACCTTTTCAAAGAAATAGGAACTTATTAGTGCTCTGTTTGCAATGTTCTCATCAATCTTGTGGTGGAACTAAGACTATAGTCAATAGTCCTACAGTAGGACTATAGTTCCTACTGGAGTTCAGAAAGGTAGTAGTCTTGAATTTGAGGCTAAGAATGGTCTTACCTCTATATAAACTGAGAGAAAGCTCTCTGATAATACCTTTTCTCCTGTAAATTAAAAATGATGTATCAATGTTGAAACTAGTTCTATTAAAGAGAAAATACTTCCCTATCCTTTAAAATATACTATGGAGGCTTAACATTTATAAGCACATTTTTAATGTAGTGGACTAGGATCTCTAAAACAGTATGAGATTGCAAAGCAATGAGTCTTGGCAGTGGCCTGAAAAGATTTACCTATTAATACATGAAAGTGCTTTCATTAAAATGTAAATTTCAAGTGAGGAAAACTACATCGCTGTAATTTTGCTATCCAGAGACTGACATGCACTTTAGGATACGTGCCTTTTTAAACTGAAATATGAGGTTTAAATATGTTCAGCAGCTGTCTGCCACGTCCTCTACATTGTTCTATGATTCAGAATATTTATTGACATAGTGAATCATTCTACCATTGGTTAATCAAGAGAAGCTGCAATTGATTTAAGGAGGAGCGGCATGGTATATACACGGAAAGCAGCTGGTTTTTAGTAACGATTGAAGTGTGTAGGCATAAAAACAATAAATTGAGGTACAGATTTGAAGGAATATGTATGGATTCCAATAGCATGGCTTCTTTCCTGTTTATAAAGTGAAGTTATCTGGCTTACAATGTTAACAATTGTTTATTAAATTTAATAAGTATTAAGCATTATGTTAAATTGATTCATAATATTATTATTTGAACTCAAAGGTTGTGATTAGGCTTATGAAGTATGACTGAAAATGTAAAATACTGACAGAAATGATCCAAAAGTATTTATTTAGGTTGAATGCTTATTTGATATGTTCTGGTATTCGATAGAACAACCATTCTAAGAAACACTAAGACAACGTGATATAAAGATTTATAATGGGAAGATCAAAATATATTTACTTACAAAATAGAGCATCACCTTTTCTAAAGGGCTTCTGATCCTCTAAACTAATTTCCAAATATCTTTTAGGTCATTATATTGAAAGCAATGCAATGATCTTTGAAAATAGAGGAAGTCTTTTTTCAGTGCTGACCTCAGAATATTTCAGGTCAGTGTCACTGAACTGTCCATCTTAGTATCTAAGTATTGAGGCTGCTCCTAGGAGGGAAATACTGAAGGAAGGCTAAGATGTCTGGGAAGTGTATCACAAGTTAGAGATGATTCAACAGTGAAGGTCTATCTTTCTCCCCTGGTTGTCTTACATTTCTCTCTGAATACTGATTTTGTTGTTGTTGTCGTTCTTCGATAGTCTTTTACTCCTTAAGTGCTAGGAAGCAACTGCCTAGAGAGCTGATTATAGGGTCATTGAATTGCTGTTGGAATTTTGGTGCCAGTTAACTCAGATGTCTTCAGACCACACCCTAAGCAGTTAGTAGTATGTAATAATTGGTAATGTATAAATTTGTGTCTCTTCCCGGGAACTGGGGGAGAGCTTCCTCTATTTAACAAAGCCTATCTGGAACATGAATATGATGCTCAGGGGGGTGAGGCAGCCGTGTGTGACCATATGATGTTAGAAATTTTGAGATAAAAAATTATATAAATGTACATATATTATGTATTTTTTAATTTCTGTTTAGAATTTTGGTGATGTGTAAGTGCAAATTACATAATGTAACTACAGGTGGTGTCACCAGCTCTAAGACCAGACACTTGATAGTTGTCTGGAGCTGGCGGTTGTCAGCAGCCAAAATTCTGAAACCAGATAAAATGGCATGCAAAGTATTAATGTCTGTGTGTTCCTAGACTTTCATTTCCTTCTACCTGCTAAGAAGATTCTGGTTTCTCTGGTCCATCATGTTCTCTCTGCATCCTTTGAAGGGGGCTGCTGTGACAGAAGAATTTGTGTTTTGGCTTTTGTGATGCAGAATCAGAAGTCAAGGATGATGGCAGAAAGGAAAATAATTTTGCAATTGGGTCAGGGGAAAAGGCTTTTTTCTCCCTTTTAAGAAAATGTGTTAAAAGACATATGAGAGCAGTGGTGGCATAGGAGGAAAATGGATATGAGGTTCAAGAAGAGCAAATGTGGCAGGTGTTGAGGGTGAGCCTTCTGACCCCCTGACTAGCTCCTTCATTCCTTGCCTTTCTCTATCTTAAGACTAGAAAACAAAACGCTCAATATCTCCAGCTCCCTTGCAGGTAGGAGTGCCCATGGGCAAGATTTTGGACAGTAAAGTATGGGCTAAAGTATATTGGGGGTAAGGCGGCAGTGGTTAAAATTACATTTTGTTGTTGTTGCTGTTTTTAGAGACAGGGTCTCACTCTGTTGTCCAGGCTGAAGTGCAGTAGTGCTATTATAAGTCACTGCAGCCTCAATCTCCTGGGCTCAAATGACCTTCCTGCCTTAGCCTCCTGAGTACCTGGGACTGCAGGTGCATGCCACCGCACCCAGCTGATTTTTTTTTTTTTTAGTAGAGAAGGGTCTCACTGTGTTGCCCAGGCTGGTCTTGCACTTCTGAGCTCAAGTGATCCTCCCACCTCAGCCACCCAAGGTGCTGGCATAAAATTACATTTCTGAGTAACACCTTGTAAGAGAAAGCTCTCAGTCCCTTCACATTTTATTCCTCTAGAACATGGAGTATCCTGGAAGTATGTTAATGAAAGTCACTTGCCAAGGATGGCAAAATAGGGAGACAGAAGGAGCAACACTGTGGACTTCTGCATTGAACCTGATTGCCTACCTTTGAACATTGTGAAGACGAAAGAAAAACCTTATGTGTCATGTAGTGTTCTGGCAGACACAGGTGAAGGACCAAAACACTTCAAAAAATAATTCAATGAAGAGACTATTTATAGAGATAGTAACAAGAATAAGGGAACTATATTTCAGGGTTCTCCAGAGAAATGGAACCAATAGAAGATTTTTAAAAAGAGGTTTATTATAAGGAATTGCTCACACGATTGTGGAAGCTGGCAAGTCCAAAGTTTGCAGAGCCAATGTCCTAGTTCCAGTCCAAAGGCTGGATGGCTACCGTAGAGCCACAAAAGGCTGATGTTTCAGTTTGAAGGCTGTCAGGAAGGAGAATTCTCTGTTCCTTGGGAAGGGTCAGTCTTTTGTTCTGTGCAGGACTTCAAATGATTGGATGAGAGCCACCCACATTATGGAGGATCATCCACTTTACACAGTTTACTGATTTAAACATTAATCTCATCCAGAAACACCTTCACAGAAAACCTGTAATAAAGTTTGACCAAATACCTGGGCATCCCATGGCGCAACCAAATATATGCATAAAATTAACCATTATAGGAATTAATAAGAGATGATACAACACCCAAGGACTAGAAATGCTGGGAAGTGAGAAGGATTAAGGAAGGAAACAGTGTTCACTGGAGCCAGCAAGAACTTGAGTCAGAGAAGAGGAGCTGCCTCATAAAACTTGTGGCTATAGAAGAAAGTAATTGCCAGAATTACAGCTGTGCCAATAAGGGCAGGAGGCATGGGAGTGGTGGGGAAGACACTATGGGAGATCAATATGTGATCCTTTCTCTTCCCACCTCTATTAGCCCATTCTTACACTGCTATAAGATACTACATGAGACTGGGTAATTTATAAAGGAAGGAGGTTTAATTGACTCACAGTTCCACATGGCTGGGGAGGCCTCAGGAAACTTACAATTATGGCTGAAGGCAAAGGGAAAGCAAGGACCTTCTTCACAGGGTGGCAGGAGAGAGAACAGTGAGCGAAGGAGGAACTTGCCAAACACTATAGCCATCCATATCTCATGAGAATTTACTGACTATCATGAGAACAGCATGGGGGAAACCACCCCCATAATCCCATCATTTCCCACCAGGTCTCTCCCTGAATACCTGGGGATTACAATTCATGATGAGATTTGGGTAGGGACACAAAGCCTAACCATTTCATCACCTAAGCCAGAGGGCAGAAGATCTTGAGTATGGCTGCCCATGAAGGTCAGCCTCTTGGGAAACAGAGCAGGGCAGAGATTTAGTACAAATCAGTGGGGAGACTGGGATTAACCACAATACTTTAATAATTTAAACCACTCTGTACATAGTCTCTTTGTAATTTTAAAAAAGCCAGTATAGTATAATTAAGCCACTCAATCAAATGCAATCCTAACTGATACAGCAGGTGACAAACTTGAGTTATTGAAGTTGTTGGACTTAATTCCTTGATTGAAACTCTAATATGAATGATGGCTTTATACATGTCGCCCAATTAAGGCACACTGTAGTGCAGTTTACCAGGAACATGTGGTTTACTTTATTTACATAGCAAATGGTTTCATATATGTTTTAAATAAATTTTCTCATTTAAATAAAACACACTATATATATATGTTTTATATAATTTTTGAGAATGGAAATTTAATATCATCATATTCCTGCTAAGGGAATGTTGAACAAATATTTAAATAAAATTGATTTGAGGAGGAACCAAGTTAGTAGCCTTATTCTGATACCGTGTCTAAGGTTCTAGTTAAAGCCTACATTATGCATTGAGGTGTTTCTACCATTCAAAGAGATAGTTCAGTTTGTGGTTGGATTACATACGATCCAGTTATTGATGGTGCTTTCCTGGAGGTGACTGAGGAAATGATTGGTTCATTTTTGCAGAAATCAGTATATGAGGCAGTGTCTGGATCTTCTAAACTCCAGTTGATTCCTGTGGACCATGAAGTTTGGGTCAGGATCTAGAACCTCTGGAGTTGGAGATGCAGCCATTCTGCTCATGGAGAAGAGAGACTAGGTTTTCTATAATACCACCAAGTAGTTCATCTGATGGGTGGACAAATACATTGATTCAGCCTCAAACCCACAATTTCTGCTTGAAAGAAGATGTGTGATATTGTTTGGCTATGTCCCCACCCAAATCTCACCTTAAATTGTAATAATTCCCATGTGTCAAGGGTGGGGGCCAGGTGGAGACAATTGAATCATGGGGATGTTTCCCATATACTGTTCTCATGGTAGTGAGTAATTCTCACTAGATCTGATGGTTTTATAAATGGGAGTTCCCCTGCACAAGCTCCATTGCCTGCTGCCATGTAAGGTGTGGCTTTGCTCACTCATTACCTTCCACCATGATTGTGAGGCCTCCTCAGTGATGTGGAACTGTGAGTCAATTAAACCTCTTTCCTTTATAAGTTACTTAGTCTTACCCAGTCTCTGGTATGTCTTTTCATTTTTTTAGATGAGACATTGGACTGTGGTCTTTTGAGTTAATGCTGAAATGAGTTAAGACTTTGGGGACTATTGGGAAGGCATGATTGGTTTTGAAATGTGAGGACGTGAGATTTGGGATGGGCCAGGGGTGGAAGGATGTGGTTTGGCTGTGTTCCAACTGAAATCTCCATGCTGTTCTCATGATAGTGAGTTCTCACAAGATCTGATGGTTTTATAAAGGGCTTCCCCAGCTTCACTCTGCACTTCTCCTTTCTGTTGCCATGTAAAGAAGGATATGTTTCCTTCCCTTTCTGCCATGATGTAAGTTTCCTGAGGACTCTTCAGCCATGAGGAACTGTGAATCAATTAAACCTCTTTCCTTTATAAATTACCCAGTCTTGGGTATGTCTTTATTGGCAGCATGAAAATGAACTAATACAGTGTTCATGAAAATGAACTAATACAGTGGCTAAATGCTTATCTGGCTCTGCTATGACTAAAGTTAAATATCTTTAAACCATGTAGGTGGGATAGTCTAGGATGCAAATATGCCAGAGATCTGAATTGCATATAGAAAGTAACAACCCCACTCAATCCAAACTTGGCAGCATTGCATATTGTTGTTAAAGAGAACGGACTCACAGCAGCTGTGGGTGTTTCCAAGCCAAAATGATTGGTTAGAGAGGAAGGAGTCCCACAGTGTACGATGGTCACCTCAACTAGAATGGGATGGCTGTCTGAGTGCTTTAAACCTCTCTCAAATATGTTAACATGTGGTTCTTTGAGAGACTGACATGCTGAGGAGCCCAGGTTTTGTTAACAGATATTTATAGTAGGTCTAGATGCTGAACCTGGGTGTTCTGTTAAGGATAGTACACCATTTGGAGATCCTTAGTTTCTACATGGTTTACAGTTAAAGGGGGTTGGTGGGTAGTGGTTTTTGGAGAGAAATATGGAGCTAGCCACGGAATTTTGACAATTTTTAGTTATTTCAAATTTTATGAGTCATTGGAGATTTTTCTCCAAGGTATATTTTCTTTTTAAATTTGCTGTATTTTTAAAAAAATTCTTTTGAATGTTAGCATGAAAATCTAGATTTTACTGCATGTGTATGAAAAGCATGATTTCTGTGCTAATTATTTCAGAACTTCTGGTTGGCATTACACGTATATTCCATAAGAAACCTATGTGTCTTTATCCACTTCATCTCAACGCTAAGCTGATGTGCAGAAATAATTGAAAAGGAAATTAATTTTCTTATAATCTCTTGAGAACACACAATAAAGAGAATATATCCATAATGCCCAGTGAAATGTCTTAAAATCCTCTTTCCCCATCTTTTCATTATCTATTGCTGTGTAGCAAACCACCCTCAAATCAGTGACTGAAAATATCAATCACTGGCTATTATCTAGTGCAATTCTATGGGTTGATGAGATCAATTGGGTGATTTCAGTTCTTGTGCAGTTGGCTGGGGCTCAGTCTTTTGGAGGCTCATTTGGGCTGGAACACCCAAGATGGCTCATTCCCATGGTTGGCAGTTGGCAGCCAGGAGCACAACTGAGATTGTCCATCAGAATGTCTCAGTTTTCCTTACTATGGCTACTCAACGAGGCTTGGGCTTCTCACAGCATGGGAGCTCAGTTCTAAGAGGGAGTCCTCCAAGTACATGAAAAAGGCACCTTCAGATCTCTTTAGGACCACTTTCAGAAGTTACATAACATCACTTCCCTCACGTTCTATTGGCCAAAGCAAATATGCAAGCTATCTCAGAGTTAAAGGAGTTGAGGGATACTCTCTGCTATGGTCTGAATGTGTCCCTCCAAAATTCGTGTGGGAATCTGAGACCCAATGTGACAATATTAAGAGGTAGGCCCTTCTGGAAAATGATCGTTATGAAGGTGGCACTTTGTGGGGTTAGTTCTCTTATAAAAGAGGTTGAAGGAAAAGCCATGTTCCCTTTTTTCCACCTTCCCTCATGTAAGGACACAGCATTTGTCCCTTCCTTCCCATGAAAGAAGACACTGTCTATAAGGAATGGGCCTTTGCCAAACATTCAGTCTGCCAGCATCTTGATCTTGGACTTTCCAGTTTCTAGAACTGTGAGAAATAAATTTCTGTTGTGTATAAATACTCAGTCTAAAGTACTTTGTTATAGCAGCAGGAATGGACTTACACTCTCCCTCTTGGTAGATGTAGTAGCAATGTTTATGGCCATCTTTAATCCACTACGGCATGTCTTTCTCAATAGTTCATACACATGGCAGCTGCTCCCAAATCTCCCTCCTCTCTCACTCCCAACTCTGCCCAGACCCCATCCCCAAATTCTGTCTCTCAAGTTGTTTTTCTCATATTCCCCTGCTTCCTTTCCAATTCATCATTTCATGTCTCTAGCATATCTCTGCTCTTTCTAGTGTAAATCCACTCAGCTAGCCTTTTTAGTATTTCTTTCTTACTTGTTACCTTGAGCTTCATAATAAACTGGGACTTCCTTAGGATTTTAAATAGCATAATGCTCCTCAATGGGAGGAGGCAGAAGTGGAAAGTGGACATGATTATTCATTTTATTCCTGTCAATCTATGTTTCTGTGATGCACAGCACAATGGGAATTTATTTTATTCAATTGCATTTGATATCAGTGGAGTCTTAGAATGTGACACAAGGGTTGGGTTAGCAGAGAATGTGGCCGATTCAGGATTGAGTACTGGAGATTGCCTGAGGCACATCACGTATCAGGATTGATGGAAATGGTGCTTATTGGGCGTCATGCTATTTTTTTTAATCCTGTTACTTTTATATTTTTATTTTATTTTTTAAAAATTTAAGTTCAGGGGTACATGTGCAGGATGTGCAGGTTTGTTACATAGGTAAATGTGTGCCATGGTGGTTTGCTGCACAGATCATTCCATCCCCTAGGTATTAAGCCCAGCACCCATTAGCTATTCTCCTTGATGCCCTCCCTCCTCTCACCCCCCCACCTTCTGACAGGCCCCAGTGTGTGTTGTTCCCTTCCACGTGTCCATTTGTTCTCATTATTTAGCTCCCACTTATAAGTGAGAACATGCAGTATTTGGTTTTCTATTCCTGCATTAATTTGCTAAGGATAATGGCCTCCAGCTCCATCAATGTTCCTGCAAAGGACATGATGTCATTCCTTTTTATGGCTGCATAGTATTCCATGGCGTATATGTACCACGTTTTCTTTATCTAGTCTATCACTGATTGACATTTAGGTTGATTCCATGTCTTTGCTATTGTGAATAGCGCTGCAGTGAACATACATGTGCACTAGTCTTGATATGAATGATTTATATTCCTTTGGGTATATATCCAGTAATGGGATTGTTGGGTCACATGGTATTTCTCTCTCTAGGTCTTTGAGGAATTGCCACACTGTCTTCCACAATGGTTGAACTAATTTACACTCCCACCAACAGTGTAAAAGCATTCATTTTTTCTCCACAACCTCGCCAGCATCTGTTGTTTTTGACTTTTAATGATAGCCATTCTGATTGGTGTGAGATGGTATCTCATTGTGGTTTTGATTTGCATTTCTCTAATGATCAGTGATATTGAGCTTTTCTTCATATGTTTGTTGACTGCATATGTGTCTTCTTTTGAGAAGTGTCCATCATGCTATTTTGAAGAGCAATGTTGTTGGCCCTAGGCTTAAAGAGTTTTATTGTGAACTTGAGACTTCTTAGAAATAGATCCCCTGCAGAAGTTGGTTTCTGAAGAAAACAACATTAAGCAAAAATACATTTCAGCAGTTCTGGCCCAATATTGTCTTTAGAACAAGAGTACATGTTGAAGCCCACAAACCATATATTTAAATATTTTAAAATTATAACTCAAACTAGTAATCTGTTAAATAAAATCTGTTCTGTTCTCTTATCTTGACAAATATACCTTTATGTTGACCTGGGAGGCTATGTGCAAATTTTTGACTGTCAAGCTTCTCAGAGTTCTTTGATGAAATGTGGCAGCTTTGGGAAAACTGAGCCTGGACCCTGCCTGCTCCCCTTTTCTCCCCACCACTAGGCTCCTCTGGTACTGAGAGAGATCTCCCTCTATGTGTATGGACACTCCAGGTCATACTCCAGAGCTGGGTCCATAGTCCTTAAATACAGCAGCTCCTTAGCCACTCCTCTGGCCTGGGATGAGCAAATGACCAGTGCCATCCACTTTTAGGAGGCACACCTGGTGAAACGTTCCATTCCAGCCTTGGAAGTGGGTTCAAGGATGTCTGGGCAGGAAAATCCAGGGTCCAGATTCCCAGTGCAGGGTCTACAAAAGGAGGCACAGCTTCCACATGACAAGTTTGGCTCCATAAGCTTCTTGCTTTCTGGTGTGGCGTGTGGCAGGAAGGGGGCTAGAGTGAGCACAGGGTGCAGAACGGGGGACCTCTTGTCCAGATCATGGGCAGTACTGCCTTGAGCTGTGGGTGTGCAGAAATTCAACTTGATTTTTTCTTTTCTGCACAGGTTCAGCAGCCAGAGTCCTATCCTGTACTTCTCTTCACGTTGCAGACATCCACGAAAGAGTGAGACTGTTTTCGGTTGGATTGAAGAGCAAATGTGTGGAAGGCACCAAGGTTTGTGTGTAAATGTGGTGAGTGGGGCCAAGGAGAACTTCTGCACTTCTGCCAGGAGGAATTAGGAGGCTGAGCAAGACAGACCGCCTGGTCAGTGTGGAGGCGTTGAACTGTGCTATGTGAGACTGATAACATTTGGCTCTTGTCTAATGAGCCCACCTGGCCACACTGGGGAATTGAAGAATCTAGTGACTAGAGGGTACCCACGTATAGGTTATCCATAAGAATTCCCAAATATTGAAGAAGCTTAAAAAGTGTGTTAAACAGTCCTTTCTGCCCAGAGATCAAAGGCAGCTGAAAGATCTATATTGGATATCCTGATCTATTCTTCAGTCTCAATGGATTCAGCTCCCTTGGAAATGCTTTTTTGTGCATGAGCAATCACTTGTATCTGAGACTTTCTGAGTCATTGATTAGTGCGGGTTTGCATCATCAGATACAGCTTGAAACCAATCTTTAGAATGTTTCCCAGTCATCTTTTTGTGATTTTATGATGGCAAGAATTTACATTCCTTCCCCGTCCCATGACTGGTATGTGTGTTCTAGGAAAAGTTGGCATTGGTTCTATCTGGATGTATTGATGCTGCTGTTTTGGGGGAATATCCAGTGCCAGAAAATGCCTGGAACACCCTGATCCAGTGGGAGGGTGTTAAACCCTAATGGGTCTATGCCATTGTCAATGTTCAGCAGGCCAGATGCCTTTGGAGGGAGAAGGTCAGGGGTTTGGACCTTTGGGGTTAACCACCACTCAATAATTTCCTACAGTCAAAGACTCACTTCTCTCTACTGATTACACTCCCACTACCATTTTGCACTAAAGTACAAGTGCAGATTAAGTGAGTTATTCAGTTGGTTGCAACAGCATACCACTACAGGGGTAGCTGGTCTTCTAAACAGAGCTTGGGATATTACTTTACTTACATTTTTTTTTTTTTTTGAAACAGGGTCTCACTCTGTCACCTAGGCTGCAGTGCAGTGGTACAATCACAGTTCACTGCAGCCTTGACCTCTTGGGCTCAAGCAATCTTCCTGCCTTAGCCTCCTGAGTAGCTGGGACTACAGGTGAGCCACCAGCCTGGCTAATTTTTAATTTTTTTTTTTTTTGTAGAGACAGGATCTCACTATGTTTCCCAAGTTGGTCTTGAACTTCTGGCCTCAAGCAATTCTCTTGCCTTGGCCTCCCAAAATTCTGGAATTATAGGCATGAGTCACCAGAAACGGCCCACTTTATTTACTTCTGTGATGCCTATACATTGTGTTATCAATAAAACTTGAGATTCTGTAACTGAGACTGGTCTCTGTTTTTAATTAATTTCTTTTTTTTGTAATTCCAAGGCTACCACTGAGGTTCAGATTCTGCATTTTGGGGCATCAGAACTAGTTTTTTTTTTTTTAATTTGAGGAAATATGCTATATGCTAGCATAGGGATGGCAATGCAGCCTATGCATATGTGTTCATTGGAGTGTGCACACTTGTGTACATATATGCATGTGTACCATGTGGTTGCCCCTGGAGTCAATAAGGGAAATTCAAGGTGGGGGTTGGGGAGGGAACTATCTCATTGACTTATAGAGTATTGGAAAATACAGAGTTTTTCAAAATAGAGGAGGATGGCTTGCACATAGCAGCTTCCTGACCATTCCCAGGGGAAATTAAAATCCAACAGAAGAATCAAAACATATTCCTTCTTTTAGTTCTCCATTTTTTCCCTTTATTTGGAGATGAAAGAGTAGAAAAGAGAATTATTTTCTGTTTTGCAATTTACAGCTCCTAAATATTCAGAGTAGAGTGGACAGTCATATAATTGCTGTGATTGAGAATGACAATATTTTTCTGATTGAAAACATCTCTCAGTTGGCAAATATAGTGCTGGAAGTTTATACCACTGTGTCACTTCACTAGGCTTAAAGCAGAATTCAGAAGGCTCTGTTAAAATCAGAAATGTTATCTGAAAAAGTTCACTCATTATTACCTATTAGAAAGGATTACATTTTTTTTACATTAAGTGAAATGAAACATAGCACAAGTAAATTTTGTAAAGATTCAAAGGAGAGGATCTATGACGGGGAGAAGCTTGGTCTAGATGGAGTATTTTTCAAGGAGGGCTTTGAATTACCAGGGGCTAGGTTGTGTGCATTTGAGTCCTGGAGAGAAAGAGGTGGATGTACTTTGAAGAAAATTGAGGAAAAATTGAGCAGAATTTTGAATTGATAATTTTGTCCAGAGAAAACCTTGGATTTTTTTTTTTTTTTTTTTTTTTTTTTTTTTTTTTTGAGAAGGAGTCTCGCTCTGTCACTCAGGCTGGAGTGCATTGGTGCGATCTCGGCTCACTGCAACCTCTGCCTCCTGGGTTCAAGCGATTCTTCTGCCTCAGCCTCCTGAGTAGCTGGGACTACAGGAGCGTGCCACCACTCCCAGCTAACTTTTGTATTTTTAGTAGAGAAAGGGTTTCACCATATTGGTCAGTCTGGTCTCGAACTCCTGACCTCAGGTGATGCACCCACCTCAGCCTCCCAAAGTGCTGGGACTACAGGCATGAGCCACCATGCCCGGCTGGATATTTAACTTATTATATTTTATTGCTAGCTATTAATGCTTTCTATATGCTAAGCATTCAAAGTCATTTACAAATATTAACTGCTTAAAACCTTCAATTACAAGGTGGGTACTATTAAAATCATCCTTATCATGCCAGTGAGAAAACTGAGGAAGGAGGAAGTGATCTTCCCAGGTGCTATAAGTAGCCATGATTTACATCTAGGCGTTCTGCCTCTAAGTCAGCAGTCAACACTACACACATACTTCTGTGATGCATGTGAAAATACACAGCTGTCACAAATGTCAGGATTCAGAGAGGAGCATCATTGCACTTATCCCTTTCTCTTGATTTTTTTTTTTCCAGAAAGCCTTATGCTGATAACCAAGATGTATATTTTGGTTGTTTTAAATTTGTCTGTATGCATTCTTACCATTATCTAATCACCATCTTCACTTGTTAGGATGATATTCTTCTCTAGTGCAAAATTAATTCATTCATTCCTTTGTGGAACATGATATGCTGCTCTCTTTGATTTAGTTTCTAATATATGGATGTGAAAGAGCTCGTGGACTATTTTGCAATGCTTCTGTTTACAAAAGATGCCTATTTGTAGGCAAGATAAGACAGAAACTATAATTTAGTAAAGATTTATTGAGCACTTACTATGTTTTAGGCATTATGGTAAGTACTTTATAAGTATTTTCGTGTTTAATCCTTGCCACTAACCTATGAAGTAGCTACTATTATCGCCTTCATTTTATAAAAAGTAAACTGAGAAATAACAAAGTGAAAACAGAAGAACAAAACCCAGAAGAAATAAAACAAAATACCTAGAAATGAACTGAGCCAACATTTAAACCAATACTCTGCTCCAGAGAACAGCATCAGATTGTCTGTACTGATGGACAGACAATGGAATTCTGAGTTCCATTACTGTAGATTAAATGAGTTAGCACATAAAAATTACATAGATAAATACCACCTGGTAAAAAGCAAGTACTTAATAAAGGTTAACTATTAGTTTGTTACCTGAGTATATTGTATGATGCTGAGGTTTGGGGTATAAATGATCCCATCACTGAGGTACTGAGAATAGTACTCAACAGATTTTCAATTTTTTCTTCCCTCCCTCCCACATCATGTAATTCCTGGTGTCTATTGTTACCATCTTTATGTCCATGAGTGCCCAAAGTTCGGCTCCCACTTACAAGTGAGAACATGTGGTATTTGGCTTTTTGTTCCTGTGTTAATTTGCTTAGGATAATGGCCTCTAGCTGCATCTGTGTTGCTGCAAAGGACATTATTTTTCTTTTTTATGGGTGCATAGTATTCCATGGTGTATATGTACCACATTTTCTTCATCCAAGCCACCGTTGGTGGGCACCTAATTTGATTCCATGTCTTTGTTATTGTGAGCTGTGCTGTGATGAACATATGAATGCATGTGTCTTTTTGGAAGAATGATGTTTTCCATTGGATATATACCCAGTAATAGGATTTTTGGCTTGAATGGTGGTTCTGTTTTAAGTTATTTGAAAAATCTCCAAACAGCTTTCTACAGTGGCTGAACTAACTTACATTCCCACAAACAGTATATAAGCATTCCCTTTTCTCCACAGCCTCGCCAACATCTGTTGTTTTTTGACTTTTTTTTTTTTTTTTCAGACGGAGTTTCACTCTTGTTGCCCAGGCTGGAGTGCAATGATGCGATTTCGGCTCACCGCAACCTCCACCTCCCGGGTTCAAGTAGTTCTTCTGCCTCAGCCTCCCAAGTAGCTGGTATTACAGGTATGCACCACCACACCCGGCTAATTTTGTATTTTTAGTAGAGTCAGGGTTTCTCCATGTTGGTCAGGCTGGTCTCGAACTCCTGACCTCAGGTGATCTGCCCTTCTCGGCCTCCCAAAGTGCTGGGATTACAGGCCTGAGCCACTGCACCTGGCCCTTGACTTTTTAATAATAGCCATTCTGACTGGTGTGAGATGGTATCTCATTGTGGTTTTGATTTGCATTTCTCTGATGATTAGTGATGATGGGAACTTTTGTCTTATTTTGTTTTTATTTAGTTTATTAAACTTTTAAAATTAAAGCCTAAAATGTATACAGAAAATGTACATTTCCTAAAGTGTAGAATTCACTGAGTTTTTGCAAACTGATTACTGTCATGTAATTGGCATTCAGATGAAGAACAGAACATGTCCAGTACCTAGAGACCACTTTTGTTCCTTCTGGGCACTATCCCAAAACCTCAGGAGTAACCACCATCCTGACTCCCAACAGCATTGATTTGCCTTCACTTTTTTTGCGGGGGGAGGTGGTGGGGCACAGAGTTTCACTCTTTTTGCCCAGGCTGGAGTGCAATGGCACAATCTTGGCTCACTGCAATCTCAGCCTACTGGGTTCAAGTGATTCTCCTGCCTCAGCCTCCCAAGTAGCTGGGATTACAGGCATGCACCACCATGCCTGACTAATTTTGTATTTTTAGTAGAGACAGGGTTTCTCCATGTTGGTCAGGCTGGTCTTGAACTCCTGACCTCAGGTGATCCACCCGCCTTGGCCTCCCAAACTGCTGGGATTACAGGTGTGAGCCACCGCGTCCAGCCTCTTGTTTTATCTTTTATAGAAATGGAAGCAGGGAGTTTTATTCTTTTGTGTCAGGCCTCCTTCACTCCAATGTCTCAAAGTCTGTGAGAGTCATCCTTATTGTCTCAATGTCTGTGAGATTCATCCTTATTGTTGCATGTACTTAAGCTTGCTCATTCTTATTATATTACATTGTGTGAATATACCACAATCTACTTATACAGTTGCACTGTTGACGGGCATTTGAGTAGTTTCCAGTATGGAGCACTTATGAGTAGTGCTATGTTATAGTACATGCCTTTGGTAAACATGTATTAGCTATTTTTACTGACCATTATGTACGTTAGAGAAAATTCAGCATGATGGTTTAGTCAGAAGGAAATAAAAACCAAGAAGATCCTGTTATTAGTGTATTAAAAATTAATGTCGATTGAGAAAATATTGCAAAACAAAAGAAAACATGATTTTGAAATTTGTGGCACACCAAGCTGTCAATAAGTCAATAAGAATGTCTTACATATTAGAAAATGAGAGCATAAGTTTCAAATATCTCATCATGAAAAATGATACGTAGGTGAAGTTGATGGATATGGTAATTAGCTTGAGTTAATTATTCCACATGCTATACACATATCAAAACATTACATTATACCCCGTAAATGTATACAACTATGACTTGTCAGTTAAAGAAAGTTATTATTAGATTAAAAAACCAATCAGAACTCAGTAGCACCATCCATCAGTTCCCTGGTTCATCTCATGTGTGTGAATCTGTACCTTCAAAAAATAAGGTACACTTTCTAACTCACAAATAAAAAGAAGGACCAATGGATATTGGACTGGAAGAGGAGTATGCTACAGTTTCCAGGAGGTCAAGAATTGTGATGGCGGCTCTGAAGGTGAGGGTTATGGATGGCCCATAGCCAACTCAAGGTGGCCATTCATGAGATGTGCTGATTTTTCATGGTCATGTCTAAACTGGGATGAAGAGTCTGCTAAAACTCATCAACCCACTTCGTCATATAACAAAAAGTTGAGCGAAGAACTTGAATAATATTGAACAAAACAATTGGTTAGGAGTATTGGCTAGGGTTCCAAATAATTATAGTTGGACAAAGTCAGCATGTATCTCACCTGAAAACAAATGACAGTAACAGGAAGTAAAGTGCAATGTGCATCTGGTCACGCTGAAGTCTGCGGTGGGAAACTAAATGTAGGGTGTTAATAGATTCTTCTACTTGAAGGTTGTACTTGGAAGAGAAAGAGGAGCTGGAGAGAGAATAGTTGAAGCTTCAGTATTTCAAAAATGTAGGATTTGATTTAAGAGTCATCAGTTTCTGACAAGAGACGAATTTGAAGTGATGAATATTGAGGAAAATATTGTAGCTCAGATTTGTGGATTAAATTAACTTTACATTCATTTTAAGAGGGTGGCAAACACTCAATGATAATCATCAAGCTAAACAGTGTGCTATCCATGAATGATTCACAAAAGTAAATAGTGTAGAGGAGGTGCTTCATCTTCCACAGAGGAATAACAGAGAAATGGAGATAATTTTGTCAAAATCAGAGCACTGAAGATGAGCATTTCATCTTTGAAAAGACAGAAAAGGTAATGGCAGTAAATGTCAGGGAAATTCAGTGTTGGAAGATGTCTGTCCAACCTGTATGTTTTATAGATGAGTAAAATAGAAAACTGGTGAAAGATGAGTCAGGCTCTTGAGTCAGGCTCTCTAGGTTTAAATCCTGGTGCTCAGACTGACTCTCTTTGGCCTGTTTTTCTTTTGCAAATTGAGGTAATAATTGTATCTAAATCAGAATTGTTTTGAAGGTTAAATGAAATAATCTAGATAGTGCTGAACAAGTGCCTGATATGTAATACATGTTAGTTATTGATTTTGAGTGACTGCCCTAAAGTTTTACAGCTAGTTAACAATAGAGTTGCAACTAGATCTCAAGTTTACCAGGCCCTCAAACTTCCAATTTAGTGTCTTCCAAACGTATCACATTGTGTCTTACAGGGATTTCAGAAACCCCTTTTCTTTGCTCTGAATTCAGAACCAGTTCTGGTGTAGACATGCGAGTCAGGGAGATGGGACCAAAATATCATATTGTTTTTCACTCATAAAAGCTGGATTAAAGGTTATGACTTAGATCGAGGACAGCTAGATAAACTTTCCGTTGGTATAGATTGGGGCAAGGATTCCCCTGGGAATCTCAATTCACCTGCCCACTCTCTTGCCACAATCTATACCAAAGGAAAGTTTATCTGCAGCTAAGAATGCTGTCTTGCTTTAGGGGGTAAAGGGAGGAAGGGGTATGAGAGAAGAGAAGAAAGGGCAGAAAGATCCTAGATCCTTCTTGTGTAGAAGTTTTGAGCTATGTTAGCTCTACTCAGTTGATAAATATGCACTAATGGCTGTCATCCACCAACTAGGTGATGTAGTCTACCATATCAGATCCCAAATCCTTCTTGTGTAGAAGATGTGAAATATTAGCTTTATTCAGTCAATAAATATGCACTAGTAGCTATCACCCACCAACTAGGTGATGTAGTCTACTTTACGAGGTAGATTACTTAGTAGACCTCTTTGGGGTATGACCAAAAGTTGGGCAGAAAAAGGAGAAAAAGGATCCTCTCTGCAGAGGGAATAGTGTATGAATAGGCTGTACTTGAATATCAAAACCATGAAGTGAGTGCAGACTCGTGGAGGAGGAATGCCAGCAAATCAGGAGTAGCAGCTTTCCTTCTCCAACTTGTCTCAATGCTGACACAGCAATTCCAGATTTTAAAATTAACACAAAGAACTTGCTGATGATATAGAAATAAAGAGAGCATAATTTATTCATTCGTTTAATAAATGTGGAACAAATTTTTTTCCTTTTTCAACCCTATTAACCGAAGAACAAGTTTGTTTTTAAATATCAGCTAGATTGCATCACTATTTTTAAGGCCCTCTAGTGATTTGCAATTGCAGTAGAATACAATCCAAACTCCTTACTATGACATTCAAGACTTTATCTGATCAGTTCCAACTCTTTGTTCCTTACTTGCTAAGATCCATCCACATAGCCTCTTTCTGTTCCTTGGTCATGCCAAGCTTGTTCCAACTGCTATAGGGTCTATAGACTCAGGGTCCAGATCTTAATGTTGGTTTTTTATGTCATTCAGTTGCAGCTCAAATATTGCCATGTATAGAGGCTTTGTCTCACCACCCTATCTCTAGTACCCTTCCCATCACACTAATACATGGCCTGTCTTATATGTTGTATTGATTGCAATTTACATCTGAAACAGTCTTGCTCATTTATTTGTTTCTTGCTTATTGTCAGGCCTTATTCTGCTACAATTAAAAGCTTCGAGAGAGCAGGGATCTTGCTCTGTCATTCACTGATGATCTTTGGAGGCCCAAAGAGTGCTGGTATATAGTGGGCTCTTGAAAAATATTGTTAAAAGAATGATTAAATAAGTAAACAAATGGATGAATGAATATAGCTTATAAGGCTCTGGGGACTTCCAGACCAATAGAGATTATTTCAAGAACTCACAGTCTAGTTAATTAACTTTAGTGAAATGTATTAAGTGCTATAGTAAAGGCACATGTAAAGTGTGTTGCAAGAATAGAGATGGAGAACTGGAAGGAAGGCTCCAGTGTAATCACTTTTTATATGAGAAAGTAATTCTATGAGAAAAAGTGATTACACAGTAGGTCTTCTTGGGGTATGATGGAGAGTTGGCTAGAAAAAGAAGAGGTGGAAGGACATTCTAGGTAGAGGTAACAGTATATGAATAGCTTATTCTTGGACATCGAAACAATGAAGAGAGAGCAGACTCCAGGTACTCAGAAATGTCATTCTGGTCTTTCATGAAGCAAATTTAAAAAATAACAGAAAAAAACATAGTATGATTCCATGTCAGGGATCCTAGCTCATAGATGACATGGTTCAAGAGGAATTAGAAGAATCCTCCTTAATAATAACTACAAATTACCAACAAGAAAGGAGGAGGATCTAAGAGGCTGTTGGATATATTTAGATTTTAGGTAGATAAATAAACAGAATATACACAGAGGAGACCATGCTTTTGGAGAAGCAGAATAAGGGAGATGAACCTTAAGGATTATGTGAGACCAGAAGAAATGGTGGCTTAGAAAAATGTAATAGCTAAATATGACTTTCAGACCCTCAGTTGGAAAAAGCAATATAATCCCTCATGGAAGAGGCAACCCCTTTACTTAACAGAAGTAAGCATAATATAGTAGTTGAGAGAAAGAAGGCAAACCTTATTCTCTATCATTTTATTTCTAGCTTTTCCATTCAGTGAAATAAATTTCAGATTGGAAAGGTTACAGGCAGCAGCAAGTGCAGGGAATGAAGATCTAGGTAGATGAATTTCATTTTATATGAATTTATGTGTCCAGACTAAAAATACATTAGAATTAATAAAATAATGGAATGATTTGCTAGTGGAGAGACTTGTTCGTGTGTTTGATGTATGAAAAATGAGAGAAGAGAGTATCAGAAGAAGTAAGGGCAAGTATAGAAGAAAAAGGTTGTTGCTCCATTTAGGTAGGCTATTGTTAAGCTAATTTTGGTTTAAGCACACACAGAAATTACCTATACTCTCCAGTAAATACGCTTTTGAATTATAATAACTGTGTCTGAATCCAGACATTTCTGGCTTAGCTTAGTTGTGAAGATTTGGGTTTAGTTATTTTTCAGTATCTATCTATCTATCTATCTATCTATCTATCTATCTATCTATCTATCTACCTACCTACCTATTATCTATCTATCTATCTATCTATCTATCTATCTATCTATCTATCTATCTAATTTTTTTCCCTAAAACTTTTCTAGATCTCAGACATTGCTCCCAAAAGTGCCCTTTGGCTGACCAGTGCAATGGAGAAAATCTCTCAGAACCGTAATACTTTGGTTTGGGACACTGATCCCTTAATGAATATTTAGGAATTATTGTGAAATAATATTGCGTTTTAAGAGAATTGTCAACTATATGAGAAAGCTATCATTCAGCTCACGAAGACATGCTCTTCCACTCTTAATTATTTAGCAGGAAATCTATGTTCTGAATGTATCTGGCACATATGTGTATTCATGACACATAACTGGATTTTTTGAGGTCTTTCAAGGGTAAAAGGGAGAAATGATTAAAGCATCCCTGGGGAAATGTGGCAAACTCTTTGAGTCATAAAATTACCCCCAAATAGAGCATGTTCAAAGGGACTTTTTGTCTGCATAGTGAATAAGTAATTTTTTTTTTTAATGCGAACTACATACACTTTTGCAACTTAGGATTTAGCAACTCATCTAAACCACTGAACGTTAGGAAGTATTCCTGCCCAGTTTCTTAGAACTTTCACTGTTCCCTTTTCTTCTGAAGGCTGTTGTTGTGAACATATGTGTCAAAAATGGTTTATGTGCTTCAAGATAAGTCTTGGTCCATGTTGTTAGTCAAAATCTTACTGTGCTGATTCAGGACTGTATCAAAAACAAATTTATGAATTTACATAGTCAAGCTGTGAAACACTGACATTAAAGTTTTAGATTGTTTCAATTAGATTGTCTCGCTGAGTTCCACACCTCTTTTTCTTCAAGTGGTTTTAACCTTTATTTGTACATTGCATTAAGTCAATACATTTAAAGGTGTTTATTCTTGGTATTTACTAAATTTAAAATTACAAACAGAGGCCGGGCGCAGTGGCTCATGTCTGTAATCCCAGTACTTTGGGAGGTTGAGGCTGGCGGATCACGAGATCAGGAGATTGAGACCATCCTGTCTAACACGGTGAAACCCTGTCTCTACTAAAAACACAAAAAATTAGCCGGGCGTGGTGGCAGGCAGCTGTAGTCCCAGCTACTCGGGAGGCTGAGGCAGGAGAATGGCATGAAAAAAAAATTACAAACAGAAAGGGTTTTTTTTTTTTTTTGCTCTAATGAGAGTAGATAGTAATAACAATTTTAGCAGTACTAATTATATTTCAGATGATTGATGTAATTTTTTGTCTCAAAGAAGAATTTTAAAATTTAGCGGCCTTTTAGGTTGCAAATTCTAAAATGCATATTCCCCATACATAATAGCAGACATTCAAGAGATAATGAAAACTGAGTTTTTCTGTTAAGTCCAAGAGCCTCCAAATAAGAGTCTACACATCTTGGAAGAATTTGTGAACATTCTTTAACCTTTTCCTTACAATGCTTCAGTGAGAAGACTTTACAATATAGTAAAGCAATCTTAGAAATAATATGAAGAATTTCCTTAGAAATGTTCAAGGAAATAAAGATTATCTGAGGGAAAATATGAAATGTAACGAGAAGGAAACTGTATTGAAGTTGGTTAAAATCGATATAAGATTTATGGTATGAAAAAGATATTTATGCACCTCTAAAGTGGTTCTCTAAGACCATCTCTTGCTGTAGGGTAGATTGGGGTTGTTACTCAAAAGGAATAGATTGCTTTCAATATAGAAGGAGGGCAAAATAATTACCTACATTCACTTCCTCCCTCCCTCCTCTCTCCTTTCTTCCCTACTCTCTCTCCTTTGAACACTTACTATGTGCTCCCACTGTGTTTAAGTTATATTGGTCATACTGTGATAGGAAGAGGACTCCCTGCTCTTAATAGAGTTTGCAGTTTAGTGGGAAACTGTCATATACAGACATTAAAACGAGGGCATTGAGGGGATGTCCCTGAATTCTGTACCATTGTAGATTCTCCAAGTGCATGTGGTTGATATTTTCTCTTCTTTATCTTATTTTCTTCTTCTTCTTTTTTTTGGCTATTTCATCATATCGATTTTTTAAAAAAATAAAGCTATTCTAGTTATTTGTAATTTTTTGTCTTTTTGATAATAGCCATCCTAGTTGGGGTGAGATGATAACTCATTATGGTTTTGATTTGCATTTCTCTGATGTTTAGAGCATTTTTTCATGTATTTTTTTTGACCATTTGTATGCATGTCTTCTTCTGAGTAATGTCTTTTCAGATCATTTGTCCATTAAAATTTTTTTTTGTCATGGTTAAGATGTTTGAGTTTCTTGTGTATCTTGAATATGAATTCCTTGCCAGTTGAATGGTTTGCAAATATTTTCTCCCATTCTTTGGGTTGTCTTTTAACTCTGCTGCTTG